>NC_000008.11:70927265-71552265 GCF_000001405.40 Homo sapiens
CAGAGGAGAGGGAAGGGTATCATCGATCAATTTTCCTGGGTGGGGATCGTCTTTGGATGCCGGGCAGCTAAGTCAGAAATGCAGGGCAGTGGGTGGCGTCTCCTTTCTTGTCTCTACCTGTTTTAGTCCATTTGTGCTGCCATAACAAAACACCTGAGACTGGGTAATTTATAAATAATAGAAACTTATTTCTCATGATTCTGGAGGCTGGGAAGTCCAGAGTCAATCTGCACCAGCAGATTCCGTGTCTGGGAAGGGTTTGCTTTCTCTTTCCAAGATGGCGTCTTTTTGCAGTGTCCTCTGGAGAGGATGAAGGCTATGACCTCACATGGCAGAAGGCATGGAAAAGCCAGGCAGGTCTCTGATACCTCTTTTATAAGGGCATTAATACCACTCACCAGTACAGAACCCTCATGACTTAATCACTTCCCCAAAGGACCTGCCTGTTGATACCACCACACTGAAAATTAAGTTTCAACATGAATTTTGGAGGTTCACAAATATTCAAAACATAACACTGTCCATACATGTACTGTTTCTGTGTTAGCTTGTTTCTATCCTGATTGCCTATGATGATGTTTGTGTTTCCTGGCTTAGGTCATTGACGAGTAGGTGCTAGATCTGGTAGTAGATAGGAAATGCTCTCCATTCTAATTTTCCCAGGGTCCTAGACTGGTTCTTCCCCGCATCTCTTTGAAATGAGTTGAGTCTAGGTTTGAACCTTTTATCTAATTTCTATATTTTGCTTTTCTATCAGGGCTCAAACAAAAATCTAATTTCGTGTGTGTGTGTTTAGAAACAGGGTCTTGCTCTGTCAACCAAGCTGGAGTGCAGTAGAGTAATTGCAGCTCACTGCAACCTCAACCTTCTGGGCTCAAGCAATCCTCCTGCTGTAGCCTCCCAAGTAGCTGTAATTACAGGCATGCACTACCATGCCCAGCTAATTTTTAAGATGCTTTTGTAGAGATGGGGTCTTGCTCTGTTGCCCAGGCTGGCATTGAACTCCAGGCCTCAAGTGATCCTCCCATCTCAGCCCTCCAAGGCACTGGGATTACAGGCGTGAACCACCCACCTGCCTTGATTTCCAGGTTTTTATTAGGACATTTTGGTTGACCCTGTGGTCTTGCCATAGCCTTGTGGACATTACTAAGCACAACCCATTTGATAAAAATATCTGTTGAAAAGTTTTTTTTTAAAAGGCTTATAATCTGATTTTTTTTAGGTTAATGAAATATGTGCAAATGACAAAAATGCCTGATGTGACATTGATCAAAATTTTACCACCTTTTGGGAAAGTATATGGCCTAGCCCATATACTTTAGTTGATATCTATAGTTGCTATCACCTTAAAGCCTGGGTGCTCTTCCCTAGTCTGGGCTCCTAAATTGTCCCTGCACCATTAGCCAGGGACATACTTTCCTGGATTTGGTCTTAGATGGCCAGACTATCCTCTGGCCAAGCTTGTCAGACTCCAAAGTTAGTCCCAGCTTGTTCTCATCTCCCAGCTGGCACAGACATAGGATTGCTAGCCTTCTGCAAAGAGGGTGTAGGAAGGGTATGTGGAGTCACATCATATGCACATTTAACTAAAACAAATCCAACTATAGGAGTTGAGAGAGACAGGGTGGAAACAATCAGATTCTGCACACCATTTCACAAATTGATTATGCATTTGGGAGTGGGCAGGAAATAGAAGGCAGAAGTTGACTTTCCTTGATCAGTCTTAGTTCCCTTTTGCTTCTCCCAATGTGAGCATCTTGAAGGCTGAATGTGATCATAGTAGTAAAAATGCAAATTTCCCTTACCACATGATCCATAAATGCAACACAATAAGCTGCTCAACCAGAGGAATAGTCATCTGGGCCAAAGCTACAGGAAAACCAGTTCTTTTGGATCTTCCAGAGCAGTACAATAGAACTTGTCATGGTGATGGAAAAGTTCTCTAGTCTATAGTGGTCAGTATGCTAGCTAGCAGACACAAGGGGCTATCGAGCACTTGAAATGTGGCAAGTCTGATGGAGGAATTTATATTAATTAAAATTAATTTAAACTAAATACCTTATGCAACTGTGTTGAAGAGTATAGATCCAGAAAATTTCCAGTGTGGCATTGTATTACTTTTCTCTTTCTGTATAACAGATCACCACAGATTTTGCAACTTATGCAATACCTATTTAATTAGTTAAGCCAGAAGTTTGAACTGGCTTTCCTGAATTCTCTGCTTAGAGCCTTACAAGACAGAAATCAACGTGTAGGTCAGGCTGAGCTCTTATCTGGAGACTCTGGGAAAGAATCTCCATCTAGGCTTATTTGGGTTGTTGGAAAAACTTAGTTTCTTGTGGTTGTACGACTAAGGTTTATGTTTCCTTCCTGGCTGGTGGCCAGGGTTTGCTCTCAGCATCTAGAGGCTAGTCTCTAGTCTTTGCACATGGCCACTTCCATCTTCAAGCTAGAAATGGTCATCGAGTCCCTCTGATACTTTAGATCTCGATGACATCCTCTTCTACTGTCAGCCTGAGAAAAAGGCTCTGTTTTCAAAGGGCTCACTTGTTTGAGTCAGGCCCACCCAGTTAATCTCAATATTTTAAAACCAACTCACTTGGGGCTTTAACTGCATCTGCAAAGTCCCTTCACAGAAGTACTTAGATTAGTGTTTGATTGAATAACTAGGCTGGCAATAATAGAGGGCCATCTAGAATTCTGCCCGTCACAGGCACCTTCTTCAGATTTCCAATGCTAATTTTGACCAGGTTTGATTTTCGTATTTTACACTAGCTTTTAGAACCCAATCCCAAGTAAAATATGAACTTGTAGTGGGTAGAATAATGTCATTGCTTTGGGTTTTGAATTTTTTTCTGTTCTCAAAAATCACTTAAAAAATGTAGAAACCTGGGAGTTAGTGTGGGGTGGTTGTAGGTGGGGTGGAGTAGGTGAATATAAGCCTATATCTACTAAGACTTTAGCTTAGCTTTTAATGCTCTGGTTAAGATGAGGTAATATGTAGCTGAGATGGGCTCCTAATACTTGGCTGGCTGAATTGTGGGGGAGTAGGAAGGAGAACCTTGTGAGAAGGGCTAGGATGAAAGAACCTAGTGAGAAGACTTAGTGGCTACCAAAGATGACTTAGTCATCTCTCTCAAAGTTATTTACCACTTTGGTATTTGGGTCATAGTTTGCCACTCCATGCCTTAGCATATTTTTAAAGCTATTAAAGTCAACAAGACAGCAAAATTTGTTTAAAAAAGAGAGATATTTTAAATCCCTTCAAAGTGATATCAGGCTGTGTTAATGGATGCATTATGTTCTAAACCAGAAAAAAATTATTTCAAGCCACTTGGCACTAGTCTTGCCTGAACATATTTCAACTGCTTTTAGTTTGGGATACCACATGTTGAAAAAGAGACAAATTAGAGAAAATTCAGAGTGGCAACCAACATGATAAAATGCCTAGTTAAAGGTTCATGGCGTGGCTCAGGGGATTGGTAATGGGGTATAAATCCTCTCTCTCGTCAGCACTTCATTTTTAGCAGTGTCTATCTAATGGCTGTCATCGCCACTTAGATTCAGAGACCAGCATGGGAGGAATTGATGGTTGGGTATGGTTTAGAATGTTGCAGTCCATATGCCAAAGAGCATCACCATCAGAACCTTCTTCACCTTTCTGGTGAAGAAGTTAGGGGTTTAAACACAAAAGCTAAATCTGATATTCACCTGACCCAAGCCAGTTAGTTCCAAGTTTGGCTGGGCAAATTGTTAATTACTCTTGGTAGTAGACTTCGTGATATTTGAATTTGGACTGAGAGAAATTCATTTTCTTGTTTAAATAAATATCCACATAGTTGAACTATTTTGAAGAAGTTTGAAATCTGTTTCAAGCTTAAGTAAAAAAAAAAAAAAATCAGAGTGCCAATTTATTTAACTACAGTGAGAAACAAAACTATAATCTACAATGCTCATGTTAATGAGATCTGTGCATTCTGTACACAGGAAGAGCTCCAACAGGTATGGAATCATAATCAGAAGGTTACCCTGAGGTCAGCATGGTGTTCTAAGATGATTCTAAGGTGGCTGGATATGTCCATCTATAGCTTTTGTTCAGGTCTGTATGACCAGCCAGGTTGTGTGGTAGGATCGTGACTAACCTCTTTCTTAGTTCTAGATCTGTTATTAATTATTGAATAATGCCTGGCAAATGGATAAAGTGAGTAGCTAGTAACTAATGGTCCTTAAGGCCTTTTCAGCTATAAAATTCTTTGATTTTATGTACATATTCTACAGGTCATGTGTTAGCCCATTCTTGTGTCACTATAAAGAAATACTTGAGGCTGGATAATTTAGAAAGAAAAGAGGTTTATTTTGGCTCACACTTCTGCAGGCTGTACAGGAAGCATGGCACTGGCATCTGTTTGTTGTCTGGTGAGAGCCTCAGGGAGCTTACAATCATGGCAGAGGCCAAAGAGGGAGCAGGTATATCATGTGGTGTGAGAGAAAGCAAGAGAGAGAAGGGGAAGGTCCCAGACTCCTGTAAACAACCAGATCTTGAGTGAACTAACTGAGCGAGAGCTCACAAATTACTAAGGGAATAGTGCTATGCCATTAATGAGAGATCCAGACCTATGATCCAATTCCTACCAAAGGCCCCATCTCCAACACTGAGGATCACATTTCAACATGAGATTTGGAGGAGACATACATCCTAACCATATCAGGTAGGTAGGTAGGTAGTGAGATAATTAATGTTCTTGATTCTGTTGAGTAAAGACCTCAAGGCATTTCACACGTATTAGACAGTTCAATACATTTGTTGAGGACTTCCTATGTGCAAATTATTGTGTTAAGCATAGAAGTAGACATGGTCTCTTCCCATGAGAAATTTAAATGATTAAGTAAAATATTATATTGTTATTATTAATTAATATAGATATTAATTAATATGAATAACATGAATGTGGTAGTATAATATGAATAATGACTGATGACAATATAAGGCAGAATTAAATAAGGGCAGCAATGGAGATGCAGACCGATGTGAGATAGGATATGGAGTAGGGAAAAATTAATTGCATCTCAGGAGATTAAATAATTTATAGAATACAGTATTTGAGCTGGACTTTTAAGGATGCAAATATTCAGCAAACTTTGATAACCACTAGTCTAGGTCAGAGTTGGCATTGCCATAATAGTGATGTGAAGTTCAGCTTGCCTGTTAGAAGAGAAGGAGGTAGGGAGAAGTTAATGACATTTCAGCACCAGGACCTCTCAATTGCATGGACCACTTCTGTATTAGTTTGCTAGGCCTGTCATAATAAAGTATTATAACAAAATACTACAGGTTGGGTTGCTTAAACAGCAGAAGCTGGAAGTTCAAGGTGCCAGTAGGACTGGTTTCTCCCGAGGCCCTTCTCCCTGGCTTGTGGAGTGCCACCTTCTGCTGTGTCCTCACATGTCCTTTTCTCTGTGCATTCACAACCCTAGTGCTTGTCCTCTTTTTGTAAGGACATCAGTCCCTTTGGATTAGGGCCCACCCTTACAATCTCATTTAACCTTAATTCCCTCCATTAAGGCCCTATCTCCCAATACAGACACAGTAGGGGGCTAGGACTTCAACATATGAATTTTAGGGGGAACACAATTCAGTTCATAACAACTTTTAAGGCTGTGAACGGACCCTAGCTTTCAGTTCACTTGATCATATTTGTGTGTGTGAAAGTGAGTTATTTTTATACTCTTTGTCTTCAAGTGTGTCCCTCAAATGGGACAGGTTTCCGACCCTCTAAAACCCGGGCCTACCTTCTTCCTGGGGCAAGATATTCATTAGGCTCACTGTTCACCAGAAGAGGTAGCTTTGAGTGAGGATACTGTAAAGGAGAAGTGGGTAAATGAGGGGCTCCTCTATTATTGAAGAGAGAACATAGGGGCTGGTGTGAATTCCAAGTTCTGATAGGGCTACAGATGCTTTTAGGTTAGGGATCAATACATAGAAATGAAATGTGCTGGTCTTTAAGAATCATCTTTCTTTTCTCTATCCTACACCACGAGTGTTAGAAGGAACCAACAATGATGGAAACCCAAAGGAATAATGGGACGCTTAGGGCGTTTAGGGCATAGAGCAATATCTTGTTGAAGTTGGAAGAGAATGTAGTCAGAGTTGGAGATGAAGGGGAAGAACAGTTTTTTTTTTTTTGTCTTTCCTGGCATAACGTACATAGAAGTTAGATTTAGGAGAAGATTTCTTAGTCACAAAATCTGGAGAAAGTAGTTAATGGTAGTAAAGAATGAAGGCTGCCAGGGAACAGGGGAGTATATTCTCTTCCTTTTTCTTCCTTTACATTCCTCTGCTTTTCCTTTTGTATCACTGTTTCTCCTAAGTGATAAGAATCACTTAGAGGGTGCTTATGAAAAATGAAGATTCCTATGCCTAATCCCAGACTGAGTGAATTAGAGTCTTTGATGATTGGGGCCCAGAAATAGTTATTTTGAAAGTTTCTGATTTGATTTTTATACTCTCTAGGGACTGCTCTACATCCACACAAGAGTAGAATACTGCCTCTTAATTGCATATTGCTGTCATCAGTATCTATTAGTTATATCAGGAACTACCATTTATGGAGCACTTGTTGAGCTGTTCTAAGCAACATACTTACCCGATTCTCATGGTAAACATTTATTATGATAATATTATCCCCATTTTGTGGATGAGAAACCAAATCTCAGAAAAGTTAAACAAATTTCTCAAGGCCACATAAGTAGTGTTATTTAAAAAGTGAAGGGGAAAAAGAGAAGAAAAAAATTGATAAACATATTAGTTTGCAAGTATTTTTGTATGTATAAAATTACTTTAGAGTTATATGTTGTCTTAATTGTGTGGATATTATAATAAATATTAACTCTTAAGACCCTTGCCTGGTTGAGCATTGGTCAGCCATACTGTTAAACTGATATTCTGTTGAAATGGAATGCCAGGAAATTCCAGGCAATTTTGGCAGAAGTAATAGACTTCATGAACTTTTCTTGCCAATACTAACATCTCTCTATGACACTTAGGGGGCTATAGAGACTTGTTTGATGGGCTGATGTTCATATTTTTAATTTGATAAGAAATTTGGGCAGCTTAGCAATAAGGTATACAGTTTTGGAAAATATGAAGAAAACCCTGCTATGTGACAATCCATTTCTGTAGGATTTGGGACAATAAATACGATGTTTTATTTTTGTAAAGCAAAACAACTCATAGACAAAAGGCTTATTGCAACTATTTTAGTATTCTATCCCTTAATCCTGCACAATTCCACTTAAAAGAAGATAAAATTTCCATTCAATGGACCAAACAACACAATAAAGTTTCTAGAGGAAACCTTTGCAATTACTATGCAAGCTTATTATAACACAGGGGAAGAGAATTAAGCAATGCATGTGTCCCCTCAGCAAATTCGTATTTCAAATATGCAAAAATAAATGAATTATGCATGTTTATTTAGACTAACTGGACACCAAGAAATGGCAAAGGCAGAGTCCAACTTGATGTAACTCGTTTTAACAAATGTAGTTCCCCCAAAATTAAGAGCTCATTTATTTCATAGAGGTTTTATCTGCAGATGACAAGAATAGATATTTACTTCTTTTAATATTTACTTAGATATAGGTTTCTGATTTCTAAAGTACTTTTCTAGGTTAAAAATGTTTTGAAATGTACTAAAATATAAAAATCACTCTCATCCCTCCATATGTGTTTGGATTTTATAAAATAAGAAGCTGAGTATCTCTTACATACATTTTCTCCTCTCAAGGTTAATAACTTGGTTAGCTATTTGATATATATCCTTCCTGTTTCTTCAGTATATATATATATATATATACACACACACACATATATATACACATATATACATATATATACATATATACACATATGTATATACATATATATATACATATACATATATACACACACACACACACACATACACATTTGATACCCTAAATTGGAATATTATTACATATATTTATCTAGAATGTATTTTGAGTTTTACTTACTTAAAATGTACTATGCACACTTTGTATTGTTACTATTAAACACTGAACTTTGAACCTCTGCTTAAATTTTTCCCTCTTTTTGATATTGTAAACAATTCTTCAGTGGATAGCCTTGCCAGGTATGCATATTTTGCATTTCAGTAGATATTACAAATAAATCATTTTCCACAGAATTTGTAGTAATTTGTCCTCCCACAGTATATGAGAGTGTATTTCCCCCTCGTATTTGCTGGCACTGGCTGTTAGCAGTCTTTTTAATCACTGACAATCTGCTGAGAGAAAATTATATTTGTTTTACTTTGCAATTAAGAGTTGGATGAATTCTAAATGTTTTCCCATATTTTAAATTTGTCTGGTATATTTCTAAAAGGCACATAAAATCTAGAATTAAGAATAAGAAAGTTAGCTGTTAACTCAGATTTGAAGCACCTTTTATTTACCAGGTTGGGCAATATATTCAAAACTACTTCTGCAAGGGAGTGAGAAGAAGAATAATTCTGTTTGTTAGAGACATTCAAGCCATTTTGTTTTTTACCATCTGCACTTTGTTATTGGAAACAATTTTCATCTTTATTGCCCCATGTTCCAAATTACATTTTTAATTTTGAAATCTATACAAAAAACCAAAGATTATGATTTTGGACAGTTTCTAACTAGTGCTAATTTATTTGAGCTTTTTCACTAGTATTCTCATAAACTAAAACCACTTTTCCTTCTTTAGAATAAGTTATGGGGTCTTGGTGGATAAGAAACTGAAATGAGATGCTCTTTACTCAATCAAACCAGCAAATAGCTCTGGAGGCTTAGTCATAAAACCCAGCACGGAAATAATACTTGTCTCACAATAAGGTCAGAAATGATAACTGAAACCTTGGAATCCTTAAGATAAGCTACCTGTGTAATCAGGGGAAATAGCTGAAAGCCTAATAGAAGGCTTTGTGTTGGAGGACAGTGATTGAAGTTCAAAAGGCTTAGCAGAGGTCAAGTTGGCAATGTCAGGTATTTCCCCAAGTTTACTTCATTCAATTAAGTTGAAACAATCTGCTCCTGTGAAAGAGTTAGTGGCTTTCCTTACACTGGAAGAGCCCAGGCAGAGGGATGCTTGGTTTTCTCTGTATCGTAATCATGTCTGGGATGATTTTAAATAAGAGATTGAGTTAATTTTCATGAACTCTCTGTGGGAGAACTTAGATGCAATACAGTGATTGTAAATCTTGTGAATTTACCGGACACATTTGAAAGGGATGGACAGTGTAATTGTCTACCTGTGTGTGTATTAGCTGACTATTGGCAACAAAATGCTTTTCAAATTTTCATTGTTTCTAAATGCGATGACTATTCCTGTGTCTGTCCCGTTAATTGAGCTGGGTCTCTTCCTGTTTAGTCTAAACCACTGTTGATTGCCTTGACTCCTACCCGACTGAGGGACCAAATGCCCTGGATTGAGAACATTCTTAGAAGTGCCTGAACTCTCATTTCAAGGCTGCTTGAACCAGGCAGATGTCAGGGTAGAAAAGGGTCCAAAGCCGCTTCTTTAAAAAGTAAATTGCATGCATTTAGGATTTTGTCTTTTTCTTTGATATGTTATGTTTTTTTCTTTTAAAAAATGTACTGTCTTATTTCTTAGTTGGAGTAATTATTTTACAAACATGAGTGAACTTTGCAGAGGAATAGAAATGGGACATACCCTAACTGCAGCAAATGATCAGATTACAGAGATAAATTGATATATGAGAGGTTCCGGAATGGTGGGTAATTACAGCACATACCTCCAGGAAATTCACACACACACATGCACACATACACACACCCCACATTAACCTCCTGCATATGCGTATGTATGTGTGTGTGTGACTGTGACTGTGAAGTTTAATTATAGAAAATATTTAGGAGATAAAACCTGTTTTTAAGTTGGATAGCACCATACATCATTATTAATATGTTTACTAAAGTTTAAGATATGTTTTTAAGAGCCCACAATCCCAAGAACTATTTATTAGTCACATACTAGGCAAAATAAATGTGAACAAACATGATTTAACACATGATTTAACTGGCTAATTGTTAGATTCATGTGGGCCCACCCAGACCAACTAAATCAGAATCTCCAAAATTAGGATCTAGCAGCAATCTGTAGTTTAACAAGGTCCCCCAATGATTCTGATAGCCAAGTTTGTGAAGCCTAAAAATTCAGTCTAGGATGTCATTTTGTTCTAATCAAACAAATTTTGATTTGTGTGATGTTGAGGGAATTGTGCAATTGACTAAAGAATGAAGGATTAATGCTTAATTTTGGTAATGCACATGAACACTATAGTTATAAACTGCCTCATTGGAGATTTCCAGCGGTCTCCTGACTTTCTAATTATTGGTTCCATTTTACAAATGAATAAATGGATACTGTTAAAAATAAAATAATGAATACCATAAAGTTAATAAGTAGGAAAACCAGAATTCAGTCTCAATCTTTCTGACTACATGTCCAGGGCTTCCAGCACACTGACCTCTAGTAAACTTGAAGCAAAAATCATTAAAGGCCTTTCCAGTGGGATCTCTATTTAGATCTACCATTTTATTTTCCCATTATCCTATAATAATTTTTGAAGTTAGCATCCTTTCAGTTTAGAACATATATACTGAATTGACATAACCTTGTTTGGATGATGGGTTAGACCACAGAGGGATGGGTTCTATCTTCAAGGAGTCTTGTTGGGGACATGAGACTTACTTGGGACAAGAGTAGAAAACAACAGGTTAAAGTGGCAAAATGTACATTGTGGATTTTCAGTGCTGTTATCAGTTTAGAGGAAATTATTTTGGGCCAAAAATTTTAGTGATGTCTCCAGGAGAAGCAGGATTTGATTTGGGTTTTGAAGAGTGGGATTTGGAAAATTCAGGAGAGGACATTCCCAGGTGTGGGAATGGCATAAGCAAAAGAGTGAGTGTGTGTCCATGTGTGTGTGTATGCAGGTGTGCTTGTCGTCTGTGTATTTAGCAGTCATACTTAGTGCTCGAGAAGAGGTTGGTCCTGCTTGGGAACAGTGAGAAAGATGGAATAGGGTGTAGAAGATGGTGCTGTGCATCATCTTTCAAGGTGGCCAGCCTCTACAGGGCACTGAGACTGTCATGTTAAAAGATGCCACTTGGGATCATTGCCCTCTTCTTCTGTGTGTTGTTTATTCTTATTCTTCTCTCATGTATGTGCTCCCAGCCCCAAGAAAATACTTTAGTCTAATGCTGGAAAACCCTCTGTCATTGTCCAGAATCAAATTAAGCACAGGGAATATGACCATTGCTTTGAGATACACATGGGATTTAGGATGTTGAAAGATACAAAAGCCTCAGCACAATAGACAGAGAATCAGCAGGTTCCTGGGATATGACTAATTTTTCGCTGGCCGTTTAGTAACAGGTGGTATTTATCTAAGCAGACTGCCCTGGGCAGCTGGTTGATGGGTTCTTCCAGCTGGACATCTTCTCCCCATTTAGTTCAACCACACCTGCTTCATACAGCAAACAAGAGCCTTTCTCATCTCTAGTATCTCCATGTAGGGGGCTAGGGGTATAGATCAACCATTCAGCTTCCAGCTGTAGTGTTTCATGATGTCTGAGGATCCCATCTGGCCTCCTACCAGGAAAAAAAAAGAGTTAGGTTTTAGGTTTAGAGGTGGGCTTTTTTTTTTTTTCAGGGGGTGGTTTTGTCCTGTTGTGTTGCTTACTTTTAAGAAAGAGATTTCATCATTGACAGCTATCATGTGATCAGCCTTATCTCCCATTAAAATTGCTGGTCCTTGAAGCATGCACTGACATGAGGGTGCCTGCTCCTTCAAGCTTTTATTGTACTGAATTAAGGAAGAGTAGAATAGTCTCATGAAAGATTAATCACTTCCTGTAAGCATCTTGTACCTGCAGACAGGCAATTACTGAAATATGTCCGAAAGAAAACAAGAACGTTAAAATGTATTGGTCAGGTATTTTTCGGCAGTGTGACTACAAAACTTGTTTGGGTGCCAGCTTTTATGGAGCCAAAAGGAGCTTCTGTGTTGAGTTAATGGATCATAGTTTGTTTTGTACATGAGTAGCAATGTTTTCTTTGTAATAATAGTAAAAACTTTGACACTGCACAGGTATTTCTCTTGAGGCTGTTTAAGGGTATACATTCATATTTATTTCCCCACCTAACCTGAATCAACGATTTGGATTGAATTCTAGTCTTTGGAGTTTAGAAAATCCTGTATCTTCAGTGCTGGGCCTGCCAGAAAGTAGCTATTTAATAAATATTTGAGGACTGACAATCTCTATTTTATAGTTGTCAAAGGGTTTACAAATAAAGGGGATGCCATAGTCTCAGTCCTGAGAATTGTAGTAATCAATACAATACTGGGTTTACCATCACCTTGCCTCAAAACTTTCTATTTATCAGCTGTGTTCCAGGCTTTGTGCTAAAGGCTGGAAATTAAAAAAGAAAAAAAGACATGGTCCATATGTTTTAAAAAGCTGAGAATTCCTGGCAAGGGAAATACCATGCAACAACAACATTAAGAACAAAAACATTTTTTTGGTCACTTGCTGTATTCTAGACACTTTTCATGTGTATATATTAATTTGTTTAATCCACAATTATTATTATTCCATTTTTTCAGATGTATAAACTGAAGCACAGAGAGTTACACAACTTTGTGTAATTTACCCAAAGCTAGTATGGATCTAGAATATGAATAAAAATACTACATAAAAATAAAACAAACACCGAATATGTAGAGTGCTCTAGGTGGGTAAGTACGTGGTACAGGAAGGAGGCACCCTAGGTTCTGTGTAATGGGGACTGGACAACAGTTTCGGGAGTAGTAATTTCTAAATCTTTTCCTCCTTACCCCCACTTCTGTCACTGGGATCTGGAATCTGAGACTTCTTTCTCTCTCCAGGTCTGGTCCCAGTTCTTTCCATGTATGTTGCCACCGACAGGGAGCATCATGCTCTGCTTCGTGATCTCTCTACTACTGATGTCTTAAATAGTTATCTACCATCAATCAGATATAATTATATACTTTATGATCAGCAGCCCACTTTGGTGGCAAGAACTGGGCCTCTGAAGTCAGACACATTGGTTTGAATCTTGTCTCTTCCACTTGCAAGCTGTGCAATATTGGGCAAGTTCTAACTTCTCTGAGCTTATATAATCTCATATGCAAGACAGGGTTAATTATACTTATCTCTTAGGTCTGTTGAAAGAATAAACTGAGATAATATATGTAAAGTATATATTACAAAGAAGATAATAAATGCTGGTTTTATTTCTTTATAACACTGTGCCTCTTTTGCCTCTGTTTCTCTCAGCATCTATTATAGTTTCCCATAAATAGTAGATGACTAAAATATGATTGTTGATTTGATTTTATGGGAATAGAGAAATAATTGAAAATGTCAGTATTATATTATTAAATGATCATACACATAACATCTTCCTGGAATATATTTCTCTTCCCTTTTCTTTTCCCCTTCCCACTTCTACCTTTACCCACTTACCTTAAATTTGACTTGCCTTTCAGGTCTTGGCTTAGATGTGGTCTTCTCCAGGGTTTTCCCTGGTTGAGTTAGGCTCTCCTTCTCTCTGCTTCTGTAGCACCTTGGGCCATAAGAACTATAGGTGCCATACAAACTTTTTTATTATTATTTTAGTGAAGTGAAGTCCACATAACATAAAATTAACATTTTGGGGTGAACAATTCAGTGGCATTTAGTACATTCACAATGCTGTGCTACTACCACCATCTAGTTCCAAAACGAAAACTCCATAACCATCAAGCAATCACTTCCCTTTTCTCCCTCCTACTAGTCCTTGGCAACCACCAATCTGCTTTCTGTCTTTTGGGATTTACATATTCTGGATATTTTATATAAATATATAAATAGAATTATATAATATGTAACCTTTTGTGTCTGGGTTCTTTCACTTAGTGTAATACTTTTCAGGTTACACATTGTAGCATGTATCAACCTTAATTTCTTTTTTATGGCTGAGTAATATTCCATTGCAGGTGCATACCAGGTATATATGCTAAATTTATTATTTTCTTATTTCAAAATGTTGCTCAAGTCAAACAAACCTAAAGATAAAGCCAGGGTCTGGAGTTAGCTATACTTAAAACAGTCATATACCAGCAGGTCTTGAAAACTTTGGTTTCACTCTGGAGCAAGCCAACAGAGTTAGCACATCTGAAGAGGGGAATGAATTTCCTTAAGAAAGCAAAGACCTGAAATCTGGATTGGGAGGTGTGGCTAATTCAATTTTATAATGGTGATATACTGCTGAGGAACCCCAGGGGAAGGAACTGAGTTTCTTTGGAAATTGAGTGTCTTAGGTATTAAAACTAGATATAGAAGTGGCTGTAATAATCATCTTACATTTTCAAATTATGGGAGTAATTATAAAGGCTACCATTGCTTAATGTTTTCCATCTTTCTAGACTCAGGGGTGTGAATTTCCCTTTGATAAGTTGTTGTCTACACCACAAAATCAGCCTAAGAGTCTACCTGTTGAGCTATCTTTTATTTGAGTATACATATTTGTTCCATAATTTTGCTACTTTTAGTGCATAAAAAGTATTCACTTTCAACCTGAAGAAATGAGATTATATTAGTTGTGGACTGGAAATAACAATCTACATCTGTTGAGAAAAGAATGGTGTCCTCTCCCAAAGCCTTGGACTTCCACCTAGATAAGAAGCTATATACCTGATGCTCTCAAATCATGATTTCTGTCACTGGAAGGGGTTTTATGTTATTTTTTCTATTTGGGAATGTACTGAACAGTTGAACAGTTATATTTTCACTTATAACTTTGTCTAGTCTCCATGAAAGTTAAGAAATTGTCACTAGCAAGCTCTTGCTCTAACAGTGGGAGCAGTCTTGTCCTAAGGTAAGAGAGACATAAGATAATTCCTTGTATCCTGGGAACACATCACCCTGCAGCTAGTTAAAAAGCGATCTTAGTTGATGACTATATTTGACTTTTGTGGTTCCCTAGGAACATTTCCATGATCTGCTTGGATATTATTTGGATTCAGATTAGAATTACCCTTGCAGCATGATGTTTTACGGTAGCCTTGACATTAATCTCTTACTTACCTGCCTTGGTAACCAAAAAACAGCCCACAGGCAAAGGAGGAAGCAATAGTCCAAGGGGTTGGGTGAATTGGGGAAAATCCCATAAGAGGGAAGTGATAGATTGTTGCAGTCACAGCCCATTTCATGATTTTAAAAGCCTTCCTCACCACAGTTTCACTTACGAGTGCCAATGTGTGCCAGCATTGGACATACATGGTCTTGGAGTTTAAATCACACTTACTTTATTGACCATGTAACCTGAGACAAATTAGTCTTTCTAAAATTCAGTTTTCAGGTCTGCGGTTGGGGCTAAAAGTATTATCATCCTTTTAGGCTTGTTACCAGGATTAAATAAGATAATGTACACGGTACACAGAGCATACTGCCCGGCACAAAATAAGCTCTTAATTACTAGATGTTAGCTGTTACTAGAGTTTTAGGATCACATTTTGTGGCCAGCCCATAAGTCTTACCTACTTTTTCTATTATGTCTTCATTTTAAGTGGTAGCTGTCATTTTTGCCAATCTTCCATATTTTTAGTAAGCGTGTGTCTAGTTTCAAAGCCTGAAGAGATTTACATTTCAAAAATGGTTTACATAGAGCATATGGGAATTTGTAATACAGCCTAAAAATTTATGAAAATTGTATTTTTATTAGCAAATTAATAACCGAAGGAATGAAGAAAAAGCTTTCCTTGGAACTAGGATAAAGTTTTCAATCATGATTTACTGATAGAGTTGAAAAACCTATTCAGTATTATCTGCATGGTTTTTACTTTTCCCTGCTTATCATTCATTCATTGAAGTGTTTCTTTAAGATCAAAGTGTTTAGGATTGTAATAAATATTTGGTTTTCCAAATCCATGATTTAACAATTGTTGGTCAAATACAATTTAATAAGTAGAGGACAAAATCTGGAAATGGACTAATAAGGCTTTTTGGCTGCAAAATGATCTTCTAAAACAAAATGTTAAGGAAGTAAGAGGAATAAAGTAGGAGCATATGGATTTCATTTTTGTTGAAATACATTTTGACTCAAAAATTAAGGGAAAACTGGGACAAATATTTTTTGAAGGTTTTTTTTAAAAAAGGTAAATATTTGGCTAAATACAAAGTAATACCACACTCACATATTTCAGTTTTAAAAATTATTGCCAAATGCCTAAAGATTTTTTTCCTTTAAGTGACAATGCAAGGTAATAGGTCTTTTTTACTCAAAATCAGCTTTCTCCTTCTCTTTCCCATATGATTAAAAGATCTTGAGGAAAGAAATTCTAAGTAAAGCTTCATTGTTAAAATCCTGGGCTGGGAGCTTGGAGACTTGGGTACCATATTTCTAGATAAAGACTTATGAAAACGTTTAGAAATCAGGAACTATAAAAATGGCATTTTAAATTAAATTAAAGCCCACTTTTAAAACTGGGTAGTTTTGTTACTGTAGTGAATACTATCTTCAGATTTTTATTTTTTTCCCAGACTAGGAAAAATATTTTTAGTAAAGTTATATTCTGGTTAAATTACTTATTAAGTAGCACATGTGAATATTTTTAAAAATTCAGTCTTGTATATCTGAGTAGTTTCTCAAAAGAAGAAATAAAAAATGCTTAATTTTCTAAGTGTCAGATGGTTTACAATACTGAAATGTTTCTATGAGTCTTTTGCAAAATGTTCCAGTTCCTCTTTTGCATATGTTAAACTTGTGCTTCTCAGAGATTGAGAAAGTTATTCCCCCCGCCAAAAAAAAAATAATTGTTTTTGCTCTTAGAGAGCTGCGCCCAAACCAGATATTTATTTGAGGAGGGAGCTATTTTGTAAGTGTTAAAAAGAGAATAAATCCATCTTTATAAGCAATTGATATCTCAGTTCACAGTGTAAAATATAAGTGTCTGGCCTAAGAAAGAACCATCAGGTTGTTCTAGAGAACAAATGATTTTGCCAAACACAGAAAATCTCTGTGAGTCAAAAACAAAACGAAACAAACAAAAGAAACAAATGTAATATTTTTTAGAATGTTGTTGATATAAAGTTATGAGGGGAAAAATTACCAAGAAAGAGGAGTACATGAGAGTGTGAGGTCTTATGGAAAAGTTTACTGCAGCTAGGGATCATCTCTACAAATACATCTTATCTTGTTTATGGTCTCTGATCCCCATGAGTCTCAGCTTATATCCTATAGGGAGCTAGGGTTGAATGAAGAAATTTCTTGCGCTCAGCAGTAGTTAGATCTTAGGAGCCACCTCTCTGTAAAGGAGTGACCAGTTAGCGGCAGCAAATAAGGGAGGATTTGAGGAGAAAAGACACAATCAGAACATTTACTTATACAACCTAAGAGGAAAGAGATTAGCAAAGCAGTTTAATGGAGAAGATCATACAAGGCCGTCCGTTTTTATCCCATCTCTCTGGCATACAAGCATATACACAAAAATCACTCTGTTAAATTGCTCTCTGGGTTCATGTTCTCAGGCAGTCCTACAGTTGAGCTTGTCTTGTAGTGAAAGAGGTTCTCTAATACTGCAGAAAATAGCAATTGTATGACCACCTAAGATGGAGGATCTGTTATTAAATCCTTATCCATAGGGAATACAACATTAGGTAAGACAAAAAAATGCCACAAGAGAAAATACCTCCCAGTGTGGAACTGGGTACAGATTATTTTCTTAATAAACACTTAATGATTAAAAAGTGTTAGAGGGATGTTTTGGTATAATTTACACTGTAATACTTTATCATTGTTAATTTGAATATATTGAATCTCTCTAACTAAACTAATATGTTCATTACAGATCTCAGCAGGTATATCTTCATGTTTTGTTATGAGTAGTTACTTAATTGATAAAGGTTTATAGTGGTTGGTGCTTGGGAAAATAATTAATAGCAAGACCTTGGGCATGAGTCACCCTATGCCTAAGCTTGAAAACAGATGATGATCAGTGGATTTATACTGCTGAGTAAAGTCTCATAGAATTACATTAAATGAGAAATGAAACTTGACACTTCTGGCTTCAAAATTTAATTTTGAAAAAGGGGATCATGGCATCCCCCAAATGGCACATGTCTGCTGACTAAGCAGTGCAAGATGCTGTAACTAAATCCTAAAAGTGAAGGCTGAAAATAGAAATAATTGGAGAAAAGGGAAGAAAATTGTGTTAGTAAATTCAGCGACCACTAATCGCTATTTTTTTTTTGATCAAAGGCGTCTAGACACTACCTAACTCCATTCTAGCTTTTATGACTGCTGCAAAGGAGTATGCATTCTTATTATCTTATTTACAGTGTTAGAAGATGTCTGTGTAAACAAACATCTCCTGAACAGTTGTCCATTTGTCAGAGTTGCCTGTTTCCTGGGCTTATTTAGAAATCTGATTTGGTGTTAACTATTATTCTTTTGGAGGCTGCAGCCAGCAGCCCATTGACTTACAGACTTACTACCATTGAAAAAGAGACATGCGGCCAGGCGCGGTGGCTCATGCCTGTAATCTTAGCACTTTGTGCGGCCGAGGTGGACGGATCACGATGTCAAGAGATAGAGACCATCGTGGCCAACATGGTGAAACCCCGTCTCTACCAAAAATACAAAAATTAGCTGGGCATGGTGGTGCGCGCCTGTAGTCCCAGCTACTCGGGAGGCTGAGGCAGGAGAATCACTTGAACCTGGGAGGCGGAGGTTGCAGTGAGCCGAGATCACGCCACTGCACTCCAGCCTGGTGACACAGTGAGACTCTGTCTCAAAAAAGAAAAAAGAAAAACAGACATGCTATTTTATATTTAGTGCTCTAGTTCCAGCCTAAGAGATCCTCTAACTCTAAGTAGCTCTTTCCCAACTGTGCATGCAGCAGACACTATAGATATGTGCCTAGAGAACCCACATCTTTTTGGCCAGTCTTAACTTCAAATATTATACTTTTGTCCTTTTGTCCCCCTATGTCATTTACATTTGTCATATCCTGAAAGCACAATTTTCAAAACAAAAAAAAAACGATAAAAACTATAAGGCCTCCTCCATCTTTCCACTGAGATAATAATGTCTAACAGTGATTGAGAACTTATCATCCAGGCGCTCTGCATACATATACCCTACAACAGTCCTTCAGAGTAAAGTGTCATTATCTCTGTTTTACAAATGGGCAAACTGAAAACTAAGGAAGGTTGAGTAGCTTGTCTAAGACCACACAACCACTAAATAGAGAAACTGGGATTAAAATGAGGCTTGACTGTAAAGCCCCTGTTCCTCTTATTACAGGATTCTAGGAGGTGTCACTTGTTCAGGCCCAGTTTTGAGGGTGTGTTGAGTACAAAACCTCTGTGATATGATTTGCCTATGAATGTCTTCTGCTTAAGAGTTTCTCCTCTCTCTCTGGTTAGGTATGAGAAACTCTTTTGATTTATAACATTGCAACACTGGGGAGGGGATGAAATTCACATTCACAACTCGTTTTAATTAGTTGACTGAATTACCTAGCAGGACTCTTGAGAATGGGATATGGGACCAATAAGTTTTAATATGGAATGGGTCCAGAAGGGAACTTTACAGCCGAAAGAAGTGTATAATTGGAAGCTCATAGGCTCTGTGAAGTCTAATTTCTGCCACCAGGGGCCAGTGTGCAGGTGCTAGAAATCTAGGCATAAGGCAGCATCGGGAAAACAAACAGATCAAAATGGAAAATGGAAATGAAAATTGTATTTCAGTTAGTAAGACTTGGCAAAAAGCCCCTGGCAGTTTAAAGCCCAAACCCAAATCATAAATCATAAGTTGTTTATGATTAAGTCTATCTGAAGACCTGAAAATATATCCTGCCTAGATGAATAAGGATTGCTACAGTAAGGATTGCTAATAAGCGATGATTTTAGAGGACAATATGACTAAGTTACAGCATCTGGAAACATACTGAGAACAGTCCCTTCAAATATATTAAAAGTTCCCTTTTCGATTGATTGCCTTCAGGGTGACCATGTGACAAGGAGAATAGAGAAAGTTCAAACAAGGAGACTAGAGAAAGGTCAAAGGAAAGGAAGAATGAGAGGGACATTTTATAAACTCTCAAGATTTAAGTACAAATATATCATTTCTTACAATGAAGAAAAGTACTCCTGAATGTGCTAAGTAATTGCAAAAAGGCATTTCAATCCTTTATCTCTTCATTCTTTTAAGACGACATATGCAGTAAGAGGAAAATATCCAATTGATGTTAAAATATCTAAGAAAATACATATTCCAACAAAATGGCACATTCAGTTTGTTACATCCAAATACTTTGTTTTTTACCTAGGCTCACTTGTGAACTGTTTTGCTTGGTTATACCAGGACTATTTGGAACAAATGCTCATATTCTTTCTTGTAGACATAGCCATTTGGATTTTTAAAATACGATTTGAAAATCAAGAGGGTTTAAAATTTTTGTGTTAAAATAATCACTCCAGGAAACTGTAAGGTATTTGATTCTCTTCTTATTTTCCTAAATATAAATCCACTCATCTAGTAGTTGGGAAAACATATTCAAAATGGTAGTTTGCATCCTTTATGATTTAGTAGGAGCATGTGTCTGCTAAAGAGCATGGTGAAAGTTAATTGCTGTCTACTTGGGAAGCTTGAAGCAGCAGATTTTGCCCCTGGCAAGATAATTTTACAAAAGTAGGAACAAATAATGAGCCAGGCTGTCTCTCAGCCATTAGTGTGTAAGATGAAAGCTCCTGCCCACCCCCACCCTGCCCCATGTATATGATAAACGTAAGAAAAGAGGCACAGTTTCAAAATGACTGTTTATGACCTAAGCAGCAAAAACCGTAACATGAAGCATTGAATCACAACAGGCATCATTCGTGCCAGTGAATTCTGAGTGATGTATTTCTAGAGCCTAAAAGTACAAATTATCTTCTGGCTATCCTACCTGCCTGCATTAGCTTTGACTTATTTCATGTGAGTCTTTCAGTGCTGGGACTTAACATTCTGACCTAACATTTAATGTATTAATCCTAATTTTAATCCGATACCAAGACTTGCTGTTGTATTGAATCAATTCAGGTTAATTCAGAATTATGTTGCTCCCACCCAGAATCAATAGACCCACTGTTGGTTCTCTCCAAAGCTGACCACCCAGTTTTGTGAGAATCTGCAGTGAATTAGAAAATCTGTCATTGCTGGGGAGACTGGGCAGCTCAGATATGGCATGTCATTCTCTCTGGTCTATACAATACCCACTCTTTGTCTACCGTCTCCTAAGCTAACCTGACATAACCGAGCCTGCCGGTCAATGAGATCTTTATTCTCCTGGAAGGAATGCCTGCACACAAGCATTATTAAGAAATTTCTGGACAATGTTTAGTGGCTAAAGAATAATCCAAGTTTCTATTAAAAAGCCATCTGGGTAATTAATAGCACATTTGTTCTCAGCCTTCTCCCAATTTGTCCATTAGTGGAATAAAAGCTCAGGACAAAGGGTAATGTGGTTCAGTTATATTTTACAAGAATTCTTCAGGAAGTTGAAAACACATGATAGTTTTCCAAAGATACATATGTTTATGGGCTCTTAGAGCAGCAAATAGGAAAATCCATGGGCTTTAAACTGAAGTTTTCTGCTGCCACTAGCTATTTAAATTAAGAAAAGTGATATGGAATATTTACAAATTGTTCCTGGAATTGACAAGCGAGTTGCCAGAATGCTCTAAAAACTTGTATGGGCTGGGATGTCTCCTTCACATTTAAGTAAAAAAAAATTCTGAAGATCTACAAATTTGGAAAAAATCCAGGACATTTTATACATTTTCACCTGGTAGTTGTAAGGATTTTTTGACATCTCTTTTTAATGTATTTTCATGCAAGTAGTAGCCTCAGGCAGCATATTTCTGCACCGTTGCTAAATAAGCTCTTTTTCTTGTTGATGCTTTCTCTATTGTTCCGTTAGTTTGCCTTTTTTCTTAACTGTGTGGATGGTGAAACTTTAAAATACTAGATATTTGCAGATAAAAATTTAAAACACCTCAAAGTTAAATGAAGATTTAGTATGCTTTAGATTTCTAAATCTAGAAATTTCTGTCTTTTACATTTATATTAAGATTTATATTAAATCTTAATATAAATTAAATCTTAATATTAAATCTTTCAGATTTATATTAAAGCAGTGAACAGCTAAATACCAAAGGAACCTGGAATTTATGAGGACTACACTGCCAAAAAGTGTATCTGTGTGTGTATGTGTGTGTGTGTTGGGTGGCGAGGTTTGATCGTGGGGGATGGGGGCTATGACAGGGTCACAAGCAGAGTATTTGCAAATATACTCCAGTAGCTTCGGAGGGGATGAGTCTCAGAGAGGGAGAGAGAGACAGAGACACAGAGACAGGGACAATCTCTCAGGTAAGGGGTCGGTTTATTTGGGAGGTATCAGGTCAAGAGGAGATCCTGCAAGATTAGTTTTAGTTACTTTTTATTGTGTGCTTAGTATGTGCCAGGCTAAGTACTTCTATGGATCATCTTATATAATCCTTATAGCAATGCTATAAAGAGGTGTTATCCTCATTTTCAGATGAAGCTTTGAGAAGTTCACATAGCTAGTAAGTAGCAGTGCCTGCAAGGCTCTATGGCCTCCCAACATACTCCCTTGCTCATTCTTCCCTGCTAGCAGCCTTTCGCATTCCAGCATAATAGTTAAGAAAACATGCTTTGGAAATGGGCAGAGACCAGCTGAGTTGAGTCCTAACTTCACTAATTCATTCATTCATTCAATACTTTTTAAACCCTAGTATGCCCCAGACACTGTTGAAGGCACAGTGGTGAGCAACAATATTTCCAGCTCTTGCCCTCAGGAGCTTACAACTTGGTGGGGGAAGACAGACAATCGAATTTTACACAGTTGTAAAATTGTTAACAATGACAAATGTAGCCAGAAGAGGTACCAGATCTCCTGAGAACTGATGCTAGGAGCATTTGAATTAGATGGTGAAATCAGGCAGGGCTTTCTGAGGAAGTAACTCTTGAGCTGAGATCTGAAGGATGACATGGCATTATCTAGGCAAAGAGGGGAAGGAAAACGAGGTCCAGGCAGAAGTAGCAGCAAAGGTCCGGCTCTGGGCAGAGCATGGTGAGTCTGGCTGGGTAATAGAGAGATAGGGAAGAGTGAGGAGAACAGAGCCATGGGCAGGTGACAGGACCAGATCACACAGGGCTCGGAGGACAGCCTTGAGTTTCGTCTTTGTCTTCAGAGCAATGGGAGGCCATCCAATGGTTGTGGAGAAGCTCTTCCCTTTTCTCTTTCCTTCTCCTTTTCTTTTTCTATTCTTTGTTTTTTTCTTTTGAGATGGAGTCTCACTCTGTTCCTCAGTCTGGGGTGCAGTGGTGTGATCTAAGCTCACTGCAACCTCCACCTCTGGGGATCAAGTGATTCTGCTGCCTCAGCCTCCCAAGTAGCTGGGATTACAGGCACCCACCACCATGCCCAGCTAATTTTTGAATTTTTAGTAGAGATGGAGTTTCACCATGTTGGCCAGGCTGTTCTTGAACTCCTGACCTCGAGTGATCTGCTCACCTTGGCCTCCAAAAGTGCTGGGATTACAGGAGTGAGCCACCGCACCTGGCCTTCCTTCTCCTTTTCTTGTTCCTCTCTCTCTTTCTCTCCGTAGACGTCGGACTGTGCCCAGACTGGTGTCATTCAGAGAGTTACATCTATTATTCCTTTTATTGCAGCTTTTAGTGACACTTTTACTTCAGGATGCCTTTAGCTCCCCAGGCTCAGGAGAAAGGGCCTGGAGGGCTCAACAGACACCGGTCACCACTACCATAGGACAGCTTCTAGAAGAGGTCTTTCTGACCCTGCCAACACATGAAGAAAAGCACAATTTTATTCCTAAGTTCTGTTTTAGAAACACAGACTCTGAGATAAGCCAAAGCAATGGAGCTGTTTGAACATCCATTTGTGATTGTTTTTTAATTTCAGAGTTAGGAGGTCAGCTGTGGCAGCTGCCAAGGTTGTGGGGTGGGGGACAGGGCTAGAGGCCCAGGGCCCTCACAGGGCCTGTTCATGGCCAGCTGAAACCATCCCAGGCTGGGAGGGCCTGGCCACTCCTCAGCAGAACAAATATTTGTTAGCACTTTACACAAGAATACTCTTGAGCTCATCATATTTACATTGCAAATGTTCTGTAAATAGCAAATCAGTTATGTGTACCTGAAATTTGTCTTTTATTTGAGGACACTGTATTCATAGAGGAGAGAAGTGAGTTTTGGAAGAGAGAGGAGTACCATTAAAAAGAAAACAAACACAAAGCCTCCAGCAGAACCTCTCTTTGCCAGGGCAGATACTTAAAAGGCCACCCCAAAATGAATCCCAAATGAATGCTCCCTCCAAGTCTCTCTCTTGGCAGGTTAAATGGACCTACAGTTATAAACCCCAACTGTCAGTGCAAGCTGTCTCTGAGGGAAGTCAATAGCAGCCTGGCCCCGGCTCCACTACAGGGGTCTCCATAGCATCATTGGGGGGGGGGTGGTTCTCCTTGTAGGACCCCCCCAGTGCCCAGACCCTGTAGTCTATAACTCATTAGCAACCTCCTGAAGGAAGAGAACAGAATCCTTCTGTGATAAAACAATGTCTTAAAGACTTTCAAGAGCTAGACTTTCATGTCAACACAGGTCTACACATGTGGATAGATTAAGGTCAGGTGTAGAGAATACTTTCCTATATGTTTTGAGACAGTGCTTTTTCATTATAAAATGAAAAAAAAAGGAAAACAATAAAATAGAATAGGTTAAAGAAAACCTTTACACACACACACACACACACACACACACACACACAGTACTCTTACCCATTATGAGAGAAGTTACTCTACTCTTTTTGTTTATACAGTTTAAACATTTTATTTATATATGTTCTGTGTAAGGATTATCTCCACATGGTGTGATGCTTCTGGAAGTATCACTATCATTTCCCCAATTCTGTCCCCCATGAAACATGAAACATGTCCTCCACTACAGTATGAAATGTTGTCACTGTTATTTCTTTATATTAACCATTATTCTTCCTTTCCTGCTATTTGCAATTCAAATCCCTTTCTTGTCCTCTCTGCCTCCTTTTCCCTACCACATCCCTAATATGATAGCATGAATTCGTTTGTCAAGTGGCTTTCTTGTGCAAGGTTTTCTTTACTTTAGTGCATCTCTGTGCCAGGCTGTGTTGTGAGAAATAATAGAGAGAAGAGGCATTGAAAGGAGCATGAGGCCCAGGGGACTTTGACCACTTTACAGATTGGGTAGCTGAAGGCCTGGGATGGAGACAGGGTCATGGAAGTTTGGTAGATGAGCATAACTATGGTCCTCTGAAGAAATAGGTGGGGTATATTTATTGTCTCTGAGGCCAAGCACATTTTCAAACATCTCTGGAACTCAGAGTAACCCAGCCTGATAGAGCTGTGCTCAAGAGCTGTAGGCACCACTAACCACTGCTACTCAAAGTGTGGCCTGAGAACTCTTTGGTTACTGATCTACAGAAATTGAGAACAAGCATTTAGAAACATTTTTTCATCAAATGACATTGCTGTGACATCCAAGTATGTGATCAGTGAACTCACCTCATTAATTGTGGTGTAGACCAGTTCAGTTGTCAAGTTCGCACGGAGAACTGAATGTGGCATGAGCTGCATTCTAGACGTGCAGGAGGATGAGGACAGATTAAAAATTAAAAAATAAATTAGTCCTCAGCCTCTGTGTGAGAAGTACTGCAGCAAACTAATGCTTTTAAGCATTTTTCTTCCTTCAACTACATTAGACTTTGAAACAAGAAAGAGGAGGATCAGGGTGTAGGAGAACAATGATTATAGCAGGCATTAATTGAGCACTCAGTGCTAGGCTTTGTGCTAAGTACTTTATTCATATCAACTAATCTAATTTACACTACTACAATTTCCATACATTACATTATTATTATTGTTACTATTATTGAGACAGGGTCTTGCTCTGTCACCTAGGCTGGAGTGCAGTAGCACAATCACTGCTCACTGTAGCCTCAACCTCCTGTGCCCAAGTGATCCTCCTACCACAGCTTTCTCAGTAGCTAGGACTACAGGTGTGCACCACCGTGCCCGGCTAATTTTTTAATTTTTTGTAGAGATAGGGTCTCCCTATGTTGCCCAGGCTGGTCTTGAACTCCTGGGTTCAAGCAATCCTCCTGCCTTGGCCTCCCAAAGTGCTGGGATTATCGGTGTGAGCCACCACTCTCAGCCCTGTTATTCCATTATTATTTCCATTCCAGAAAACTAGGGATCAGGAGACATAAGTAATAACTCTGTGAGTAGTCTTCCATCCTGATGGGTAACTAGAGTGAGCCCTACCTCTTCTTCAACTCTTCCAGTTCATGGGGGTCTGTGCTTCTCACTGACCTGGATCCTGGTCCCCACTGATCACTTTGGCTCTCACTGTCTTGGCCTCTGGCTCTACCTGCCTCTTTCCCTGGCAGATTCCCATGGTTACAGAGAGGTGGGAAAGTCCTATGAGGCAAGGCGGTGGGAAAACAAGAGGAAAGAGTCCAGACAGGAAAGGAAGCCAGGGAAAGAGCATAGAGGAGTGAAGGAGAGCTTGGCTGGAGGCCATTCTTTAGGGAAAGAGTCGTAGCAACTGTTGTGGATGGAAAGTGGAAATGTGGGGAAAATTTTTTTTAAAAAAAAACTAAGTGAGGTAATCACTTCCTCTGTTTCTCCACAACCTTGGGAGAAAGTCACAGACCTTTCCATACTTTTGGAGTAAGGTTGGTGTTTTTTTTTTCTGCAAAAATGGTCCTGGGTGAGAGCAGGGCAGGCTGCCTGACCACATCTGGATTATATTTGGACAACCCAGAGCCCTTAAATCTTGTTCCCAGCTAGTGTAGCCTGGGACTGTTTACCCCAGAGAGATGGGAGCTCTCATAGTTTTCTCTCTTTGGTTTTTAAGGAGGGCTAGGACTGGGGAGGAGCTGGGGATGGGGTCTCCCTGCCTACTTTCTTCCCACAAAGTCACCACGTAGGTGCATAACAGTGTCCTCCCTCCCTTCTCCACCTTGATATCTGCAAAAGATTACCCAGGAGAAATCTAATTTTTAGCCAGCATTATCATTGATTAATACAGTCTTTTCAAGGTGGATTTGCACAGAATTTGGTATCCTCCTTTGCATTATTTTCCATCAAAACAATTATTTTAATAATTTGTAAAGTGGTCTCATTATCCAAGGATCTGAGGTTAGTGATCCTTAGGAAGAACTGCTAACCTTGAGCCAACTTCTCTTTATCCTCAGGTTCATTTCAATTCAGTGAGTGCTCTGGGGCTCCTCTTACAGCTTCACATAAAGGCATTGGTCATTTATATTCACATGCCAAATCCATGCTTTCAGGGAAAACCTTCTTGTACACAAATCCTCACACATTTGTAGGCAGACAACAGTACTGATCGTTTTTTACCAGTCGTTCAGGTAGTTTGCTAGGGCTGAGCTGTACTATGTAGAATATTTAGGAGATTTTCCTGAGAGATTCTTTCCCTCCTGAGATGCATAATTTGCAAGCTGGGGAAGACATCAGTCTTTTGTAAGTCTGAGATTTTTCAATTTAAAATGAAATATTTCACTTCTGGGAACTCTTCTCCATGGAATTATAAAGTGCCCCTGTGTCAATGTGTAATTTATTCCACGAGAGCTTTGTCCTGGGAGCATTGCAGTGGCTGGAAATTAAGAAACTTCTGTTTCAATTCCAACTTCACCCGTGACTTCTGTGTGACCTTAGGGAAATTAGTTAACCTCCTTGGGTTTTATGTGCTTTAAAATGAGGATCAGACTATTACCTCATTGTCTGGGCTCAAAGCTCAATAAAGAGCTAAAGCCCAGTGGGATCCCCAGGTAAAGGCTGCTAACACTCTGCTTGTTCTCTGGTGTGGAAGGCCTTTGCTTGGTTCAGAAGGGCACAGGACTAATTCTATCAGTCTTCAGTCCCTGGGGAGGCCTATTATATACTGACGATACCTTATATTTGAGAAATGTCATGATTTTTAAAAGGATGTTATATATTTGATTTTCTCATTTAATTTTCTCCATGCTGGGGAAGGAGGGATTTATTATCACTTCAATTATATTGAATCAGTTTAGGGCAGGGAACTTAAGTGTTAAGAGTTAATTTGTAGACTCAGTAATATATAGGATAACACATATTCTTCCATAATCTACCCTCATCTGTCACAGGATCCCTTAGGGTCTTGCTTTTCCATCTGGAAACCTGTGGGGCCAGTGGCCCCTTTGCCTGAGTTTTGCTTGGGCCTGCTGGGCTCATTCTGCCCCCTCAGCCTGGCAGGCTGTGCTTGGCTCATGGTCCTGGCTCAGATAACACACCTGCCAAGGGCAGGCCAGGTGTGCAGTGGCAAGGGATGTGTGAGCGAGTGAGCATGGGGTCTGGCTACTGTGCACAGACAGCCATGCTGGCTGCTATGGCAGGGCAGGCAGCTCCAGGCACTGGCACAGGCACCAGCTCCATGCAAAGTTGTGGCTGGATCAGATGTACTACAAGCCACTTCCGCAGTGGGTACTCCTGTCTGGATGAGGGGGACGTGGTGGCACCCAAAAGCTTTGAGATGCCAGGAAATGCAGAGCTCCAAAGAAGGTGTCACAACCCTGGCTCGGGAAGCCCCTGGGTCTGAGCTCCCCAAAGGGTCGCAGCTCTTCTCTCCTTCTCATCGCTTGCAACATGGCGAGCAGTGGGGGTGGGGGAGCAAGTGTCAGCCTTGTTTGCGTTACAACTCTTTCAGTCCCGCCATTCTTGGGTCCTGAGTTCTTCTCCCACGTCCAGAAAGAATGAGGTACATGGACAACTGGAGGGTGAGCAAGGCAGAGAGTAGCTTTATTGAGCAACAGAACACGTCTTAGGAGACCCAAAGTGGTTAGCTCCTATCTGCAGGAAGCTCATCTTAGTCACCTCAGTCATCTTGATGAGTGAGTGTCTGTCTGAGTCTGGGGTTTTTATGTCCTCAAAATGGAGGAAGTGTATGCTGATTGGTCATGGGCAGCCACAGCAGGCCTGGAAAAAGCATCATCCAATTGGCCGAACTGTCATCAGTGAAGTTCTTACTCCAGGTGCCCACTTTGCCCAGAACTGGCAGCCCCGCTCCCATACCTGGTCTGAAGGAGAGATTTCACTGGGGACCTTCCCCCTTCTGCCCAGGAACCTGCCTGCCATTAACATGCTGTCCATGGTGCCCAGGTTGTCCATTTCAAGAGGTGCCTGCAGGCCCATGCTGAGCCACCCTCAGACCCCAGCCCCCCTCCCGTGCCTGTTGGTACCCCAAGTCTGGAGGTGGCCAAGTAGGATGGGGGCTAGTGTGTCAGCAGTGTGTGCATACCCGGCCAGGTTATGACAGCACCCAGGTTTGGCCATAACTTTGCTCCACCCCAGAGTGGGTGTCGGGAGTGGGGAGAGGCCAGGGAGTGGGAGCATGCACTTTCAAGCCTGCAGGGTCAGGGGGCTTCTAGGGCCCCTGAGAGCTCAGGGATGCTAGGGTCTGGAGCCATGTTTGGATGGCTGCAACAGTGCCAGGGAGTATGAGGAGTGTGAGGCTCCTGCCTCACCAACTCGATAGGGGGGCAGGACTCCTGCCTGTTCCCTGCCCCCATTGGTTCCAAGAAGTGTGCAGCCCCAGCTGCACCTCACCCGCTGCAGCCAGCATCCTCACAGCCACCATCACATGGAAAGACAGTTCCTTCGGCAATATTTACACTTGTAATATGAATTACACTTTGGAAGTATGCTACCTCTAGAATCAGATTTATTTTTTTATTTTAATTTTTTTAGGAATCTTGAGGAAAAAAATATTTTATTCTGTCTTTGAAACATTGGAGAACAAATCATAGAGGTGAGTGATAGCCAAACTACTCAGTGTTTCTGTATCTTGGTTTCTTTAGTTTCCAAATACTATAATTATTTACTTATCACCTACTAGAAAGAGCATGAACTTCAGAGGCAGTTAATCTTTTTTTTAATTTCCAACTTTTATTTTAAGTTTAGGGGTACATGTGCAGGATGTGCAGGTTTGTTACGTAGTTAAATGTGTACCATGGTGATTAGCTGCACAGATTATCACATCGCCTAGGTATTAACCCAGCATCCATTAACTATTCTTCCTGATGCTCTCCTCCTCCCACTCCCCATCCTCTGCCAGGCCCCAGTGTGTATTGTTCCCCAAGATGTGTCCATGTGTTCTCATCATTCAGCTCTTACTTATAAGTGAGGACATGTGGTATTTGGTTTTCTCTTCCCGCATTAGTTTGCTGAGGATAATGGCTTCCAGCTCCATTCACATCCTTGCAAAGGACATAATCTTGTTCCTTTTTATGGCTGCATAGTATTCCATGGTGCGTATGTACCACATTTTATTTATTCAGTCTATCTTTTTTTTTTTTTTTTTTTTTTTTGGGACGGAGTCTCACTCTTGCCCAGGCTGGAGTGCAGTGGCATGATCTCGGCTCACTGCAACCTCTGCCTCCCAGGTTCAAGTGATTCTCCTGCCTCAGCTTACTGAGTGGCTGGAACTACAGACATGTGCCACCACACCTGGCTACCTTTTGTATCTTTAGTAGAGATGAGCTTCCACCATGTTGGCCAGGCTGGTCTTAAACTCTCGATCTCAGGTGATCCACCTGCCTTGGAGTCCCAAAGTGGTGGAATTATGGGCATGAGCCATGGCGCCTGGCCCTCCAGTCTATCATTGATGGGCATTTAGGTTGATTCTATGTCTTTGCTATTGTGAATAGCGTTGCAATGAACATATGTGTGCATGTAGCTTTGTAATAGAATGATTTCTATTCCTTTGAGTATATTCCCAATAATGGGATTGCTGGGTCAAATGGTATTTCTGCCTCTCAATCTTTGCAGAATCACCACACTGTCTTCCACAATGATTGAACTAATTTACACTCCCACCACCAGTGTAAAAGTCTTCCTATTTCTCCACAACCTCACCAGCATCTGTTGTTTTTTGACTTTTTAATAATAGTCATTCTGACTGGTTTTAAGATGGTATCTCATTGTTGTTCTGATTTGCATTTCTCTAATGATCAGTGATGTTGATCTTTTTAAAATATGTTTGTTGGCTGCATGTATGTCTTCTTTTGACACGTGTCTGCTCATGTCCTTTGCCCACTTTTTAATGGGGTTGTTTTTATCTTGTAGATTTAAGTTCCTTGTAATGGTGGATATTCGACCTTTGTCAAATGGATTAATTGCAAAATTTTTCTCCTATTCTGTAGGTTGTCTGTTCACTCTAATGATAGTTTCTTTTGCTGTGCAGAAGCTCTTTAGTTTAATTAGATCCCATTTGTCATTTTTTGCTTTTGTTGCAATTGCCTGTGGTGTCTTCATCATGGAATCTTTGAGATTGACTGGATTTAAATCTTGTCTTTCACTCAGAGAGGACTGTTAGTCAAGTTACTTAGCTTCTGTAAGTCTCATTTCATTTGTAAAATGAAGACAATAAAAGTACTCATTTCATAGTATCATTTTGAGGAGTAAATGAAATAACATATATATAATTTGTGTGTATATATATATATATGATGTGCCTAGTATATAGCCTATTATACAGTAAATCCCTAATTATTATGTTTTAATTACATTTTACTTTCTTTTATGTTAATATAGGGTCGAATTATCCTTCTTTTAAGTATACACTTTAAAATGTATAACACATCAGTCTTTTTATAAATCAGAAATGAACAAAGACTTGTAATCTTCCTACTCAATAATCTCTGTTGATAGTTTTAAAAATGAGCACATTTGTAAAATTAGAAATGTCAAATAGTAGAGAAGTGTATTATATGGAAAGTGGGAAATAATCTTATTAATCAGTTATTATTTCCACAAAAAGATGCACATTCCCACATATAGGCATCTACTTTTTTCTTTTTCACATATAGGATATTATACCAGTGATAGTATTCTGCATTTGCTTTTCTGCACTTTCATATCTGGGAGCTTGTTCTAAAAATAGATCTAATTAATTCTCTTTAATGTCCTCCAGTATTCCATCACAGAGACATTTCATAATTTATTTATCCTTTTAGCTATTGATGGACACTGGATTGTTTTTACTTTTGGTTAGTTTGTTTGTAATTTAATTATGCTTCAGCGAATATCCCTATACATATGTTTTGGAGAATTTTCGTAAGTGTATTAGGAAGATAAATTTCTAGCAGTGGACTTGCTGACTTATGCATTTTAGCTGACATGCCTTTGTATGTTCTGAGTATCCTCTAATTTCAATCATTTTCAAGATTAAAAAATGGCATCATATGATATACATTTTTGAGGAGCATAGTTCTTAATTTTCTCTTTCTTGTTTTGATTTTGTTATGAGTGAGGCTGAACATCGTTTTCTATATTTGGTATTTGTACTTTTTTTCCACTGCAAACTGCGTGTTTATAGACCTTGCTCATTTGCTAGTGGGTTATTCATCTTTGTCTTAATTTATATTACCTTTTAAAAATAAGTATGTGGTTTAAAGAGATATGTTTAATCATATATAATTTTAATTACACATTGGGATTAAAAAAGTTGGCCGGGAGTGGTGGCTCACGCCTATAATCCCACCACTTTGGGAGGCCAAGGTGGGCGGATCACCTGAGGTTGGGAGTTTGAGACCAGCCTGGCCAACATGGAGAAGCCCTGTCTCTACTAAAAATACAAAAATTAGTATTTTTTGTATTTTGTGTGTGTGGTGGTGCATGCCTGTAATCCAAGCTACTTGGGAGGCTGAGGCAGGCGAATCACTTGAACCTGGGAGGCGGAGGTTGCAGTGAGCCGAGATCACGCCATTGCACTTCAGCCTGGGCAAAAAGAGCAAAACTCCGTCCCCCCCAAAAAAAAAAAATATATTTGCTTAGGAGTTAGAGTAGAGGCAAAATTGTGTTTATGGGCCCAGCATCTATTTTCCCTTCTACAAATAGCACCCAGATATTCCTTTTGGGTAGCAGCCATTTTTCCATCATCCATTTTGGATATACTTAAGCCTGGACACATGACCTAGACTTGTCCACTAAAGCTATGCATCCACAGATAGATAGGTGACCCATACTTGTCCAATGGGAGCCATTTCTGTGACTTTGCTGAATCCATTTGAAAAGAAGTACTCTCTCCTTTCCTTACTCCTCCCCACTGCAGTTGCTGATAAGGATATATAGGATGTTGTCAAAAATACAGTTTATGGCCAAGTGCAGTGGCTCACACCTGTAATCCCAACACCTTCGGAGACTGAGGCGGGAGGATTGCTTGAACCCAGGAGTTTGAGACTAGCCTGGGAAACTCTGTCTCTACAAAAAATAGAAAAAAAAAATAGCTGAATGTAGTGGCAAGTGCCTGTAGTCCCATCTACTTGGGAGGCTGAGGCAGGAGGATCCCTTGAGTCCAGGAGGTTGGGGCTTCAGTGAGCCTTGATTGGCCCACCGTACTTCAGCCTAGGGGACAAAGTGAGACCCTGTCTTAAGAAAAAAAAAAAAAAAGAAGGAAAGGCTGGGCACCGTGTAATCTCCAGCATTTTGGGAGGCCAAGGTGGGCAGATCACCTGAGGTCAGGAGTTTGAGACCAGCCTGGCCAACATGGCGAAACCCTGTCTCTACCAAAGATACAAAAATTAGCCGGGTACGACAGTGCATGCCTGTAATCCCAGCTACTTGGAAGGCTGAGGCAGCAGAATTGCTTGAACCTGGGAGGCGGAGGTTGTAGTGAGCTGAGATTGCATCACTGCATTCCAGGCTGGACAACAGAACAAGACTCCATCTCAAACAAAAACAAAGACAAAAAAACAAAGAAAATACAGTACAGTGGAAAGTCAAGTCAGAAAGGAAGTAGAAGCAGAGGTATAGAGGAAGCCAAGTGTATAATAAAAAATGTCCTCTCTAATACCATGGGCCTCTTAAGTGAAGTGGGCTTGATCTGGAAGTTAGATATGACAGGATGAGATGAAGGTGAGCAAAGGCAGGTGGAAGAAATCCTGCTGGGGTGACTTGAAATCCAAACTAATCCTGGCAGAGCCATGAATGCCAGGCAACAGTTTATTCAAGACGGGGAAATGGGGACGTGTTTGGACAAGTTGCACTCTATGACCTCTATATTCCAAAACGACCAAGTCTTTTTTTGTCTATTGCCTGAAATATATTTTCTTTATTGAAAATATCATACTCTACATGCCATAGTATATTTCAATTAAAAAATATCTATATACATTTCTTTAAACATATAATCATTGTAAAACAGATCGCATGAAGATATTCCCAAATTCAATATGGTTTCTCATGGGTTATTTTTATTATTTTCCTTATACTTTTCTCTGTTTCCAAATAGAGAAGGGTACATTTTTTATGATTAGGTAAATACATAAATTTCACTGAAGCACTACAGGATTTTTTTTCCTCTAATGTGTGTAGTATGTTTTTGTGTGTGTTAAATAAGAGCTAAACTTTGGTGAACAGGCAAAATAGCCCCACTTAACTTTAAAAAAAATTTACGAAAGTTACTGCTTATGTTTAGTAGATAAAATAAACAAATTGGATTCTGCTTTGGTCTGAAATGGTCCACATTTTAAAAAATTATTTTGGGGTAAATATTAGATTTATGAATTCAAGTTCTTTTGATCTGTCATGTTATTAATCCCAATAAAGCATTATTTGAAAGTACTTAGACAATGGTATCTAGAGTGAATCTTTTGATGAAATCACCGTTATTTTTAACTAGAGATATTCGTTTACTTAAGCTATAACAAAGGTAGTTTACTGATATGTTTAAATATCTTAGTAAGTTGTAGTTTTTAAAATTTTTATTATATTTATTTTAAATAATTTTAACCTATATTTTAGATTCAGGGGGTATTTATGTGGATTAGTTACTGGGTTATATTATGTGATGCTGAGGTTTGGGATAAAATTGATCCTGTCACCCAGTACCCAATAGTTTTTCAAACCTTGCCCTCTTCCCTCCTGCCTCCTTCTAATAGTCGTCAGTGTCTATTATTCCTATGTTTATGTCTATGAAAACCCATTGTTTAGCTGCCACTTATAAGTGAGAACATGCGGTATTTGGTTTTCTGTTCCTGCATTAATTCACTTAGGATACTGGTCTCCAACTGCATTCACGCTGCTGCAAAGGGCATAATTTTATTCTTTTCTATGGGTGTAGCATTCCACGGTGTATACTTACCACACTTTCTTTATCCGATCCACCACTGATGGGCACCTACGTTGATTCCATGTCTTTGCCATTGTGAATAGCAATGAGAATAGACTACAGTCTCTAGTCTAAGGAACAAACTTCCTGCATATGTAATTCAATGTGCATGAGTCTTTTTTTGGTAAAGTCACACACAGTGATAGCTACAGAAGCATTTGAAATGAAGGATGTCCCTTATTTCTCTGTCTCTCATTCTTTCTTGTCTTCTCTTTCTGTACTAATTAGGACTCTGGGATTTTGACATCACCAAATGTCAGAGGGTAAGGTCCTACTGCATTACATATATTTTAATAAGTAGGGTTCAAGATTTAAAATGTATAAAGCCAGGACTTCAGAGTACAATTTCTTTTTTTTTCTTCAACTTATATTTTAAGTTCCAGGGTACATGTGCAAGGTGTGCAGGTTTGTTACATAGGTAAACATGTGCCTTGGTGGTTTGCTGCACAGATCAACCCATCACCCAGGTATTAAACCCTTAACTATTCTTCCTTATGCTCCCCCTTCCCCCAGTCCCCACCTGAGAGGCCCCAGTGTGTGTTGCTCCCACCTCATGTGTCCATGTGTTTGAATCATTCAGCTCCCACTTATAAGTGAGAACATTTGGTGTTTGGTTTTCTTTTCCTGAATTAATTTGCTGAGGATAATGGCTCCTAGCATCACTCATGTCCTGCAAAGGACATGATCTCATTTCTTTTTTTGGCTGCATAGTATTCCATGGTGTATATGTGCTACATTTCCTTTATCCAGTCTATCATTATTGGGCATTTAGGTTAATTCCATGTCTTTGCTGTTGTGAGTAGTACTGCAATGAGCATATGCATGCCAGTATCTTTATGAAAGACTAATTTATATTCCTTTGGGGATATACACAGTAATGGAATTGCTGGGTCAAATGGTATTTCTGCTTCTAGATCTTTGAGGAATAGCCACATTGTCTTCCACAATGGTTGAACTAATTTACACTCCCACCACCAGTGTAAAAGTACTTCTATTTCTCCACAACCTCATCAGCATCTGTGGCTTTATGACTTTTTAACAATAGCCATTCTGACTGGTGTTAGATGGTATCTCATCGTGGTTATGAATTGCATTTCTCTAATGATCAGCTATGTTGAGCTTTTTAAAATATATTTGTTGGCTGCATGAATGTCTTCTTTTGAGAAATGTCTGTTCATGTCCTTTGCCCATGTTTTAATGGGGTTGTTTGTTTTTATCTTGTAAATTTGTTTAAGTTCCTTGTAGATACTGGATATTAGACCTTTGTCAGATGAATTAATTGCAAAATTTTTCTCCCATTTTGTAGGTTGTTTACTCTGATGATAGTTTCTTTTGGTGTGCAGAAGCTCTTTAGTTTAATTAGATCCCATTTGTCAATTTTTGCTTTTGTTGCAATTACTTTTGGCATTTTCATCATGAAATCTTTGCCTGTGCCTGTGTTCTGAATGGTATTGCCTAGATTTTCTTCTAGGGTTTTTACAGTCTTGGGTTTTACATTTAAGTCTTCAGTCCATCTTGAGTTAACTTTTTTGTATAAGGTATAAGAATGGGGATCCAGTTTTGATTTTCTCCATATGGCTAGCCAGTTTTCCCAGAACCATTTATTAAATAAGGAATCCTTTCCCAGTTGCTTGTTTTTGTCAGTTGTCAAAGATCAGATAGTTGTAGGTGTGTAGTCTTGTTCCTGAGTCCTCTATTCTGTTCCCTTGGTCTATGTGTCCATTTTTGTACCAGTACCTTGCTGTTTTGGTTACTGTAGCCTTGTAGTATTGTTTGAAGAAGAGTAGCATGATGACTCCAGCTTTGTTCTTTTTGCTTAGGATTGTCTTGGCTATTTGGGCTCTATTTTGGTTCTATATGAATTTTAAAATTGTTTATTCTAATTCTGTGAAGAATATCAATGGTAGTTTAATAGGAATAGCATTGAATCTATAAATTACCTTTGGGATTATGGCCATTTTAATGATATCCATGAGCATGGAATGTTTTTCCATTTGTTTGTGTCCTCTCTGATTTCCTTGAGCAGTGGTTTGTAGTTCTCCTTGAGGAGTTCCTTCACTTCCCTTGTTCACTGTATTCCTAGGTATTTTATTCTCTTTGTAGCCTGAATGGGAGTTCATTCATGATTTGGCTCTCTGCTTGCCTGTTTTTGGTGTAGAGGGATGGTAGCAACTGTTGCACATTGATTTGTGTCCTGAAACTTCACTGAAGTTGCTTATCATCTTAAGAAGCTTTTGGGCTGAGATGCTGCAGTTTTCCAGATATAGGATCATGTTATCTGCAAAAAAAGTTAATTTCACTTCCTCTCTTCCTATTTGAATACCTTTATTTCTTTCTCTTGCCTGATTGCCCTGGCCAGAGCTTTCAATACTATGTTGAGTAGGAGTGGTGAGAGAGGGCATCCTTGTGTTGTGCTGGTTTTCAAGGTGAATGCTCCAGCTTCTGCCCGTTCAATATGATATTAGCTGTGGGTTTGTCATAAATGGCTCTTATTATTTTGATGTATATTCCTTCAATACCTAGTATATTGAGAGTTTTTAACATGAAGGGTTGTTGAATTTTATCAAAGGCCTTTTCTGCATCTATTGAGATAATCATGATGTTTTTGTCTTTAGTTTTGTTTATGTGATGAATTACATTTATTGATTTGTGTATGCTGAATCAACCTTGCATCCTGGGGATGAAGGCAGCTTTATCATGGTGAATAAGCTTTTCGATGTGCTTGCTGGATTCAATTTGCCAGTATTTTATTGAGGATTTTTGCGTTGATGTTTATCAGAGATATTGGCCTGAAGTTTTCTATTTTTTGATGTATCTCTGTCAGGTTTTGATATCAGGATGATTCTGGCCTCATAAAATTAGTTGCGGAGGAGTACCTCGTTTTCAATTGTTTGGAATTGTTTCAGTAGAAATGGTACCAGCTTTTCTTTGTACCTCTGGTAGAATTTAGCTGTAAATCTGTCTGGTCCTGGGTTTTTTTGTTTGGTTGATAGGCTGTTTATTACTGACTGAATTTCAGAACTCATTATTTGCCTATTCAGGGATTCAATTTCTTCCTGACTCAGTCTTGGGATAGTGTATGTGTCCAGGAATTTATCTATTTCTTCTAGGTTTTCTAGTTTATGTGCATAGAGGTGTTCATAGTATTCTTTAGTAGTTGGTTGTATTTCTGTGGGGTCAGTGATATTTCCCTTATCTTTTCTGATTGTGTCTATTTGATTCTTCTCTCTATCTCCTTCAGTTCAGCTCTGATCTTGGTTATTTCTTGTCTTCTGCTAGCTTTGGGGTTCATTTGCTCCTGGTTTTCTAGTTCAGCTCTGATCTTGGTCATTTCTTGTTTTTGCTAGCTTTGGGGTTTGTTTGCTCTTGGTTTTCTAGTTCTTTTAGTTGCGATCTTAGGTTGCTGATTTGAGATATTTCTTCCTTTTTCATGTGGGTATTTAGTGCAATAAATTTCCCTCTTGACAGTGCTTTAGCTGTATCCCAGAGGTTCTGGTATGTTGTCTCTCTGTTTTCATTAGTTTCAAAGAACTTCTTGATTTCTGCCTTAATTTCATTATTTACCTAGGAGTCATTCAGTAGCAGGTTGTTCAAATTCCATGCAGTTGAATGGTTTTGAGTGAGTTTCTTTCTTTCCTTTTTTCTTTTTTTTCTTTTGAGACAGAGTCTCACTCTGTCACCCAGGCTGGGGTTCAGTGGCGCAATTTCGGCTCACTACAACTTCTGCGTCCTGGGTTCAAGTGATTCTCATGCCTCAGCCCCTGAGTAGCTGGGAATACAGGCATGCACCACCATGCCCAGCTAATTTTTTTCTTTTGTATTTTTAGTATAGACTTTTTGAGTTCTAATTTGATTGCACAGTCTTGTGAGAGACTGTTGTGATTTCAGTTCTTTTGCATTTGCTGAGGAGTGTTTTACTTCCAATTACATGATCAATTTTAGAGTAAGTGCCATGTGGCAATGAGAAGAATGGTTATTCTGTTGTTTTTGTTTTGGGTGGAGATTTTTGTAGATATCTATCAGGTCTGCTTGATACAGAGCAGAGTTCAGGTCCTGAATATCTTTGTTAATTTTCTGTTTCAATAATCTGTCTAATATCATCAGTGGGGTGTTAAAGTCTCCCAATATTATTGTGTGGGAGTCTAAGTCTCTTTGTAGGTCTCTAACAACTTGCTTTATGAATCTAGGTGCTCCTGTATTGCGTGCATATATATTTAGAATAGTTAGCTCTTTTTATTGAATTGAACACTTTACCATTATGTAATGCCCTTCTTTGTCTTTTTTGATCTTTGTTGGTTTAAAGTCTGTTTTGTCAGAAACTAGGGTTGTGACCCCAGTTTTTTTCTGTTTTCCATTTTCTTGGTAAATTTTCCTCCATCCCTTTATTTTGAGTGTATGTGTGTCTTTGCACATGAGATGGGTTGCCTGAAGACAGCACACTGATGGATCTTGACTCTTTTTTTTTTTTTTTGAGATGGAGTCTTGCTCTGTCACCCAGGCTGGAGTGCAGTGGTGCGATCTTGGCTCACTGCAAGCTCCACCTCCTGGGTTCACGCCATTCTCCAGCCTCAGCCTCCTGAGTAGCTGGGACTACAGGCGCCTGCCAGCATGCCCGGCTAATTTTGTTTTTGTATGTTTTTTAGTAGAGACGGGGTTTCACCGTGTTAGCCAGGATGGTCTTGATCTCCTGACCTCGTGATTCGCCCACCTCGGCCTCCCAAAGTGCTGGGAATATAGGCATGAGCCACCATGCCTGGCCGGGTCTTGACTCTTTATCCATCTTGCCATTCTGTGTCTTTTAATTGTGGCATTTAGCCTATTTATGTTTAAGGTTGGTATTATTATGTGTGGATACGATCCTGTCATGATGATATTAGCTGGTTATTTTGCAGACTTGTTTATGTGGTTGCTTCATAGTGTCACTGGTCTGTGCACTTCAGTGTGCTTTTCTAGTGGCTGGTACCAGTTTTTCCTTTTTATATTTAGTGCTTCCTTCAGGAGCTCTTACAAGGCAGGCCTGGTGGTGATGAATTCCCTCAGCATTTGCTTGTCTGTAAAGGAACTTATTTCTCTTTCACTTATGAAACTTGGTTTGGCCGGATGTGAAATTCTGGGTTGCAATTTTTTTTTTTTAAGAATGTTGAATATTGGCTCCCAATCTCTTCTGGCTTGTAGGGTTTCTGCTTATAGGTTCACTGTTAGTCTGATGGCCTTCTCTTTGTGGGTGATCCAGCCTTTCTCTCTGGCTGCCCTTAACATTTTTTCTTGCATTCTGACCTTGGAGAATCTGACGATTATGTGTCTTGGGGTTGATCTTCTCGTGGAGTATATTACTGGAGTTCTCTGGATTTCCTGAATTTGAATGTTGGCCTGTCTTGCTAGGTTGAGGAAGTGCTCCTGGATGATATCCTGAAGCATGTTCTCCAACTTGGTTCCATTCTCCCCATCTCTTTCAGGTGCTCCAATCAATCGTAAATTTGGTCTTTTTACATAATCCCATATGTCTTGGAAATTTTGTTTGTTTCTTTTTATTCAATTTTCTCTATTCTTGTCTGCCTGTCTTATTTCAGAAAGATAGTCTTCAAACTCTGAGATTTTTTCCTCCATTTGGTCTGTTCTGCTGTTGATACTTGTGATTGCATTGTGAACCTCTCGTGTTGTGTTTTTTAGCTCCATCAGGTCAGTTATGCTCCTCTCTGAACTGGATATTCTGGTTGTCAGCTCCTGTATTATTTTATTGTGATTCTTAGCTTCTTTGCATTGGGTTAGGAAATGCTCTCTTAGCTCAGTGAAGTTCATCATTACCCACCTTCTGAAGCCTACTTCTGCCATTTTAGCCATCTCAGCCTCAGCCCAGTTCTGTGCCCTTGCTGGAGAGGTGTTGTAGTCATTTGGAGAAGTAGCACTTTGGTTTTTTGAGTTTTTAGCATTTTTGCATTGATTTTTTTCTCATCTTTGTGGGCTTTAATGATCTTCAATCTTTGAGGTTTCTGACCATTGAATGGGGTTTTTGTGGGGCCTTTTTTGTTGATGTTGTTGTTGTTGCTTTCTGTTTGTTTTTCTTTTGGCAGTCAGGCCACCATTCTATAGGGCTTCTGCAGTTTGCTGGGGGTCCACTCCAGACCTCATTTGCCTTGGTCCCTCCCGTACCTGGAGGTATCAGCAGTGAAGCCTGTGAAACAACAAAGATAGCAACCTGCTCATTCCTCTGGGAACTCTGTCCCAGTGGGGCACAGACCTGATGCTTCCCGCATGCTCATGTAGGAGGTGTCTTGAGACCCCTTTTGGGAGGTCTTACACAGTCAGGAGGAATGGGATCGGGGACCCACTTAAAGAAGCAGCCTGACTGCCCCTTGACAGAGCAGTTGCACCATGCTGGGGGAAACCTGCCTCATTCAGACCTCCCGGACTCTAAAGCCAGCAGGCTAGACAGAGTACAATTTCATAATGCTGCTTACTTTTGGCAGTGAGCACCAGTTTATGATCATATTCCTTTTGGAAAGCCAGAAGGTCAACTTTCAATAAGAAGAGGTAAGTGGCAAAAATATGTAAGATAAACTCATAAAATTAAACTTTAAAGCAAGAATTAGCTAAGTGGAAAAGCATAAAATTAGCTCATAGTAAGTAAAGCTAGTAATTTATATATCCTTAAAATTTTTTTTAACAGTGTGATAGTAACAGGAGTGACAGATCAGCAAAATTAAAACTATGTAATAAAACCAGCCACACTGATTAAAGGGTAAAGTTTACTAAACGTGGATCAAAATGATTTTCTTTTTTCAGGATAAACTCATTAGAAAAGTCAGACTGGAACCATATGGGTTACATTCAGACCAACAAGCCATGGACTAAATTAAAAGGGAAGGCCTTCAGTGCCCTATCTCCTTTGGGTATCCTGAATGTAAATGTGAGTGGACATTTGAATGTGAGATGAGGCTGAGGATCATGGATTCATTGTCTTTTGTAAGTTCATCTAATTTGATGAAAGTCATTGTCCCAAACTTCCCTTTCTCCCTTTCCCTCATTTTTCCATGGCTAAAAATGACTACATCTGGCATTACAGTATTTGGCATGAAGTGTTTTAAATGCATGAATTTTCTAGGCAGATTTGGCACTGAAACATTTATATTTTAATTACTTTTTTCTTTTTCTATTCCAATAGGTTTTTGAGGGAACAGGTGATGTTTGGTTACATGAATAAGTTCTTTAGTGGTGATTTCTGAGATTTCTGTGCACCCATCACCCGAGCAATATACACTATGCCCAGTGTGTAGTCTTTTATCCCTCTCCACCCCCAACCATTCACCCGAGTCACCAAAGTCCATTGTTTCATCTTTATGCCTGAGTCCTCATAGCTTAGTTTCACATATGAGTGAGAACACACGATGTTTGATTTTCCATTCCTGAGTAACTTCACTTAGATTAGTAGTCTCCAATTCTATCCAGGTTGCTGCAAATGCCATTATTTTATTCCTTTTTATGGCTGAGTAGTACTCTTAATATATATACTCCATTTTCTTTATCAGCTCGTTGATTGATGGGCATTTGGGTGGTACCATATTTTTGCAATTGCAAATTGTGCTGTTATAAACATGCATATGCAAATATCTTTTCATATGATGACTTCTTATCCTCTGGGTAGATACCTCGTAGTGGGATTGCTGGATCAAATGGTAGATCTACTTTCAGTTCTGTTTTTTTATTGTAGGATTTTTTATTATTATTATACTTTAAGTTCTGTGGTACATGTGCAGAAGGTGCAGTTTTGTTATATAGGTATACACATGTCATGGTGGTTTGCTGTACCCATCAACCCATCACCTACATTAGGTATTTCTCCTGATGTTATCCCTCTCCTAGCTGCCCACCCCCCAACAGGCCCCAGTGTGTGATGTTTCCCTCCCTATGTCCATGTGTTTTCATTGTTCATCTCCCACTTATGAATGAGAACATACGGTGTTTGGTTTTCTGTTCTTGTGACAGTTTGCTGAGAATGATGGTTTCCAGCTTCATCCATGTCCCTGCAAAGGACATGAACTCATCCTTTTTTATTGCATAGTATTCTATGGTGTATATGTGCCACATTTTCTTTATTCAGTCTGTTATTGATGGACATTTTGGTTGGTTCCAAGTTGTTGCTATTGTGAATAGTTAACGCCAGTTAGAATGGCGATCATTAAAAAGTCAGGAAATAACAGATGCTGGAGAGGATGTGGAGAAATAGGAATGCTTTTACACGGTTGGTAGGAGCGTAAATTAGTTCAATCATTGTGGAAGACAGTGTGGCGATTCCTTAAAGATCTAGAACTAGAAATACCATTTGACCGAGCAATCCCATTACTGGGTATATACCCAAAGGATTATAAATCATTCTACTATAAAGACACATGCACATGTATGTTTATGTGGTACTTTTAGTTCTTTAAGGAATCTCCACACTGTTTTCCATAGTGGTTGTACTAGTTTTACATTCCAACCAACAGTGTAAATGTGTTTCCTTTTCACTGCATCCATGCCAACACCTACTATTTTTTTATTATAGCCTTTTTTTGCAGGAGTGAAGTGGTATCGCATAGTGGTTTTGATTTTCATTTTCCTGATAATTAGTGATGTTGAGCATTTTTTCATATGCTTGTTGTCCATTTGTATATCTTCGTTTGAGAATCATCTATTCATATCCTTAGCCCACTTTTTGATGGGATTTTTTTTTTCTTGCTGGTTTTTTTGAGTTCTTTGTAGATTCTGGGTATTAGTCCTTTGTTGGATGTGTAGATTGTGAAGATTTCCTCCCACTGTGTGGGTTATCTGTTAACTCTACTGATTATTTCTTTTGCTGTGCAGAAAGTTTTCAGTTGAATTAAGTTCCATATATTTATCTTTGTTTTTGTTGCATTTGCTTTGGGTTCTTGGTCATGAAATCTTTGCCTAAGCCAATGTCTAGAAGTGTTTTTCTGATGTTCTCTTCTAGAATCTTTATGGTTTCAGACTTAGATTTAAGTCTTTGATCCATTTTGAGTTGATTTTTGTATAAGATGAGAGGTCAGGATCCAGTTTCATTCTTCTACATGTGGCTTGCCAATTATCTCAGCTCCATTTGTTGAATAGGGTGTCCTTTCTTTACTTTATGTTTTTGTTTGCTTTGTCAAAAATCAGTTGGGTGTAAGTATTTTGCTTTATTTCTGGGTTTCCTATCTGTTCCATTAGTCTATGTATACCTGTTTTCATACCAGTACCATGCTGTTGGTGACTATGGCCTTATAGTATAGTTTGAAGTTGGGTACTGTGATGCCTCCAGATTTGTTCTTTTTGGTTAGTATTGCTTTGGCTATATGGGCCCTTTTTTGGTTCCATATGAACTTTAGGATTGTTTTTTCTAGTTCTGTGAAGAATGATGAGGTATTTTTGTGGGTATTGCATTGAATTTGTAGATTGCTTTTGGCTGTATGGTCATTTTCACAATATTGATTCTACTCAGCCGTGAGCATGGATGTGTTTCATTTGTTTGTGTCATCTATGATTTCTTTCAGTAGCATTTTGTAGTTTTCCTTGTAGAGGTCTTTCTTGTCCTTGGTTAGGTATATTCCTAAGTATTTTATTTTATTTTATTTTTGCACATATCGTGAAAGGGGTTGAGTTCTTTATTTGATTCTCAGCATGGTTGCTGTTGGTGTATAGCAGAGCTACTGATTTGTGTACATTAACTTTGTATCCTGAAACTTTGCTGAATTTATTCACCAGCTCTAGGAGCTATTTGCTTGTGTCTTTAGGGTTTTCTAGGCATACAATTATATAATCAGCAGACAATGATGGTTTGACTTCCTATTTACCGATTTGGGTGCCCTTAATTTTTTTCTCATGTCTGAGTGCTTTGGCTGGGACTTACAGTACTATGTTGAATAGAAGTGGTAAAAGTGGGCATGCTCGTTTTGTTCCAGTTTTTAGGGGGAATGCTTTCAACTTTTCTCTGTTCAGTATAGTGTTGGCTGTGGTTTGTCATAGATGGCTTTTATTACCTCAAGTTATGTCCCTTCTATGCCAATTTTACTGAGGGTTTTAATCATAAAGGATGGTGGATTTTGTCAAATGCTTTTTCTGTGTCTGTTGAGATGATCATGTGATTTTTGTTTTTAATTCTGTTTATGTGGCATATCACATTTATTGACTTATGAGTGTTAAACAATCCCTGCATCCCTGGTATGAAACCCACTTGATCATGGTGGATCGTCTTTTTGATATGCTGTTGGATTCAGTTAGCTAGTATTTTGCTAAGGATTTTTGCATTCTATGCTTATCAGGGATAATGGTCTGTAGTTTTCTTTTGCGTGTTATGTCCTTCCCTAGTTTTGGTATTAGGGTGATACTGTCTTCATAAAATGATTTAGGGAGGAGTCCTTCTTTCCCTATCTTTTGGAATAGCATCAATAGGATTGATACGATGTCTTTGACTGTCTGTTAGAATTCAACTGTGAATCTGTCTGGTCCTGGACTTTTTTTTGTTGTTGGTATTTTTTTAATTATCATTTCAATCCCGCTATTTGTTATTGGTCTGCTCAGAGATTCTATATCTTCTGGCTTAATCTAGAAGGGTTGTATATTTTCACAAATTTATCTATCTTCTCTAGGTTTTCTAGTATGTATGTAAAGGTGTTCATAGTAGCCTTGAATAACCTTCTGTATTTGTGGTATTAGTTGTAATATTTCCCAATTTGTTTTTATTTGAGCTTATTTGGATCCTCTCTCTTCTTTTCTTCATTAATCTTGCTAGTGCTCTATCAATTTTATTTATCTTTTCAAAGAACCAGCTTTTTGTTTCATTTATCTTTTGTATTATTTTGTTTTAATTTAATTTACTTCTACTGTGATCTTTGTTATTTTTTTCTTCGGCTAGGTTTGGGTTTAGATTGTTCTTGTTTCTCCAGTTCCATGAGGTGTGACCTTAGATTGCCTATTTGTGCACTTTCAGACTTTTTAATGTAGGCATTTAATTAATGCTATGAACTTTCCTCTTAACACTGCTTTTGCTGTATCCCAATGGGTTTAATAGGTTGTACCACTATTATTACTCAGTTCAAAAAGCTTTTAAATCTCCATCTTGATTTCATCATTTACCCAACAGTCACTCAGGAGCAGGTTATTTAATTTCCATGTATTTGTATAGTTTTGAAGATTCCCTTTGGAGTTGATTTCCAATTTTATTCCACTGTCGTTGGAGAGAGTACTTGATATAATTTTGATTTTTTAAAATTTTTTGAGGCTCATTTTGTGGCCTATCATATGGTCTATCTTGGAGAATGTTCCATGTGCTGATGAATAGAATGTATATGCTGCAGTTGTTGGGTAGAATGTTTCATCAATATCTGTTTAGTCCATTTGTTGTAGGGTATAGTTTAAGTCCATTGTTTCTTTGCTGACTTTCTGTCCTGATGACCTGTCTAATGCTATCAGTGGAGTATTAAAGTACCCACTATTATTGTGTTGCCATCTATCTCATCTCTTAGGTCTAGTAGTAATTTTTTTTATAAATTTGGGAGCTCCAGTGTTAGGTGGGTATATATTTAGAATTGTGATATTTTCCTGTTGGACAGGCTTTTTATCATTATATAGTGTCCCTCTTTTTTTTTTTAACTGCTGTTGCTTTTTTTTAAATTGTACTTTTAGGTTCTAGGGTACATGTGCACAACATGCAGGTTTGTTACATATGTATACATGTGCTGTGTTGGTTTGCTGCACCCATTAACTCATCATTTACGTTAGGTATTTCTCCTAATGCTCTCCCTCCCTGATCCCACCACCCCATGACAGGCCCCGGTGTTTGCTGTTCCCTGCCCTGTGTCCAAGTGTTCTTATTGTTCAATTCCCACCTATGAGTGAGAACATGCAGTGTTTGGTTTTCTGGCCTGGCGATAGTTTGCTTAGAATGATGGTTGCCAGCTTCGTCCATGTCCCTACAAAGGACATGAACCCATCCTTTCTTATGGCTGCATAGTATTCCATGGTGTATATGTGCCACATTTTAATCCAGTCTATAATTGATGGACATTTGGGTTGGTTCCAAGTCTTTGCTATTGTGAATAGTGCCACTATAAACATATGTGTGCATGTGTCTTTATAGCAGCATGATTTATAATCCTTTGGGTATATACCCAGTAATGGGATTGCTGGGTCAAATGGTATTTCTAGTTCTAGATCCTTGAGGAAACACCACACTGTCTTCCACAATGGTGGAACTAGCTTACACTCCCACCAACAGTGTAAAAGCATTCCTTTTCTCCACATCCTCTCCAGTATCTGTTGCTTCCTCACTTTTTAATGATTGCCATTCTAACTGGTGTGAGATGGTATCTCATTATAGTTTTGATTTGCATTTCTCTGATGACCAGTGATGATAAGCATTTTTTCCTGTGTCTTTTGGCTGCATAGATGTCTTCTTTTGAGAAGTGTCTGTTCACATCATTTGCCCACTTTTTGATGGGGTTGATTGATTTTTTTTCTTGTAAATTTGTTGAAGTTCATTGTAGATTTTGGATATTAGCCCTCTGTCAGATGAGTAGATTTTAAAAATTTTCTCCCATTCTGCAGGTTGCCTGTCCACTCTGATGGTAGTTTCTTTTGCTGTGCAGAAGCTCTTTAGTTTAATTACAACCCATTTGTCAATTTTGGCTTTTGTTGCCATTGCTTTTGGTGTTTTAGTCATGAAGTCCTTGCCCATGCCTATGTCCTGAATGGTATTGCCTAGGTTTTCTTCTAGGGTTTTCATGGTTTTAGGTCTAACATTTAAGTCTTTAATCCATCTTGAATTGTCTTTTGTATAAGGTGTAAGGAAGGTATCCAGTTTCAGTTTTCTATAAATGGCTAGCCAGTTTTCCCAGCACCATTTATTAAATACGGAATCCTTTCCCCATTGCTTGTTTTTGTCAGGTTTGTCAAAGATCAGATGGTAGTAGATGTGTGGTGTTATTTCTGAGGCCTCTGTTCTGTTCCATTGGTTTATATCTCTGATTTGGTACCAGTACCATGCTGTTTTGATTACTGTAGCCTTGTAGTATAGTTTGAAGTCAGGTAGCGCGATGCCTCTAGCTTTGTCCTTTTTGCTTAGGATTGTCTTGGCAATGCAGTCTCTTTTTTGGTTCCATATGAACTTTAAAGTAGTTTTTTCCAATTCTGTGAAGAAAGTCATTGGTAGCTTGATGGGGATGGCATTGAATCTATAAATTACCTTGGGCAGTATGGCCATTTTCACGATATTGATTCTTCCTATCCATGAGCATGGAATGTTCTTCCATTTGTTTGTGTCCTCTTTTATTTCGTTGAGCAGTGGTTTTTAGTTCTCCTTGAAGAGGTCCTTCACATCCCTTGGAAGTTGGATTCCTAGGTATTTTATTCTCTTTGTAGCGATTGTGAATGGGAGTTCACTCATGATTTGGCTCTCTGTTTGTCTGTTATTTGTGTATAAGAATGCTTGTGATTTTTGCACATTGATTTTGTATCCTGAGACTTTGCTGAAGTTGCTTATCAGCTTAAGGAGATTTTGGGCTGAGACAATGGGGTTTTCTAAATATACAATCATGTCATCTGCAGAGAGGGACAATTTGACTTCTACCCTTTATTTCTTTCTCCTGCCTGATTGCCCTGGCCAGAACTTTCAACACTAGTTGAATAGGAGTGATGAGAGAGGGCATCCCTGTGTCTTGTGCCAGTTTTCAAAGGGAATGCTTCCAGTTTTTGCCCATTCAGTATGATAGTGGCTGTGGGTTTGCTCTTATTATTTTGAGGTATATTCCATCAATACCTAGTTTATTGAGAGTTTTTAGCATGAAGGGCTGTTGAATTTTGTTGAAGGCCTTTTCTGCATCTATTGAGATAATCATGTGGTTTTGGTCTTTGGTTCTGTTCATGTGATGGATTACGTTTATTGATTTGCATATGTTGAAACAGACTTGCATCCCAGGGATGAAGCCCACTTGATCTTGGTGCATAAACTTTTTGATGTGCTGCTGGATTCAGTTTGCCAGTATTTTATGGAGGATTTTTCACATCAATGTTCAACAGGGATATTGGTCTAAAATTCTCTTTTTTTGTTATGTCTTTGCTAAGCTTTGGTATCAGGATGATGCTGGCCCCATAAAATGAGTTAGGGAGGATTCCCTCTTTTTCTATTGATTGGAATAATTTCAGAAGGAATGGGACCAGCTCCTGTTTGTACCTGTGGTAGAATTTGGCTGTGAATCTGTCTGGTCCTGGACTTTTTTTGGTTGGTAGGCTATAAATTATTGCCTCAATTTCAGAGCCTGTTATTGGTCTATTCAGGGATTCAACTTCTTCCTGGTTTAGTCTTGGGAGGGTATATGTGTCCAGGAATTTATCCATTTCTTCTAGATTTTCTAGTTTATTTTCATAGAGGTGTTTATAGTATTCTCTGATGGTAGTTTGTATTTCTGTGCGATTGGTTGTGAGAACCCCTTCATTATTTTTTATTACATCGATTTGATTCTTCTCTTTTTCTTCTTTGTTAGTCTTGCTAGCAGTCTATCAATTTTGTTCTTTTGGTTCTTTTTAATTTTGGTTCTTTTCAAAAAACCAGATCCTAGATTCATTGATTTTTTGAAGGGTTTTTTGTGTCTCTATCTCCTTCAGTTCTGCTCTGATCTTAGTTATTTCTTGCCTTCTGCTAGTTTTTGAACGTGTTTGCTCTTGCTTCTCTAGTTCTTTTAATTGTGATGTTAGGGTGTTGATTTTAGATCTTTCCTGTTTTCTCTTGCATTTCTCATAGCATTTAGTGCTATGAATTTCCCTCTACACAATGCTTTAAATGTGTCCCAGAGATTATGGTACGTTGTGTCTTTGTTCTCATGGTTTCAAAGAAAATGTTTATTTCGTTATTTACCCAGCAGTCATTCAGGAACATTTTTCTCAGTTTCCATGTAATTGTGCAGTTTTGAGTGAGTTTCTTAATCCTGAGTTCTAATTTGATTGCACTGTGGTCTGAGAGACAGTTTGTTGTGATTTCTGTTATTTTACATTTGCTGAGGAGTCCTTTACTTCCAGCTATGTGGTCAGTTTTGGAATAAGTGTGATGTGGTGCTAAGAAGAATGTATATTCTGTTGATTTGGGGTGGAGAGTTCTGTAGATGTCTATTAGGTCTGCTTGTTGCAGAGCTGAGTTCAGGTCCTGGATATCCCTGTTAACCTTCTCTCTCATTGATCTGTCTAATATTGACAGTGGGTTGTTAAAGTCTCCCATTTTTATTGTGTGGGAGTCTAATTCTCTTTGTAGGTCTCTAAGGACTTGCTTTATGAATCTGGGTGCTCCTGTATTGGGTGCATGTATATTTAGGGTAATTAGCTCTTCTTGTTGAATTGATCCCTTTACCATTATGTAATGACCTTCTTTGTCTCTTTTGATCTTTGTTGGTTCAAAATCTGTTTTATCAGAGACTAGGATTGCAACCCATGCTTTTTTTGCTTTCCATTTGCTTGGTAGATCTTCCTCCATCCCTTTATTTTGAGCCTATGTGTGTCTCTGCACGTGAGATGGGTCTCCTGAATACGGCACACTGGTGGGTCTTGACTCTTTATCCAATTTGCCAGTCTGTGTCTTTTAACTGGAGCATTTAGCCCATTTACATTTAAGGTTAGTATTGTTATGTGTGAATTTGATACTGCCATTATGATGTTAGCTGGTTATTTTGCTCATTAGTTGATGCAATTTCTCTCTAGCATCGATGGTCTTTAGAATTTGGCATGTTTTTGGAGTGGCTGGTACTAGTTTTTCCTTTCCGTGTTTAGTGCTTCCTTCAGGAACTCTTTTAGGGCAGGCCTGGTGGTGACAAAATCTCTCAGCATTTGCTTGTCTGTAAAGGATTTTATTTCTCCTTCACTTTTGAAACTTAGTTTGGCAGGATACGAAATTCTGGGTTGAAAATTCTTTTCTTTAAGAATGTTGAATATCGGCCCCCACTCTCTTGTGGCTTGTAGAGTTTCTGCTGAGATATCTGCTGTTAGTCTCATGCACTTTCTTTTGTGGGTAACCTGCCCTTTCTCTCTGGCTGCCCTTAACATTTTGTCCTTCATTTCAACCTTGGTGAATCTGGCAGTTATGTATCTTGTGGTTGCTCTTCTGGAGGAGTATCTGTGTGGTATTCTCTGTATTTCCTCAATTTGAATGTTGGCCTGCCTTGCTATGATGGGTAAGTTCTCCTGGATAATATCCTGCAGAGTGTTTTCCAGCTTGGTTCCATTCTCCGCGTCACTTTCCAGTACACCAATCAAGCATAGATTTGTTTTTTTCCCATAGTCCCATATTTCTTGGAGGCTTTCTTCGTTTCTTTTTACTCATTTTTCTCTGAATTTCTCTTCTCACTTCATTTCATTAATTTGATCTTCAATCAATGATACCCTTTCTTCCACTTGATCAAATTGGCTACTGAAGGTTGTACATGCATCGCGTAGTTCTCATGCCATGGTTTTCAGATCCATCAGGTCATTTAAGGTCTTCTCTACACTGCTTGTTCTAATTAGCCATTCATCTAATCTTTTTTCAAGGTTGTTAGCTTCCTTGTGATGGGTTCGAACATCCTCCTTTAGCTCAGAGAAGTTTGTTATTACCGACTTTCTGAAGCCTACTTCTGTCAACTCGTCAAAATCATTCTCCGTCCAGCTTTGTTTCACTGCTGGCGAGGAGCTGCAATCCTTTGGAGGAGAAGGGGTGCTGGGTTTTTAGAATTTTCAGCTTTTCTGCTCTGGTTTCTCTCCATCTTTGTGGTTTTATCTACGTTTGGTGTTTGATGATGGTGACGTACAGATGGAGTTTTGGTGTGGATGTCCTTTTTGTTGATGTTTATGCCGTTCCTTTCTGTTTGTTAGTTTTCCTTCTAACAGTCAGGTCCCTCAGCTGCAGGTATCTTGGAGTTTGCTGGAGGTCCACTCCAGACTCTGTTTTCCTGGGTATCTCCAGCGGAGGCTGTAGAATAGCAAATATTGCAGAACAGCAAATATTGTGCCTGATCCTTCCTCTGGCAGCTTCGTCTCAGAGGGGCACCTGGCTGTGTGAGGTGTCAGTCAGCCCCTACTGGGAGGTGTCTCCAAGTTTGGCTACACGGGGGTCAGGGACCCACTTGAGGAGGCAGTCTGTCTGTTCTCAGAGCTCAAACATTGTGCTGGGAGAACCACTGCTGTCTTCAGAGCCGTCAGATAGGGATGTTTAAGTCTGCAGAAGTTTCTGCTGCCTTTTATTCAGTTATGCCCTACCCCCAAAGGTGGAGTCTACAAAGGCAGGCGGGCCTCCTTGAGCTATGGTGGTCTCCACCCAGTTCGAGCTTCCTGGCTGCTTTGTTTACCTACTGTAGCCTCAGCAATGGTGGATGCCCCTCCCCCAGCCAGGCTTGCTGCCTCGCAGTTCGATCTGAGACTGCTGCGCTAGCAGTGAGCAAGGCTCCATGTGTGTGGGACCCACTGAGCCAATCGTGGGATATAATCTCCTAGTGTGCCATTTGCTAAGACCATTGAAAAAGTGCAGTATTTAGGTGGAAGTGTCCTGATTTTCCTGGTATAGTCTGCCATGGCTTCCCTTGGCTGGGAAAGGGAAATCCCCTGACCCCTTGTGCTTCCTGGGTGGGGTGATGCCCCGCCCTGCTTTGGCTCACCCTCTGTGGGCTGCACCCACTGTCCAGCCAGTCCCAGTGAGATGAACCAGATACCTCAGTTGGAAATACAGAAATCACACATCTTCTGTGCCAGTCATGCTCGGAGCTCCAGACTGGAGCTGTTCCTATTCGGACATCTTGGAACCACCTCTCCCTACTGTTGCTTTAAAGTTTGTTTTGTCTGATATAAGAATAGCTACTTTTGTTCACTTTTGGTGTCCATTTGCATGGAATATATTTTTCACTCTTTTGAGTTTATGTGAGTCCTTATGTGTTAGGTGAGTCTCCTGAAGACAGCAGAAACTTGGTTGGTGAATTCTTATCCATTCTGCCATTCCTTGTCTTGTAAGTGGAGCATTTAGGCCATTTAAATTCAATGTTATTATTGAGATGTGAGGTACTATTCTATTCATCATGCTATTTGTTGCCTGAATACCTTGTTTTTCTTTTCCATTATGTTCTTGTTATGAACATGTGGGTCCTGTGAGATTTATGCTTTAAGGAGGTTTTATTTAGGTGTAATTCAAGGATTTGTTTCAAGATTTAGAGCTCCTTTTAACCGTTCTTGTAGTGCTGGCTTTGTAGTGGCAAATTATCTTGGCATTTGTTTGTCTGAAAAAGACCATGTTTTTCCTTCATTTATGAAGCTTAGTTTCACTGGATACAAAATTCTTGGCTGATAATTGTTTCATTTAAGGAGGCTAAAAATAGGACCTCAATTTCTTCTAGCTTGTAGGGTTTCTGCTGAGAAATCTGCTGTTAATCTGATAGGTTTTCCTTTATAGGTTACCTGATGCTTTTGCCTGACAGCTCTTAAGATTTTTTCCTTTGTCTTGATTTTAGATAGCCTGATGGCTATGTGTCTAGGTGATGATCTTTTTGCGATGAATTTCCCAGGTGTTCTTTGAGCTTCTTGTATTTGGATGTCTAGATGTCTAGCAAGGCCACAGAAGTTTTCCTTGATTATTCCCTGAAATATATTTTCCTGACTTTTAGATTTCTTTTCTTTCTCAGGAACACCAGTTATTCTTAGGTTTGGATGTGTAACATAGTCCCAAACTTCTTGGAGGCTTTGCTCATTTTTAAAAATTATTTTTTCTTTGTCTTTAACAGACTGGATTAATTGAAGGCCTTGTCTTCAAGCTCTGAAATTCTTTCTTCTGCTTGTTCAGTTCGATTGCTGAGACTTTCCAGGGCATTTTGTATTTCTCTAAGTGTGTTCTTGATTTCCAGAAGTAGTGACTGTTTTTTATTTATGCTATCTATTTCACTGAAGAAATTTCCTTTCATATTCTGTATCATGTTTTTGATTTCTTTAAGTTGAACTTTACCTTTCTCTGGTGCCTCGCTGATTAGCTTAATAATTGACCTTCTGAATTCTTTTTCTGGTAATTCAGAGATTTTTATCTTAGTTTGGATACATTGCTGGTGAGCTGGTATGATCTTTTTGGGTGTTAAAAATTTTGTTTTGTCATATTACCAGAATTGTTTTTTTGGTTCCTTCTCGTTTGTGTAGACTATGCCAGAGGGAAGATCTAGAATTCAAGGGCTGCAGTTCAGATTCTTTTGTCCCATAGGGTGCTCCTTGATATGATGTTCTCTCCCTTCCCCTATGAATGGGGCTTCCCAAGAGCTGAACTGTAGTGATTGCTTTTGGTCTTCTGGGTCTAGCCACCCAGTGGAGCTACTAGACTCTTGGCTGGTACTGGGGAGTGTCTGCAAAATGTCCTGTGATATGATCTATGTTCATGTCTTGCAGCCATGGATACCTGCACCTGCACTGGTGGAGGTAGCAGGGGAGTGAAGCAAACTCTCTGAGGGTCCTTGGTTGTGCTTTTGTTTAATGTGCTGATTTTGTGTTGTTTGGCCTCCAGCCAGGAGGTGGCACTTTCAAGAGCACATCAGCTGAGGTACTGTAGGGAAGATGCAAACTTGCCCTAGGGATGCCTCGTTAAGTATTCAGGTTTTTCAGATGGTGGGCAGGGCCATAGAGTTCCCAAGACATTATGACCTTTGTCTTCGGCTGCCAGCGTGAGTAGAGAAAGACCACCAGGTCGGGGCAGGGATAGGGGTGTGTGAGCTCAGCCTCTCCTTGGGCAAAGCTTGATGTGGCTGTTGTGGGGGATAGCAGTGTGGTTCACAGTCCAGTGGAGTTATATTCCTAGGAGAATTATGGCTGCCTCTGCTGAGTCATGCAGGTCACCAGGGAAGTGGGGGAAAGCCAGCAGTCATAAGCCTCTCCCTGCTCCCACACAGCCCCCAGTCCTAAAGGTGGTCTCACTCCCACCGTGCCCCCAAAAAGCACTGACCCTATTTCCAGGCAGCCAGTGACCAGGGCTGAGAACTTGCCCCAGACCATGAGCCTCCTCGTTGAGAAAGCAAGCCGACTCAAAGGTTTTCAGCATCTCAGGAAGCCTGCAGTGGTGATCCAGTTCCTACAAAGGGTCTGTGGATTCTCTTGGCTTTCCTGGTATGTTCCTGCCGTAGTTCTTAGAGCAAAATTTCAGGATGTGAGTCTCCACACACTGCTCTGTATATGAGCAGGAACTACATGCTAGTCCTGCCTCCTATCTGCCATCTTAATCTGAATCATCTCTCTATTTTAATTAGTTTTGAGAACATTTTCTAAGTGGTATTTTTACTCCTCTGTATCATTATTGGGACTAATTTTTATTCTATGTGTCAATATAATTCTGTGTTCACACAACAGCCTGCACGTTAGGTTGTCAGCTGTCACTCATGTGTCATCCATTGTTGTTACATCCAAGAGCTACTGTCACCCCTTCTAGTTTAAATTCTCAAATATGAAGTGGTGGCCCTTTGAGTCAGATAGCAAAGTTTAGATTACAGTGTATCAGTAAACTATGAGAGAATTCTCATCTCGAATGCACAATTGAGTTAAATGACCCACAAGGACTTCAGTGATTACTTCTTCAAGACTTGGTAAATAGCATTCTTTCCCCTTTTCTGGACTAGTCCTTGTTCTTCCTCATTGCCTGACTATTCCTATTTGTTCTTTTGATCTTAGCCATGTCATCTGGGGGACCTTCTGGGACTCCTCTGCTAGATCTCCTTTCCATTCATAACCGTCTGAACTTCCTGTATCACCACTTGACGCAGCCTGTTACCATAATTTCTTATTAAATGTCTGTGTTTCCTGGCAGACTCCATGCAGGCTGGCACTGTGCTCATTAAGCTCTCCCCAGCATCAGCACATAGTGTTTTGCCCATGGTGGATGCTTTATCAGGCCGGGCACAGTGGCTAATGCCTGTAATCCCAGCACTTTGGGAGGCTGAGGCGGGTGGATCATCTGAGGTCAGGAGTTCAAGACCAGCCTGGCTAACATGGTGAAACCTCGTCTCTACTAAAAATACAAAAATTAGCTGGGCATGGTGGCAGGTGCCTGTAATCCCAGCTACTCAGGAGGCTGAGGCAGGAGAATCGCTTGAACCCGGGAAGTGGAGGTTGCAGTGAGCCAAGATCGCACCATCGCAATCTGGCCTGGGGGACAAGGGCAAGACTTCATCTCAAAATAAATAAATAAATAAATAAATAAATAAATAAAATAAAAAATAAAATAAATGCTTTATAAATATCTGTTTAATAAATCAATTGAACTTTTGCTATTTAAGTCGAAGCGAATGTAATTTCTAGCTCACTAGGCCACATGGCTATGGCCAGAATAACCATTCAGGGCCTGAATAACAATCATGATGGAAACAAAATAATGATACCTTTAAGAGGAGCTTACGCTACAAACTTTGGTATGCAAGAAACATCACCTTAAATTATATATATGAAATTATCTTTATTTTTTGAGTTGCTAGCAGTAGGACATTAAAACTCAGTCACTATGGGGGTGTCTTTCCTTTTTCTGGGTGTTCACGAGTCTGGAAAGCTTATGTGATTGGTACCTAGAGAAATGAGAAGTGCCTGTAATCTTCAGTCCATCATTGTTGCCACTGCTATTCTAATTGTTCAGACCCACTGCCTCAGAGGTAGGCAATTCTGCTGTCTGCAGGTCAAGGGGGGCCCAGGGGAATTTCCCTGGCCTGGACCCATGATGCCATCACAATGATCACCTCTGAAGTCTTACTGCATCTTGTGGGTTCTGATCATCTCTGTTCTCTTCCCTATCCTGTGTAATCTCTCCCTTTCTCTTACTTCTCTTGAAGCCACTTGCTTTCTCCTTTCTTTCCTTGCTGGATGTCCCAAGTTGTTCTGGGAAATAAAGACTCAGTAAAACATAAGCCAGCAACTATATTTGACTCTAAGCAGTTTCTGCTATCTATGCTGCAACACAAATGCCTCTAGTGAGAAGATGCCCAAAGGCCTAGCTATTTGTTTTAAATGGGCAAAGGGAAAAAAGGTAAAACAAAATCTCTATAAATTATAGAAAAATTATCCTGTACTTAGTGTTGACCTCATTTGCCCCCTGACAGAATCACTGGTATAGCAAGTAGGGCCATTCTATTCATTAAGTACCTGAGGTACAATGTGGGAATTACCAAGGACTTAAGCCTGTGAAAATGTTGAGAACTAAAAAAATATTAATTGGCTTTAAAATAAGAATTATAAAACTGTAAAACTGAAATTATTAGGAAGTTTAATGGAAAGTCTGTAAAATGTAACATCATGTCATCTTCATTAATTGCTAAATTTAGAATCCATAATAACTTATTACATTTAAAGACAATTTATATGTTAGACTTTTCTCACTTCTCAAGATTTCCCAAGTATTCATAATGATTGCTAAGAAGGTATAACTAATAATAAATTAAATGAGTTATTTATAGTTAGTTATAGATAATTTTCCAAAAACAAAATTATAAAAAGCCCTTTGATTTTTACAAAGCAAAATGATATTTAATATGAAAACATTTTAATATGTTTGATATGTTGTGGGAGGAAATCCCTGAATTTCTAAAATTTGGCATGTGATGTTCCCCTCCTTGTGTCCATGTATTCTCATTGTTTAGCTCCCACTTATGAGTGAGAACATGCAGTGTTTAGTTTTCTGTTCCTGTGTTAATTTGCTGAGGATAATGGTTTCCAGCCTCATTCATGTCCCTGCAAAGGACATGAACTCATTCCTTGTTATGGCTGCATAGTATTCCATGGTGTATATGTGCCACATTTTCTTTATCCAGTCTATCATTGATGGGCATTTGGGTTGGTTCCAATCTTTGCTATTAAGACACATGCACAAGCTGGTGAATCTTAGGTGACATCATCACAATGCACTTTAGATTGCATCTAAGTTTTTATTATCATAAACAAGGCTGAAATGGACAATCTTTGTACATGTATTTGAGCAATGTTTCTGGCATTTCTGAGAATAATTCTATTTTCAAGAAGTGATCATAACTTCTAAGGCATATGCTACCTGAGGAAAATAATTATCTCTTTTTCTTTCTTCCTTTTTCACCCTCCTACCCTCAATTTTTTCTTTCTAAATAGCTTTTCTGAAGAGAATTAAAAATAAAAACAAGAACAAATATGGTAAATTTTTTTTTTTAGGCAATCATTTTATTCCTTTGCTGAAAACTCTACTTTAAAGAGCACGCACAAATATTATGTAAGATAAGAGATAAAAATAATGGAAGTAATCTATAATTCTTCTAATAAACATAATTATAATTCTTCTAATAGACATTTTGTTTAACTCATATTAATTTTATAGTTGTATTTATATCGAAGTCTAGTAGACTGGAAATCAAAAGATTACAGAGGGCAAGTAGTTAATATTTGGTGAAATTCCTTATATCAGGAAACAAACAAAATTCATTACAGACCAAATAATAATACTTGTCACAATAGAATTCTTTCATTTGGCAAAGTTCATCGAAAAGTGAACATGTGTTAAGTAATTAATAGGGCGACAATATGAAGAAAATAGTGATTTTTGGAGTTAACAAAGTTAAAATGAAATACAGATTCTGTTTATTTATTCTCATTTAAACTTCGGCAAGCCACGTAACCTCTCTGTCTTAGCTTTCTCATCCATAAAATAGGAGCACCAACTTTGCAGGGAATTCAAAAATGGAACTATAATTTTTATTTTCCTACTGTATTTTATGGTATTGGAATTATTCTCTGCAAAAAGCTTTCCACTCTATAATAAAACATTGAAAATCTCATACATTGTCAAAAATTCCATATATGTAAGGGGAAAAATATGTAACTTCTGTGTACTAGATGTGTTTTGTTCCTTGACCTGTGCAGAGTAAGGGACATTGTTACATCTTCTATGGCTCTGATGTACAGTGAATCAATCTCTTTCTCTTAAGACTTCAAAATAGGAGACATAGTAGGCTTTTTAGACAGCAGACTTTTGAACTGAAAGGGGACAGAGACAGAAGCCACCTTATTGGGTCCAGTGAAAGCTAACTAATAAGCAGAGGAACATAGACCATGCAAAACACTGGGCTTCATCTGTTCTGGATATATTTTTAAAACACTTCTTACTAGCACCTCTTGAAGAGACTGAATTAGTAAAAAGTAGATCAAACTCCAGGCAGACTCAGTACTTTTGATAGACTTTGTCTTTGTCCGTTTTCACACTGTTGATAAAGACATACCTGAGACTGGGCAATTTACAAAAGAAAGAGGTTTAATTGGACTTACAGTTCCACGTGGCTGTGGAAGCTTCACAATCATGGTGGAAGGCAAGGAGGAACAAGTCTTGTCTTAAATGGATGGCAACAGGCAAAGGGAGAATGACGAAGATGCAAAATTAGAAACCCCTGATAAAACCACCAAATCTCATGTGACTTATTCATTACCATGAGAACAGTATGGGGGAAACCACCCCATGATTCAGTTATCTCCCACTGGGTCCCTCCCAAAACACATGGAATTATGGGAGTATAATTCAAGATAAGATTTGGGTGGGGACACAGCCAAACCATATCATTCAGCCCCTGGACCCTGCCAAATCTCATGTCCTCATATTTCAAAACCAATCATGCCTTCCCAACAATCCCAGAAAGTCTTAACTCATTTCAGTGTTAACTCAAAAGTCCACAGTCCAAAGTTTCATCTGAGATGAGGCAAATCCCTTCTGCCTATGAGCCTGTAAAATCAAAAGCAAGTTAGTTACTTCCTAGATACAATGGGAGTGCAGACACTGGGTAAATACAACTGTTCGAAATGGGAGAAACTGGCCAAAACAAAGGGGCTATAGAGCCCATGAAGTCCAAAATCCAGCAGGGCAGTCAAATCTTAAAGCTCCAAATGATCTCCTTTGGTTCCATATCTCACATCCAGCTCATGCTGATGCAAGAGGTGGGCTCCCACAGCCTTGGGCACCTCTGCCCCTGTGGCTTTGCAGGGTATAGCCCCACTTCTGGCTGCTCTCACAGGCTGGTGTTGAGTGTCTGTGGCTTTTCCAGGCCCATGGTCTAAACCATTGGTGGATCTACCATTCTGGGGTCTGGAGGATGGTGGCCCTTTTCTCACAGCTCCACTAGGCAGTGCCCCAGTAGGAATTCTGTGTGGGGGCTCTGACACCACATTTTCCTTCTACACTGTCCTAGCAGAAGCTCTCCATGAGGACCCCACCCCTACAGCAAACTTCTGTCTGGGCATCTAGATGTTTCCATACATCTTCTGAAATCTAGGTGGAGGTTCCTAAACCTCAATTCTTGACTTCTCTGCACTCACAGTCTCAACACCACATGGAAGCTGCCAAGGCCTGGGGCTTGCACCATCTGATGCCATTGCTCGAGCTCTACGTTGGCCCCTTTCAGCCATGGCCGGAGTGGCTGGGATGCAGGGCGCCAAACCCCTAGGCTGCGCACAGCTTGAGGACCCTGGGCCTGGTCAATGAAACAACTTTTCCTCCTGGGCCTCCAGGCCTGTGATGGGAGGGGCTGCCACGCTATAATGAGAGGGCTCCCACTGGGTCCCTCCCACAACATGTGGGAATTATGGGAGTACAATTCAAGGTGAGACTTGGGTGGGGACACACAACCAAATCATATCAGACTTCCTTTTTCTTGAGAAGATCTCTGTTCTTTAAGAAAATTATCCCTATCTAGAATATCCAGAAAAATCCTAAAATTTTACCATGCGTGGTTAAAAAAAAAAAAAAAGAACTAAACAGAAAAAAACCCAAGCAAATAAAACAAAATAAATAACAGCATATTTTCAAACCAATTAAGTTAACTTCTCCTTGGATTGAATGGCATCTTTACAACTCCACGGTGCTGGAGTTATTGTAGCCTGTTGTATGTGATGAAGGCAAGAAAGATGCTTCTGGTGGAATTATAAAGATTGCCACGATACATGCCACATGGCTCCCTGCATGTCTGATTCTTGTTTCCTATTATTTATTTTTCCTCCATGTGAGCCTCAGTGCCTATTTTGTTATTAGTTCTTCATCCAATTTCTGTGACCCCACAACTTAAAAAAATTATAGTTTAAAAAAGCTATTAAATTCACTGATTTAACTGTTTTAAGTGTGCAGTTCAATAGTGTTAAGTATATTGACATTGTTGTGCAAGAGATGTCTAGAACTTTTTCATCTTACAATGCTGAATCTCTATACCAATAAACATGAATCCCTCCTCATCCCTCCCTCAGCCCTTGGCAACCACTTTTCTACCTCCTGTTTCTACAGTTTTGACTTTAGATACTTATTTGAGTGGAATCGTATAGGATTTGTCTTTGTGACTATCTTATTTCACTTAGCATAATACCCTCAAGGTTCATCCATATTACAGCATGTGACAGGATTTCCTTCTTTTTGAAGGCTGTATTATATTCCATTACACGTATGTACAACACTTTCTTCATCCATTCATCTGTTTGTGGACATTTGGGTTGCTTCTACCTCTTGGCTATTGTGAATAAGCCTGCAATGGATGAACATATAATTGATTGACACATATTTTTGGACATTATCTACTAGGCAGGATTGAGATCTGTTATGGAAACCAGCATTCTGTTAATAGCAGTAGCAGACAACAAGAAGAAAGCATGGAAATCCCCAAATTATTTGCAAAAATTTTATGGTAAATTATGCATAAACATTATCCAAAATTAGTGTTTGCTGTTAATAAATCAATTCGAAATAAAATTTATATTATTTGCCCTTTGTAAATGATAAGGAATGTATTTAACTTAATTTGTTATGTGAGGAATTGCTTTTAAGATTATTAAATTACAAAATATTTTCAGTAGGGAAATGCTATTTTGTTCTTCTTAAACCTTAAAAACAATATGACTCCTTTTTCCAAGGGTCTAGTTAAGACTTTACTTGCTGAGCTGATACTAAATAGCTGAGCTGTGACTCTCAGCTATAGCTGACCCTCAGGTAGAATAGTAGAACAGTGAATGAACCAGTAAAGAATGCAGGCTCTGGGATTAGATCTTCTTCTTCTTGTTCTTTTTTAAATTTTGTAAAGCATTTTATTGTGGTAAAAATATATATAACAAAATTTCCCACTGTAACTGTTTTTAAGTTGACAATTAAATGACACTAATTATATTCACAATATGGTGCAACCCTCACCACTTTCAATTTCCAAAATTTGTCATCAACCTAAACAGAAACTCTGTATCCATTAAGCAGTAAGTTTCTGTTCTCCACTCTCTCATCCCCTAATAACCTCTGATGTACTTTATGCTTCTATGAATCTGCCTACTGTAGAGATTTCATATCAGTGGAATCACACAATATTTGTCATTTTGTGTCTCGCTAATTTCATTTAGCATAATGCCCTTAAGGTTCATCCATGTTGTAGCATGTATCAGAACTTCATGGAATTAGGTCTTCTTGATGTCGATCATCCTTGACTCTTAGCCCTGTTTGTTCCTGGGCAAGCTGGGTAGCCTCCCACAGTCTTTATGTCCTCCAGTGAAAAATGCAGAGGATAGTAATTATAATACCTGCCTAGTTTCTCTCATGAAGTTATTTGGATAATCAAGTAAAATAATGCCAGTGAAATATTTTATAAACTGTCAATTGCTAATATCCATGCTAGATGCTCTAATTGTAATAACTCTCCTTTATAAATATCTTCATAGCAGAGATCTTAAGATCTCTGATATAAAAGCTCACATCCCAGGACTGCTCCCCTGACATGAAAACACAGGGAGATCAGCCTTCCAAAGATGTCAGAATCTGGAGGCAGCATCTGGAAATATAAAATACAGAACTGGAATTCATTTATTTTAATACAATCCTACAAAAAGGAAAGAATTTATATCTTTTGAAATAAAATTTAACTTGCCTGCAATCCATAAAAGCACAGTTATATTTGTCATTCTTAGCTAATTTGGGCTTTCAAAATATCTGAAATGTTATTCTGCTATTTAATATTTCCTAAAGGATCTCCACTTCAGTTCAGTTCTATGAAGCCACGTTCCATTTTAACCCAAATTGCAAGTTTCCGTTCCAATCCTTTAACAGAAAGTGATAATAGCCAAGAGAAAAATTCTCTGAGACTGATAAATCAGGAAGTTTTGGCAGAATAAGAGAGAGAGAGAGAGAGAGAGAGAGAGAGAGAGAAAGAGAGAGAGAGAGAGAACAAGCATGTGTATTTCATGCATCCATCTGGGAACTTTCAGAAACTTGGGATCATTTCATCAGTTTGCTTTTAAAATGGGTATGGAGACTCACCCCTCTTCCCTGGTGAAGTAAAATTACTTTGGATGTATTAAAATTGCCACTGGTGAGAGGTGTGTTTATCTAATTTCATAATATAACAATAGGTCTTTCACCTTCTTCCAAGTCCATATTGATTTTAGCTAAATTATATTTAGGGTGGGAGACAAGACATCTTGATTTAGTGATCCTTATTTTCCCCCAAGATGTTTTTGTTGTTTTTTTCTTTCTTGACAGTCAGCAGTTTGGGGAAAGTAAGAAGAGTTCAGTCTACCCAGAGGGCAGTAGAGCTGCCTGTGAGCAGTTCTACTGTGTCTTGCTGCAGGGAAATAATCCCTGCATGTTGTGTAGGACTCACCCAGAGGTGCAAAGGGCCCAATAAAGCAGCATGAAACGGAGGCTGTAGCTTAACTGGGTCAGTCCTTAGCACCAGAATCTTGCCTGAAAGTATTAGCTTGAATCCATCGATTTGTATATTTTTATAAAGTGACATCCAGGGAGGTTTTACATTTTGATTTTATTAACACAACAAAGGATGAAATAAAAATGAATTTATTCTGTGAAATGGGGAATTATATGCTATTTATAGGCAATATATAGCAATGTATTGTAAATTGTGTTCAGAAAAAAACTCATTCATGGAGATGATTATTGAAACCAGGTGTCTTGATTTAAATAAATTGAGGAAACACTGGCTTAAAGTTAAGCATTTCTCTTAACAGCGTGACTCAGGCTCTTTAACATGCCAGCGTCAGTCCTGAAGCTCCAAGAAAACTGAAGATACTTTTTATTTTGTGGAGTTCCTCTTAGAACCATAGGCATAGAACTATATGCATCATAGAACTATATGCAGCTCCTACAACCATTTCTGTCAAATACTAGAAGACCCTGCTATACAGTTAATTTAAATAATTATAAAAAACTACAAGTAATATACTATGAGGTTTTGATATGAACTGTGAATTTCTTTTGTGTCATGATTGGTAGAACAATCAGCTTGGTGTAAAGAAAGTATTTCTGTCTTCTTTAGATTTGGTTGTCTTTGTTACCTGTTGACTTCTCCCTACATCCATCCCAACCCCATCTTGTTTCATTGTCTGCCTTGCATTTGCAGTGTCCTTTGTCAAAGCCTGTAATATTAATTGCAGATAATCCTTAGTTCCTCAGTCTGTAATTACTCCAAATCCAAATCTGTGTTAAGTACAAAGCTTCAATGACAATTTCTAAGGAGGTTTTGCTTTCTTTTGATGTACCCTGCAAACTGCCTGTAACTTGTTAGCTAGAGTTGATAGAGTTGCATCTAATTCTGCAACTTTATGCTTGCTTTCTGTCTGTATTCCACATACCTTCCTTGAACCATACATTAAGTGAGTAAAGCATTATCTTGTTTCTTAAACTTTCCCCTAAAACATACTGAGAAAATCTCTCAAATTCAAAAATAAATACAATTTGCTGCTTTTTAAGAAATTAGGATAGGTACCTTTCCTCTACTAGATACTCAGAAAGTACCTGTTCTTAGTCTTTAAAAGAGTTTCCATATTCCTTTTGGTGTCCAGCGACCACTCACCTTCTACCAGCACCTCAATTTCCTTTGGATTATTACTTCAAGCATTGTGTTGGCCTCAGTGGAATGATGTACCAGTACTTAAGCTATTGTCTCTGAGCTCTTATCTACTCTGCTTTGCCTGGCTTTGTGAGACCGGTGCAAGGATTATACACATTAATATCTTTCCTTTGTCAGATGACTTCCTGTTTATAGGGGACAATAGAAGGAGACTAGAAGACAGGAGAGGGGAGAAGGAACCTGATATTTCCTGTTTACTAGTAACAAGTTCTGTCTTCAGAGCCCTGGTGTTGGTGTTTCACCCATGCAGTAGCAGTGTCTTCTGGTGTTCAGCTTCTTGCAGCACTCCCACAACCAGGCTGAGGTGTACCCACAGCAGCCTGGCAGAGCACCTTCCCCTCAGAGGTCTGAGTCCAGATTTACAGGCTCTCCTTCCAGCTCTTGAGACACTAGCAGTAGCTGGACTCTGCTGTCTTCTTCAGATATTAAGTTTCACTGACAGAGGGTTTCTCCTGCCTTCTAGACTTGGATAACTCAATCTCTTCCCTTTGTTCTGGCAGCCCTAGGATGGCAAATGCTTTCTGCAGTTATTACCTTTGTGTCTCTTCAGCATTATTATGTGATTTTTTTAGTCCTCCAATTGCCTATATTAAAATCTGTCTGTTAACCTAGCGTGGCTTCAGCTTTCCTGAGTGAACTCAAAGGCTGAGAGTAAATCCTGGTGTCTGTTTAAATAAAAGTTAGAACCCTAGAGTCTAGATTGTCCTTCTCCTACCCTAGCACAGCCGGTCTGTGTCCACAAGCTGATCACAGATAATCAAACACTTTTTAATGAGCTTCTGAATCTTGAAAAGGCTGAAAATAAATAATAGTAGGAGTTTGCTCATCATGCCAGGGAAAATTGACTTTACTCTTCTTGTTATTAGGTTTTTCCTAAGGGTCCTGTTTCCTAGCCATCTGAAGCTCCCTTAATGGCTCTTGTTAAGCCTGGTACTCTGGCCTTCACTCAAGTCTGTGATTCCCCTGACAGTGTCCCAAAAATGTCCCACCTTAGCCAGAGTCATATTTAGCTGTCTTCAGCCAAGGAATGCTTTAAAATGTATTTAAAATTTAGTTGCATCACTACCATCCTTACTCTACTAAGGATGAGAATCTTCTAGTTTCATAGGACATCTTCCTTCCTTCCTTCCTTCCTTCCTTCCTTCCTTCCTTCCTTCCTTCCTTCCTTCCTTCCTTCCTTCCTCCCATCCTTCCTTCCACTCTTGAAGCTCCCCTCAGAAAGAATAGATTGTAGCTGGTGGTAAAACTTTCTCTCTGTCAGACCTTTAAAATTGTCAGAATTTTAGTCTCTTTTTCCTGTGAGTTAATCTTTCCTAGATGCAGAGAAGGTAAGTAAGGTGTGAGTGTATGTTTGGGGGGTGGCCTTAAAGAAGCCTGTTTGCATCTGTAGATTTCCTCTAAGGATACAATCTCCTCTACAAAAAGATGGCTTTTCCAAGCCATCCCCATGTCTGCAGTCCCTCTGAATAGCTGTATCAAAATATGCCAAATAAATATATTTTGGGGTAACATATTTTTGTTTTCTTCACAGAGACTGGCCCTCACCAAATCTGGCCAAACCTGCCAGATCCTTGATGTTAGACCTCCCAGCTTCTAGAACTATGAGAAATAAATTTTTTTTATTTATAAGTTACCCAGTTTGTGGTATTTTGTTAGAGCAGCAGAAATGGACCAAGTCAAAGATTAATTAACCTTCACTTACCTTTCCCTGATACCCTTGTTTTCTTTACATAGATTCCAGTTTCCAACCTATACAATTTTCTTCTTTCTGACTTCCTTTAAGATTTCTTAAAGGACAGGTCTACTGGTGATGAATTCTCTCAGTTTTTGTTTGCCTGAGAAAGCTTTTTTTTTCCTCCTTCACTATCGATAGATAATTTTGCTGGGTAGAGAATTCTAGGTTTGGTGACTTGTTTTCTTTTAGCACTTTAAATATTACATTTCACTTTCTTCTTACTTGCATGGTTTATGACAAAATGTCTTCTGTAATTCTTCTATAAATACATTTTTTATTTATTTAAATTTTTAACCTCTGGCTTCTTCCAATATTTTCTCTTTGCATTTTGTTGTTTTCAGTTTGAATATGATAGGCATAAGTGTTACTTGATTTTTTCTGGATATGAAGTTTGGTGTTTGTCATTAATTTGGGGAGGTTCTTGGCCATTATTACTCCAAATATTTTTTCCATTATGTTCTCTCTATTCCCATTACACATTACACACTTTGAAATTTATCTTAGTTCTTAGATGTTATATTCTGTTTTTTTTTTTTTTTGCCTTGTTTTGTTTTATTTTGTTTTTCATTCTGTTTTTCTCTTTGCATTTCAGTTTGGAAAGTTTCTAGTGACATCCCAAGTTAACAAAAGAACAATAAATTTTTAAAGAAGTGACAGGCAAATGAAAAGGTCTTTGTGTTTCTAGGGCAGCAAATAGTGGAAGGGTAACTATATGGGGGAACTAATGTAAAATAAAGGCTAGTTAGTAAAGTTTATTATGTAGATTTCTCTGGGTTGATAAAGGATCTAGAGTTGCTCTTGATTAACTTTTATCCTTCCTAGTAGTGAGAGGGTGGGGACAACTTTACAAACTATGTCCTGCTTTTAGACAAATAAGGACAGGGCAGAGGGCATTTCTTGTATCTGCTTCTTCTCAATAGCCTTCAGATCAAAATAATGAAGAAACGATAAGTGGCTGAGAGAAAGGAAGCAAATAAAACTTAAGCAACTGCAAAGGGGGATTGTTCTTACTTTCATGATGGCCCATACCACCCTACTGTAGCCTCTGCCCATGTCCACTTTTAGAAATTAAGAAATAACTATGAATGCAAAAATCCTTGATCATTTTCACTACAGCCATTACTATAGTTATCAACAGTATAGTTCCCTTATATAATTTTTTTTGAATTGACATATGGCATATGGCCCCACATATGCCTGGACTAACTGTCTTTTCATTTGCAATTCTGTGATAATCCAGCTAAATATAACACTCTCATTCTAATCTTCTTAAAACCGAGTCATGAACAATACACTTCCTTGCTCTAACACCTTGAAGAACCCTCTTTTGCCCAAAGGAAGAAACCTACATGCTACATCACTCCTATATACTTGGTATCTCTCCATTGATATGTTGTTATGGGAATTTTGTGCCAGCCAAACTCTTTGTTCTTTGAATATGCCTACTTCTTTTGACAATTAAAATTTTTTTTTCTAGAAATAGGGTCTTGCTCTGTTGCCCAAGCTGGCCTCAAATTCTTGGGTTCAAGTGATCCTCCTGCCCCAGTCTCCTGTGAATATGCCTACTTCTAGGCCTTATTCTGAATTAATCTTTCTGTCGGAAATTCTTTCACTGACCATTTTCCACTTATAAAGGCCTGTTTCTTCACCCAATTCACATTTTTTACATTCACTACAACCACTTTCTCACTATGCCAGCCCTCAATGATCATTCCACCTTTGGAAGTATACATCCATGTTGTGTGTGCCATGCATTCTTAACTGAGAACCCACTACCTTCTATTGTATGTATTTTTGTACACAACTTCTTGTGTAGGGGAAAAAAACAAAATACTTTTCTCTCTATCCATCTTAGATTAATTTGCTGGGGCCCTGTAAATTAGACTAACAAAAGACTAATTAACAAGAGAAAACTAAATGAAAGTTTATTAACATGTGATGTATGACAAGCACATGCAGAACAGTACCTAGAAATGTATTAGTCAGGCAAATACAATTTATTAAATTAATTTTTGTTTTTGCTTTTCTTTTACAATTTACCCTAGGTCTGCTTGGAGTGTTATAAAAATTATGTAACAGCTAGAATGTCTTTTTATTTATCTTCCTGGGAAGACATTAAAGAATATTTGAACAACTTGTGGCAATTGATAGATTTCTAGGTTTCAGGTGTGAAATGAAATTATGAAGTGTATGAGTTAGCTGTTACTCAGATACTCTTTGTTGCACGTTCAAGAAATAATTAAAACCCAAAAGTTTGACATCTAAGTTATTTTAATTAATTGAATAGATTTTAATTGCTTGGTAGTCTTTATTCATTCAGTATTATGCACTGCTTCTATATACAATGATTAAAATTAGAAGACAAAATAGAGTTGTCTTCCTCATCAGAAATAAAACTTAAATTGGATATGCCATCATAACATTGCAGAGTTGGTACTGATGGGATTCAGGACATCTGTACCCAAAATGTGGCCCCTTGGCATTTGAGGAAACAGTAAACAGTAGACAAAAGGAGGTCACTGTCCGACCTTCTTCTACCCTTCTACCCTGAAGCAGGCCATAAAAGAATTATTTGACTTTCCTCTCTGAATTGGTCATAAGACACTCTTTCCAGAGCTATCCTCCCTATACCTGGAGTAAAGGAACATCCTGATCCTTGAAGACACAAAGATGCCAAGAAGAATCTGAACAAACAGGCCTTGCTGAGGTTCTGCAGTTCATTACCATTAAACCATAAACTTTTGGTTTCCAATCATACTTTGGTATGATTATCCATAAAAATATACAAGTTGGGCCGGGTGCAGTGGCTCACGCCTGTAATCCTACCACTTTGGGAGGCTGAGCCGGGTGGATCACCTGAGGTCAGGAGTTTGAGACCAGCCTGGCCAACATGGCGAATCCCTGTCTCTACTAAAAGTACAAAAATTAGCTGGCATTGTGGCAGGCACCTGTAATCCCAGCTACTCAGGAGGTTGAGACAGGAGAATCGCTTGAACCCGGAAGGCGGAGGTTGCAGTGAGCTGAGATTGCGCCACTGCACTCCAACCTGGGCGACAAGGGTGAGACTCCATCTCAAAAAAACAAACAAAAAAAAAACCAAAACCCCCCCGCACAAGTTTACCTGTTTCTTTGGGTTTTAATTTTCTTGTGAAGGTTTTCATGTCATGTTAAACTTATATTAAACATATTTTTATGTTTTTCCCTTGGTCATAAAAAGGAACAAAATAATGGCATTCACAGCAACCTGGATGGAGATGGAGACCATCATTCTAAGTGAAGTAATTCAGAAATGGAAAACCAAACATTGTATGTTCTCACTCATAAGTGAGAGCTAAGCTATGAGGATGTAAAGGCATAAGGATTATACAATGGACGTTGGGGACACGGGGGAAAGGGTGGGAGGGGGATGAGGGATAGAAGGCTACACACTGGGTACAGTGTACACTGCTTGGGCGATGGGTATACCAAAATCTCAGAAATCACCACTAAAAAACTTCTTCATGTAACCAAATACCACCTGTTCCCCCCAAACTATTGAAATAAATAAATAAATAAAAGTAGTCTGTCTTTTACTATAGGGGCCTCAGCCATTACCTTGAGATGGATGAGGAAAAAAAATATTAACTTTTCTTCCCTCCCTTTGAATGTGTGCATTGTAGGATGCGGAACTGATTGGGATTGTTGCTAAAAGAGGAATTTAGGAAATATATTTTAGGCCATTTGGTGAGCAGAAATTCCCCCTACCCACCTCCTCTGCCCCACTCCCCACCCAACCATTAAATCCCTGTGAAGAGCCAACGTGATTCATAACTGAGCCTTTTTCAATTTACAAAATTGTTAGATTAAACAAAGGTCACCAATCCAAGAAGCTACCTCTGATGAAGTAGCACTAACAGCTATGCTCTAGACTTCAGACTTCAAAAGAGCCATTTTTCTCAGTTAGTAATAACAAACATTTCTGTACACAGCCTTTTATCACCCGGTATATTTCTTAGTATTCCATAGATCCTCAAAGTTAATTGAACATGCACTCTCTAATTATCTAATTACTTCATGAAGCATGTCTCAATTAAGGGACTCCTGCCAACCTGCAGGCATTTAGCATGCTCTTTGGTGAAGTGCTTCCTCTACTGAGTGATTAGCAGTAATGAGTTCAACTCTCTCAAGAGCATAGGGACTATCCTTTTAGGCCTCCAATTGTACTGATGGTTTGCCGCTCTCTCCCACCCCATAATGTTTTCTGTCTGAAATGGAAAATGTGTACTTCCCTGCAGAGCTTAAGATGTGAATCAAAATTTAGTTCCTGTGGGTCGGAGTCAGATGCAAGCCTCTAATTTTTCTTTAAGGGACTGGAGACAATATGAATAACTTTGGGTCCATTTTTAGTCCAATGGTTCTCAAACTTGTTTGTGAACAAGAATTTGCTGGAGAAGCTTGTTCAATACAGATTCCTAAACTCCACATGCAGTGATTGTGCTTCCTTTAGTGGGGAAAGGAGCTCAGGAATGTGCATCTTCCACAAGCAACCCAATGCATTCACATACAGACATTTTGAGCAACAGGACAGCTCCTCACTGGGCATTGCTTGTGTGGTTTGAGAGGGTCCATGACCAGTCCCCGTGTTACACAGTTGTCCCTCGGTGTCTGTGGAAGATTGATTCCAGGACCCTCAAGTAGATACCAAAATCCTGGGATGCTCAATCCTCCATCTGGCCCCCTGTGTCCTTAGGTTCCACATCTGCAGATTCAACCAACCGCAGATGAAAAGTTGGTCCTCCATATCCATGGAACAGATATGGAGGGCTGACTGTAGTATAAATCTGTTGGTGAGGCTTTTTTCCTCTTGTTTCTCTGTCTCTCTCTCTCTTGCATAGGGAATGCCTAAATGTTAGTGGGAACACATGAAAATAAAGAATATTAATATATTAGTATAATTCTGATAAAACAGATTACATTGAATAGGTATCAGAAGTAGAAAGTTATTCTTTTTTATTTTAAAGATTTCTCCAAAAGATCACATTTTCTTTTATCCCATTATTTATAGACACTCCAGCCCAATGGAGTTGCTTGCAGTTTGCTCCAGCTCATACATTAATGAGCTAGCTCCTAGTCCATTTTTGTTTCCACCATATCATGAGATCTGAATGTCACTCTTAATTTTAAGTTTTTATTATGACCAAAGTCACTGAGTTATTCTAGCCCACTGCTGGCATTTTAGACAGCAAGGATAAAAAAAGTAATATAATCATGAGCCTAGAGAAAAGTAAAATGCCAGTATTCCACCAAATAGATTAGTAATTATACTAGCAGAAATAAAGGACAGACTTGGCTTCAGGGGGTCCTTTTGATCTGTTCATGGTGGAAAAAAACCCTTAATGTGTTCATACATGATTCTCAGACTGCCTTTGTCATTGAAATACAGAGCAACCGCAAAGTAACAAGAATCAGACACTTTTGTTCTTGTAGTAGCTGTTTTATGTCATTTACAAATTCAGACCATTGAAACTGTCAAAGTAATTTAGTGACAACGTGATCAGTTTTAAACTCCAATGTTCCTTCCTTTTAGGAAGCACCATAACCTAACAAAAACACATTAAAAAATAGCCACGGCATTTATTTACCATTGGATATTTTACAGTGTACAACACTGCAATGGCTTATATTGATAGTTGCTAAGAAGTATTTTGCTTCTCACCAGAACCTTGCATCCCTTTTCTCTTATTAAAAATAGATATCTTTTAAAATGAATCAATTTCTCTTTCATTCTTTCTCCCTAACTCTCCTCCAAGAAAAAAAGTGACATTAATTTTATTTTTAGTGTTCATTTAATTTTATGCACAATTTATTCACATCAAAAGTTGTAAGAACATTTTGGGTTGTTTCACATCAAATTAGACATTCTCTTCACATAATTGTCTATTGGCTCTAGATAGAGAAAACTGAAGTAATTCAATTTACTATAAAGAAGCTCTAGAGACAAAATGATTTAGTGTTATTAAATGATTTGAACCCAGCTATCTCATTTTTTTGAGAAATAAATGGTTAGAGCTTTCAAATATAATTGATCTGAGTGGGGACAAGACATTAATAGTCTTCAAAAACACCCAGGGGATTTTACTGCAGGGTTATGTAGTGAGCCACTAGCTTAGACAAATAGGAGCCACACACTGAGTTGGGTACCTTGCCTCTGAAGAAGATGAGGGATAGGTGAAATGGCTGTTGTTACAAGGACACAGAGGTCTCGTCGAAAGTTGAACAATAACTTTTCTTTTATTTAAATTTCAGCTGGAAAAGATAGATTCTAAAAAAACAAAAAGACTGGATTATATAAAATGCACCCCCCTTAAGCACTTTATACATTTTGTTTCCTATCTGACAGGCCAAGAAATCAAAGGTAGATGTCTTATGATTAGAGAGTAAATGAGTCAGGATCAGGATTGCACTTTGCAGCCCTAAATGCTTTAGTTTCTTTTTGGTTTGACAGAACTCTGTCTTATTTTTGTGTACCTTTCTGGTGTTTGCCATGCTCAGATCTGTCATACAGTCAGCTGTACTCATGTGTGTGGACCTGCCGCAAGAAGATGAGCCCTTGGTAGATGGAGGCAGTGCCATTGGTCCAGCATCTCTTCCAAAGAGCTTGGCACACTGCCTGCCCACTAAAGGCAGAAATGAGAGGGCTACTTCTTCTTGGAAGGGTAACAAGAGTTAGCATAGAAAGAAGGGCACTGAGGATAGAGTCTGAAGATCTCAGCTCTAGTTTCTGGCTTTGTCACTCATTCGTGGGTGATTTGGGACCCTACTGAGCATCAGTTTTCTTGTCAACAAAATAGGAAATCTGTTTCCCATAGTCTTCTCACAAGGTGATCACAAACTTTATGGATAGTGGATCAAGCACAACCATAAAGAAGGTAACAGTTTGTGGATTAGCAGCTACTTAAAAAACATAAATTATGGTAGATGACATGGTGCAGCCAGTGGAAAGAGAAATAGGCATGGGATCGAAGGTCTAGCTCTGGTACTAGTTTGATCTCTTTTTATTTATTATTTATTTATTTAGAGACAGGGTCTCACTCCATCACCCAGGCTGGAGTACAGCAGCACCATCACGGCTTACTACAGCCTCAACTCCCCGGGTTCAGGTGATTCTCCCACCTCAGCCTCCGGAATAGCTGGGACTACAGGCACACACCACCACACGTGGTTAATTTTTTGTATTTTTTGTAGACACAGCATTTTGCTATGTTGCCTAGGCTGGTCTCAAACTCCTGGGCTCAAGCAATCTGCCTCAGCCTCCCAAAAATCACCTACTTATTTTGCTTCTATGTTTATATCATTTAATTTTTCTAAGCCTTAATTTCCTCATCTCTAAAATGAGGATATGTATACCTGGCATGCTTACTCAAGTGAATCTACTCATTCTATAAAAATAGAGTTAGTTAGCATTTAGCTGTACTAGGGATGAGGATACAGCACTGAATAAGGTAATGGTGGCCCTGACATGGTGGAACTTAAAGCCTCGTGAAATAATGGATGTGACACTACTTTGTAAATTGTAGTGTTATGCAAATATGTAAGTATTGTGACTATTGTTAATGTTACATTAACATTAGTAACAGAAGAAGGACTTCTAGATAAAGTTGAAAAAACAACTATTTATCTTCTGCTGTGGTTCCAAATATTCCAAATATAGGTAAAACTCTCAGCAGTTTCTGAATTGCTGTTCAGAGAATACATGAGATCAGCCTTAAAAAGGTAGATTAGTTTGGGTTCCACTTTTATCATATATATATATTGGAAAATATCTATCAGAATGTTTCATATGTTTAAGTACAAATGATATGATGATAATAAATCAAATCTTCCAAGTCTTTAATTGAATACTGGCTATCATGAGGTCGTAAGAGAAATTCCACTACTGTTTTCAGGCCATTGTGATACCATATAAGGAATTGGCTGTCATTTTAGTAAATGTAGTTAATTCTATCATGTCCTAATAGGCTGGGTCAGTGGTCAAATTGTTGGAGAGATTGGGGTTGACGATAGTCTATAAACTACGAGGAAGGGCTCACCATATGTGGTAAGAGTTTTGTTTCAAATAATTTTAATCTAATTTAATGTTTAAAATAAAAGCTAAAGCCGTGGTAGGTTTTTGTTTTTTTTCCGAAATAATTCCAGTTGTGTTTATCTATATTATTTTTCTTTTAGTATGTTCTGTCTCTCAATTAACAGCATAGTATATTAGCTTTCCAATTCTGTTTATTGTATCTTTAAGTAAATTTAATTTATATAAAATAGTCTAAAATAAAGGGCAAAACACATACATTCAACAGGCAACTTCTGTTTTATACGGTCTCCCTTTTTACTCTTTTTTATTGATACTATTGTAACTACAATAAAAACACACTTGCCTTTAAATATGCCATTCGGTGAAGCTTCACAACCACTACAAGTCCTAGTGAAAATGCTGAAACTCATGCTTTGAGAAGTGAATGATGATCACCTAAGCTGTAAAAAAACTCAGACATGGAAACATAAACACTGGAGGAAAGGCCAGGTAAGCTGTTGATTTGATTGCCATGTCACTCAGATACCTTCTCAAATGGAAATGTCTTTGCATCTGGCAAATGAGGCTCCTCCTCCCTGGACAGCAGGAGATTCGTTCTCTAATTAGGACCTTGTTAGACTGTCAGAAGTGGAGAGTCTAGCTGAGGGAAGGTGTCTCTTTGGCACCAGCTCTGCAGGCTGTGAGGAGATGACATTCACATTCACATCTGTGTACTGTGTTCAGCACTGCACTTCAAAGCAAACCCCTTCAACAATTTTCAAGCTAATGAGTACATCACACTGAACTTCTGTCTGGTGCTTTGAAAAGCATTGCTGTGTTTTGAATGTGATCTCTTTCACATGAAGCTTATTTCGGGGTCATTAAGGGAATCAGTGCTCAGAAACTCTTTATACAGTTTTATAACCCTTGGTGTTTTCATCCCTGACTTCAGAAAGTCATTGGCCTGAGACTTTCCTGTAACATATAAATGTCTCATGGTAGGAAGCTTCAAAGGCAAATACTTGCAAATGAGTGGGGGGAAAAAGCTTATGAAATAACGAGCAATTCTTCAACAATTCCTTCTTAAATTGTAACCTTGATACATGTCATTTAACTAAATGGGATCAGAGTTAGAGATGAGAGTGCAGTATTGTCTTGGCTAACATTGTTTTCAGTTTCTTTTTTTTTTCTTTTTCAACCTAAAGATTATTTCCCATTAACTTTCCACAAATTCTCTAGTAAAGTAATGGATCTAAGACCTAACTAACCCCTGGCTAGTGTTTGGCCAAGTAGACTCCTGCAAAGGCTCTTTGCTATTTTCTGTGTTGTGCTTTGGGGGCTGGTTTACTGCTATCTCCCTAGCACCTGGAATAGTGTGTAGCATATTTAGGCACTTGATAAATATTGGTTAAGTGAATGAATACATATGGCCCCTCTGTCTAAATTGAAGATTGGCAACCAGAAAGAACAAAGTTATCCACTTTACATAAAGCACATGATTGGCATTTCTGAGGACTCACAGCCTTGCTGTGATTGATATCTACTGGTTCATTAGGCCTCTGACCTTCCCAAGAAGTAATGTCCTCAGGAGTATTTCCTAGAGATAAAACGTGTAAACCAATAATATTACAAAACCTCATGGGAACTCAGAGAGAGCATGAGCTTTGTGTGGAGGATGAGATATTTAAATGTGGTTTTGAAGTATGACAAGTTTACCAGGTGAAGATAAAGAAGGGCATCATGGGCAGACAGAACAAGATATTGCAAAAGAAACCAGGCATAAATGAGCATGGCCCTCGAAGGAGGGTAAGGCATGGGGATGGGAGAAAGTCAGGCTGATAATGTTGGCTGGGGTCATCCCGTGGAGGACCATGTTGTGAATCATGAACTTCCATTGAGGTACTGGGAAAGAAGCTATAGAGGATTTTTGGAAGCATATGGGTAAAATCAGATTTTGGACAATTTCTCTGTGACCTCTAAGAGGGCTGGGAATGACAGGCAGGTGGGCTTTGGTATCCCAGTTAACAGGGATACACAATCTGGCCACACAGAGGGAAACTATTAGCAGCTTATTTGCCCCCATAGAGAGAAAAAGAGTGACACAGAGGACACACAGGTCATTATTTTAGGAATATGTGAGGCAGGGTTGGCTTGGGGGATATAAAGATGACTAAAATGGAAAGACAAACAATTGTAAGATGGGCCAAATGAAGACAGAGGTGCTGCCTTCAAAAGGCTTACAGTTTAATTGGGAGATAGATTTGTAAGCAGCTCCTTACCAGACACTGGTAGAAACAAGTGCAAGAGTATGGGAGAATCTTATCTCTGTGATGTCCTCTTTCTTTACTAGGAAGTAGGTGGCTATCTCTAAACGTGCCATGGAAGACATCCCCACTTGAACCGCACAAGTGGTTGTGAAGCTTGATCCAAGTAAACTGGCAAGGAGCTGATGGCTGTATTCAGCAATACAGCCTCCCTGGCTAGGGCAGGCAGGTGGTAAATACTTACTGGGTGGGGAAAAACGGTATCTATCATGGGGAAATCTCTCACTTGGGATTACCAATACCTTGATTTTTTTCTTTTTTTCTTTTTGTCACTTTGTGACCCAGGCTGGACTGCAGTGGTGATGTGATTGATCACCACAACCTCAAACTCCTGGGCTCAAAACAGTTCAGCTTCAGTCTCCTCAGTAGCTAGGACTACAGGATTGTGCCACCATGTTAATCTATGCTTTTTTTTTTTTTTTTTTTTTTTTTTTGTAGAGTTGGAGTCTTGCTATGTTGCCCAGGCTGGTCTTGAACTGGCTTCCCACCTTGGCCGCCCAAAGTGCTGAGATTACAGGTATAAGCCACTGTGCCCAGCCTGATACCTTGATTCTTGGCTTTATTTTGCTTATAACCCTGTGGTGTTGGAAAATTTAACTTTTCTGGGGCTCAGTTTTTTTTTCTTTTCTTTTTCTTTTTTTTTTTTTTGAGACTGAGTTTCGCTCTTCGTGCCCAGGCTGGAGTGCAGTGGTGCAATCTCAGCTCACTGCAATATCTGCCTCCCAGGTTCGAGCAATTCTTCTGCCTTAGCCTCCTGAGTAGCTGGGATTGCAGGTGCCCACCACCACACCCAGCTAATTTGTTGTATTTTTGGTAGAGACCGGGTTTCATCATGTTGGCCAGGCTGGTCTTGAATGCCTGACCTCAGGTGATTCACCTGCCTCAGCTTCCCGAAGTACTGGGATTACAGGATTGAGCCACCACATCCTGTCCAGTTTTCTTATCTGTAAAGCAAAAGAACTGAGCCAGATTTCTAAATGGTCATGGTTTATGATTTCATGAACTGCAAGAAAACTTCTTATCCATGTCTAGAAGTGGAAAATATGGGGAGTTTTGAAATAAACAAGTAGCTTCTAAGAGTATGAACATTAAGGCATATTCTGTAGCTCTTACTAGAAGGAAAATCAAGAGGAGAAGGAATTGATCCTCATTGTATGAGTCCAGTAGTTCAGCATCAGCCCTCTAATAGTCTGAGATGACAAGGGCAGTGCATCCTCATCTCTGTAAGGGTATTTCCTCCTTACAGCTGCTGAGGTGGCATTCTTGCTAACTTCCAGATGAAAAGTTACCAGTTTGGGATCTTTACATTTAGGATTTTATTCAGCCACTCTCCACAAGAGGAATGTTGTTCATAAGAGGGACTTTCTAAAGAAGATAGTGAGTTTGGGATGACACATCCTAGGGTTATTAGTTGCATGACTTGATGTGAAGTGAGCAGTCTAATCTACTCAGATAAAAGTATGAAATTGCTATATGTTCTTTTTGACATGAGAACTTCCAGGCCTTTCAGGCCAAATAATTAATATGAAGGCAGTACTGAGTGAAAGTTAAATGGCTGGGAATTGTTAATGCAAACCAGAGAGAGTGGACATTGACATTATGAGAGATATTCCAGGAATCCAAGTCCTTGTACAAGCTTGTCAAACCTGTGTTCTGTAGGCTGGATGTGGCCCAAGACAGCTTTGAATGCGACTCAATACAAATTCATAAACTTTCTTAAAACATTACGATATTTAAAAAAGATTTTTTTTTTTAGCTCACTAGCTATCATTGGCGTTAGTATATTTTATGTGTGGCCCAAGACAATCCTTCCAATGTGGTCCAGGGAAGCCCAAAGATTGGACACTCCTGCCTTAGCAGGACAAATGGCCAGAGGGACACAATGGTAGTGGATAGCTTGTTGGTGGATGGGGTGTCCATGAGGAAATTCTACCTAACAGAGTGAATTTCTTAAACAAACCTTCAACTGCAGCACACATGAGGTATAGAAACTGAAAGAAACATTACATAGAGGGAATCAGACTTTGCACATTAATCAACTTATTTTTAGGGACTCAAGCCAGTCCAAAAATGGCATCTGGCTCCATGGTAAGAAAATGTTTGATTCACATCTCAGTATCTTTAGGACTTTGGGGTAGAAAACTCAAATGTATGATAAAAAAACTGAAGCAGCCATTGTTGTGGCCCCAAACCCTAAAATGGACAGTTGCTCCCATGTATACTTATCCTTAGTCTTCTTAATAAAGGGATAGAGTTGAGGAGTTTTAGACACTAAGAAAATTCTCTGAGAATCCTGCTTAAATGAATGATAAGTCATATTGGTGATAATAGTTTGGTGACAAGTGGATGTACGATTCCTAAAACTTGGTTGTAGAGCCTGGAATAATGGCTCTATTCGTTGGAAGTTTCAACATCCTCAGGCTTCGTGTTATAATCAGAGAGGTTTACTCTGAGAGTCCTCCCTGAATGGAACCTCCTCCTCCCCTCAGCATCCTGTTGCATAGCAATCAATTATTTCTCAATGTCCGCGATTATACCTGCCATAGTTGTATGTGGGATTAGAGGGTGGTGGAAGAAATGTAGTAGAAGAAAGCCACCTTCTGGTGGCCAAGAATGCTGCCTGTCCAGGTAAAATTATCATAATCCTGGGAGGGAATTCAGTTTATAGTTTTTCTTTCTTGCTTTACATACATTTTAGGTGATTCAGCATTGAGGGGAGATATGATCCCTGCTATGAGGATCACGAAGGACTGGTGTGGGATGAGCCCCCTGTCATCCCTGTTTAGGGAGTATTTCTCCATATTTGTGGGTCATTCATAAACCTAGAATGAAAAGAATTAAGGAATAAGAACCCTGTAAACAATAAAAAGCAAAGTGAATGAAAAACTTAGTTAAAAGAATAACAGACTATTTTTAAAAACTAGAAGAAACAAAAACAGTGTGAGAAAACTAATAGAAGGGTAAAAATGTGTCACAAAATTATAATATGGAAAATAAAAGGGGTCAAAGGTGAAAAAACTAAACTAGAGAATTTGAGAAATAACAAGAAAAAAATTAAAATATACATTATTAAAAAGGATAAAAATAGCTAAAGAGGAAATTTTGGAATGTTTTGCCAGAAAAATTGTCTGAAAATGTATACAACTAGGTATTGTGTGTGACTATCTCTGGGTAGGTGAGAATATGATTTTTTAAATTATTCATTTTGCTTGTTTGTGTTATGCAGTTTCTCTGAAATTATCTTATATTGCATACGTAATAAAAAAGGGCATTTTTCATGTGCCCCTGAAAAATGTGAAAATAAATAGAAGCAAAAAAGCATTTATTTAGAATAAATGGTAAAAGGGCAAAAAAACATTTATTTAGAATAAATGGTAAAGGCTGTAAGAAAGACAAATAAAGCAAAGAATAATGAATATTTCATAAAACAGTGCAAACCAGAAATTAAATGATTGAAAGAACCAAAAAAAGTACTATAAGAATGTTTTACAAACATTTAAGAAAATGAAGAATTTTTAAAAAGGAAAAAAATTAAAAGACCTAAAGAATTTTTGGGGGTAAGGCTGTTTGTTAGGGGCAAATCTAGGCACATCCCTTAGCTGGAGGTCACCAAACATGTCCTGATGGAGGAGGTACAAGGGCAAAGAGCAAGTCCCTACTTTTTGTTGCTCACCTTATTTTTAGGGTCCTGGCTCCTATGTCCCAATAAAAATGTCCAGCCAATGTTGTGGCAGAATCAAATTCCCCTTGCTCCACATATATCTGATGAGGTAGTCATGACAAGAGGTATACTCATAGTTTCTGAAAATGCCTTCAACATGGCAGCTATAAGTTTGCTGTCATTCTTCATGGTCTTGGCAGATTTTGTCTGTGCCTTTAATGCTGTGGCTGGCCCCCAGATCAGCAGCATTGGCATCTTCTCTGGGATCTTGTTAGAAATGCAAAATCTTGCTCCCTCACCACTGAACTATTGAGTCAGAACCTCTAAAGATGGGGCATAGGAAACTGTTTGAACAAGCTCTTTAAGATAATTTATTTTATTTTTTTACTTTTTAGACAGAATCTCACTCTGTTGCACAGGCTGGAGTGCAGTGGTGCAATCTTGGCTCACTGCAGTCTCGACCTCCTGAGCTCATGCAATCCTTCCTCCTCAGCCTCCTGAGTACCTGGCACTACACCAAGTACTTCCTCCTCTGCCTCCTGAGTACCTGAGACTACACCTGAGTGCCACCACACCTGGCTGATTTTTAAATTTTTTGTAGTGACTGGGTTTTGCCATGTTGCCCAGGCCTGTCTCAAACTTCTGAGCTCAAGTGAGCTGCCTGCCTCAGCCTCCCAAAGTGCTTGGATTACATGTGTGTGCCACTGCACCAGGCCTAAAAGAGATTTTTAAACACAATAAAGTTTGAGAACCACTGCTATAGGGGGACCAAGGAGTTCGATGTGTTATTTGGAGACAGAGTAAGGGAGCTTAGATATTGGGAGAGAAGGTGGTAAGTGGATGAGGACTCTGAGCTAATCAGCACTATGGGATGTGGGGTCTTGGTGGGAAGAACAAGAAAAATAAGGTACTGGGACTATGGAGACAGTAGTGAGGTGGGAAATGGTCTATAGCAAGCTAGTTTAACCAATGGCCCATGGGCCGCATGCAGCCCAGACGGCTTTGAATGCGGCCCAACAGAAACTCATAAACTTTGTTAAAACATTATAAGATTTGTGTATGTGTGTATGTGTTTTGTTTTGTTTTTTGTTTTTTGCTCATGAGCTATCATTAGTATTAGTGTATTTTATGTGTGGCCCAAGAGAATTCTTCTTCCAGTGTGGTCCAGGGAAGCCAAAAGATTGGACACTACTGGTCTACAGTGAAGAGACCATGTTTGAATCTTAGCACTACTGGCTGAATGGTTGTAAGCTCCATAGGGTTAGATGATGATGGGGCGATTGTTACTTTTCTCTTAGGATTGTTTTGGGGTTGCAAAGCAAATTAATATGAGTGTGCCTGACATATAGTCAATGCTCAATAAATAGTACTTGAATTTGAACTGAAGTGGGGAGCTGAGGGGATGGGGAAGAAGAGTGCTGAGGGAAGCAGTTCCTTTCACTCTCATGGTGACTCTGGCTCATTCAAGCAACTCCTGCCATTGACACTTCCCATTCCCAGAATCTAGGCAGCCTGAAACTACTTGAACAGGTAAATTCTCAACTTGGACTTGTTTAAACAATGAAGCAACTATTTTGCCTATCTTCTGTTGAGGCAAATTAAATAAATACACCTTGCAAAAGACAAAAGGAATAGGTTTCCTCAAAATTGTAGATTTTGCACTGTGTTGAGGTTGGAAGATGACCAGTGCAGCCCATGCAAACAAAGAATAAGGGTGTGTGGCAGAGTGAAAAGTACGGCATCATCTGCTCAGCAGGAGAAGACCTGGGCTTCAACCGACCCTGATCTGTGACTTCCTAGCTGGGTAGCCTTAGCAAGTTATTTAATCTCTCTGAACTGTGGGTTCTTCATTTGTAAAAGAGGGATAATTTCCCACCTTCCAGGATTGTAAGGATTGTAGAAAAATGTAGGTGAAAACATTCCTATTGGTACCAGGTACATGACAGCTGATAAGAAGTGTTTTCTGAAGATCACTTTGATACCTAGCCTTTCCCCTGAATAAGGCCAAGGGAAGCTACTCCACTGCTTCACCTGAGCAATTCCACCTTTGGACGATTAACATGGACTCTTTTGAAGAATTTGTATTGTTAATGGTCCCATATGTGTTTATGTAACACAGTTCCTTTGCATTTGGATCCTTCACATTCCCCACGTTTTCCTAGGCTGGGAAGAATGTTTGCAAAGCCTGTGGATCAGCTTCTCTATGCAACATAGGATGTTGTGGGCCCTGACTCTTTCTTACGTCTGGATTACAGGGTCAGGGAAGCTCTTCTCCTTTCCTATTATCTTGTGTTCAGAGACCTTGTAGCTGCAAATGGGATTTCTTTCTAGGCCAACATGAATAAGATTAAGACAAGAAGTTGCTGGGAAACAGTATCATTACATGGACCCCGATTCTATTGTAAGGCCAAGGGGATTGCAAAGTGGGGGCCCTTTTTAGTTTCTGTAATAGTCTCCACTAGAAAGAGAGTGGGAGAGAAAGAAAAATCAAACAATCAGTCTTCTTTCTTGCCCCAGGCTCCATAATTTGCCTTTTACTTTCTGCATTTTCATATTTGAGTCTGAAAAGCAGAGGACCAAAACAATCAGCAACAGATGTCCTCATGAATCTGCATGTTACACGAATTCAGTTAGCATGCAAATTGTCATCCTAGGGCGATTCCAGGGGACTGCTGAAAAAACAGCAGGCCTGCTCTGAAAAATAGATAGATGGCGTGATTAAAATGTCTGGATCCAATCATATGTTTAATTACGATCCCTTTTTTATCTCAACTACAATGACTGGTAGCTATTATGACACAATATTGAAAATGTGTAAGACGCATGGTGGCATTTGGAAGGCTGATAGGTGGTCTGTGTTTGATCAAAATGATCAAAGCTTCTGGCAGTGGAAAGCCCCCTCTCCTTCTCTCTCGTCTGATGCACTTAGACGAGCAAAATATGATTTATAGGAGACAGTTTATGTGATTTTCATTCTCCAAGAGCAGGAGCATAATTTTTGTGCCACTATTTTCCCTAGAAACATGGGAGCCTGACAATGCTCATAAACACATAGTAACTGACGCTATTCCATGGTTGTCCACAGGCATCTCTCATGCTTCAGCTTTAATTTATTCCCATAGGTCCAAATACTTTCAAATTTTATTATTGGTACAATAAAAAAAAGACAAAATCTTAGTGCTGAGCACAGAGACTCTTGGTTATTTCATTCTAGTCATACCTTCAGATTGTATTTTTGAGACTTCAAATGAAACTAAACGTAAACTTCTCACAAGATGGCATGTTAAGCATAAAGTTTAACTGCTTGGTTGATATAAATACTGAATTTTGCTATAAAAAGTACTGAACCTGGTATTCAGCTAAAGCAGCTATTGTGTCTATTATAAGAAAGAATTTACATTGGAATTTCTTTCTTTTTCTTTTTGTCTTTAGCTGGAACTCTGGAAAGCAGAGAAACAGGAAACATAAAACTAACTTGGTCAGCATGCCTCAACCTGGGATTTAAAATGATGTAACCAGCATTATGGGGGGAAACTGTTTGCCAAAAATTTGATGAAAACATCCGGTATTAATTTGGACTACAATTTATCAGATAAAAGTCTTTTACACATTTCGCAGCTAGGTAGCAGTGTATTTTTCACATCTTGAAGGCTTTTGGTTAGAAATTTATACAAAACCTAGGTTGTAGTTTCTCTTATATACACTTGCTTTCATCTCTATTTTAGCTGGTATCCCACCCTACCATGTTCTCTTTTTACATTGGTTATTGTCATCTATAGGGGGAAAAAAAAACCCTCTTCACTAGCAATAGGAAATTGAATGAAGTGTTTATTGTGCTACTGTTCCGTACTCAGCACTGTGCTGGGGACAGCAGGGGCTTCAGCTGACTTGTTAAGGCTTGAATCCTGTCTTCGAGGACTTGACAGCCAAGTGCCAATTCTACAGTGAATCATCTGAGAAAGAAACAAAGATTAAGAGTTAAAGAAAAAGACAGATAAGGAGAGAGGTGAGGAGTTGGTGAGAGAGGGAGGGAAAAATTATGGGTAAGAGGGTGAGCAGAAAGAACAGTCAGAATCCTCTAATCTTTTATCAGCTTTCACCTGCTACTACAGGTTCCCAGGGAAGGTTGGTGGCTATGGGTGTGTTTGAGGGTGAACAGGATTCCAGGGAAAAGTGCACCATTAACTTAACTGCTCTAAGCTTTTGGCTCCAAACACTTTTGTTAATTCTAGCCATGAGAAGCTGAGATGTACCCTGGGAAAGTCAAAAATTGTGCCTTTGTGTTCCAAGATTGACCCTAAAAACAGTGACCTATTTAGCTCTTACCCCAATTCAGCCCTTTTAGATCCTATACCAACTACTATCTTTCATTGCACTCCTACCATATGCCAGGCATTGTACTAAGTACTTCATAGGTGGTTTTTTTCTCATCTAGTCCTCACAAAACTCCCCTTTGATGTAAGTACCTTTTGCCTCAAATTTCAGGTGAAGAAAGTAAGACACAGAGAAGCTAAGCAACTTTCCCCTGGTCAGGGCTCAAGTAGTCCACATTCAGAACCTGGGTGTTTAACTACTGTACTGAGCTATCCAAGTATACACTAACAGTAAGAAAATAAACCTAAAGAAAGATTGATAAACTTAACAAGAGAAAAAGACGGTACTTACCCCAATATAGTCTTACTCTATTCCTGCCACTGACACTTTTATCCCTTCATAACACAAGCCAGTTTTATTCTAGTCTCTGCTTGTGTTTAACCCCACCCTCCTCTTTGGGAGAAGGATGGAGATGGGGTGTGTGAGATGGTCCTTGTCATAAAGTGAGTGTTGTAATGATGAGATGGAAGGTTGAAGTTGAAATAATTGCGGTAGAACTTAAGCTCGTTTCGAAAAACGAGCAGAAGCTGCCTAAGAAGTGAGGAGCAGGAGGACATTGCCATTTGTGTAGAAAGAGTATCTAGAGGAATGGAGGGGGCGGCCTGAATATAGATGAAGGGTAGGGGCCATTGTGGGGTTTCTGCAGAGCCACAATCCCAGCAGGGATGAATGGCTGGTGAAGAGTAGGAGAGGGACATTAGGGAGGAACTTATGTCAGGTTCCCTTAACTTCCCAGGTTGCCTACACACTCTCCCCACTGGTGGGCAGATGGTATTTTGGAAAAGGCTGGGTATTGAGGCAGTGCGGCATGGAGTTCTCATACAGCCCCACAGTGGGGAAGATGCTGGGATTGCCCCAGGGGCAGAAGTGAACCTTCAGAGTTTCCACAAGTTGGTTAATGAGAAGCCAGCAGAGTTGTTGCTAGGCAGAAATAGATCATAAAGGAGCCTTAGAAGAGGATGACCAGCAAAATTAATTGGCAGAAGATGGCAGAATGTTGATCGCCACAGCTGCATGTGTGTTGCAGAATGTCAGCTACTTTTATTCCCTAAGAAACTTGCTTCTCTTGGTAAAGCAATGAGAATGGTTACCAAATGTGACTGCTTCGGGGGGTTCAGAGCCCCTTGTGTGTTCTGAGAAATTAGATCAAGGCTCCATAGGGCAGTCTACATCCATGCAGTGATGCTAATGTGCTCTCCAAACCCAGTCACCTCATGGTGAAAGAAAGACTTTAACTCAATAGTGTTTATACTTTCTAGGAGTGTGCTGCCTCATGTGTGTAGTCAAATATGAGCTGATTTCCCCACCCTTAGTCACACCCAATGGTACATTGTTCTCCAGGTCTAGAGATAGACCTGCCCCGATGCCCCTGTGCCTACTCTCTCACCCCCATTCTCCTTCCTGCCAGTGAAACTTTGTCGCAAATTTGGGTTATGGCTCATTCTGTGACTCCGGAGTTTTCATGAGTCCATTAGCAGCACAATCTGAGTCAAGCTTCCAGGCATAATGAGAAAAGCATCCTTTTACCTTGGGGCTTAATGAGAGCCTTTCCCAAAGGAAGCCTAAACCTATTCTTGGTTGAAATAACTTAGAAAGCATTTACTTTGGTTCATATTTAAAACTCAAACACACTCTAATATCATTGCATTCATTTTCCGGGGCTGCTGTAACAAATTATCACAAACTGGGTGGCTTACAACAACAGAGTGTTCTCTCACAGTTCTGGAGGCCAGAAGTCTGAAATCAAGGTGTTAGCAGGGTCATGCTCCCCACAAAAGCTCTAGGGGAGAACTCCTTCTTGCCTCTTCCAACTTCTGCTGGGTCCAGGAATTCCTTGGCTGCATGAATCTAATTTTTGGCTTTGTCATCTTCATATGGCTTCTCCTCTCTGTGTCTCTGTCTTCTTTCTATCTCTTATAAGAACACCTGCCATTGGATTTAGGGGCCACCTAACTGATCCAGGATGATCTCATCTCAAGATCCTTAACTTAGTTACATCTGCAAAGAACCTTTTTCCAAATAAGATCATATACACAGGTCCCAGGGGTTAGGAAGTGGACATATCTTTTTGGGGGCCATCATTCAATCCAGTAAAATGATATTCTCTACATAGGCTTCTTTTTGGAAAGAGTGTACTCAACAAATGTCAGATATATCAAATGCTTTAAGTTAGTCTACTTATAATGTAGAATGGTTCAGGGGCATTACTGGTTGATGACTAGGAAAGATATTTCCATTTCTTTACATTTAAAAACCCTGTGTTTGAGTCCTGGGTCCACTATTTGCCAGTTGCCGATAGGTCTCTCCTTTGCCAGATCCCTAACTCCTTTGTCTGACATAGAAGCTGATCATTTCAGATGTTGCTGGGATAAAATGCCACATGATCTACTTTGTAAACTGAGGAGTGGCACACAAGAATAAGGCAGAGGAGTTTAATGTTGTTGGAAAAGCATGAAAACTTGCAAAGTGGTTCGTTTTGTGGGTGGAATTCTAAAACAATGCTTTTGGGTCTGTGAAACCATTGAGGTTTATATCATACCACTTCAGTTCAACTCTTCTAGTATGAAGCAACTAATTTTGAGTTAGCAGAATTTCCTCCCAATAAACTACATAGACAAGTACTCTGTCAAAAAACGTCTGTTTTTGTTGTTACCTAACATGCCTGGTGGAGAGTAGGAGAGGGACATTAGGGAGGAACTTATATCAGTTTCCCTTAACTTCCCAGGTTGCAAGCACGCTCTCCCCACTTGCGGGCAGATAGTATTTTGGAAGAGGCTGGGCAAGATATTGTTACCTAACATCTTACCATTAGATGTTTTTTGACAGAGTACATGCAGTCCTTGGTACATGCTTTAGTCCTCAGAAAATAGCTCTACATAGCAAAATGTGTCTTGATTTGGTCATCTGTATTGTGCTTTCTGTCATTCAGCACTTATGGCCTATAGTAACAAAAGCAGAATCAGCAGTTTATGAAAGCCCAGCAGACTTATGGGAAGGTGACTTTGTTGGATAAACACATTTAACTGCAGGGTTTTTATCACTGCAAAATCATACACCAGAGAAATGTTAATGCACAGAGATGATCTTTAAATTAAAGTGCTAAGACTGGAGTTTCAAAGCCATTTGTTTTAATGGTGCCTCATTAGCTGTTAAAAAAAAAAAACTTTTGAGTGGCTATTTTATCTTACAAATGTTAAATATTCTTTGTAGACAGGAACTGTCTGTTAAAGTAATATTTGACATCTATCAAATCAAAAATACTTTACAATGAAAGGCTGACATCTGTTTACTATATAGAAAAGGGGTGCTGTGTATTTTTACTAGAAGGATTTTCCTTTAATAAGGCAGCCAAAAGTCATCTACACACACCAAACCGATTTATAGCCAAAACCTGTTGAATACCAACACAGCATCATGGCTGCTTAGCAATCCATTTTCCCCCCCGGTATTACTCTGACGTTGGCATTAAATTTGTATAGGAGATATGTTTGTCTTTTTTTAAGGAAAAAATATAATAGCAATTTTATTAAATCTGGGTTAATTATTAATTTGGTGGACCTTAATCTTTTTAGTGCTCTCAACTTTGCTTCCATTATATTGGCAATTGATCTTCCTTATTTAAGAAGATCAAATTACAACTGAGCTGTTTTTATATTTTTTCAATCAATGCAAGCAATGGCAAGCAGTGTGTATGTTTGGCCTATTCCACCTGAGATCTGTTTAAGCCACGCAATTAGGAGGAGATCAGACAGAAGGGAGTCAACTTGGTAGAGAGTTTAAATCTGTGTGTAATCTCACACAGGTGCTGCTTCCTGTGCTCTGGAAAAGCCCTCATCACAAAACAGGACAATTGAGCCACACCTGGGTTTAAGCAGAACATCTGGACCTACTCTTTCTTACTCGCTCATGTTCTTCAAATCTTCCCTAAACAAATGGTGCTTTAGTGCAGGTCTGACACCAGAGATTTGTAAGCCCAATGTGTACTGCCAAATCCAGTTTGACACAAAACACAGCTACTCTTCTTGAATCAAATACATTACAGATATGATACCCCAGTCACATATTTCAATTAGTCAAACCTTAAGTAATTTATGGAGATCATTTCCACCAGTAGTAATAAATTTCCTAATGGCATTAACAATTAAACAGGGAATTTGAAGGAAAGGTTGAAGTACATATCTATTAAATTCTCATTCATTGGTCATATGCTCTTTTTTTTTTTCTAGTCATACAACCATTGACCAGGAAAGCCCTGAAAATAAAATATGGATGTAGATATAATTAATAGAATGCCAGTTTAAATAGGTCCTGGTTTCCTTAGGAAAAAGTACGTATTTGTTGAACTCAGTTACTTCTTAGATGTACAATTCTGAGATAGTTTTGCAATTAATTAATAACTATGTAAGTTAAGTATAATCTGGACCTAGCATTTTGTTAGAATAGCTCAACTCACACTTCAGCAAACTACCAATGTAATATGTGCAGCCTTATACATGGCTTTTCAGTAGTATTTTATGTGGAATTTTGACATTTCATATCAAGTGGAAACCAGGGAGTGGGAATGGTCAGCATGAAGCATGAATGTTATAAAGGGGTAGGCAACAATGGGGATTGTGTAGAGGGTATCATTTATAGATGTGCACAGTTTGGGTAAACACATCTAAATATATCTTACAGTATGAATATTTTGAATTGCTAACCAGTTCACAACAGTGAGTTATTACACTTGCTATGACGTTCTGCTTATTGTTTGAATTCCTTGGATTCAGTTGGTATGAGTGAAGTTCACCATCCTCAAGAAGGTTTGAGAGTAGAGAGGTAGGAGGGATTGGGGATTGAAGTCATGATGGGATGGAAGGTATGATGGAGAAGGAACACAAAGAGGACCTGTCACTCATACCACCTTGTAATAATACAGAAGGAGGCTCTGGAAGGTTCAGAATGCATTCTCAACTCTAAGGGGTGTTGATGGTTTAGCAGATAGTTCTGCAGCACAAAATGATGCCTTATTTCCTAAAGGATCAGGACAGACAGAGACTCCTTATCCTTTGGAATTCAGGGTAACCTGAGTCTATTCAGGTACTCCCAAGGTGGAGCTCATGAGCTCATGAGCTCGGGTACTCCCAAGGTGGGCCTTTCAGAAGAGCAAATTCATTTGTCTTGACTTTGTAGTGATGCAACTTGGTACTGAATCAAACTCAAGTGGTTAGTCATTCAAATAATGGCAGCACTTGATTTTCATCCCCAAAAGTCTCTCTTCATCATAGTTTTTTGTTGTTTTTGGGTGGATGCATGTTTATGATATTGAATATGTGAACTAAATAGGCTTTCAGGTTTGAGAATTCAGAAGTTGGTAGTATCTGTAACAACGTACTATGCTTTCAAAGTAATTGAGATAGTAATAGGTTTTTTTCCTCTGACTCTTATATTTTGTGATGTGAATAGATAAGTTACCCATATCAAAGTTAAAGTTTTCTTATGTCACTTTCTTGTATCCAGAAGAAGTAAAGAATAGGCATTAGAAGGATTGCAGACAGCATGGGAGTGGAAAAGCAAAGCAAAGACTTTTATAAAGTGAAAAGCAGGCTAGTGTGAGTATACAAAAATAGAAGCTGAAGTGCTTCAGCATATAGGCATACAGATAATCTTTTTAAGATTACTAAGAAAGGTAAAGGACTAGGAGGAAAAAACAATGTTCAAATTTAACAATTTGAAGAGAAATGGCTCTTCCAAGAGGAAAATGTGGTATAAGAGAGACATAGGATATCTTCTCTACAATTGAATGAGGGTCAAATAATTTTTGTCTAGGAAGAATAAGTTCTGAAATACATGTCTAATGGAGTATCTGTGGGAGCTTCCGAAGATGTAAAGAGAGAAAAGTGGAGTAACCCAGGTTATAAATAGTGGGGTTAACACATTATCCGAGTAGTAGAAAATGAGTTTCTTAAAGGTAGAGATTATGGCCTGGATATATTTGATTTCCCAGACCCTGGCACAAGCCCTGGCACATAGTACGTACTCAGTGTTTGAAGAATGAGCAGAGCTGTAAAGTTGTAAAAACTTCAGCCAGGATGGGAAATTAGCAAGGATGGGAAAGTATTTGTTAGACAGTAGGGTAAGAATAGGGAAAAAGATGACTTTCTGAATTAAAAAAACTTTAAAATATAATACAAACTAGCCTTTTTATGGATGAAATTTAGGTTGTAAAAGTTAATTCAAAAATCCTTGTTGGAAAATATCTTTTAAAGTTTCAGATCGTGTTTTCCAGTTAAAACATGCTCATTTGAGAATAAAAACACAACATAAAATTACATGGCCCTATTGGATAGTTTTGGAACAAAAAGACTGAGAAAAAGCTGGATATCATTCATATTTCTGATTGACAGCTCCATTCCACCTAGTGTTTCTGGTGAGATGACACAATGCTTTTCCTGTGCATCCACTTTCTAAAAATGAGAGTATATTTTTTCTACATGTGATCCAAGGGGGAAATACCTTCTTTCTTTCCTTCTCCTTTTTTTTTTAAACTACTGTCTATTTCTCCAGGTGCTATCAATAAGGTATTTTATAGATGGAGAAAATAAGGAAAGATTTGGTTGGTTAAGAAACTTGAGGTCTGTAGAATTTTAGCGAAGTCCTTGGAAATGATTTAGCGTTGTGCTTATTCAAGAGACAAAGCAAGAAAAAGAGCCTGCAATGGAACAGTAAGGAAATCTAGTTCTTAATTTTGGTGTTTCCTGAAAGGATTGATCTATTTGATATTAGGAAGACAAAAATATTCAGAATTACAGTCTTTATTTCTTCATGAGCTGGCTAAAAGAGAAAGCTTTACCTCCCTTTGTGGCTGACGGAGGCTCACACCAGCAGGTCAGTTGAGTAGCTGCCTCTCTGTGCTGGGCCCAATAGAGAGATCAGCCTCTTCACTTTCCTTTAGAGTCTTTAGGAGAACACAGGTTGGTCTCAGAGCTATTCTTTTATGTTTTTGTTAAATCTCTAAGGTTGAGGTTGATTAACTTTTAGATTAAGCCACACTTTGAGATGAAGTTTAAAATGTCTTAACCTTCAAATAGGAATGGAATTCTCACCAGTCATTATTTGAACTCACTGATGTTACAAATTTGTGGACGGATGTTATCCATTAAGGTGAAAGCAGAAAAGGGCTATAAAATTGACTCTGAAGGCTAAGTACTTTACCTCCAGGGAAGCACATATAAAACTCTGTTCTGAGCCGTATATATAGTAATAGTTAAGGTTTTGAACACCTGGTTCTTAACTGGCCTGGTAAAGTCATATAAAATACTGACATACCTTCTACTTACTGTTATTTTGATCTTTAGGCAGGGTACTATTTTTATGATATGTGCTTAGGAATTTAGCCTCAGTGATCAGTCAACTCAGAGGGCATTCACTGAATGCCAAACATGTGCCACTATAGAGGTAAAATTAAGTTTTGGGGTTAAGACTACATTTCTCAGTACCTGAATTGGCTTAATTCTTGGATTAAATGGAATAATCAGTAGTTCTTAACACCCTTTCCCAGTGATTTGACAAGTACACATTTTTCAGAGTGTTCAAAATCTACGAGGTGCTGCCTGCCTGGTTTAGTTAGTTGAGCCAGTTGGAAATATGGAATTAATGAGGCCAAAGTTCAATTCCCATATGGCCTAGGTCATTCTGTATTAGAAAAACTGTTCCATAACCACAGGCTGTATCTCTAACATCAAGTAGCTTCTTGATTTTCCAACAATAGCCGTGGTTCAAAAGAAGGACCACTCTAGGGTAATTGGGGCTCAAGGAAAATCATTTAGCATTCTTTAAAAATAATTTAAAGTTCATGTACTGTGATGACAATTCCGTAGTATCACCTCTGTCAATAAACATCATCATAGTTTATTGTATAGGTCTGCACAAATAGGAGAAGATAGAACACAACATCATCATCATCATAAAAGTCTAATTTCTCTGTGTATAATAGGATGTATGGGAAACAATGGATAGTTTTTTAGTTGATACATAATATTTTTACATATTTATAGGGCATATGTAGTATTTTGTTATATAATTGGAATGTGTAATGATCCGGGTGTTTAGTATAACCATCACCTCGGGCATTTACCATTCCAATGTGTTGAGAACATTTCAAGTCTTCCCTTCTAGCTATTTTGAAATATATGATACATTGTTGTTAACTATTATCACCCTACTTTGCTATCAAACATTAGCATTTATCCCTTCTATCTAACTGTATATTAGTACCTGTCTTAGTCTGTTTAGTGTTGCTATAAAGGCATACCTGAGGCTGGGGAGTTTATAAAGAAAAGAGATTTATTTATCTTACAGTTGTTCAGGCTATACAAGAAGCATGGTGCTGGCATCTGCTTGACTTCTGGTGAGGGCCTTGGGCTGCTTTTCCTCATGGTGGAAAATAAGAAGAAGCCATTGTGTGCAGAGATCACATGGTGAGAGAGGAAGCAACAGAGGAGGCAGTGACAGGTTCTTTTTAACAACCAGCTCTGGAAATAACTAACAGCAAGAATTCATTCACCACTCCCCTTCCAGAGAGGGAATTAATCTATTCCTGAGGGATCTGCCTCCATGACCCAAACACCTCCCATTAGGCCCTACTTCCAACACTGGGGATCATGATTAGTGATGCAGAGCATTTTTTCATGTTTGTTGGCCACTTGTATGTCTTCTTTTGAGAAGTATCTGTTCATGTTTTTTGCTCGTTTTTATTGGATGCAGTTATTTTTTGCTTGTTCAATTATTTCAGTTCCTTATAGATTCTGAATATTAGACCTTTGTTGGATACAGAGTTTGCAAATATTTTTTCCCATTTTGTAGGTTGTCTGTTTACTCTGTTGATGGTTTCTTTTTTTTTTTTTTTTTTTTTTGAGACGGAGTTTCGCTCTGTCGCCCAGGCTGGGGTGCAGTGGCGCGATCTCGACTCACTGCAAGCTCCGCCTCCCGGGTTCACGCCATTCTCCTGCCTCAGCCTCCCGTGTAGCTGGGACTACAGGCACGCGCCACCATGCCCGGCCAATTTTTGTATTTTTAGTAGAGACGGGGTTTCACCGTGTCAGCCAGGATGGTCTCGATCTCCTGACCTCGTGATCCGCCCGTCTCGGCCTCCCAAAGTGCTGGGATTACAGGCGTGAGCCACCGCGCCCGGCCTGTTGATGGTTTCTTTTGCTGTACAGAAGCTCTTCAGTTTAATTCTGATTCATCCATTTTTATTTTTGTTACAATTGCTTTTGAGGACTTAGTCATAAATACTTTCCCAAGGCCAATGCCCAGAATGGTGTTACCTAGTTTTCTTCTAGGATTCTTATAGTTTGAGGTCTTACATTAAAATTTTTAATCCATCTTGAGTTAATCTGTATAGATGGTGAAAAGTAGAGGTCCATTTCCATTCTTCTGCATATGGCTAGCCAGCTATCCCAGCACAATTTATTGAATAGGGAGTCCATTCCACAGTGCTTGTTTTTGTCATCTTTCTCAAAGATTGGACAACTGTAGGTGTGCAGCTTTAATTTTGGGTTTTGTATTCTGTTTCATTTGTCTATGTGTCTGTTTTTGAACCAGTACCATGCTGTTTTGGTTATTGTAGTATTATACTGTAGTTTGAAGTCATTCTTTTTCTTTCTGGTATAGGACTCTCTTACACATTTCTTGTAGGGCCAGTCTAGTGGCAATGAATTCCTTTAGTTTTTGCTTGTCTGAGAAAGTCTTAATTGCTCCTTCATTTATGAGAATAGTTTTTCTGGGTATAGTACTCTTGATTGGCAGGTTTTTTTTCAGAATTTTAAATATATTATCCCACTCTATCCTGGCCTATAAGGTTTCTGCTGAGAAATACACTGCTAGTATGATGGGGTTCCCTGAAGAGTGGCTAGATTTTCTCTTGCTGTTTTCAGAATTCTCTCTTTGTCTTTGACTTTTGACAGTTTGACTAAAATGTGCTGTGGAGAAAACCTTTTTGGGTTGTATCTATGCAGGGATCTCCAAGCTCCCTGCATCTGGATGTCTCAATCTCTTGCTAGACTTGGGAAGTTTTCAGCTATTAGTTTTTTAAAAGTAGGTTTTCTATGCCATTGAACTTCTTTTCACCCCACATTAGAATGCTTGGATGCTTTATAGTGTCCCATACTCATGTAGGCCTTCTTCATTCTTTTGTTTTTAGTCTGACTGAGATATTTCAAAAGACCTGCCTTCAAGTTCTGAAATTCTTTCTTCTTGAGCTAGTCTACTGTTGAAGCTCTTGATTATATTTTTATTTTGTTCATTGAATTCTTCAGGTCCACGGTTTCTGCTTTGTTTTTTTTTAATGATATCTATTTCTTTGGTAAATTTATCATTCATATCCTTAATTGTTTTTTCTGCTTTCTTTGTATTGCTTACTTGTGTTCCCTTATATCTCATTGTGCTTTCTTAATATCATTATTTTGAATTCTTAAATTCTTTTTCAGGCATTCTATACATTTATTTTTTATTGGAATCTGTTGCTGGACAATTATTGTGTTCCTTTGAAGGTGCAGTATTTTCTTGGTTTTTCATGTTTCCTGTGTCCTTTCACTGATTTCTGCACATCTGGTATAATAGTTGTTTCTTCCAATTTTTTGGATTGGCTTGCATGGGGAAGATTTTCTGCTAGATGTGTCTGTGGTGTTGGCTGGGTAGAGCGCTTCAGCTTTGATTCTGGGTTTATGCAAGAGTGCAGTCTCCATCTGCTTTCTTTGGCTATAAACACCATCGATTGTGTTCGTGATTTTCTCAGTGGCTTAAGTTATGTTTTCTTAGTGAAGGCTGTAGTGAGGTTTTACTCAGGATGGAATGCCAAGTAGACCAATCCTTGGGCCCTAGTGGTGGCAGTAGTGGGCTGAGTGTGCCTATCTTTGGCCCTCCAGGTGGGATATTTAGGCACTGGTGTTAGTGGGCCCAGGCAGGCTGATTCTTGGGTGTCCAGGGAGCTTGCTTAGGTGCTGGTAGTGACAGTAGTGGGCTGGGGAAATGGGTGAGGCCTGAAGCTTTTGAGCAATGTGTGTGGTGTGGATGATGGTAGTAGTGGTTGTGGGACATCCCTCAGGCTCCCAGGTGGCACTTGCTGGTGTTGGTGGTAGTTGTGATGGCCTCCATGGACCACTCCCAAGCCCCCATGTGATGCATGCAGGAAGGCACCAGTGGTGGTGGTGGTGGCAGATTGGATGGGCCCATCCTCAGACCTCTAGAAGGAGTGCCCAGATGCCAGTGCTGGTGGACAGGGCAGAGCAATCCCCAGGCTCTTGAGTGGCATGCTTGGGCACTGGCAACAGGTGTTTTGGACTTGTTGTTAGGTCCCTAGTGGTGTATACATATACCCTTGGTAACCAATAGAGTGCCCCATGTCTCCAGCTGGCATGCTTGGGCACTTGGGAGGGGCAGGGCCAGGCCAGGCAGGCCTATCCTCAGGTGGCGTACATGGGAACAGGTGGTGATGAGCAAGGAAGGGTGATCCATAGGTCCTGTTCAATGTGTTTGGGTGACAGTGCAGTAATGGCAGTGGACAGGGATCAGGGTGCATGCAAGTGCACTGCAGTTCAGCTGCTGGTGGGAGCAGGGGCAGGGTTTCTGTCAGTGACAGCAGCCTCAAGTCTGCAGAGTGCTCTTTGGCTCCTTTTGTCCTTGGCAGCAGCCTCCCTGATATGTTGTATCACCCTTTTGCTAGTGTGCAGGACACAGTGTGGACCAGGGTGCTGGGGACACTGCCACTGTGCTGGGTCTAACCTATATCATACCACTGCAGCTCTCTGGGTGGATGTTGGGGGATGTCATTGGGGCTTCAAGGATATGGAGATGCAGGGGCTACTGGGCCCTGTGGCAGGATACAGTCTAATGTGGGCAGGGCTCTTAAAATGGCACCATTCTGCAACTACCTGAGACTTGGGAGCTGACAAGCCAGAATGCACTTCCTCTCTGAAGCAATACCATTATGCAGACTCCAGGGAGCTCCTTATACCTGTCTCAGAGTTTGCAGGGGTCAAGGGACTCTCATGGCTAGGATTACAAGAGTCCATGGTAAGAATGTGGACCACAGAAGATCTCCCACTTACCACTGGACATCTCTCACTTTCCCCACACTGGGAAGACTCTCTGGGCTCCCCACTAATCTTGGCAAGGTCATCTGCCTCCCTTTCCTCTCCTTCTGTGCCTCAGGTGTTTCTTGTCACTTCTCTGCTGAATTTCAGTGTTCTCTCTTGGTTGTTCTATTTGAAGTATGATTATTTACTCATTATTTTGGTTTCTGTTTGTGGAGGAGACAGAGTCCAGTGCCTCTATTCAGCCTTCTTGAAGCCCCTATAATAATAGCTAGTGTTTATTGAGCATTTCCTATCTGCCAGCTATTGTTCTAAGATTTTTATATGTATTGACTTATATAATCTTTCTAATAACGCTGTGAAGTAAGCACTTTCAATAACCCTATTTTATTCATGAGGAAATAGGAGCATAGAGACCTTAAACAATTTGCTCCAAAGTGGCATAGCTGCCGTATGAAACCAGGCAGGCTGATTACAGAGCTCTTTTATTAACCACTGCACTCAACATAGGAACTTCCTGGAGACGAAATGAGTTAGCTTGACAGGCAACTCTCAGATAGATAAGAGCTATAGAAGGACTGACCCCCTAGTTCACTGGTGAATGCTAACTGCAGAATAGTTTGGTTATTTTTATTTTATAGTTCAACCACCAAACTCACCAATGAGCTAAAATCAGTCCAGGAATTTTCAGCCTTTCAATTCTCATGACACTTTAAACTAAGAAAACAAGCACTTGAATATTTCTTTGCAAACATATTCTTACAATTCGTAACAAAGGCTTTTAAATTCAAAAGCTGTCTCTATTGTCTGTGCAATAAAACGCCATTTAAGCTACTACATAAAATTGAGCTAGACACTCAAAATCAAATTAAAGGGCATGATCTTCTCTCTGTTGCCTTCTTCCCATCAGTGTCACAAGCATGTCCAAGGCTCCCTGATGGAGAAAAGCCTCCATGAGCCCCAGCTTTCTGACAATCTGTCCACATTCACATATCTTTCCTTTTAAGCTTGAATTCTGAAATCACTGTCATCCCTCAAACCACTGCAGTGTGCCTTCCTGTTCTGTTCTACTAAAGGAAGTCCCTTGAACATCACCAATCCTCTCCTTGAAGCTAACTCTAATGATCTTTTCTGGATCCTTTTATTTTGCCTGCCCTCTCCAGAGTGATGTTGCCTTCCAACCCGGCCCTCATGTTCATTAGGCCATTTCATTCCATATCCTACATTTCTTGTCTGTTTCTGTTACTCAGCCTGGCTCAACCACAGACATTTCCTTAAATTCTTGAAGTCCTTAACCATCTCCTCTCCTCATCCTCTGTTCTTGCCCAGGGTGACTTCATTTCTATTCACACACCCAAAAATGACTTCTTTATGGGAGATGCCAAAATTCAAATCTTTGAAGTCCTGGCTTCTCTTCTAAGCACCAAACCTACTTTTCCATCTCCTTCCTAGTTATTTTCTTCTGGTTAGCCTAGTAACATTTCAAACTCAATTTGTCCAAACTGTGTTCTTGTCTCCAAACTATCCTCATATTTGTACCTTATTGTTATTGGCTTTCCCCTGTTCCTAATTTCCTACTTCCAATGGTTTGTCAAAATTTATTGATTATTTTTCTTAAAAAGCTTTGAAATCAATCTGTTTTTCCATTCTATTTCTATGGTAATAATTGAGATCTTCCATACAAAATTATCGAGCATCTACTATGTCTCAGGCATTGGGCTAGGGATACAAAGATACATAAGGTGATAGGGCTTTATTCCAGTAGGAAGCAAGTTATTAGTGTGACAAATGTTATGATAGAAGAAAGTATGTACGGTGTGTCCTGGGAGTCCAGAGTGCAAAGGTGGGAAAACAATTGCTATTGTCGCAGGGAATGGAATTGGATAATCAAATGCGTTGGAGTTATTTGCCTGTACACAGCAAATTAGCTTTCCTGAGCACCAAATAAACAATTATACAAGCAATGTTTTAGTTAACCTGTTTCATCATCAGCTGAAACGTTTTCTTCTTAAAATGATATTTATTATTCTAAGTGCAATCTGCCTCTCTCTTCTGACAGTGATAATTTGAGTATTATAAAAGTCTGCTTGTTCTGTGTTATGTGACCCATGAGATGTTCAGAGGCACTCTGATTTCATACTAACAAGGGTAAAATACAGGGAAATTCTATCATCATGAAAGAACCACTCAAATGTCATTATGGATATTACTAGAACCAGAAATGAAAGAAATGCATGACAATATTGAAAATGTTTTTAAGCACTGCTGTTTATTTTCAAAACCTTTAAAAACTTAATTTAATTAATGGAAGAGTAGTTTATTAGCTCAAAATTTCATCTTTAATTCAAATATGCTTGCATTTAGGGCATAAAGTTATTAGAATTATTATTGTATGTCAAAAGGTCAAATATTGGCAGTTTTATATGGCTTACCCTAAGAAATCTGTAAGCATTTTTTTCAGCTGTTGGGACCAGTAGAATTGAAAGTGTGAACTATGATTCTTAAGGTAATCAAAGAGAGTCCATTTTATGAATTAGTCATTATCATTCTTTATTTCTATTTGATTCATTTTATTTTCTTATTCCAGAAGAGAGTCTTAAAGGATTAATACTTTACTTTTCCAAAGGATCCTCTTTACAGTATAAATGAATATATTTTTAAAATATATATTTTAGATAATATATATAATATATTTAATATTGTATTAGAGATAATATATGAATAATATATTTAATAATACTAACTTTTATATAATTTTATATATAAAATATATTTTAATAGAAATATATATGTGTGTGTATATATATATATGCATTCATACTGTAGTGGGAGAGGAAGAGTCTTGACAAAGCTCTCACCTGAGTACTTTTTGGATTTGGAGTTCCTCAAGATAGCTGTAGATGCTAGAGGTGGGAAGAACCAGGTCTTTCCTTTTAATGACAATGTATCTAAGGGAATGTGTGCGCCTTCAGCTTTGTTCCTTTTGTTCAAAATTGTTTTGGTTATTCAGGGTCTTTTGTGGTTTCATATACATTTAAGGATTGTATTTGTCTTTTTCTCTCTCTTTCTTTTTTTTGGCGGGGGGGGGGGGTCTCACTCCGTCATCCAGGCTGGAGGGCAGTGGTGTGATCAATCATGGCTCACTGCAGCCACAACCTTCCCCTGGGGTCAAGTGATCCTCCCACCTCGGCCTTCAGTAGCTGGGACTACAGGAGTGCAGCACCTTGCACAGCTAATTAAAAAAAATTTTTTTTGTAGAGACAGGGGCTTACTATGTTGCCCAGGCTGGTGTCAAACTTCGGGGTTCAAGTAATCCTGCCACCTTGGCCTTCCAAAGTACTGGGATTATAGCTGTGAGCCATGGCAACAGGCCAGGATTGTTTCTTCTATTTTGTGAATAATGACATTGGAATTTTGATAAGGATTGCATTGAAACTGTAGATCACCTTGGGTAGTATGGACATTTTCACAATTTAATTATTCTAATCCTTGAACACAGAATATCTTTCCATTTATTTGTGTTTTCTTCAATTTCTTTAATCAGTGATTTATAGTTTTTAGTATACAGGTCTTTCACCTCGTTAGTTAAGTTTTTCCCTAAGTATTTTATTTTTTTGTTGCTATTGTAAATGGATTTGTTTTCTTAATTTCCTATTCAGATAGTTTGTTATTAGTGTAAAGAAATGCTACTGATCCATGATCTTACTTATATGTGAAATCTAAAAAAGTTAAACTCATAGAAGTAGAAAATATAATTATGGTTAGTCACCAGGGGCCAGGGATGGGGAGAGAAAGGGAATGGGGAGTTGCTGGTCAAAGGGTACAAATTTTCAGCTAGACAGGCGGAACAGCTTTTGAGATCTATTGCATAACATGGTGACTATATTTAATATTTATTTCAAAACAATTGAGAGTGAATTTCAAATGTCCCACCATAAAAAATGTGAGGTAATAGATGTTAATTAGCTTTATTTAATCATTTCATATTGTATACATATAACAAAACATTACTTTGTACCCTGTAAGTATATACAATTATGATTTGTCAATTTAAAATAATATTAATAAAAAATAAAGGCAAGACATCTAAGAATTAGGGATATTAATATACCTAATACTATGCAGCTAACTATTCACAGATTTGGGACTAGCTCTTTCTTTTTGTAGAGGCTAAGAGTATATTCTAGAAATGAGAGAGACACACAGAAAGAGAGAGAGAGAGAGACAGAGAAATTTGGAGGATTTATGACAGTATTAAAGAGTCAAACTTATTTCTGGGCAAACATGACCTTCATGATTTCTCTGAGTCCATATTCCTCTGGCTCCTTCTGTCGTAATCCCTCCAGGTCCGTTGTCTTCCTGTTGGTCTGCAGGACCCCACGTGAGCTGTTCTGTGGCAGCAGGAACGGGCACTGATGGCTCCAGGAGCTACCTTGAGATGTGGTCTTATGTTCCAAGAGTTGGGAGTTACAAAAGCATTTCTTTAAAAAAAAATCATAGTTTCTAATATAAAATGTTCATTTACTTTTGCATCTATTCTTCAAGAGCCAGATAAAAGATTAAATGGAACAAATGTTTCAACTACTTTAATGTTCATATGATCCTTGCAAGTGTCCTCAAGGAAATAAATTTTGAGAAACATTTCAGTGCACATTTTATTTACTTATTAGTATAATGATACTCTCAGTTTTTTGATTTGCCCAAAAGAGTAATCCAAAGTGGAGGTATAATTTCTTAATCTAATACTGTGCCACAGAATCTCTCTGGAACCTAGATGGTATTTCAGAGTTGTTTTATTTAATTTAATAATAGACAACAAAATATAATATTGCCAGTAGAGCAAAGGTATTAACTCTCAAATTCTTACTCTACCTTCAGAGTAAATCTATTTTAAAATTTTTGTTCAAGAAAACCCAACAATTGAAAATATTGATTTTCTAAAATATGTAAATGAATATGTGACTAAAATGTAATTTGCTGAGAAAAGCTTCTAGTATTCTTGGTGCACTGACAAAGTACTCACAGTTCTCTTTGAACATCTAAAAGTCTGTTGTATCATGCTCTGGATGAGCTTTTAGATGAAAAAAAAAAAGTTGGCTAATTGACCTATTTTAAACCATTCTTACTATGTCCTCAGCCTGGAAACCAGAGTGCGCCTCTAAAGAACTGAATTTTTATGAGGTGTAAAATCAGCATTGCCAAATGGGACTTTGTGGAGCTCTCTGCAACCTCATAGTAGAGTGATGCAGGCTACTAGATCATTTGTGTATCTTTAATAGGCTACGATTAACTCTTCTTAAAAGGAAATGTGTGAGATGTCTTGGTAATGTATAAATCTTCATGAATAGGACACATTTTTATTTATATAGGACCTAAGCCAGGAATCCCTCTACATATCCATTTATATTTTATTTGTTCTGCAGACTTAAAAATGTTGGCAGGACAGATTGCATGCATGGCATCTTGAGTAGTGATGCATTCTTGATACACTGATAAAGAAAAATGGGTAAACCAGCTTGGGTTTTCTCAACTTTTAGAGAAAGGAGAATCTTATTATTACTGTACTAAATACAGTACTAATAATCTCTTAGTTATATAGTCCTTTCCAGTTCACAGTGTAAATTTTCTCATATTTTTTATATTGTGTGATCCTCACAGACACTCTGGGAGCTGAGTAGGGCAAGTAACACCTTTAAGTTATAGATGAAACAAGCATTCAAGAGAATTTGCTCGGAAATATAGCAAAAGTGATCTTCAAGTCCAAAGTTCTGGCCAGCACTTTCATCACAGGACTCTAATGATATGATCTCAGGAAGTCTGAAAGAACAAAACTTTCCAAAACTTTAACTTGAAGCGTTTGGATTCTCAGATTCTAAACTAAGCTAGTACTTCATTTTCCCACAACTGGGAATTTAATGATAAAATTATCAATCTATTTGAAAATCCAGCCTGAGAAGAGTATAGAGGCAAAAAAGAGAGTTTAGGCACTTAACCCTTGTGAAAGTAGGTGGACATGGAGGAGAAGAGAACTTAAGCAAAGATTTTAATAATTCCCAAGTGACTTTTTAAAGGGTTTGAATTCTAAACTCATTGAAACCTCATTATAACATTGTCTTTGAGGTTCACACTTTAGAATCACCTTATAGGAGAAATCTTGACCCTCTTTGGTTGAATTCCCAATATCTGTAATTCAGTGACTGTTATATAATACTAGCAATGGTCTAGTATCAAGGGTACATTTACTTTCTCTATAAAATGGCATTGATTTTATTCCCATTGATAATGTTTGCTAAATAAAGAGAAATAAATTCTCCTCCTCCTTCTTCTTTTCTTCTTTGTGTATCTGTGTATAACTTACCCTTCCAAACTAAACTGTTAATTCTCAAAAATGGAGACTACATTCTATTTATACTAGCTGTACAATAAATATTAGTTGAACTCAGTTACTTGTATAACATTTGCTGGGTGTCTTTCAGACAGTACTTACTATGTATTTCATGTCTCTACACAATTTATCTTTTGTGCAATTTTAAAATAATTTTTATAATGGATTTTTATAATAGTTCTAATTCCTTCTTCCATATATAGAAAATCCACCTACTCAAGTAAATTTCATGGGTATTAAATATTATGTGTATGCATATACAGGACATTAAAATATATGGACTTTATTAATATGAAGACCACTATGGTACCAGTTAATGATTCATTACTTTACTGGGTTCAAATTTTAGTTCTGAGTCATCCTAGCCATGGAACTTTAGGCAAATAACTGTAGTATTCTAAGGCCCAGTGTTCCCATCCACAAAATGGTGAGGATAACTCATAAGACTGTTATGAGAACTAAATGAGGCAATGCATAATACTTGACATATGGTAAATTCTCACATATTAGACATTAGTAAGGTTACTTTTAACTAAGGATATTTAGTGATGAATATACAAATGCTTGTTCTTATTTGAATAATGAAATCCTTGAGTGGCACCTGAATTGCTTTCACAATTGTTTTTTCAATCTGAGTAAAAACATTATAGATTTTGTTTCAAAATAAAAATAGATATTATAAAATATTTGGAAAATGAAATTATACAACCAATTTACATTTCCATTTGCTTTTTTATCATCACCCTAAATATCAGATCCTGTTTAAAGTTAGTTTTTAAGAGGATACTGCTTCCTTGGACCTGTACAGTCCACTGGCATTTGCCTATTGTGCCATGTTCTCATTATGACACTGCGGGAGATTGTTTTTCTCATGACCACAATACCTCCCATCCCACATGTATCCTGCCTCATTTGAAAACACTGTGGGGCTGGGCACGGTGGCTTACGCCTGTAATCCCACACTTTGGCAGGCTGAGGTGGGTGGATCACTTGAGGTCAGGAGTTCAAGACCAGCCTGGCCAATGTGGTGAAATCCTATCTCTACTAAAAATATGAAAATTGGTGGCGTGTGCCTGTAGTCCCAGCTACTCTGGAGGCTGAGGCAGGAGAATTGCTTGAACCTGGGAGACAGAGGTTGCAAAGAGCTGAAATCACACCACTGCACTCCAGCCTGGGTGACAGAGTGAGACTCTGTCAAAAAAAAAAAAAAAAAAAAAAAAAAACCACTTTGGAAGTTACCACAATTCTAAGATGCTAAATTTTGCTTTAGTACTGCTAGGAATTCTTTAGCTATCAAGTGTTTACCAGCCTTTAAGAGGAAAACACTTCCTTATTACATAAAATCACTAGTTACATGGTTGAGTGGTTTCTTTCATTTGAGTGGTTTCTGACAGCTGCAGCAAACAGAAGGAAAAGGAAAAGCTAGACAGATTTGGGAGAGCTCAGACATAATACACCATATAGTAGAGATTCCTAACTTTACTTAATGATAAGGGCTTGTTAAAAATACAATTACCCAGGCCCTTTCCTTGAAGAGCCTGAGCCAATAGGTCTGGAGTAGGCTTCCAAATCTCTATTTTTAACAATTTTGTCAGATGATTCTTCTAATCTGACCAGTTTGTAAAGCACTTCATATGAAAGTGCTTTACAACCTATGAGACTACAAGAACAACCTCAAGGAAACACTCCTTTATTTTCCTCGTGTTTTAAAAATATTGGCTGGGTGCAGTGGCTCACGCCTGTAATCCCAGCACTTTGGGAGGCCGCAGCAGGTGGATCACCTGAGGTCAGGAGTTCAAACCCAGCCTGGCCAACATGGCGAAACCCCGTCTCTGCTAAAAATACAAAATTAGCTGGGTGTGGTGGTGGGCACCTGTAATCCCAGCTACTCGGGAGGCTGAGGCAGGAGAATCGCTTGAACCCGGGAGGTGGAGGTTGCAGTGAGCCGAGATCGTGCCATTGCACTCCAGTCTAGGGACAGGGCAAGATTACATCTCAAAAAAAAAAAAAAATCAATAAACACAGGGAAACAGCAGGTAAAATAACCTATAATATAATTTCTCAGAATCAAAATGACTCTCAGAAATCCTTACAAAGGGGAACTCTGGAATCAGACCGCCTGGGTTCAAATCCAGACTCCCCCACTACCAGTGTGATCATGGACAAATGATTTAATTTCTTTGTGTTCTGACTTCTTTTAATTTGTAAGAAAGCAATGATAATATTACCTTGTAGGGCAGCTTTGAAGATTAGATGAGTTAACACATGTGAAGGCTTAGATAGTCCTAGGAATTCATAGTAAGTACTCAGAAATGTTAGCCATTTTTATAAATACTCTAGGAATTATTAATAGTAGTGCTCTCATCACTGCTACATTGTGGCAGTGCTATGGTTTGGATGTGGTTTGTCCCCATCAAAACTCATATTGAAATTTTATCTCCAATGTGGCAATGTTGGGATGTGGGGCTTAGTTGCGGGGTGTTTGGGTCATTGAGGTGGATCCCTCATGAATAGATTAATGTCATCCTGAGGTGGTGAGTGAGTTGTTGCTCTCATGGGAATGGATTAGTTCCCAAGAGAGCAGGTCATTAGAAAGAGTCTGACTTCATCAGTTTCTCTCTCTTGCTTCTTATCTCACCACGTGATCTCTTTGTACATGTCCATTCTCCTTCCACTTTCTGCCATGAGTGGAAGCAGCATATGGAGGCCCTCATCAGATGCAGCTGCCCAATTTTGAACTTTCCAGCCAACAGAATTGTGAGCCAAATAAACTTCTTTTCATTATAAATTACCCAACCTCAGGTATTATGTTATAGCAGCACAAAACGGACAAAGATAGGTAGGTTGTATTTTCCAAAGAAGACAACAATACTTCACATGTTCATACACAATGTTACCTTGCCACTCCACATGTTAAGATCAAGAAGAAACTTTAATTCCTCTTTTCTTGAATTTGAGTAGGCTTATGACTGCTTTGACCCATAGAGTATGGTGAAATGTGACTTCTGAGGCTAGGTCATAAAGTGATTGATATGGTCTGGCTCTGTGTCTCCACCCAAATCTTATCTTGAATTATAATTTAAATTGTAATACCCATCTGTTGAAAAAGGGACCTCATGGAAGGTGATTAGATCATGGGGGTGGTCCCCCCATGCTGTTCTCATGATAGTGAGTGAGTTCTCATGAGATCCGATGGTTTTATAAGGGGCTTTTCTCTGCTCTCCCTGCACTTCTCTCTCCTACCCCCATGTAAAGAAAGACATGTTTGCTTCCCTTTCTGCCATAATTGTAAATTTCCTGACGCCTCCCCAGCCATGTGGAGCTGTGAGTCGATTAAACCTCTTTCCTTTTTAAATTACCCAGTCTCAGGTATGTCCCTATAGCAGTGTGAGTACAGACTAATACAGTGATGCCACTTCCACCTGTTTGCTGGAACATTCATGCTTGGAGTCCTGAATTGTCATGTAAGAATCTGATTAGTCTAAGGCTGCTGTGCTGGGAGGATGGTAAGTTACCCGAAGAGGCCACATGTAGGTGCTCTGGTTGGCAGTCTTAGTCTTTGATTCATCCTACCCACTCATGTGAGTGGAGGAGCCTCTAAGTGATGTCAGCCTCCTGCTGTGGAGTCACTTCCAGCTTCCATGTCTTCTCAGCTGCGGTCCCGGACGTCATGGAACAGAGGTAAACCATTCCCACTAGATTCCTCACCCAAGGAATCTATAAGCATAATAAAATGGTTGCTACTGCAAGCTACAAAACTTGGGGATAGTTTATTATATAGAAATAGTCACTGGAATATCTATCTTTCCAACTTCATGAATGTATTTATCATTTCTGCCTTTTTTACTGCTCAGTCTTTGTCACCTAGCACATAGCAGTTCTCAACTATTTGTGGAACAATGTAATGTATTATATTTTAAACAATTCCTTATTGTTGGATAAACAGTTTGTTATTATTCTCAATTATTTTACTTATCATTTAGAGTAAATACGTGGGAGTGGAATTGCTGAGTCATAGAATATTATAAATGGTTTTGATATGAATATATTGAAACATTTTATTGCTGTCATTGCCTAACAAAAGAATCATCCCTAGAGAGCCTGTTAAAATTAAACCATCGACATGTACATTGAAGAACTAATGTATGCTAATTAAATGCACAGGAGTGATTTATAAACAAGAATGATGACTTTTGAATAGAATACCAATGGATTAACTTTAAATAGGAGGTTTTCTAACCTCATTGTTCTCTACTTGATTTCTAGGGGTCCAAGAATGTAATAAACAAGAGGTCTACAAGCTGTGTCAAATATTTCTGTAAACCTAACTTATGTGTTGTTGTATTAAGGCAAGATGTTAACAGGCACGATAAGTTTCACTTCCTTTGGCTAAACATATAAATTATCTTGTATTTATCAGACATTCTCATGTTGCAACCATAGGAATTTGGTGGCAGAATTGCTGTAGCATCTACTATTAGCAGAGCCACATATCAGATAGTTTTTGAATTGAGCACATCTATCCTTTGACATTTGACAGTGGGGTAGACACAAGTAAGGGCTCAGTAGCAGTAAACAGTGCTTAGCTGCCTAAATCCTTATTTAAATCAATTGTTTATTAGCACTGACATGTTTCAGCATATGCTACCCCAAATATGGAACCTTAGTATTTGAGAAACAGCAGAAGCAGGAAGATCTCTCTGACCTTCTCCTGCCATTCTCCCCTGCAGCAGACCATAAAATAACTCTCTGACCTTCCTTTAAAGTAGGTCATAATACCCTCATTCTAGAGGGATCCCTCCTATACCCAGAGGAAAGAATGCCCTTATCTTTAAAGACACAGGAATACAGAGAAGAATCTGAACAAACAGGCCTTACTAAGCCCTCCCTCCCGGGGTATTACCATTAGATCATACTCTTTTGTCTTTTATTTATCCTTTTACATGACTGTCCACTATTCATCAAACCAAAGCATAAAATATTCAGATTTTCCTGTTTTATGGGTCTTCATTTCTGAAGGCTCCTGTGCCATGTAAACTTATATGAAATACATTTATATGTTTTTCTCCTATTAATCTGCCTTTCATTATAGGAGTCTTAGCCGCAAACCTAGCAATGAATAGAAAAAATATTACCTTTTCTATCTTATGGCCTCATAACCATATTAATGATTTGTGTTATTTTACAGTATTATGGTGAACACTTACTGACTTTTGATTTTTAGGTAAAAGTTTGAAAAATATAGATGTGTAGGGGAGGGGTTTCATTTATAATTGTTTCAATAGTGAAGAAAAAATTAAGTTGTTACAAACATAAAGTTTTAACAGAGGGAAATGGATTACTGTTTTTCAAGTCTAGAGTGTTAGAAAAAAAACCTTCTTTTTTTTCTCCATTCACTGGAAAGTCAGCATAATAGAACTCAAAAACATTGGGATTTGGGGTCAAAGAACAGGGGATAATTTCCAGCTGGGTGAAACTGGACAGTCCTTGGACATCTATGAGCCTCATCTGTAAAATTAGGGTAATACTTTTAGGGTTTTGTGAGGACTAAATGAGTTAGTGCATAAAATAATCAATCACAATGGATGGTATGCAGGTGTCCGATAAATGTTGGTGGAATCCAAATTTATCTTTTTAGATCTCTGTCTCGAGCTTTCAGAACTGGGGCATCATTTTTCCCTGAATACTAGTGTAAATATAATAATCTTAGATTTTTCTAGACCACCAGATAGTTCACCCTTTTGCTGATTCATAATTTTCTCCAGCTGTTGGATGAGATTGCACCTTTTTTTTTTTTTTTTTAAGTAGAGACAGGGTCTTACCATGTTGCCCAGGCTGGTCTGCTCTCAAACTCCTGAGCTTAAGCAATCCGCCTGCCTTGGCCTCCCAAAGTGCTGGGATTCTAGGCATGAGCCACCACGCCTGGCCCTACACCTTTCTTTATACACTAGTTGTGTTACTGATAATCAAGGGAGCACCATGTTTGAAAACCATCTTGTCAGGTGAGTTACCAGACAGATGGTGAATCTTATTTGCTTTGTCTTATTTTAGTATGAATTCCAGAAGGTGGCTTTTTCTAATTTTATTCTTAACAATTTTATATCTTAATAAAAACATATGACATGCTATATCAGATCTTTTAGAACATGTAAATTTCTATGCATTGATAATATCCACAATTGAAAATATAATTAAAATCATATTATTGGAAGTCAATTTAGAATTCATGTGATTTTGTTATCATTTTCATTATATTCTTTAGGAAACTGAAGTCCAAATAGGTCAAAGGACTGCAGGAAAAAGCAGAAGCAAACTAGTAGTTAGTTATCTAACAGAACATTTTCATTTTATGTATTCGGAGGCCCTGATAATGGTAAAGCACATGGTCATGATAAAACACAGAGACTAGCTCTTGGGAATCATGCCTCCTATTCCAGTCCTTTTCCCAACTACTTCCCTCTGATTTTATAATTCAAAAATATATTACCAAGTTAACAATAAAAACTTTAGATACCTAATTGCTAATTGAGAAAAGACTCACACTAGGTTTAAATAAGGTCCTTAAGAGAGCACTGGACAAGTTTTAGAGAGTTTGTTTGCCATAAAATGAATGACGAAGTTAAAACATTTTGAGGTGGAACATAAGGTAACTTTACAGTGACAAATCTTCAGGTGATTACAGTAATCTTAATGTCTTTTGCATACTTTTCATTTTGTCTTGAGTCTTAATCCAAACAAAGCAACCGGATAACAAAAGAATGAAGTAAGTTCCTGGATAGATTTGAAGCTCAATTTGTCTCCTTATATGGGTAAACTGTATTAAAACTCACATCTGTCTTTGGACAACAAAAACATAAAAATGTACACGAAATGTTGGCAAAAGTTAGGTTAGTTTATTTTCCCACAAAAAAATTGATATTGTCTGGCTTACATAGGTACTGAAAGCAGGTGTGTATTTAGTACAGAGTTTATACTTTTCTAGAAGTGAGTAATTTTTAAAGGGTTTTTTTTAGCTCCTCTAACAAAATGTTACAATATCAGACTAACTTACAAATTGAACTTTGTCAGCTTGGTAACAAGCAGGACAGAATATACTGTAAACTTTCTGAGACCTCATCCTGCTACAATTCAGTTGATTTATTTCTTTCTCTTTTTCTTTCTTTCTCTTTCTTCCTTTCTTTCTCTTTTTCTTTCTTTTCTTTTCTCTCTCTCTCTCTCTCTTTCTTTCTTTCCTCTTTGTTTTTTTTTTTTTTGAGACACAGTCTCGCTCCATCACCCAGGCTGGAGTGCAGTGGCACAATCTTGGCTCACTACAACCTCTGCCTCCCAGGTTCAAGCGATTCTCCTGCCTCAGCCTCCTGAGTAGCTGGAATTACAGGCACACACCACCACACCTGGCTAATTTTTGTATTTTTAGTAGAGATGGGGTTTCACCATGTTGGCCAGGATGGTCTCAATCTCCTGACCTCGTGATCACCCACCTCGGCATCCAAAAGTGCTGGGATTACAGGCGTGAGCCACCGCGCCTGGCCAACTGATTTCTTTAGTCATCTTATATAGTTGTCACTTGGTTATAGAGACATCATAAAACTGAGGGAAACATATTAATTGTATTACTTCAGCAGTTCTCATGAATAATTGTCCTAGCTCATGTTCTCAATTTTCAAAAAAAAAAAAAAAAAAAGTGAATGAACAGATGTCCCTTTTTTGGATGCTGATTTTTTTTTTTTTTTTTTTGAGACAGAGTCTTGTACTGCCACCCAGGCTGGAGTGCAGTGGCACAATCTCGGCTCACTGAAACCTCCACCTCCCGGGTTCAAGAGATTCTACTGCCTCAGCCTCTCTGAGGCTGGGATTACAGGCGCACACCACCGTACCCGGCTAATTTTTGTATTTTTAGTAGAGACGGGGTTTCACCATGTTGGCCAGGCTGGCCTTGAACTCCTGACCTCAAGTGATCCGCCTGTCTTGGCCTCCCAAAGTGCTGGGATAACAGGCATGAGCCACCGTGCCTGGCCCAGGATGCTGATTTTAACAATCAGGCTAAGGCTGAGAGGGCTCTGAAATTCTGAAACGGCTAAGGTATTCTACAAAGGTGGTTAGACAGGGTTACATATTTATTTTACTATTTATACAAAGATGCTTCTCAACTTATAATGGGGTTACATCCCAATAAACCTATCAAAAGCTGAAAATATCATAAGTTGAAAATGCATTTAATGCACCTAATGTCCCAAACATCATAGGTGTTAGCCTAGCCTACTTTAAACATGCTGAGAACACTTACAGTTGGGCAAAATCATCTAACACAAAGCAATTTTATAATAAAGTGTTGCATATCTCATGTAATTTATTGAATGCTGTACTGAAAGTGAAAAACAAAATGGCTGTATGAGTTCTTAAGTATGTTTTCTAATGAATATGCATTACTTTCGCACTCTTGTAAAGTAAAAAAATGGTACATAGAGGATTCTACAAGGGTGATTAGACACAGTCAAATATTTATTCTTTGTAGTGGAAGGACAAAAAAAGATAAAGTGAAAAATAAATTATTTTTCAAACAATGTTTTTTAGTAGAGTGTTGCCAAAGAACTGCTTGCAATACTGGAAATGTTGTTCAACTGTTTTTAATCTGTTCCAGGTCTCTCTGGGTTGACTCCCCTCATGGTTACCTATGATGTTTCTACTTAGTTGCCTGGGAGTGGGGAAGGGGATTGTGATGAAAGAAGTGAATAGAGAATAAAAGTGCTCTTTTTGCAAAATATGGAGCTTCCATTCAATATTTCCCTCTCTCCACATATGAAAAGAAATAAATTTGAAGACCACCAGGAGTGCTCTCAGGATATGGAAAAAGAATCATTGATTGTTTTGTAATGGAAAAAGCCCTATATCTTTTAAATTGTCTGGTGATTTTCTCTTTAGGTGGCCAGGTGTGGGAAACTAGACTTATCGGTGTCTATTATCCCAAGATATCATGTAATTATATACAAAGAAAGCTTAGGATTTACGCATTTCTCCGTTTAAGCCCTGAAGTATGTCTATATGATGACACCAATGTGAGAAAAAGCGAGTGACAGATATTATCTTTATTTTTCGCAATGTTGTGTGAAATATCCAGCTAGATTTTCTTCAGGCTGATTATTTGGCCAGCACAGGGAGAAAGGAGGGAGAGAGAAGAAGGGGAAGAGGAAGTGACTGCTGAAGGTACAGATTATTCACCAGGATCTTGTGCAACATGTGGTATTAGAGGCTCATTGACTCTATTCAGTTGAATCATGTAAAATTGCCGTTTTTATTGGTCGAAATGGTTAAATATCAGCAATTTTGTATGCTGCAACATACTAGGTAATTGTGAATATCTGTTCCCATCATTCATTAATTTAATAAGTATTTTTTGAGTACAGCCTTATACAAAAGAATATGAAAGCCCAAAGGCTCTTCTAGAGCTTCTTGGGCTAGAACTAGAGTACTCTTGTTTCTTTCCTTTTTGGTTGAATCCCACTAGTCTTTTAAAATTACTGTCAAAATTACTTTCTCCGTGAGTTAGTGTGTTCTGTTTCATCATTATTATTATTTTTGTCCTGCAGAGTTCCTGATTTTTACATAAGTGTGATTAACTTATACATATAATTTTGTCTTATCTTTCCATTTAATGAGAAAAGTATTACATTTTATAAAATTTTCATCACTTATATTTTAGGAGCTATAAAATATTCATTTAAATGGATAGTTTATTAGCTATTCCTGTATTGGGGGAGGATTAGATGGTTGGATTGCTGTCCTTGTGCATAAAGCTTTTTCTGTTATTTCAGTTTATTTCTCTAGGACAGAGTCCCCAAAGTAGAATTACTTGGTCAGATGGTCTGAACATAGAAAAAATCTCTTGATACATGTCAACTGGAAATAACTATTTTTAATACTGCTTGATATATGAAATTTGACTCCTCATCAGTAACAGGATATGTTAAAAACTGTTTAAAATGACTTGCTCACATGGTGGTCCAAAACCATATTCAATGACAATGTCATAGTCTGTGTAAAGAAAAAGGTTTGAAGTTGCTGATATCAAGACAACCACTAGATTTTCTCAAAAGGAATACCTCTGAACAAGCTGATACCAAAAAGAAAGACCGAGTTCCTGATGCATACATGATTTCTGAAAATTCTGCTTGTAATTATTTTATCTTGTGGAAATGAGGAAAAAGGAGACCAAGTGTCTGCCTATGTTTGGGGGAATTTTCTGAAAAATAAGTTATAATTTTCACATCTTGGGAAAGAAGAAGTAAAATGCAGGCTATGTTTAGATTTGGATGGTCTGTTTTGGTTTAAAATATATGATAAATCAGAGATTGCTAGTGCCGATCAAGAATATCATAAGCATATTCAAAAATTCCTATGTGTTCACTATAATATATGGCCCTAAATAAGATAAAATGATCGAACTCATGCTGATTAGACTCTGATATGGTTTGGCTCTGTGTCCCCACCCAAATCTCATCTTGAATTGTAATCCCCACATGTGGAGGGAGGGAACTGGTGCAAGGTGATTGGATCATTTGAGTGGTTTCCTTCATGCTGTTCTCTTAACAGTGAGGGCATTCTCATGAGATCTGATGGTTTAAAAGTGTCAGTTTCCCTGGAGCTCCCTCTCTCTCCCTTTCTCTCTCTCTCTGTCTCTCTCTCTATCATTGCTGCCATGTGAAGAAGTTTCCTTGCTCCCCCTTCCCCTTCCGTCATGATTGTAAGTTCCCTGAGGCCTCCCAGCCATGCAGAACTGTGAGTCAATTAAACCTCTTTCTTTTATAAATTACCCAGTCTCAGATATTTCTTTACAGCAGTGTGAAAATGGACTAATATGGACTCTAACTTCTCTGGGGAGGAAACTCCTCTGAGGAGGAAATATGCCAATGAGGAATAAATGCCTATATCGGATGCCATAGCATTGGGAGGGAGGGACAGTGGGAGTATACAGAGAGAGTGTGGGACCACGAAACCAGAGAGAGAGTGACTGCCATATGTGCTGGCTAACTTGCTTGTCCAGATGATGCTTTGAGGACAACTTACCCTAGAAGCTAGAAGTGGAGCCCTACAACAATCAAGCTGTGGTTCAAGTGGCGTCCCTAACTAACCTTACATGGACCTCTAGCCATATCTACCAAGGGAAGCACCTGGAGCCTGAGAGTAATCTGCCTTGGGTTCAGGATAAAGCATAAGAGAAGGAACAGTTGCCAGGGCCTCTCAGAGCCCACCTCTCAGAGGGGGCAGTAGAGTATAGCAGTCTGGAGTATAGACTCTGGAGCTTGGGTTAGAAACTGGGTGTCCCTGCCAACTTACTAGCTGTGTGACCTCAGATGAATTACATAAGCTCTCTGTGCCTCAGTTTACTCATCTGTAAGATTAGGATAGTAACAGTCCCTACTGCAGGATGGCTATAAAGAATATGTGATTTCATTCACATTAAGTGTTTAAATGGCGTTTTGAATGTAGTAAGTGCTGTGTATTTATTTTTTTTCTCTCAGTATCTTAAAATAAACATCCAGACAAGGCTACAGAAAAATGTTTAGTATATTTAAAATATACTAAATACATTTAAAATGTTTAGGATGTTTTAAATGTTTATGTTTAACACATTCACCTTTATGTGGACCACACTAAAAGTGACTGTATGGATAACCTCATTCAGGGATCAAGTCCAAAGTCTAAATCCAAGGTCCTTCGTTACATGAGCCATGACACATGGGCTTCCTGGTGCACCCCATGCAAGACCCTGGTGGTTATGCCGTTGCTTCCCTCCTTGGTCACCACACTGATTAAATAGATGTTTTTCCTTTTTTTAAGTAGTAGGCATTGAGAGTGCTCCACACAATGGAACCATTTGTTAGACTGAGGAGCAACTCTGATAAGCTGTGTCTGTCTCCCTGACTTTTCCAGCTACTTCAGAGCAGCTGTTTAGAGCAAGAAACATAGTGTTGAGGCTTCATGCCTGAGCTTTCCTTAGATCTCAACCGCTAAGTGGTGTGGAACATTGAGCTGATGACCAGGAGAAAAGCAGTCAAATTGGGCTTACTCATGGAGAATTCACTGTTCCCCCAGTGCCCTGACACTCTGCAAGTGAATGGAAAATCAGATCACAAGAAATAGTGTAGAATAAGACAGAGGGTTTCTTTTGTTTCTGTTCTGATTAGAGGAAATTGAAGAATCCAAGGTTTATCAGTACCAGCCCCACACCATGTTTTGGAATGCAGGCAGAATAGGCATGCTTGAAAATGTCCAATTCTGAGTTGAAAGTAGGAGATATTGCAAGTCCTTCTTTGTAAGTAAACATTTGAAAGAATGTTGTAAAACATGCATACCCATCCACAAGGTAAAGCACAGGTCTGGAAGACCTCACATCTAGGTCAGCCTTGCAAAATCTTTGTGCATTAAGAAGAATGATGCCTGAAATATGAACTATGGAACCCTGGACATTTTTTATTTTCTAGAAACCAACCATCAAGGAAAGATGCGTTATTTCATATTTGAGTCATGAATACCTAGAGTTTCAACAAAGAATTGCTGTTGGCTGGGTTGTTTATATGTGCCTATGGTAAACCTAAGACCTTTTGCTTCTCTTGACACTTCAATCTGGCAATTGTATAAACTGTTTTCATAGCTTTTTTCCCTTCTTGAATAATTATTTTTCTTTGTATCTCAGTATCAATGTCTCACAATAAAACATCTAATTACGAGATACCAAAAATATTTTTTGTTTTTTATATATTGATATATAAAAAACGTAAAATTTATAAATGACATTGGATTTGCCTAGGTTATGTCTGTTAACAGCAAAATGAAACTTTCAGACCTGAAAGATAGAATTATTTAAAAAATGGCTTAAGGTTAAACAAAATTTTAACTATCTGATTCCAGGGCAATTAGCTATGTGTGAAAAAAGAAACTGCAACATGCAAGTTGGAAGGATTCATTAAAATTCATGGCAAAACTCACTGGGAATGAATCAAATTGGAAACTATTGTTAAAGCTATAGCTGAACATATGCTTATGCCTCTAGGGGTAATTTATTTGAAATCTTTCTCTCACACATGCTATATACATAGATTTTTATCTGTTCCAAGTGTACTGAAGCTTACAGAAAATATGTTAAATCTCCTCAAAAAAGACTTTCCCATTGCTCTAGAGAGTGATTTCTGCGTTTGCCTTGCATGTGCTCTGGCCAGGTAGTTCTTTCAGCTGTTGCGATCGCTCAGTTGTGTGCTGCTTTGTGTCTGACGGAGGAGAAACAGAACAGCCCCAGAGATAAGAACAAAGTTGAGCAATTGGAAGATGCTGGGAAAGATTAAAGACAACTGGAGAATTCATTGGAGCAGCATGAAAAATAAATTACCTGAGTGAAGCAATGATTAATGAAGTCACTCTGAGAGAGCCACTAAAATTGCTGAAGAGTATTCTTAAATATGTTTAGAAGTTCTTTCTCAGTTTGTGCATGCAGTGAAAAATCTTGTAACATTGCAAATGCTTTAAGTTACTAATACAGAAACAATTTGTATTAAACTTTAAAAAATAGTATTAGTATATATTCTCTCATCATGGCAAGATTCTGAATTCATTTCCTATGCCTTGCCAATAGCCTTCTGAAATACAAATTTCAGGGTAATACAAAGAAAAATTTAATGCATTGTCACAAATTATCCTTGAAGCTAATAATTAAAATAAATAGGCATGTATGTAAATAACATTTTTCTATAGTTTATATTAATCTCATGAATAAGTACAACCAGCGTAGTTTATCAGCTGAGCAACAGAAAGCTCTGTCCATGAGGAAATGTAAGCAGAAATTCTGTAGGCTAGAAATATGTAACCTGAACACATTTATAGAATAATGGGATTTCTGAGACAAAGGTCTTAGTATTACACATTTTAGTTTTGGTGAGGGTTATGAGAACAGAAGATGGCTGAATTTTCGTGTATATGTGAGTGTGTGTATACTTTCTAGGTGTGGGGAGGAGGAGTAAATATAGTTTTACGAAAATAAAATACTCTTTTATTTCCAACACTGTTTCATATTAAAGTAATTTATCAAGAAGCTGTAGGTTATAAATCTTTAGCTTATGACTATAGCAAGGGCTGCCACTTGAATTCAAAATATATACTCTCTGAGATTCCAACATATCCGCAAAGCTTGTCACGTGCTTGTCTGGGAGCTATTTGAAAGAAGTCCAGGAAGCCTCCTGAGAAAGAGTGAGTCATCCTCAGGCAGTTATCCTAAAGTGGAGAAAGAGCTGCAGAATGAAGGCCTAAATGAAAGCAGAGTGGCAGGTTCATGTGTGTGGCGCTCCTGTCGATCTTCTACGTGCTCTTCTTATTTTTCTTGGGGATTGTGCCAGATCCCAGTGGAGAGGACTCAAAGTGAAACAAGGAAGAGAGCCTTTTCACTTTCTTAGTAAAATGTCGAAGATACCAGGGAACAGAACGAGGTAGCACTTTTGTGGCCCGGGGAGAAGAGGATGGGAGGCAACAGGGCCTTTGCACACAACTTAGCAGCAGGTGGTGTGCCACGCGCAGTTCCAGGGGAAGCGACCACAAGCCGAGTCATAGGCCAGGGCCCTCAGTGGGGGAATTCTCTCCACTTCAGTAGGAGAGATCTCTGGTGGAGGGGTGACATGATGAACGCTTGAGACTGTGACAATTTTGGCAAGATGCAGCTTTGATGTGGTATGTGCCTTGGGGCCTGGATGGCTTGAGAAGCTGAAGTGGCTTTGGAGAGTGGATATCCTCAAGCATGGTAGTAGGTGTCAGGCATCCCAGTAGCTGCAGAAGGAAAGAGGAAGGCTGCCACGTGGGAGTCGGGAGGAGATGGATTGGGAGTTCACTGAGGATACCCATGTATCCTCCAATAGATGAGAAATTGACCTGAGGGAGAGAAGAGCATAAAACTAAAGAAGAAGCAGTGTCTTGTGTTTCTTGTGACTTGTACTCCTACATGGACCTCTCCAAGCTCATGTAGCTACTGGCAAAGTGGATGTTCCATATTATAATCACTTTATATTTCTGAAAATAAAAACCAATATCTCACTATTTGGTAATATGGAATATAATTGTCACTACTTTTTGAAAGGCTATTAAATATTAGGGAACCTTAGCATTTCTTTAAATGGAAATGGATAGATTATTAATATCATTTCTTCCCAACAGCCGATATGAGCCCAAGTCTGAAAGGGCGGTGCAGGGGTAGCCAAGGCTCTCAAGGCTGCCGAGGGAGATTCCCCTTTGTGTGGACAGTATTTCAAGCAGCAGTGTCCCTTCTGTGCATACACTTCAGCTCTGTGTGGCCATGTCATTTGTCCTAACATTGCTTTTCAAATCAGGGACTTAATCTGCTTTCAGAGTGGATGTATGTTGTCCCTTCTCTCTAATCTGTAAACCCTGTAATGATTCAGTAGGTATCATTGTGCCTGTCTGATATATGACAAAATTGAGGCTCATAGGAGTCAAACAAATTGCTGAAGTGGGTGGCAAGTAGAGGCAGTGTTGATTTAGGCCCACATTCACATTTTTGTACAATTAGTTACCTGTATGGTTTTTTCTTAGAGCAAACTGATGCATCCCATTGTGGGTAGGAGTAAAAAACCTTAAGAGATCGACTCCTCAGGGAAATGAAATTGCTTCACTAAATGGAAGAATGCACCAATGGTGTTTTCTCAGATCGAGTGAATATGATTTAGTGGAGGAATAGCTATGTAACTACATTGTAAATCTGGTTCCTCAACTTGGTGTATGTTCAAGTTGTGGTTGACTCCTTTGAGTCCTCTTCATCTGTAACTTTGTATAAAAACTATAAAGATGACATTTTGGTCCTGAGAAAGAACATGGCCTCTAACATGAGGTCTGTTTTGTTATGAAGCAAGACTGCATGGGATTTACCACAAATATGAAGAAATATGAACCCAAGTTTGGTCTCTTGCTATGTCCATCTATTAGGATAATTGCATTGTTCTTGACGTTGTTAGATTTATATACAAACAAATGAAAAAGCTTTATGAGAATTATGCGTGGTTTGTCTCTTGTGCAAACACATCATTAACAGGAAAAGTTGTGGGAAAGAAGATTGGGTAAGAATAGAAAGTGATTCATACTTGGCTTTGAAACAGCTAAAGATTCTAGTGTCCTGTCTTGTTATTTGGCTGCCACGTGTTTGACTTTTACTTTCTAATTAAATTATAGACTCTGAAGACCATCACTTATTCCTTATTTGCACTCTCTGCTATGCCTTAGTGTAGTGCAAGACAGAGTAAAGGGTTCATCAAATAGTTTTTGCATCACAATATGTATTTACAGCTAACCTGGATCTTAATTCCTGCTAAGGCACATATCGTAAAACCACCTCCTCTGTGTCCATTTTATTTGGTTTCCAAAGTGATCATGTGTAGTAAATGAAGTTATCTTCTCATACTGCAAGTCTCAGACCAAATGTCAGTCTTTCCAGGAAGCATTTCCAGGCTCATCCCTTAGGTAATATGCAATCTCTCTGTGTTCTGTACATACTGAATTTGAGGCACTTATCTTTATTTTAAAAGTTATCTGACTTTGTTTTCCCTGTGGGCCTGTGAGCTCCTGCAGGGTTGGGATCACATTTTTCTCTGTACCCACAGCACCTTGTCTAGGTCCTATTTACTGCATAATCAGTGCTCAATAAATGTGTGCGAGTGACTGGTCCCCCAGTGCTTTTTAAAATGACTATTTGTATGCGGAAATCTACTCATTTGTATATGGAAGCACTTATTTTTAAATGGCCAAACTACCTCTGCAGTAACTTGGAGTTACTAAAAGCCATTAGCTTTGATTTAAACAATATGTGAGGTAACCCCCAAGTGGTAACTGTATAAATTAAATCCAAGTTTTCAGTATGACTGTATTACTGGGATATTACATATTCACATCTCTGTCAGTGCCTTCTAGAATGGAAGGAGCTTCCAACTTCCATGTGAGGGAGACACATTCCGTGTGTGAGGGAGTGACTGAAAAAAAATGGGAAGTCAACAGTTGTCTCCATGTTGTATAAATATGACATGATTTATTTGATTCTCATCTAAAACTGCTATGTAAAAGGCCTGTTGCTGTTTGACTTTTCTTTTTATACCTAACTTAAGTAATAAAACTACTTGAAAAAGTGCATTTCTCTCTTTCTCCCTCCTGTTCAGCCGCTGGTCTCTCAGTCTGTGGTTTTCTAATTCATTGTCACACCACATCGTTTAGAGCTGAGCCTCCCTTAGTCCTAGAAATGTTGACTCTCTTCTCTTTTTTTGCTTTTAAGGTAATAGAAATCTATTAATAATAGGTATATTTCATAATATAAATATTAAGATAGATAACGTCTTCTATTAGACATATTTGCTTATTTATAAAATTGCCTTCTAATGGATCTATTGTTGGTTCTGTGTTTAATAGTTATGAGGCATTTGATAATGATATATCATGGCTCTATTACAAAATATCTGGATGTTAACTTTGAATTGCCAAAATGGTTTTCTGAATTTGTATATGGTTCTGGCTTTTGGCCTGAAAGTCACAATATCACCATACAATTTTGATTCTTAGAATAAGTAAAATACATATTCCATATCCACATTCTAAGCATTGAGAGAAAAGATTTCTCTTTATTTATAATAAGTGAATCATCATAATTGCTAGTATTTTTCTGAAGCACGGCAATGGGATAAGTGCCACAGAGTTGTGTTGGTGCAGCTTTCTGTAGCTGAATTTATGAGTTACAACTCTTAATCCAAATGAAATACAATTTTTATTTGAGGTAGATCTGCAAGTGGGAGAATGACTATTAATTCTGCAATTCCAAAATAACTAATGTACTTGGTTTGAAGCCAGGTACACTCTGAGTTCTGGACTTAAGTGCTCATGTGGGAAATACAGAGGGAGACTTTAACATATGGATTCTCAGAAGAAAATGCAACTGTTCCATACAAGAAATATTGAGTTATTCTTAGTACTTTTTAATGTGTGGTTGACTATATATTTTTGAGTGGTGCCATTTTTAACACTTGGCAATTCAAGCCAAAGATCTTCATTTCCTGGGGTAATTTTAATAATTCACCCATTCATACAGCAAGCATTAAGTGAGGATTGATGGTATAACATTGTACTTGATTTGATGAGAAATGCGAGGAAAATAGAAACAAGATCTGTCTTCATTGAATTTACAATATTGGTAGAAAATAAAACACACATGCTTGAATGCACACACACACATATATATGTACACATATGCAACAAGTAGAAATCAAAATGGAACTGTATGCTGATGTATTAAAAATACTTCCTGACTCCCTACTACGCTATGACATAGGCAGAGGTTTTGCAGCACCTGCCTTTGAGGAACTAATAATCTGATGGTGAGGGGAAGGTAGACATGTGAAGTGATCCCAACACAGAGGAATGTGGTAAAAATCAAGGGACAAACCAACCATCTGAGTTGTCATCAGAGCTCTGTTAACATACACAGAAGTCCTGCCTGTGAGAATGGGGGAGAAGCTTCAGAGAAGAATGGAAGTCAGAAGGAGGCTCTGCAAAGAAAGTGTAGACAAGTTGGACTGTGTGTCCACACACACTGAGAGGGGATAAAGAAGGGAGGAGACTCGTGTGAGGTCAGAAGAGCCTCGTTTAAGGAACTGAGTTACATATAAGTTACATAAAGAGAGAAAAATGGGAGGGCCTCCCAGGCAAGAGAAACATCACAGGCGATGGTACAAGAGGTAGAAATATATACACAGAGGAGAGTAGTCCACTTAAATGAGTCCTTTTATTAAAATGATATAAAACAAGATGAATTTAGGGATGAACAGCATCTGACTGAAAGGTTGGGTCAAATGAGAAATAAATGAAAACTGTTTAAAAAATATAAAACATGTGGGTGCTAGTTATTCCAGATCGAGGCAGCATAGTATATTTGTTAAAAGCACAGACTGGATTTGAATCATGGCATCATTGTTCTCTGGCTGTGTGACCTTGGGCAAATTATTTAACCTTTCTGTGTCTCAGTGGGCTCATCTATAAAAAGGAAGAAGTAATAGTTTCTATGTCATAGGGTTGTTATATGGATTAAATGATTTTATATTTTGAAGTACTTATGCCTGGCAGAGATATATATATATATATATATATATAGATAGATAGATAGATATAGATATAGATATAGATATATATATAGATATAGATATAGATATAGATATATATGGCATATATACACATATACATGTAATAAACCTAGATAATAGAAAATTATTATGGATTCTTAAATGGGGAGATATAATAAAATCATATATGAGGAAGATTATCCTGGTAATGATATACGGGGAAGACTCAAATGAGGGAAATTTCTGAGCACTAGAAGATGAAATGGGACAAATATCATGGATATCTATCCGAATTAAGACAGCAGGAGCTTGGAGTAAGGTGGAGGAATACTAAGAGATTTGAATAGAAGATATGTTTCAAAGCAAGAAAGAACTGTCAGAACTTGGGGGGTGGATATGGGATGTGAGAAGTTGTAGCCAAAGATGACTCCAATGCTGAGGTTTTGAGAGGCTGGGAAAAGAGTGGTGCCATAGACAACACATGGGGGAAGTTATGCATGGATGGACCTCAAAGCGTAGTAAATGAAATCTACTGCACTTAGCCCGAATTTGTTGAAATAATAATAATCATTAGCTAGAATTTCATCATCCTTTGTGCTTTTGTGCAATTCTTTTGCCATCTGTTCTAGGAGCGATTCAGAATGTCAGTGCTTTTTGAACAGAAAGCAAATTCTAAAAGTAGAGATTTCTTATTTAAAAACATGTACTTCTCAAGCATTTAATTAAATTAAAAGTAAGACAATGATAGGGAAGAACTTAACATTCCAACCACTTAGAATTTAACTGAATAATGTTAAAAAATTATTTCAGTGGGGAATAAAAAAAAAAACTAATGAAACAAAACAAAAACTAGGTCAAGAAATGACCCCAAGGCAAAGTCTTAAATCTTAAAGGTCAACAGGTCAGTATACTTTAAAAACTGTAATTCTACTTCTTAATTCTTCAATGGGCTTACTGTGTCATGTTAAGGTTATTCACTCCCATATACCATAGCCCATAATGTCACTCGAGGTATCCTTATGGCTTCTCCAGGTATTAAAGAAGCTTGATATGTTTTTGTTTCATTAATCTTTTCTCAGAGGCCAGTGATTAGTTCATCTGACTCCTTTCCATCAAGTTTAACATTTTTTTCAATTAAAAACTCATCTCTACAGATGGTATTAGCATTAAGAGAGGCCTTTTCTGTTGAAAACAACAAATATTGAGATATTTTAGGAATTGTTCTATAAATCACTGGAAGTAGAATTGACTTCAAGTTTTCATGGTTTGTTGTTGCTGGTGGCGGTGGTGGTGGTGGGGTGTGTGTGTGTGTGTGTGTGTGTGTAAGTGAGCAAAAGTTGAGCTGATGAGAATTTGGCCCATATGGTTTATTGTTTCTAGAATGGATCAGTTTCATCCCAGTGCCTGGGCAATTTTGTTGCACATTAATGTGAAATATTGTAAATGTTTTTACCAAGCTATCAACTATGAAATACTTTATCCAAAACATTATGATTACAAAGGCGATAATAGAAACAGCTTAAACCAGGAGAAAATGCTCTGTTAAAGAGGATTAGAAAGACCATTTATTGAATAGTATGGATTTCTTCCAAGCCCCTGTGTGCAGAAAGCATGCAATGCGTGAATAATTCATCTAGAAATTCTATCGTGAAGTTGTATCAGTTTCCACAGTAAAACCTGGCCATGGAGGAGGAAAATACATCAACATCTGTGACAAGCTCTATGAGGAGACAGTGGCAAAGCCTTTCAGGCACCAGGAGCAAAGCAAAATATAATAAATTCACTTAAGTGTCAAATTTGTGTCGGCTAAATAATGACACCATATGTCTGGGTTGCTATGTCACCATAGGCTGCTCTGAAAAAACACATTGCTTTATAGAAATGGCTGTCAGCTCAGGGAAGAAAGCTTGCGGGCTACTGCCTTTCTATCAAAGAAAACAGAGATTGCCCAATGAATGCAGCATCCAATGATCAATACAATGATTGTTGTTATTGTGTTGTTTTTTCTTAATATGTCAGCAGTTAGAGTGAGCCTGCTGTTTAGACTTAGACATGTATAGTTAGAGAGGCTGTCTTAGTTGCACTGTCCTTCAACTGAGTTGGGGTAAGGCTTTGAAATCCCCGACAGTGGGCCTGCTGCATGGGCGTTAATGATGCAACTTGTCTTTATATGGTTTTCTGAGGAACTCTCCTCAGGGCACTTCGTAGACACTATCTCATTACTCTTCACAGCACCCCCAGGAGGAATCCAGGACTCTGACATTATTTTCCTCCAGGGTAACTGAGGCATAGAAAGATTATGGTCACATTAGCCCATAGGAGGCATGATTCTGCCGCCCACTCAGCGTTTCTTGCTCCAGGCAGTCAGTATTCAAGCAGGCATGCAGACAGTCTTTATAGGAAGGAGGATTTGCCTTGTCTCCTGGGCATTTCTCTCCTTTCTGCTGGCATGCATAGTGCTGGCTGGGTGCCTGCTTCATGGCTGCTTCACCACTCCAAAGGCACAGTACCTAGGTTCAGCTGCCCTGTGAGTGGTCATCCCGCAGATTGCGCACTGTGATGCTGGTTCCAGAGGCTTCATGCTTGCATACAGGCCCCATGGCAGGCTGATCATGTCGTGTGTAACTGCTCTGAACAGGCTGGGACTCTGGAGAGCACCTGTCTGCCATGCAAAGGAATCAGTAACCCTGTCTCAGCTTCACACAGCCAGCCTTGACTGTGCCTCAGTTTTTCATCACAATTAGTCCAATGGTACTTAAAAGAGATTGTGGCAAAGATAAATCATGTGGGAGGGGTTATGTTTAACTTTAATCACAAAGGTATAGGTAAGAGCTAGGAAATTGTGCAAATGGATCTATTATAAGGAAAATTGCCTTCCGTATATATTAGTTGTTCATGACAGCCTTCCAAAGAATTTAAAAACCCTAAATTAACTTCTAAACAATAACCATTTTAGGAGTGGTTCCAACAGAATGGTGCATATCTGAATCATTTGGAGAGTTTTGTGTGTGCACACAGGCATGCCCTCAGACATACTGAGTCATTGGATCCGGAGTATAGCCTGGGAGTAGAGATTCTAAAACCCCAGGTGAATCTGATGTGAAGTCAATGATTCTTCAGAAGGCTGCACAGGCCCTAGTTTCTCTCCTTCTGACACTGGGAAGTATAAAACATCAAGTGCAAAGTGAAACAGATAAAAAAGAATTGTGGTTTCCTGACCTGACAGAGGTGTTTTCCATTCAGCAGTGTAATATTAGGAAATGGAGAAGATCATATAAATGCCGCAGTTCAGACTGAATCTGAAAAATGGAGTTTGAAACATGTAAAAGAAGTCTGGGGCAACCATAACCAGGATGTTTCTGATTGACACCTACTCCCTCATCCTAGTCCCATCTGAGTTTGTGGTAAGTAATACCTTTCTCTGTTGGCTGTTTTAGCTTTCCTTGAAACCAGTCAAAGGACAGAGGTTATTCAGTTGAAAGATGGCCACAAATTCACAGGTAAAGTCTGTTTCTCCACTCCTTTGAACTTGGGCTGAGCTGGTGACTGCTTTGATTAGTGGAACACAGGGAAGTGATGCTGTGTCAGTTTTTGGCCTAAGCTTTTGGGAATACTGGCTGCATATGCTTCTCCTCTCTTAGAACACTAGCTCTGAGTTTGCTTCCTCTTGAAACCCAGCTGCCAAGCTAATAAGTGCACGAATCACATAGAGAGCTTGTTTTCAGGCATTTTGTTCAACAGTCTCAGCTAAGTTCCTGGCCAAGAGCCAATATCAACTGTCAGGCATGAAAGTGAACCATCTTGGACATTCCAGCTCAGTTGAACCCCAGATAACTGCAGCCCCAATCAGCATCACATGGAGCAGAAGTACCACCCAGCTAAGCCCAATCAAAACAAAGAATCACAAAAATTAACAGTATGGTTGGTGCTTTAAGCCAGTAAATATCAGGAGGCTTTCATGCAGCAATAGATAACTAAAACAAAGTGTCAGTGTATTTCCCAGTCCATACTAGTCTGAAGGTAAAAAAAAAATGGATCACAATTACAATTTCAAAATAGTATTTTTGGCTGTATTTTCACCTATTTTGTGGGAACTTCAGTGTCCTCATGTTCTTCCCACGTAATTTCTCTAAGGAGTGTCTAGAATGTATGATCTGGGAACCAATCCTTTTGGCCACCATGTAGCACTGCTGTTTTAAAATTTTCACTCTGATAACATCTCTGCTCTGAGGTGATGCCTGTTTTTCTCTGCTGACACTAAGGGTAGGAGCCTGCTCTGTCTCCCAAAGCACCACTTCTGTAAATGGCCTCAATGACTGTGCTAAGCTTGTCAATGCCCCCAGATGTGTATTAAGGTGCCATTTCCATTACTCATGAGGCTACTGGTGCCATTATAGCTGCTGCTGCTGCTCTGTTTGTAAGGTCCCAGGGGCATTTTAGGAAACAGTTCATTATTGTAACTAGTGACATAAGTGCCCATATCCTTATACTTAATATATGTTTTTTTCAATTGAACTAAAGGGTTAAGTCATACTCCTTGGATTCTTTATTATTTTTTGGTGGGAGGATTCAAAAGATCTAAATTAAGCAACTCTGCGCAGGTGTTGCTAAAGTTGAAACATTTAGTTTACCAAGAAACTGACTAGACAAATTGTTACCTAAGAGTATCCAGCTGGGGATGTTTCTCAATCAGACTTTCCTCAGCAGGAATTAATGCTATATTTGGGTGAGCTAAAGTATTTGACTTCCTTTCTAGTCTCTGAACAATACAAGAAGAAGATAAAATATTTTTTTCTCTAGACTTCAAGGATAACCTTAATGATGTCCCAGCCTAACAAATAGGAAAGAAGAAACAAAGATTGAAAAATCAGAGAACAGGTTTTAATCTTTAATATACTCATTAGGTAGATGTTTGGGATTACATTTATGACACCAATATATTGGGATTATTTATGTGAAATACTTATATGTACCCACTTCCTTTTTGTCTGTTCTGAAGGTGCTGTGTCTCCCTCCAAGATTAAAGTTGAAACAGATGGAAGGTATTTGAAGTATAGGATCATTGGTTGAAAATACAAGGATATATACAAATTCAGTGAGATAGGAAGATGGGTGAACAAGAGGGAATACATAAACACTGAGCAAGAGGAAATCAGTATGATACCATCAATTGTCTTGTGAGATTATGTTGCAGAACAGCTTCATTCCCTTGTATGTGGTTTTGGAAGATGGGAGAGAAGGAGAATGTCTATGTTTCTTGGGCTTCTAGGCATCAAGAGATTAATGAGAAAAAGAAGGGACCATTATGCCTGAAACAGAACCCTCTTTGATGTTCTCCTTTGAAAACCTAAGAGAAATAAAAGCAGAAAAGGATTCTACTGATTACTACTTCCTACAGTAATATGGTGATTGAACACTGATTAATCCTCCCCGACATTGATGCATTTTCACTGTTATGAAACATCTTAGAAAAATTGAAAAGTCAAAAAAAATAGATTCTTTCCTTGCTGTTTTAACTGAAAATTAAAGTTTGGGGGCCCATCTTCACAAAGTTAAATGCTAATATTGGAGGATTATTGCTAAATATTTCTAAAAGTAATTGTTTGAGTTCTTCTGAATTATATTAAACTCAATAATTTTCATAGTAGAGTATGAATAGATCCTTGCTTAGTTAACTTGGCTCTTTTTCCTAATAATGAACATCTGGTTAAATTCTAATATACAAATATGAAGGAATTCTATTTTTTGGAGTTGCAGTTCTAGGAGTGCATTTGACACTTGGAACTCTCTTTAACCTGCCAAAAGATGGTCTGATAACTTTCAAATTTTGAGACTCACTTTGTCAGACACACTGGCAAGAGGCCTACATTTAAGGAGTAGACCTTATGGAAGTAGAGCCCCTTAGCCAATTTGGAAGATTTTAAATTTTTGTTGGAACAATGAAGTTTATTTCTAAACTCTTTCACCACATGTTATAAATATTAACAATGAAGGTAATGTGGGTGGTGGAGATCTTATTTTTTTTTTTTTGGAATGGGGATTTCAATATTGGCTGAGATGATAATAAAGTCATTCACTGAGAAACAGAACAGGAGGTTGTTCTAATTTTACATTTGCCTTATTTTTCATGAAGGAAAAAGGAATAAAAAACTTCAGCATGGTAATCAAGTTTATAGAGGCAATATTAATGGCTATAATGGGTTAGGCCAAATTACTCAAGTATTTATAGTTTGAAATTTTGAGGAGGCACTGCTTAGTAATTAAGAATGCAGGATCTATGGTCATATGGCCTGGGCTTAAGCAATAGCACTGCACTTACAAGCTGTGTGAACTTGAGGCATATAGAAGTTAAGCAACTTGCCCAGTTTTCTCACCCTAATGCCTGCTAGAATCAGTCACAGTACTTAACTCATGAAATAGTTGTGAAGATTTCTTCTAGTTCTTGGTGCAATATCTGAGAAAAAATACTAAGTGCTCTGTAACTATTAGTTATTGCTATCATTATTGTTGAATAGACAAAATTTCCCATGAACAAATTTATTCACTCAGGGAGAAAAAGAAAAAATAATTTATTGTTATTATTAATAAAAAATAATTTATTTCTCCATATCTTTTAGATATTGGGAAATGAGATGGGGAAATTGAGAGGATTTCCCCAATTATGCATTTGACTTTAATAAGTTATTCCTTAAATGAGAATCTTACTTATTATCCTGAATATGTTGGCAAATGGTTTCAACTCCTTTTATGCCACTTCCTGAGTAGATACTGGGCTAAAACACCTCTTCCACCTTGCTGGCCATGAAAGATCCTCTAGAGTCCCCTTCATTTTATTATTGAACCAAAATTGTTCTGATGGGAAAGATGTTCCATCAGCACAAGGAGCATTTGTGGCTACAGAGCATCTTGCCTGTACTCTTGGCTGGTATTGTGGGAAAACTTCACACAACAGTCAGGCATAGCAAGACACAGTTCCACATTGGGGAGCAAGGTCAGAAAATGTCACTTTCTGAAGGTGAATACAAGAAGAGAGCACACTATGGATGAGCATGTCATTTGTTCATCCACAGAACTGTCATCTGTGCATCCATGTCATCTGCTCATCCACTAGACTCCTTCTGAGTGGAGTCTAATTTGTATGTTGCCCAAGAAGCATTGTATTTTCCAGTTGTCATAGAGAAGATGCAGGCTGTCTCCCAAATTCAATCAAAGGCCCTGGACATTCTCCCTAAGTCCTGTTAAAGTCATTAGAGTATTTTGTAGTACTTTGTTTTTTCAGGAAAAGAATGCTGTTTTCTATTCAATACATGTTGATTACATACTTAAAAGGTTATTGCCTTATCATTAAGGGGTGGTGATGATATATCTCAATTCTAGAAAAACACCAGGGGGCTAATTTATCACAGTGTCAGAACTGAGCAAATAACATTCCCTCCTATCCACTCTGAGAATTGTTCCTGGAAATGGAATTGGAGTTGGGTAGCACATGTTACCACTGCTTGGTGGTACATCCTATTAGCATTGTGTGACACTGAACTCACCAAGCTGCCCTTTAAATATAATTTAGATTCCCACATAACATTTTCTCCAGAGGAAAGAATGATCTGGTCATGCCCAAGAGCCACTCTGAGCCTTTGGGAGTTATATTTATCACTGTAAATTAATAAATTGGGGCCATGCGCGGTGGCTTATGCCCGTAATCCCAATACTTTGGGAGGCCGAGGTGGATGGATCACGAGATCAGATCGAGACCATCCTGGCTAACACAGTGAAACCCCATCTCTACTGAAAATACAAAAAATTAGCCGGGTGTGGTGGCGGGCGCCTGTAGTCCCAACTACTCGAGAGGCTGAGGCAGGAGAATGGCGTGAACCCGGGAGGCGGAGCTTGCAGTGAGCCGAGATCGCGCCACTGCACTCCAGCCTGGGCAACAGCGAGACTCCGTCTCAAAAAAAAAATAAAATTTAATAAATCGGTATTTTAAATCAGTTTTGTGGGTATTTGGCCAATGTCAGTCTATAGAAGCTGATCACTCTGGGTCAGTTGAAAAAACAAGCAAGATTAGAGTGTTGCATTTGCAGAGCTGAGCCTAGCTACAGTGGACCTTTCAGGATGCAGCCAAGTAGGGTTAGTCTGGGACAGTCACTACCTCTGTTTGACTTTGCCCACCTGCAGCAAGGGACTAGAAGATCATGGAGATTAATCCTCCCTTTCCTCCACTCTCCATCTACAGAGCCAGATATTACCACATTCCCATTAGTCTAGGCAATATTCTGATTTTTCATCAATTGACAGAGAGTGGGAAGAAAGCAATAAGATTGACTAAGAAATTAGTGAGTGTAAGAACTGAGATCCTGTGAGGTCTCCTAATCTTAGCTCCAATTATGACATCACTGGTGCAGCATCATTGAAGACACTTGACTTGGGCTATAGTTTGTTGGCCCTAATCCAATTCTATCAAAAACTGAAGATGAATGTTTATTTCTTACATCTCAAATTCTTGTCACATATCCAGAAAAGTACATTATCCAAAAGTCATCACTCTGATGGTTTAAAATGTGTTTTACTCAATGGGGTGATACAAGACTGGCTGGTGAGGGACAGGTCTTAGAGCTGCAGAAAAGTGAAATAGAATAAACATAGGCTAATATTTAAATGCATCCTCATCTCTGTGCCATTTGTTCTTCAACATTTGAATCTTCATGTGGTTATAAACACTCTTATCCTAGAAGAAATAAACTAATTGCCAAATAAACTAAAAATGAAGTTTTAATTAGACACATCCTGTTTGTTCTCATAAAATCCAAAGGAAACGTCAACTGTATTTTGCCTTTCCTGTTTGACTTAACTCATTGAGAAATATGGTTAATGAAAATTCAAATACCTTTTGAAAACCAGTTTTAAATGATTAATACTTTTCTGTGCCTTAAAAGGCAGGAATAAAGCCAACCAAAACAAAACCTTGGAGTGTCAACCTTTGTTGACAGAAGCTGCCCTCTGCTTTACCTGTGGAAAATAGCAGCACACTGTCACAGAATGTGCCCTCAGGCGCCAAACCTGCAGTCTCAGAAACCACTAACAAGGTGATTTCTTTTTACTGACACTCCCTTCCCCTTTGCCAGAAGTGTAAAGAAGATGAGCTACCTCATAAACTCCCGAAGTTATGAGCTACCTTTGCTCCTCCTGAAGTCACAAGTTCTTTGTTTATCTTTTCTTTTTGAACCCTGGGAAAAGTATATCAAAGTGATTCGTCCTGCCAAAAGTTTGTGCACTTAGGAACTGGCGCTGTGACAAATGCCTGCAGAGAAGAGAAAAGATTTCTGTGTTTCTTAGTGCTATTCTCTCCCTTGAGATGTTTCCAGAAACTTGAAAGGAGGGTTGTGCCTAGAAACTGATTAAACTTGCTCACATTAAAACTGAAAGTCAGTGTGAAGGACCGGCTCTCTCTGCTTCCACTCCCCGCCCAGTAACCCAGGTAACTGGGATCACTTATCATAGAAGTTAGAGCTGGAAAAGACCAGTCCAGCACCTCCCCTACCCTGTACCCTTTTACCTGGAGAGGGGAGGATCGTTCCTGTGGTCTCCATTGTTTAGTCTGGTTGCATTTTAAAACTTGCTTTGGGAAGAGAGAGTCCCAAATTTTCTTTGGGAGTTTTCTCCATAGATGAAATCTTAAGAAACTTGTTCTGCTAGTAAGTTGAAGATTTCTTTTGGTTAGGCTCATCCCATTTTTTTTGAGACAGTTCTTGCCTCCTCTGTGCTTTGTGGTCTTAGGAAATTATTCAGTTCTCCAGTTTCTCCACATCTGAAGAGGGAAATTGTATCATCATTAAAATACTGTTTGGAAAACACTAGATTGCTGGGACCATAGAGAGTGTTTAAATCATTCGCTCCATGACTAGTTACATGTGGCCTCAACATTTCTTCAGATACCTCCAGTTTTTCCAAATCTAAAGACAGTATTTGTGGATGTTGAAGTTGGCCTGTTCTTTTGTGGAGATGCTGGGCCCAGAACCTAGGGAATAATCTGGGCCCTGTGGCCTATTCTAGACCCTGAGCTGAATGGAACTATCTGACAGAAGTCCTTGACCAAGTTGACAGAGCCAGTAACATTTTTAGGGAGCGTTACCTCCACATCCAAGGCTACTCTACTTCCAGGCTCCTCCAGGTGCGGGTGTCCTCATCCCTTTACAGTGCTTATCTTCACTCACCCACCCTGAAATTGTCCCCTTGGAAAGCATTCGCTGAACCAACAAAACTGCTGAGCTATTGGCTGGGTACCCCTCCTTGTGGCTACCTCAGGGCATTTACATATAACAGTGAATACTGCCTTTAAACTGCTTTTCTAACTCCAGAATTCCAGATGCCTGGACAGAAATGGCAATTAGGGGACATTTCTTTTTTTATTTGTGGAGACATTGAGGAGAGGAGGGCCTCTCACAACCCTTCAAATGGCATGCCCTAGAAAAAAAACAACAGACAATATCTGAGAGCCAATTGATAAATTTATTTAATTTAATCTTTATTTCTACCCCAGTTAGGGAAGTACCCTTGTTGTTCCTATTTTATGAATAAACAAACTAAATCTTGGGGAGTTTAAGCAACTTGGTCAAGACCACATGGTTAGTAAGAGACAAAATTTTGTTTGCACTTACGTAGTCTGACTCCAATTTATGATTCTAAATCACCACGTAGTTCTAGTAGTGGTAATAGTAGTGTTACTAATCACCCAGCAAACATCTATTGAGGGCGTATGTACCAGGCACTGTAATAAGCCTTTCATATGTGTTATCCTGTTTAATCTTCAGAATCATCCCATGAGGTAGGTAGTTTTAATATGTCCTTTTTATATATACAAGTAAAATGAGGCACAAAGAAGCAAAGGTTAAATTCATTCATGGTTATCTTATTCAAGGTGATGGTCAAGGTTACATACTAGTAAGTTGCAGAGCTGTGGATTCAAACCCAAGCAGACTGACTCTAGTGTCTGTGCTCTTCCTACATCCCTGCCTTTCTTGAGGGCTCTCCATCTTTATTCCCATAGAGACAGAAGTGGCCCTGCCATCATAGTGGCTATCATGACATACGGGCCTTCGGACATTACTTTAGACACTGGTCCTCTCATAACTTACTCCAGAACCCATAGGAGGCAGCAAGATGACAGAGCAGTGTTCCAGCCTTACCCATCAATTCCCAGTACCATCTGGCCCATCATCTCTGTGCTCTCTTATTAATAATTACACATATTCCAGGTGGAACCAAATATATCTCCCTTTAGTTTCTTGTCTCCTGTTACATATGCAAAACAATGATCTCAAAGTTCACCAAATGGTTTCTTTCAAAAAGCCTTCTGAATTGACACTACTGTAGACAATGCTAAAGAGAAAGGGTGTTTTCATTAGACAGACAGAGAGAGAAAGAGAGAGAGAGAAATGGCAGAGCAGGAGATTCTAGCCTGAAAATCAGCTGAGATATAGAGGCTAAGTGTCTGTATCCCAAGGGAGTGAGAAGCCACCCAGGAGAGCCATTGGTCTGAGGGAAGAAGGAATCAGGAAAGACCTCTCTCAGTAATACAGCTTGGCCAGTAGTTGGGAAGGTGGGATGACAATTCTGAGTACATCCTAGTATATTTAGGGTGCTATGCATAAAAATGTAAAGAACTCTTATAGTCATCGCTCTGTGACACTGCAGCATGTTATGATTACTGCTTGATTACTCTTAGAGACAAAAGAAGCATTATCCATTTCCCAGGCATTTAGCATTCTTGAATTATTTGTGTTCCTTTGGCCAATGTAGTTGGTTCAGGGATGACCACAGAATCCAACCGGAACCAGTCCTTGGTCTTTGGCAAAAGCAACTGGTAGGAAGAAGAGCTTATTTTCTCAGGCATTTACATCTGCGATGATAGAGCCTCTGGCTGTTGGTGGCCATTTTGCCGTCACAGGATGCCTGCAAATGTAGCCATCGTGAAGAACAACAGATCTAAGGGAAAGAGTTTCATAGTCTATTCAGGATGCTATAAGAAAATACCATCGACTGGGTGGCTTTATTTTAATGATTTTAATTTATTTCTCACTGTTCCAGAGACTGGGAAGTCCAAGACCAAGGTGTCAAGAGATTGAGTGTCTGGTTGGAGCTCACTTCCTGCATGGCTTTTTGTTGTAACCTCACATGATGGAAGGGACAAGAGATCTCTCTGGAGTCTCTTTTATAGGGCTCCACCCTCATGACATAATCACCTCCCAAAGGCCCCACCTCCTAATACCTTGCGGGTTGAGATTTCCACATACAAATCTGGCGGGAGCAGGGAGACACAAACATTCAGTCCCTAGCACAGAGAGAGACATCATTTGAGCCTCTGGGTTAATATATTTTCCTGCTTAAGCCAGTTGGGTTTTGGTTTTCCAAGCTTTCCCACACAAAATTTCCACAGTGGAGTTGATAGTGACAAATTGGGTCTTTTTTCAGTCAGATTTGTCAGGGAAAACCTCTCAGAGCATCTGGAAGGCTATGGAGCAAGGTGTTAATAGTGCACCATTTCTCGGGGGCAGGATTAGGAATGATTTTTTTCTAATACCTTTTTTAAGAAACACTTATTTCTTTGTTAATAGGAAAATATTACATATACAGTTTCAACATTTTCTAAAATTGAGAGGCAGTCCATTGATTACACTGCTTCTTTGTCTCCGGCCCCTCTGTATTCGAGCTATAAGCCGTACATTTACTCCCTAAACTCCCAGGGATAATTTGTGAGAGCTTGCAGATGTATTCTTGCACTTACACACACCTCATTTGTCTTCCTGCTATAAGGTAAGTTTAGTCTTCTTTCCTGTAACTTGGTTTAGCATCTTTGCTAATCTAATGTGTTTCCAAATTCTCTAATCTTGATAGGTCAATTCCAGAGTTATTTGTCAAATAAAATAATAAATTTATTGTGATAACTGCAAACTGGAAGATGATGATGACTAATAGTTTCCAGAGGCAAGATGGTGTTCCCCAAAGAGTCTGGGGTGAGGAGAGTACAAGTGTGTGAACAGATTTGTTTCCCTGGCATATTCACCTCCTGCTCAAACACACACTTGTACCATTCACACGAGAAGTAAAATGGGAAGCTTTATTTGAAAAATCCCTCAGGTAGGGGAGAGCCTCCACTTAAACCCAGGGTCATATTTGTCATCTATCTGGCTGTTGTACTTCTGGGTAGGAGCAAGAATTCTGCATGTGGGTTGAGAAGTGTGGGGCCCTTAAAATGACTGAATTTACTAGCTTCTCTGAATTGGCTTCCTGTATTTCATCTTGGGGAAAAAAATTCAGAGCAAGTGACAAAAAAAAAAAGAGAAAGAAAAGAAAAAAACTATTTCTGGCTTTATGAATACCCCCAAAGGGGAAGGTTTTTAACCTTTTGAAAAATATTTCAAACCAAAACCTAAAGAGAATGTGTGTGTGCTCCTGTGTGCTTTCCACAAAAAAAAATCTGCTTTTAATGTTAGTTGCATGTGAACTAAATTCTCCTGAAGGTGCATTTTTGCATTAACCATGGATCACAAGATGAATAATGCTAGCTATTGAAATCAAACTGGCCCATCTGACTCAAAACAAAGTTGTTTTCAATTCTAAAAAATAGACATAGTTAGGGTTGGTTCAGATTTACTGATCAATGTATACTCACCTAACAGCAGTTATGGGAAGAACGGGGTATGTATTTCTCTAAACAGATATATGTGTATCTTTTACCTTGTGTCTTCTTTTATGGGTCATTCATACACAATTTAGTAGTTACACTCTATTAACTAAAACACTAATAATATTTTGCTTCCAAGATTTTTGGTAACTTTATAACATATTCTATTATTTTCCTTATACATTTTTAGACATATCTTTAGACATAAAATCTTTAGAGATAAAAGTATAGAGATGAGTGTCATGAACTACCATATACCCATCATTGAGATTTAATGTGTATTTGCTTAATTTTTTGAAGTACTTGAAAATCACAGATCTATAACATTTCACTCTTGAATATTAGCTTCCACATGCATCTCTAAAATAATTCTTCTTCTATAATAATACTACTACTGTCATCACACCTATAAAAATTAATAATACCAGTAAATATGTTATAAAGTTTTTTTAACTTTAAGTAATAGTGAAAATATTTTATATATTGAGTTTTTATGTTTATGCCCAGAATGATCTAGAAATTTATATCATTGTCAACAGACAATAGTTTTGCTTTTTATATCTGGTAAAATATTGATACCACGTATGGAATGAAACATTTCTTGTGTTCAATTTTAGAGGTTTCAATGAAAAGCTCATTGAATGAATCTGCATTAGTTTTTTCTCCCACATTCTTTAACATAGTGTTTTCTTGTTCAAAATACATGTGCTTTTGGCACCGTGAATAATCATTTATTCCTTTATGGTTTTTTTAAGGACTTGATGGCTTAGTGTGAGAACAGCTGAATCTCCTCTCAAGCCATATTCCTGGTGCATATGCGAACAGATGACATATTAAGCTGTTTCCATTCTATAGGGTTCAAGTCACTAATGTGTTAGATAGCCAAGGGAAAGAATTGCAATATTAGACTTTCATAGAAGGTCTCTCTAAGGACTTTTTAGAAGCCTTGTGTTTTGCAGTGTCTATAGATGTGTTATAAAGACAGCTATTAAATGACCAACACTGAAGGTCATCTTGGACGCTGGGAAAGAGCTCTAGAGTATGAATAAAACTTGCCTCTCAGTAGCTATATGACCTTGGGCCAGCCAACTGAGGCTTCTCTAAACCTCAGTTGTTCAATTTGTTAAGTGGAACAAATCACAAAGTTATTAAATAACTTTTAAATAAGACATAAAAAATTGAATAAGATATAAGAAGAAAGCATTTTGAGAAGTTATAAATACTCTTTATTGACAAAACATAGGGGGTGTGATGTGGACTGAATTGTGTTCCCCAAAATTTCATATATTGGAGTCCTAACCCCCAATGTGACTGCATTTGGAGATAGGAATTTTAGCAGGTAGTTAAGGTTAAGTGAGGTAAGAGTGGGGTTCTAATCTGACAGGATTGGTGGCCTTATAAGAAGAAGAGGAAATTATTCCCTCTCTTTCTCTGATTATGCACAGATGAAAGGCCACGTGAGGACACAACAAGATATCAGTCACCTGCAAACCCCAAAGAGAGCCCCTACCAGATCTGGACCGTGCTTACATCCTGATCTCAGACCTCCAGCTTCCTGAACTGTGAGAAAATTAACATGTGTTGTTTAAGCCACCCAGGCTATGGTATTTTGTTACGGCAGCCCAAGCTGATCAATACAGGGTGTGAGGTGGCTTCCTCTCTATTTAAACTAAAAGAGAATAAAGACAATAGTTTACTTTGTAGTATGTGGAAAGTAAGTTACACATAATGCAGCATGTAGAGAAAGAATGTTGGTCTAGAATGATGGTATTGAGCTTCTAATCTTGCTTCAGTCATCTGTCTGTGTGATCTTGTCTTGGGCAAGCTGTAAAAGATGGAAGCCTGTGGGGCATCTTAGTTTCCCAATTTCCAAAATAAAGAGATTTCAGCAAAATGTTTTTTCAAGGTCTTACTCCTTCTCCTTGAAGGTTCATTTGATTTCCATAATCATTTTTTCTCTCCCTTGATTAAACAATGAAAAATGAAACACTTGAGGACTATCTAGGGTTGTGGAGGTGTGTACCTTTTAAATTATGCTGAACCTCATCTGTCTGGGATAATACATGCAATTTACCTGGGCAGTAGACCTGCTAATTTCTCTCTGGTGTTTCCTCAAGCCATCAGGTTTTCTGGTACTTGATCTTTATTTTTAATAGCTTATAGATAGAGATAATACATTTTTTGAATTCAATAGACAGTTCTAGTGATATTATTAATCCAAATAAAAGTATGCTAAACCTTACTTTACACTTTGAGAAAACCTTTTGCTTATTTCGAACTTGGCCTTGTCACAGTGATTTTGGATGCACACATATGCATGCACACACCAGCCTCTCTCCCCAACACACACTATAGTGGGTTCAGTGACCCCTCCAGAGATATTTTCACTGGGAAGTTGTGAAGGTGACCTTATTGGGAATATGGCCTTTGCAGATGTAATTAATTAAGAATCTTGAGATGAGATTATCCTAGATTATCCAGGTGAGCCCTAAATCCAATGACATGTCTTATAAGAGACAGAAGAGAAGACACTGAAGGGCAGAGGGCTATGTGAAGACGGAGGCAATGATTGAAGTGATACAGCCACAAGAAGCTGGAAGAGGCCAACAAACAGTTCTCCTCTGGAGCCTTTAGAGGAAGCGCATCCCTGCTAACATCTTGATTTCATATATCAGGCCTCTAGAACAGTGAGAAAATAAATTTCCATTGTAAGCCACACAGTTTGTGGTAGTTTGTTGTGATCACTCTAGGAAACTAATATACATACTCTTTTTTTTTCTATACTTTCTTATATACCATTTCCCATCAGATGCATTAACTAGATTTAAACGATTTTGCAGCTTACAGAAAGGCAAGCGTGGTTCTATAAGTAAACACCTAAGCTATGAATGTTTCTGACATTGAAGGGTGATAGTTACCAGCATGCCAATATGCTTTTGCTTGTTTGGTTAGTGAGAGGAGTCTGCTGGGTAGACAGGGTTTTACCCTGTTTTGAAAGATGCGAGGACAGTGGTAATGTTGAGTGGGAGAAGGACTTTTAGTGTAAACAGGGCTTTCTAACCTCAGAACTATTGGCATTTGGGCAGGATAGTTCTTTATTATTGAGTGGGGGGCTGTTCTGTATAATGTTTAGAAACATTCCTGCCCTCCACTCACTGGGTGCCAGTAGTATCTCTCCCACCCACCCCACACCCAGCTGTGACAATTAGAAATGTCAGCTGGGCGTGGTGGCTCACACCTGTAATCCCAGCACTTTGGGAGGCCAAGGTGGGTGGATCACCTGAGGTCAGGAGTTCGAGACCAGCCTGCCCAACATGACGAAACCCTGTCTCTACTAAAAGTACAAAAATTAGCCAGGTGTTGGGGTGGGCACCAGTAATCCCAGCTACTCAGGAGGCTGAGGCAGGAGAATCACTTGAACTTGGGAGGCGGAGGTTGGAGACATTGCCAGAGGTGAGGGTGGGGGCTGGGGAAGCAAAATCACCCCCTGTTGAGAACCACTGGTTTAAGAGAGGACAAAAAGTATAAGCTCTGTGATAAGGATGAAAAAGTGCCTATGAAAAATATTCAACAGTATGTCAAAACCAACAGAGGATTTTCTAAAGAGAATCATTTTCTTAACAATAATAAATTATTCTAACTTAACCCTAAATAAAAGTGGACGTGTATGAGAAAAGATCTGTCATATTCATGACCATTGCCCTGAAAAATCTTAATATCAAAGAAGATCATCCTGTGATGGAAGAGACATCTTCTTATATGTGTACACATCTGTGTATGCATATATACACACACATATGCATACATGCATGTATATTATGTACACATATGTGTATGTACACATGTATGCACATATGCATATGTGTATGGCATGATATATGCATGTGTATATGTGTATGTTTAAATGCTTATTAATAAAGAGGGCTACAGGGTTTAATATAATTCATTGCCTTACTTGTAGTTCTGATGTTTTATGGCATAATGAGAAATTTCTAAAGATGATGAAGTGGATTAAAGGCTTTGAGAAAGCTTTTTTTTTTTTTATCAGAAAGGGCCACAAGTCGCTTGCTATAAGTGGACCTAACTGAAACAATGGTTTTGCTATTATTGCTCAAAAAGCCTGCATTTCTCTCACAAATCTAAGATTCACCCAGCTAATATGAAAACAGAATTCTGTTCTTTCATTTGTTCTCTACAAAGTGCTTATTACCTATGTGGAAGCTTGTGATCTTCCCCACACAATTCTGTGAGTCACACAGCTGAGAGCCCCTTGATTTACTCACACACACTATTGCCTAATGTATTTTGTAAGTCATGTATAATTACAGTCAATCTATCTTTCGAAAGATACATTTCTGGTAAGTTTGGGATCCTTGTAGAAAAATGTTCACATGCAAGAAAAAAGTTTCCTTAGAGAATATTTCAATTCTTCTTTAACTAGAGAAATATTTATTTCCCTGTACCTTTAAAATATCCGCTTGAATGGATGCAGACAGTCTGAAAGTTGCTAAGGCCTGCTTCCTGGCTTGGGAATTGGACTGAACTGGCTGACCCAGCAGCTCACGCACACGGCATTGGAACGGCACCGCTTCCCAAAGTCAGCAGGAATCATGAGATAAGCTCTGGAAACAAATCCAGAATTTTTGTGGAGAAAATCCTGTGGTCCCATGAAGCAAGTGAACTTGTAGGGAGGATCTTTTTGAAATTAAAGTTCATGGATCATAAATGTTTCGAAGATGGTCTGCAGTTGTGAAAAGTACTCTTTAGGTTTTAATTTGACAAACAAAAATTATCATGGAGATAAAGAATGATATTGGGCCAACAGGCAGCCAAATAATTTTTTACACGGGGTTATTTCCCTTTTGAGAGAAAAATATTTTTGGCAGTTAGATACTATTTCTTTTCTGCTAATAGCACATGCTAATTTTTTTGGAGTTATTAGCAGACTACTTGTGGTGGGGCAATGCAGTCATATAGGCTGTGGCCCAGTTTGGAACCATCTCACAGATGAGTAGTTTGAGAAATAACTCTGTTGCCTGAAATAATTTGTAAGAGGCCCTATTCTGGCTACAGAAAGCACTAAAAAGCTTTGGAACAAAAGGCACCTGCTCTTGGCCAACTGCCTGAGGCAACATGGTGCAGCCCCTTTGGGGCTAGCTTGACTGCCGCTGTGTGGATGTTGATCTCATGGGCTAGGTTTTTCCACAGCTAAATGGTACAAAAACTTGTTCCTTACCACCCCTACTTTTGCTTGTACAAGTGCTGGGTTTTGCCCACATAAGCAACTCCAAACCCAAAAATGTAAGTCTCATTTGTGGTTACTAGAATGGGACCTGATGGAAAATTTGACCGTAAGTACGTAAAAGTCATATAAAAAAAGAATCCTCTGGTACAGAAATCAGAAAATAATTCAACAAAATATGTTGTGTAACCAACACTTGCTTCCCTAACTTCCATGGTAGTCAGCCGTGGTAAATTTTAAAAGGGTATGAGTGACAACCACCATCACCATTGCTACCACCTTCTGGTCTGAATACCCGCAGCAGTATGGCTGGAATCTCCATCCTTCCCTTCTGCCAGGGTCTTGAGGGAGTCCCTTACTCTCCTCCCCACCCTGGATGCTCTCCTCACATAGTGTGAGGCCAGTCTTGGCCTAGTCATCTCATATCAGTGTTTCTTGTCTCACTTCAGCTACAGAGGCTACTTTTGCTAATGTTGGGGCAGGGACCCTTCTCAACTCAGAGTTGTAAACTTTTAGGAGGCTTCTAAAGCAGGATGACCTTCTTTTTCCCCAGTTAGAGCACCATCAGAACCCTCAAAGCCCTCCTTCTACTCCAAAGTTATACAATAATAATAGTAGCAGTAAAAATTTAAAGAAATAATTAAATGGATCTTCCTTGACATGAACAATTGCTGTTTCTCAATCTTATAAACACGGTGCATAAAATAATCTTTAGAAAACTTTGCTATTTTTACCAACCTCAACAAGTCAAAAGCAAAAGCATCTGTTGATAATACAAACACCACACACTCTGACTCCCAACCTGGAGACTTTTCTGGAAATTCTGAAGCATGTTTCTTTCAGGGATGCTGGTGTTTGGTTTGCTTTTTCAGCTTCTTGCAAGCTATTCTCTAAGGGAACTTGTAACAGATCTCCTGGGAGCTGGGTTATTGGACAATAAGAGTGCCCTCTAACACCTCCATGCATAGTTAGTGGTAGGTCTGGAATTCAAACCCCGGGCTGTCAGACCACGTCTGTGCTACATTTGCTTCCAAAGTCTCCCTCCACCTAACCTGCATATGTCACTGCTCTCCATTTGGAGAAGAAAATGTAGCTGGTTTTCACTGTTGCTTGCCTTCCTTTCTTTCCTTTCCTCTGCATTTTGAAATAGAAATCTCATTCATAAGAGATGCTGTGGGGACTCTTAAGGGGCTGTAGGGTTAAGTTCCGTAAGCATGGCCTCTGGAGGCTGACTCCCTGCCTTCAAATCTTCACCTTCCACCATGACCTGGGCAGGTGACTTAATCCCTTTTGGAGAAGGATGGAATCTACTTTATCGCTGTTGTGGGACTAAAATAGTTTGTTTATAGTTTATTCAATAAAACACTGAGCACAATCTATTCTTTCTTTGAATATATTTTTTATTTTTTTTGTCATGGTAAAATATACATACTATGGTTTGAACATGTTCCCCAAAGTTCATATGATGGAGACTTAATCCCCAGTGTAACAATGTTGAGAGGTGGGCCCTTTAAGAGGTGATTAGGACATGAGGGCTCTGCCCTCATGCATAAATTGATTAACTTGGAAGTGGGTTTGTTATAAAGGTGATTTTGGTCCACTCTTGCTTTCTTGCTCTCTTGCCCTTTCTTTGCCCTTCTGCCATGGGATGATGCAGCAAGAAGGCCCCTGCCAGACATGCCCCCTACTCCCTGATCTCAGCCTCCAGAAGCATGAGCCAAATAAGTTTCTCTTCATTATAGATTACTCAGTCTCAGGGATTTTAACAGCATAAAAGAGACTAAGACAATGCATAACATAAAATTTATTATTTTCACCTTTTTAAAATGTACTACTCAGTGGTATTAAGTACTATCATAATATATTTTAATCCTTTCTGCCACTGATGGACATTAAGGTGGTTTCCAATTTTTTAAAAATTTTATTTTATTCTGGTAAAAACACTTAACATGAGATCTTCCCTTTGAACACATATTAAAGAGTATAATACATTATTGTTGACTACAGGTACAATGTTGTACAAAAGCCCTCTAGAGCTTATTTATCTTGCTTAACTAAAACTTTATGGCCATTGATTAGTAAGTCCCAATATTTCCCTCTCCTGGCAACCACCATGTTACTCTTTGATTCTATGAATTTGACTATTTTAGATACCTAACATAAAGTAGAATCATGTAGTATTGTCTTTCTGTGGTTGGCTTATTTCACTTAGCATAATGTCCTCAAAGTTCATCCAAGTTGCCCCATGTTGCAGAATTTTCTTCTTTTTATATGGCCAAATAGCATTTTATTGTATATATATATTATATATGTGAAATATATATAATCTCTCTATATAATATAGATTATATATATATTTTCACATTTTCTTTACCCATTTATTCACTGATAGATGTTTAAGGTTGTTTCCATATTCTGGCTATTGTGAATAGAGCTGCAATGAACAAGGGAGTGCTAATATTCCTTTGAGCTTCTGATTTCAATTCTTTTGAATAAGTACCCAGAAGTGGAATTGCTGAATCATATGGTAGCTCTATTTTTAATTTTTTTGAGGATTCTCCACACTGTTTTCCACAATGGCTGTACTAATTTACATTCCCACCAACTATGTGCAAGTGTCCCTTTTCTCCACATCCTCTGTAACTCTTATTGTCTTTTGTTTTTTTGAGAGTAACCATCCTAACAGGTGTGAGATATCTTATTGTGGTTTTGGTTTGTATTTTCCTGATGATTAGTGACATGAAGCATTTTTTCATATACTTATTGACCACTTTTATGTCTTCTTTGGATAGATGTCTATTCAAGTCCTTAACCCATCATTTATTTGGGTTATTAGTCTTCTTTTCTTTTTTTTTTTTTTTCCTGAAATTGAGTTGTAAGCTTCTTACAAGTTTAGAGATTAACTCCTTTTCAGATATATGGTTTGCAATTATTTTCTCCCATTCCATCAGTTGCCTTTTCACTCTGTTGATTATTTCCTATATGGTTGTTTCACTCTGTTGATGTTTCCTTTATGTTTTCTTCTAGGAGTTTTATAGTTTCTGGTCTCATGTTTACATCATTAATCTACTTTGAGTTGATTTTTGTGTATTTTGTAAGAAAAGAGTCCAGTTTTATTCTTTTGCATGTGGAATCTGGTTTTTTCAGCACCATTTGTTGAAGAGACTATACTTTTCTTATTATCTATTCTGGATACCCTTCTCTAAGGTCAATTGACTGTCAGTGCATGGGTTTATTTCCAGACTATTCTATTCCATTGGTCTATGTATTTGTTTTTATACCAGTACCACACTGTTTTGATTATTATAGCTTTGTAATACATTTTATAAATCAGGAAATGTGATGTTTTTTAGATTTAGTCTTCTTTTACAAGATTAATTTGGCTATATGTAGTCTTCTGTGGTTCCATATGAATTACAGAATTGCTTTTCCCTCCTATTTTTGTAAAAAATGCTATGGGGATTTTGATAGAGATTGTATTAAAATTGTAGTTAGTTTTTGGTAGTATGGGCATTTTAATAGTATTAAGTCTCCCAGTCCGTGAACATGGGATGTTTTTCCATTTGTGTTTCTTCTTTAATTTCTTTCATCAGTGTTTTGTGATTTTTAGTATACAAGTATTTCTGCTCATTAACTAAGTTTATTTCTAAGTATTATATTCTTTTTGTTGCTGTTGTAAATAAAATTGTTTTCCTATTTTTCTTTTCAGATAGTCTTTTGTATAGAAATGCAACTGGGCTGGGTGTGGCTTGAGCCTGTAATCCCAGGGGTTTGGGAGGCCAAGGCAGGGGGAGGATTACTTGAGGCCAGGAGTTTGAGACCAGCCTGGACAACACAGCAAGACCCTGTCTCTTAAAAATAAATTAGCTGGGCCTGGTGGTGCATGTCTGCAGTTCTTGCTACTCAAAAGGCTGAGGCAGGAGGATTACAACTGATTTTTGTGTGTTGGTTTTGTATTTTGAATTCTGCAATTTTAATGAATTTGTTTATTAGTTTTAATAGGTTGTTTTTTAATAGAGTCCTTGGAGTTTTCTGTGTATAAGATAATTCAAATGTCTTTTATTTCTTTTTCTTGCCTAATTGCTCTGGTTAGGACTTTCAGTATTCTGTTGAATAGAAGTGGCAAAAATGGAGATCTTGCCTTGGTCCTGATCTTAGAGAGAAAGCTTTCAGGTTGTTGACATTGGATATGATGTTAGCTGTGGGATTTATATATATATATGCCCCTTTATTATATTGAGGTACTTTTCTTACATTCATAGTTTGTTGAGAATTTTTATCCTGAAAGGAAGTTGGATTTTGCCAAATGCTTTTTCTGCATCTATTGAGATGATTATGTGATTTTTATCCCTTTTTAAATTTAATATTGTGTATCACATTAATTTTTTTGAGACAAAGTCTCTCTCTGTCACCCAGGATGGAGTACAGTGGTGTGCACATGGCTCACTACAGCCTCAACCTCCTGGGCTCAAGCCATCTTCCCACCTCAGCGTCCTGAGTAACTGGGACCACAGGTGCATACCACCACACCTGGATAATTTTTTCAAATTTTTTTTGGAGAGATAGGTTCTCACTTTGTTGCCACACTGGTCTCAAAGTCCTGGGCTTAAGTGATCCTCTTGCCTTGGCCTCCTAAAAGTTCTGGGATTACAGGCAGGAGCCACAGTGTTTAGCTGAATTTTTTATTTTAAACTATCTTTGCATCTCAGGGATAAATGTCATTTGGTGATGGTTTATCATTATCTTAATGTGCTGTTGGATTTTGTTTTCTAGTATTTTCTTGAGGATTTTTGCATCTATGTTCATCGAAGATATTGGCCTGTTTTCTGTTCTATGTGGTGTCATTGTCCGACTTTGGTGTCAGGGTAATGGCTTCATAAAATGAATTTGAAAGTGTCTCTTTCTCTTCAATTTTTAGAAGGAGTTTGAGAAGACGCGGCATTGTTTTTTCTTTAAGTGTTTGGTGGAATTTACTAGTGAATCTATCTGGTCCTGGGCTTTTCTTTGTTGGAGGATTTTTTTATTAGTGATTCAGATTAAATTGGACACATTTAGGGTGGTATGGCCATAAATTGATTATTATTTCAATCTCCATATTAGGAATAGGTCTGTTATGACTTTCTATTTGTTCATGATTTAGTCCTGGTAGGTTGTATGTGTCTAGAAATTTATTAATTTCTTCTAAATTATCCAATTGGTTGGCGTAATTATTTGTACTACTCTCTTATGATCCTTTTTATTTCTGTGACATCAGTTGTAATGCTTCTTCTTTCATTTATGACTGTTTATTTGAGTCTTTTTTTCTTAGTCTAGCTAAGGGTTTGCCAATTTTGTTTTTCTTTTCAGGAAACCAACTCTCAGTTTTATTGATTTTTAAATTATTTTTCTATATTCTGTTTATTTCTGTTCCAATATTTGTTATTTCTTTCCTTCTGCTAACTTTGGGGTTAGTTTGTTCTCTTTTTTTTAAGTTATTTCAGGTATAATGTTAGGTTGTTTATTTGAGGCCTTTTTTATTTTTAAATGCAGGTGTTTATTACTATGAACTTCCCTTTTAACACTGCTTTTACTACATCCTGTAAGTTTTCATATGTTGTGTTTTTTTATTTCATAGTCTTGAGGTATTTTCTAATTTTGTTTTATTTCTTCTTTGGCTGAATGGATGCTGTGAGTGTGTTGTTAATTTGCATATATTTGGGAATTTTTCAGCTTGCTTTCTGCTATTGATTTTTAGTTTCATTCCATTGTGGTCTGAAAAGATACTTAGTATTATTTCAATCTTTTAAAATTTGTTATGACTTGTTTTGTGACCTAACATGTGATCTATTCTGGACAAAGTTTCATGTGAGCTTGAGAAGAATGTGTATTCTCCTGTTGCTTGATAGAATGTTCTATCAAACATTGTTGGTAGGACAATGTTACCAATTTTGGTAGAACGCTGGTTCTAATGTTACAAATGTTAGGGACATTTGGCCTATAGCATTATTCAAGTCCTCTGTTTCCTTATTGATTGTGTGTCTGGATGCTTTATTTATTATTCAAGGTGGGATATTAAACTCTCCTACTATTACCTCCTATTACTGTATTGGTGTGTATTTTGCCTTTCAGTTCTGCCAATGTTTGCTTTATATATTCAGGTGCTTGATACTGTGACCCTTTTATCATTATATTATGTCCTTCTTTGTCTTCTGTGACAGCTTTTGACTTAAAGTTACTTTTTCTGATATATGTATAATCATTTCTCCTCTCTTTTAGTTACCAGTTGCATGGAATATGTTTTCTATTCTTTCACTTTCAGTCTATGTGTATCCTTTAATCCAAAGTGAGTTTCCTATAGACAGCATACCATTGGGTCTTCTTTTTTTATGCATTAATCCACTCTATGAATTTAATATTTATTAAACTCTTTTTATTGGGGAGTTAAACCCGTTTACATTTAATGTAATTACTGCTAAGAAAGGGTTTATGGTTGCCATTTTAAAAATTGTTTTTTTATCTATCGTCTTCTTTTGTGTTTTATTGATTTTGTTGTTGATATGCTTTGATTTTTTTTCTCTTTTCTTTGATGTAACTTCCATAGGTACTTTTTGTGTGTGTGGTTACTTTGGGACTTACATAAACTATAAATGGTCTATTTTAGGCTGATAAAAACTTAAGTTCAATCACATACACTTTAACTTCTCCCCTCAACCATACTTTATGTTATTATTGTCACAATTTATATCTATTTATATTGTATATCTTTAAATATATGTTTAGTTATGGTTATTTTTAATACTTTTGCCTTTTAACTTTTATACTAGAATTAAAAGGGGTTTACTCCCCACTGTTACAGCAATACAGTATTCTCTATTTGTGTATATATAATATTTACCTTTACCAGTGAATTTCATACTTTCTTATGCTATAATGCAGCTGTTTAGTGTCCTTTTGTTTCAACTAGAGGAACTCTATTTAACATTCTTGTAAGGCAGGTCTAGTGGTGTAGAATTCCATAAACTTTTGTTTGTGTGGCAAAGTCTTTATCTCTCTTTTAGTTTTGAATGACAGTTTAGTTGGGTATAGTATTCTTGGTTGACATTTCTTTTCTTTCAGCACTGTGAATTTATTGTCTCACTTCCTTCTAGCCTATGAGGCTTCTGCTGAAAAATCTGCTTATAGTGTTGTGGCATTTCCCTTGTATGTAATGAGTCACTTTTTCCTTGCTGCTTTTAAATTTCTGACTGTCTTTGACTTTAGAACATTTAATTACAATATGCCTCATGAACATTTATTTGGTTTCATTTTATTTGGTTTTCTTTGAGCTTCTTGGATCTGGATGTCCATTTCCTTACTCAGATTTGGGAAGCTTTTAGTTATTGTTTCTTTGAATAAGCTTTCCAGTTATTTCTCTTCCTTCTTTGCTTCTGAGACTCCCCAATGTGTATATTGGTTCACTTGATGATCCTATAAGTCCCTTAAGCTTTCTTCAGTTTTTTTTTTTTTGCTTCTCTGACTAAACTATTTCCAATGACCTGTTGTTTAATTGATTCTTTTTTCTGCTTGGTGTAGTCTGCTGTTGAACTTCCCTAGCAAATTTTTAGTTTACAGTTACTATGTTTTTCACCTCCATGATTTGATTTTGGAATTTTAAAATATCTTCTATTGTTTTGTTGAAATCATTACTTAGTTCATGCACATTTCCTTGACCTTGGTGAACATCTTTATGACAGTTATTTTTAATTATCTGTCAGGTAAATTATATAAACCCATTTCATTAGGGTTGGTTTCTGTAAATTTATCTTGTTCCTTTGTTTGAAATATCTTTACCTGATTCTTCATCTTCCTTCTCTCTCTGTATTGTTATCTATGCATTAGACAAAGCAGGTACCTCTTCAAGTCCCTCATGGACTGGTCTTGCACAGGAACAGAACCCCACCAATCTGCCCAGACAATGATTCTGGAGTCTTCTTCCAACTCTTTCCCTCCCCAGGGAGAAGTAAGCAGCTGTGCTTTTTGTCCACTTGCTCTATGCTGAATTGTGGATTGGGGTTTGGGTAGAGTTATCAAAACCAAAGTCTCTGTCCTAGGCAGCTAGACTGTGCCAAACCCATCAGAGTTTCAGGATTGATGAAAGAAATGCCAGTTCTTCATGCAGCCCTGGAGAAGTTGGTCAGTGGGATGCATGGATCAAGTCTTTCCCTTCCCAGGGAGTAGCTGAGAGCTGGGATTTTAAAATTTTCTCACTCTGGGCTAAGCATGGGGGAGGATCTTTGGCCTCTACCAGTTCAAACTATGATCTCTGTTCTCCTTCAGGTAGCTAGATTATGCCAGATCTGTCAGAGCTCCAAAGCTGGCAAGGGAGAAGCCAGTGCTCTTGGAGCCCCCTCAGAAAAGTTGGGGCTCTAGACATGTGAACCAAGCCCTGCCTTTCCTCAAAAAAGCTGAGAGCTAAAGGATCTCTTCCTGATAGTATGGCACAGTGCCAGGGGTAGGAATTCTGGTGAGAGGGTGCCTTGAGTCTACCTGTCAACTTTGATGAGTCTGGTTTCACATTTATCTGGGTTGCAAGAGCCTTTCAATTCATTTCTGAATTTCTCAAAACGGGAATTTGTCTGTGAATTATTGCTCAATATGTGTGTTTGTGAGGAGAAGGAGGGTCTAGGGCTTTCTATTTTGCTATCTTGCTGATGTCCAAGCACAATCCATTCTTGACAAAGAAAATGCCACTGCATGTTACCATCATCATCACCATTAAAGAGTTGAGTTAACATTTTGTTGTCAAGGTTAATAAAGAGCTTTGATAAATGTCTTTTCAAAGTTAGGAAGAGAAGGAGCAAGGCAGTAAGTGTGCCTCTGTTCTACCTCTTTTTTTCTTCCTCTCAGTCTTCATGAACATCTTAGTGAGTATGGTAACTATGATGAAGCAGATTCAACAAAGGCAAGATAGTTTCTTATTTGCATTTTGAAACCACAGATCCTATCAGATAATTGGAATAGGGAGTTGGGGCTGCCTCCATTTTCCTTTCTTATTTTTAGAGATATGTGATCCTGAAAGTGGTAACTTGGAAAATTTAAAAAAAGGAGTCATTTAATTACTTTAACATTATTTCTATTTTTCTTTTAATTTATCATATTATTTTAGATAAAGTCTTAATAGAAATTCTTAAAGCTTTAAAATACTCCAAAAATTCCAAGAAAAATTTTGTCCATTTGTGTTCTCTTCTGTCCAGCCCTATTGCAGAACATGATTCAATGGGGTTGGAAACGCTAACAGTAAACTCTTCTGATTTTTCTATCCTTGGCTATTTTTGAATATTTGAATATAATTTTATTTTTTCTGTATGTGATTATGTAAAAGGTAAATATATTAGAAGGATTTGGATTAGATTCGTAACTATTTGATTTATCTAAAATATTGGGTAATTTTTTTTTAGCAGCTTAATGGAAATTTCTGAGTGTTGGTAAATCACATGCATCTTCCCAGTGTAATACCTCGCTACTAATGGGGTTCTACTGGAAGGGAAGAAGGAGAAAATGGATTGGCTATTGGAGAAGTATTGGCAGCTCTGAATTATCCTTATCTATTATAAAAACATACTAATATCTCAATGAGAGAAACACTTTATAGTATAGAATCAACTCCTAAAATCCCAAAGAGAACTTTTTCCATTTGTCCTTTCTTCTGTCCATCTCCATTGCAGATCATGGTTCTGCAGGGTTGGGAGGTTTAACAGTAAATTCTTCAGTTTTGTCTATCCACAGCTATTTTTTGAAGCATTTTCCATTACTAGGGCCATTTATATTTAGGCCCATTTCTACTGGTAAAGTATCCCATCTAACAACCTGGAGCATTAAACACCTCCTTAAAACTACTCATATGGTTTATTCTTTAGCTTACAACATGGTTTACACCATCCTCCCAAAGAGCCAGTCAAATTGATCATAGCCACCTGTTCCCCCACCCCCACCCCTAACACTTATGTAGAAACATGCAATATCAGCCTTTCAACTGCTGCAAGGCTCACTTTGAAGTCACAATTTGCTAAGCTATCCTGGTAGAAGAAGCAACTCCTACATTTGTCTTTTAAACTGAAATATTTGCCTGTGAATTTCTAAGTTAATACATTTTGACAATAACCTATTTTTCGGCCTTGATTTTCTTCATTTCAAGTCTATGTTCTTAGCTCCTTAGCTCTCTGGACTAGTTTTTCATTATAAATGGTGCTACCTTTTCATTGTAAACCCTGGGCAATTGTTTTTACTATCCCATTGCCGGCAAAAAGTACTATAAAGTGATTTTCCTGCCACATCAGTTATACGGTAAGTCATTCCTGTATTTTTATCCTTGCTAAATTATCTGCCTTTGGCAAGAGATCACAGACAAACTACAGACAGGGTTATAATCACGCTGCCTGCAGTCCCACAGGTCTGGCTAGAAATGACTTTCTCTTCCAGACTCCATCCCCTTTCATGTACTCTTTTCTCTGAGACATTCACTTTTCTATTGTTTGCATAGTGAATTTCCTCCTTCTCTCCAAATTATTAGTTTCCCCTTCACCCATATCATGTCATTGAAATTGTCTTAAATAATAAAGTAAGAGCAAAATGTTAAAAGGATTTTATTTTTAAAAAGCTGTTTAACATTTTTGTTGTACTTTTTTAAAGCTCTTGCATCTATGAATTTTTGCATTTCCCATAAATACATCTTTTATACCAAATAAATTTAAAGTTAATTAAGCTGTTCTTGCTTTAATGGGGGATTGAGCTCTGAAATGTGATTGTTTGGAGTGAGGCATAGATTAGCAAAATGATTTCCTTTTCTCTGTGCATGGAAAACATTATGTCACATTTAGTAAGTACCTACTGGAATTCTTAGCTGTAGTTAAATCATGTTAGTATTTTCCTTGGGGTAGAAGCAGAGTGGTTAAGCCTGCTGAATGATTTGATATAGGTGAAAACTTGGCGGGGAGCCTTGTAACCTCAGGCTGTGAATCTGAGCTCAGCCACACATTTCTACACATTCCCCAGCATCCCTTATTACAGATATGAGGAACTGTTTTAAGGAGGTGGTGGAGTTATTCCCATTTATTCAAGAACTGAACAGAGCTATTAGAAAGAAATTTTTAAGTCCTCTGTGGGATGAAAATCATTCTTCCACTGCTGTAAGACAGTGATGGAAGTTTTGTGTGCCAAGAGGAAAGAGCTGAAAGGACTAGAAAAATCATTGTGTTTTTCCACTCCTTTAAGTCATTAAAATCGGCTTAAACTATTGAAACTTATTTTTCATGCAACTGGCTCCTCCTACCATAACCTGTCAACATAATGCTTCCTATTTTTTCTTGATTTTTAAAAGTGCTGTGTTGAAACAAGGTAAGTTGATTCTGAAACTCTACAGTCCTGATGTTTCTAGATAGCATTAGTACTGTCAGAAGTTTCTCTTTCTGGTGGTGCAGTTAGAAGGGGAATTTGTTTTGAAGAAGAGTCTGGGAGTATGAATCTGTACTTGTCAGCCACGACCCTGCTCCAGTTACATGTCCTCTTTGAGCCTCAGTGTTCCTGTCTGAAAAAATGGGGAAAATTATGTCCAGGTTGCAGGGTTGTGGAAGAGGTTACACTAATGCTTTTAGCACAGTAATTGGCACAAAATAAGTACTCAGGACTCAGTAAGTGTTAATTGCCTTCTTTATGGCCCTCAAGAGTGATATTATTTTATCAGTAAAATCATCATATTATTTATGGTAGTACTCCAGATGTATTTTTTAAAATGCAAATAATTTGTATGAATGCAACTAAGTTTTTTTAGTAGAGATTCTTATTTTAGCAGTACAAAAATATTAGCATATACTAACAGGTATAGTATATCTTCAGGGTTAATTCTTAGCAGTAACATTATTTAATCAAAGGGAAATGCATTTTTTGATAATTATTGGCAAATTTCTCTACAAAAAGGCTGCATCAGTTTTGATTGCCTCCAAAGATGTATAGCAGTGCCCATTTCTCCATGCCCAGATAAGAATTGGATTTTTTTTAAGTTTTAATTTGGGGGCCACTATGTGAAATAAAATCTATCATACTGGCAAATAATTCATATAGGATTTAAACCTGAAGGTGCTGTGAAACTACCAGAAGGATTTTTAATGTCACAATCTATTGCTTTCCTTCTATGGACTCATACTTCTTTTCAGTGTTGGATTTCTGGGTGAAAATACTACCTCCTTCCCTTTATCCCCATTCTACCAGCTTCTTATATCCTTCCAGGCTTCTGTAGGGGGTCAAATTTCTTAGCCCAAAGTAACACAAACAAAAAAACAGAGAGAGCGGACCCTCTCACGATCTTTCATAGCTAGCAAACTTCTCTGGGCTTGTCTCATATAAAATCAGTAGAGATCAGTGATACTCAAACTTGAATGTGTGTAAAAATCAGGGCATTGTGAAAAATAAAGATTTGTTCATTGTCCTCAAGAGAATCTCATTCTATAGGCCTGGGATGGGGCCTGAAAATTTTTAAATAAACACCACAGGTGATATAGGCAACCCCCAGACCACAGTGGTATAAGCTTCAGAAGGCACAAAACATTCATAGCACAGTACCATGTCCTGGAGAAGCAGAACCTCCCCATTTCACTTAGATACACAGCTTTTACCCAATCAGGTTCAGTCTCTGTAAAGATGTCTTTTATACTCAAGAATGGTAAATAGGTCCCAGACAGGCAATTGAGCTTCCCCTGTGACTATGTGCTCTTTGCCTTTGAGCTGTGATGAGTCTTTGAGAAGTGAAGCTAAACCGCCAACACCTGATGGAAGTAAAGAAAGTATTTTATTGGCCTGGTACTCATTCATTAACCTGAAAGCAACACCTTTGAGCTTCCTTGACATGGCAACATCACATGCCTCACCAATTACTCTCTTCTCTTCATATCACCTACGCCTCTGACCTCAACTGAACTGGCAAAACTGTCAGGGAAAGCACCTTAATTATTACTGTGGTATGAAAAGTATGGCTAGGGAGATGAAGGAGGGAAAAGAGGCATTCAGAATTAGGTCATTTTTCTTAGAGTTTCTCAGCACTTTATCAAGTTTGTAGATGTTGCTGTTAATTGATTCAGCAAGCCTGCTCTGATGGCTTCTGATTCCTTTTGCTTGCCTAATCTGTACCTAGCGCGGTGTTATTAGGCCATTCTTTCATTGCTATAAATAAATACCTGAGACTGGATAATTTATAAGAAAAGCGGTTTAATTCAATCATGGTTCTTCAGGCTTTAATGGAAGCATGGTACTGGCATCTGCTCAGCTTCTAGGGAGACCTCAGGAAGCGTACAATCATGGCGGAGATGAAAGAGGAGGTGGTATATCACATGGGGAAAGCAGGAGCAAGTGAGAGAGAGAGTGGAGGGAGGCGCCACACACTTTTAAACAACCAGATCTCATGTGAGCCCAGAGTGAGAGCTCACTTATCACCAAGGAGATGGCCCAAGCCATTCATGTGGGATCTGCCACCATGCTCCAAACACCTCCCAACAGGCCCCATTTTCAACAGCGGGGATTACATCTCAACATGAGGTTTGGAGGGGCCATTCAAACTACATCACATGGTTCCCAGTGCCTGGCATGTAGTCAGTAAGTGTTTTTTTCCATGTTCATACATGTACACACTCCTTCAACAACTATCTACTGAGAGTCTGACTCCGAGCAGGCCTGTGGGATATGATGGCAAACAAGACGGATTTGGTCCTTCCCCTGGGGTTTACATTTTGATTGTCGAAATTCATTGTAAATTACAGTTGGTATACTGCTACAAATAATGTATGAGCTTTAGTGGGAATGAGCAATTTAACTGGGAAATCAGTCTAAGTTTTCCTTCAGAGCATCCCAAACTAAAAATAAATAAACAAATGAAAACATGATGAATCTTTTTGGTCAATACGATAAGCTATTTCAGGATATTTTAAGTCATTTTGAAGAATAGTCTCCCAGAATTGTCAAGCTTGTCTTTTAGAGTAGTACTTTTTTTTGAGACGGAGTCTTGCTCTGTCATCCAGCCTGGAGTGCAGTGGCGTGATCTTGGCTCACTGCTACCTCCACCTCTGGGATTCAAGGGATTCTCTCACTTCAGCCTCCCAAGTAGCTGGGATTACAGGTGCGTGCCACCACACCTGGCTAATTTTTGTATTTTTAGTAGAAATGGGTTTCACATGTTGGCCAGGCTGGTCTTGAACTCCTGACCTCAATTGATCTGCCTGCCTTGGCCTCCGAAAGTGCTGGGATTACAGACGTGAGCCACCACGCGTGGCCTAGAGTAGTTCTATAATGTACAGGGCTTCTTAACCAAAGCTCTTTGGTTCATTCTCATAAATAGGTAAGTGTCTTTTCTTCTTTTTGCCCAATACCCAGATATATGTTAAGTTCTTTGTGGTCTTTTCAATATCAGAGCTACTTGTAGGCCCAGGCAGGGCTTCCAGCCAGAGTGTTCATGTGAGCACCTCTTGGATGTGCTCTGGGAAGAAGTATGATCTAGACAACATGATAACTACTGTCTGGAATGTTGATCTGATTTCTCTAGGCAGCATGCTATGTAGACAGATGACTCCCATGGATGGGTGGCTTGTGAACAGCTTGAGCATTCTCATGTGGTTGCTTTAGTGAATATCTTTTCATCACCATATTCAGGGACATCTGCTGTTGGAGATCCTGTGAAATAAATTAATTTGTGATTTTATCAGCCTGCACATGTAACCTGGGTACTGTCGTAGCTCCTATGCAAATATATTATACCCATTAAAGTATTCAGTGCTGCTGACACAATGACATAATTAAGAATGCTCTCTTATCCTCAGGGAAGAGGCTTAGAATATGCTTATTATTATTGGTACACATTGTAAGGGCATGGCTCCAGAAGTAGTTGTGGAATTGCTAGGTGAAACTTCCCTGGGATAATCCCATAAAGAATCAGTAGAGATGAGCAATACTCAAATTTGCATATACTCAATGCATAACAATTATAATATATGTAACGAGTTGCTGTCTTCTGGCATCATAAAGTGAAATGTTAGGAAGTCATGGCTTATGCTCATCAAAACCTGCTGATACCTGTTTGGTGTGCTAGCGAGTGACCTTATACTGCCTCAGAGTTCCTAAAGTGACTTAGTGATGATCCAGGTTAACTCAGCACATACTGATTAAACACCTAACCTGTTCCAGGGACACTGCTGGATGCTGAAAAGGGATAAAATAATGAACAAAGTTTTCAGCCTCAATATCTCATCAACCTGGAGAATTTGTGGAACATAAATCTCAATGCAGATGATGAGGATCAAGATAATTATAGTATTGCTTTTCACACAGGACACCACGGGGGTATGTGTGGACCATTGTGAGGGGTGAATAATACCAACCTTGATGTGGTAACCAAAGAACATCATCTCGTTTTATAGCTGTCCTTAAATTTGCATATCTAATGTAACAAAACAACCCAGAATTGAAGGAAATCTCTCTGCACAGTATTTTACTGATCCACGGTTCACTCTTTAACATTTAGTGCAATCGTTGCCTCCATCTTGTAGCCACCCTGCCTGACCTCTCGTCCTCATTCTCTATGTCATGCTGTATTCTCTATCTTCTCACAGCTGAGAAGACTCAAAGGAAAGAGCCGTGCCTTCTGAGAATCAGAACTTTTGACTATTCAACAGAGGTCAACATATTATCCTCCAGATATTCTCTAAATAGGTATTTGGATCCAGTCAGCTATGGCACTAATTTTCTTTCTCTTTCCTTCTTTCCATCTTTCCTTCTTTCCTTCCTTCTTTCCTTCCTTCCTTCCTTCCTTCCTTCCTTCCTTCTTTCCTTCCTTCCTTCCCTCCTTCCTTTCTTAGACAGAGTTTCACACTTGTTGCCCAGGCTGGAGTGCAATGGTGCAATCTCAGCTCACTGCAACCTCCACCTCCCTGGTTCAAGCAATTCTCCTGCCTCAGCCTCCCGAGTAGCTGGGACTACAGGCATGTGCCACCATGCCCGGCTAATTTTTTTTGTATTTAGTAGAGACGGAGTTTCACCATGTTGATCAGGCTGGTCTCGAATTCCTGACCTCAGGTAGTCCACCTGCCTTGGCCTCCCAAAATGCTGGGATTACAGGCATGAGCCACTGTGCCTAGCCTCAACACTAATTTTCTTAAAAACAGAAATGTACTTTTAGCATTAGGGAAAAGTGGGTGGGAGAGAGGAGGTAGGATCCAGGAATCAAAATCTTAAATAGTCTGTCCTGGTACCAGTTTTACCACTTTTGGCAGCTAACACAATTTGGCCTGCACTGAAGCCTCATGGTGAAGTAAGAATTTAGGGTGACTGCTGACTTTTTGCGGAGAGTGAGAGAGCAACCTAAAGTAACACTCGTACTGGTGCCCAAACAACCATTTTGGCTAAAAAATAGCCCTGGACAAACTTATCCATAGGAGCTTGTCAATGGCACTACAACAGATACTTAAACACCCAGGAGGAGATATGAATTAGAGATCTTCAGTTTGGAATTTCCTTTGTCCTTAGATGTTTCTTGCTTTTTGAGATTCCAGGTGTGATATCATAATTTGCTAATGTCTGTTCTTTGGGATCTATCCTCTCTCAGCCAACGAGCATTGATTATAGACTAAGAAGCTCTAGATTCTGGGCTCAGTCCTGGGTATGCAAAGATAAAGAAGCAGTGATCCCTGTCTTCAATGAAATGTGACAAGATGTCTGAAGACATGGGGGCAGGTGGGGGGCATACAGGAGCACAACTGAGCCACCTCTGAAAGGAAGTGATATTTGAGTTCCTTTCCATGAAGAGTTAGATGGAATTAGGATGTTGGAGTGGAAGAAGATAGGAGATTGTTCCATGTAGTTTTAGGTGCAGTTGCAGGGTCAATAAATGTTGTTGCTGAAGGGCAGGGATCTAGTCCTGGAGGACCTTGTTCACCATATCTGGGAATGTGAGTTTCCTGGGGACACAGGAGGTACAAATTTGGGTGGATGGATAGAGAATCATAAAAAAAATTCATGTCTTCACTTTGCAGCAAAAACTAAGCTGAGTTTTATATGAATGTGCTTTATATGGATGTGTCATTCAGTTCTTAGAATGCTGAGTGAATTGAAGCATAAGGAAGGTAAGTGATTTGCTTTCATTGCACAACTCATAAACTGTTGTGCTGTGACATGAGATCAGCCTGACTCTGAATTTAAGTTCCTAATTACATATTACATAGCCTGATAGTATTTCTGGGCTTATCTGCTATATGAAAAGTTGTGATTACTCAATGCTAGATGATATGAAGTCTTGAAATATCTGAACTTTGTTTTGATTAATGTGAGTGCCATATTTTCCCAAGGTGACTCTTTCTGTTTTAGGATCTGAATTTTATAAAGGGAATTTGATGAAATATAAAGGGTATGAGTGGGTATGACCTCTGCAGTCAAGTTGACTTGTCTTCAAATTCTAGCTAGGGCATTTGCTAGGGGTGTGGCTTTGGGGCAGATTTCTTAAACTCTCTGAGCTTTAGTTTCTTCATTGGTAGGAGCTGGATGAAAATGCTCAACTTGCAGGGATATAGTAAGGATTAATAGGGATATAAGGCATCTAGCACAGTATCTGGCCAAGAGCAAGCACTGAATAAATTACTATATTATTATTCATTTTCTTGAATCTGCCAGCAGGGCTTTGGTATAATCCTCTGTATTCATGGTCGGGACTCAGCTGTCCAAACTGAGTTACAGATGTGGCAGAGAACACCTTTCTCATTCCCATGATCCTCTGTGCAGGCCTGCACTACCTGGTTGTGAGCAGAAAGGATTTCAGAAGCTACTCTTTTCATTTCTCTGATATGTACCTTCTGCTTTTTCTAGAACTATTATAAATGTCCAGTTTGGTTTCTTATACACTGAACATACCTATGCTGTCTTAGAACTGCAGAGCTGCAATTGGTTTTCTTAGCATCAGTGAATGCCCTCCCCAGGCTGCCGCTACTTCTGAAGTGTGTAAATTGTGATGGGGATGGTGAGAAACTTTTTTTTTTTTTTTGACAATTGTGTGAGCTGGTCAGATATCTGGGCACTAGGTGAAGTCGGGATTTTTGTAGGACCTCATTACCATACATATTTGGACTACACAGACTGGCACACAAGACCTTTTTTGTTCAGGGCCTTCTAATTTTTTTTTAAACAGGCAGAAAAATTCTCAGGGTATGAATTCAGTATGCGTATAGTGGGTGTACAATTATTAGCACACTGCTATACCCCTGAAATGTCAATTCATGTACAAGAGGGCCTTACTTCCAGAGGAAAGGGCCAATCCAGTTGCCTGCAAATGATGCTTCATGGTGAACTAACATGGTCTGTTTTGACCTTGGTTTCTTTCTTAATTCCATCCCATCAGTATAGATTGATTACAAAGAGGCCAGCTACTTCAATGACTGAAAAAGTGACTAAAGGCTCCCCCCCTCCATACTCACCTTTTGTGGTGGTGGTGGGGGAGCATAATCCAAGTGTACAAGTAACTACTATATGGAGTATTAGATGAGAAATGCTTTAAGAGATATAATGGCCAAGTGCATCGAGATTCCAAGGAAGGCAATGTTAAATACAAGGACGGAAAGTTGGGAAAGTTTCATAGAGAACAACTCCTTCTTTGTATTTAGAAGATAATGTGTTGTGTAGCCGTAAAACAGGTAAGAGGCAAGTAGGTCTTAAAACCACACTCTGTTATTGCAAAAACAACTCTGGACTAACCCGATTCTAAATCACTTTAGCATCTAAGATCAGAAAAGGGAACGGTGAACTTAAGCTTCCCCAAAACAGACACCACAGACTCTGTTCCAGGAGGCAAAATGGGATTTTTAATTCAAGAGGTTATAGCTTATTCATTGTATCCTAAAAACACACATTTAAACACACCTGAGTGCACAGTATTCTGAAGATCAGTGTATCATTGTGGAGGGTAAATTGATGTTTTCCTAGGTGTCACCAATGTCAATGAACCCGTAAATCTACCATTCTGTGTTTAGCTCATAATACCTTTAATGAGAAAATAAAGCAAACTTGATTTTTTGACATATAGACATGGTCTTGAATGGTATATATATTTTTTTTTGAGAAAGGTCTCTTTTTGTTTGTCTTTTAAGGAAAGACCTACCTTTTCTTTCCAAATTATTTGTTGCAGAAATATAGGCAGACATACAAATTAAACTAAGAACCACATTCCCATTGCATCCAAGTTTTACGGTGGGCCTGTGCTGGCCTTTACGATTCTCCTCAGGGCTTTTGAGTTTTTCTGGCCTGGCCGGAATTTTATAATTGAAAAATTTTCCATCTGACTTTGGCCCTTCCAGCAAATACTGTACAAGCATTTTCATTGTACATCATGCTGAGTTTGAAAGAAGGCAAAACAGACGTGCAGTTCCTCTTTCTGTCAGGAGCTTCACCCCAGGAAGCAAGCTCAGCTGCTCCTGTCCTTGATCTGCTGGGATGGAGCTAGACAAAGAGTGATATTGTGAATCATTCAGTGCCTTCCCATGTTGCCCAGATTACACACCACCCACCAGAAACATGGGAGAGCAGCATTTTCCCCCGAAGGAGCAGTGTTTAAATTGTCCTTTTTTCAGCAGAACCACTGAATGGACCCAGCTCCATTCTTCCTGGCTGTCTCTCTTCCCCATGATGCTTGTGTGTACATTTCTCTCCTTCTTCTGTATCCTGTTCTCTTTAAAACCTGAGCTGTTACTCATCACTGGCGTGCTCTTTATCCCACTCTCCATTGTGACTTTTCCACACTTCCTCCATTTCACAGCTTCATCAAATCTTCCTTTTGTCTTTTGGATCTCCAACCTTTTCCTCCCACTGTCTTATCCTTTCCTTCTGTTTGTAAACATCTTCTTGTTTCCTCATATTTTAATAAAAACAAAGATAAATGAACAAACACTTTCCTAGATATGGTGTGGGCTTGTCCAACTTCTCTGATATCCAGACTTATGAGACTAGGCTTTATCTCTAAGTTGTTACTTTTCCTCCCACTACATTCTACTTTCTTCTCCAACAGCTGGAGAAAAACTGCTCTCCTGAAGGTTACCAGGGGCTTTCACAGGCAATTGCAGGTTCTTGATTCTGCTGCTAATTGACTTCATATTAAACCCGATGCTGTTGATGACCCTCTTCTCACCCCCTTGTCCTGTCCTTCAGGGACTCTCCTGACTCCTCCTCTCCCACCTGCCTCTCAGAGGCAAATGTTTCTCAAGATTCTATGCCTGGGCTCCCTTTTGTTTGAAAATTTTCATCTGATATCACTTCTATGCTAATGGCTCCTAAATTTTTATTTCTAGCCTTAATTTCTCTCCTGATTACTGAATACTGTGAAAAAAAAATCTGGATATGGTTCTGCATCCATGCTCCTTAAATTCAACAGCAACTAAATCCAATTTATCTTTTCAGTTTATTTCCATGTCTAGACTTGCTTCTTCCCAGGCCTTCCTCTTCTCAGTTAATTATTATACATCCATCTCAAAGCCAGGCAAGCTGGAACCCTTTGACTTGTTCCCCAACTTCATTCTCTTCATCTAATCCGTCCAAAGTACTGTCAATTTAACCATCAAATGTTTCTTAAATTATACCTTTTCAGTTTGTATGCCATTACTGTAACGAGGGTTTGGATTATTTCATTAGTCTCCTGGATTCACATCTCTTTCTTCTAGGAGTTATCATTTTTCACTCATTCCAAAGTTAATCTTTTTTAAACATAGTACAAACTGTCTCATCTTCTACTGTTGTCTTTCAATAGCTCCTCATTGTCCAAATGGTTAAATTTTAGCTCCCAGGGACAGCATTCAAGGTTTTCCATTACTTCATATATCTTTTTAGGTTTCTCTCCCACAGTGCACTCTCCATGGACTTATGTGCAGTTGAGGTCAGACCAGAATAAACAGAGGGTGCCTTCAGACCCCGTGATCTTTGTGCTATTGTTCATTTCAAAATGGTCCTATGGTCTCCCTGCTCTGTCTTCTGCTCTGATACCACACCTTTCCTGAAACCTGTCTTAACAGCCTAGACAATATTTTCTGTTGTGAACTCTGCAATATGTTGTGATGAATTTAGCAGGATAGAAAAGAAGGAGCCCTGATTTTTGCATCAGACAACTTAAATTCAAATTCCTGTCCACCACTTGCAAGCTTTGTAGCCCACTGTGGCTTCCAAGTTACCTGGAGTGACTTTGCCATTTCCATGCCTATACTCTCAGGAAGTGGCAACTCCATTCTGGCAGTTGCTCAAGTTACAAACCTTGTAGTACTTTTGAACTCTCCCCGGCGCCTACTCTATAGCTAATCCATCAGCAATTATATTGGCTCTGCTTTCTAAATAATCCAGAATCTAACCACTTCTCCTAATCTCTGCTGCTACCACCTGGGTTCAAGCAACCTTCCACTGTCATCTGGATATTTTCCAGAGCCTCCTCGCTGTTCTTCCTGTTTCTACCTGTTTCCTTCTTGTTTCCAGCCTTACCCTGCTCCAGTCTGTTCTCAATGCAGCATCTGGAGTGATCCTGTTAAACCATGTCAGATCTTGTTACTCCTCTATTCAAAACTCTTCAATGATTTTCTTGCTCACTCATAGATTTACGAAGATGAAGACGCAATGTTACCTACAGGCTCCCATGACCTGCCTCCTCATACCATGATTTTTCTCTTTTCATCTCATACACTCTCTCCCTTCCTCATTGTTCCCTCATGGTTCCTCAAACAGGCCAAGGAAAATCCATCTGGGGCCTTTGAAATTGTGCTTGCCTCTCCTCGGAATACTCTTTCCCAGATATCTATACTTCTCAGGAAAACGCTCCTAGGCCAAAAAGATTTTGAAAATCCATTGGTAATAAATGCAATAGGTTGCTGTCTTTTTATATAAATATTTATTCCACAAGCATTCAAAAGGGGGAGGTAACTCACATCTATTGACCTCATTGAGCTAGATATTGTGATAGAATTATTTTATTATGTGATTTTATTTGCATAGTAACCCTTAGTGCCCATTTTTTAGGAAAAGAAAGCAAGGCTCAGAGATATTAAGTAATTTGTCTATATTAGTGAAAGAGCTGAAATGTGAAGCAGGGTCTAACTTCAAAGCCTTTCACTCTTTATATTACACCATTATTATTGTTCTTCTTGTTTTTGTTTGTACCTACCACACACCAGACACTGTCAAGATGCTTGAGGTGAAATCATAAATGGAAAATATTTGTGACTGGTGTGCTTAGTCTAGGGGAAAGCCTCCCTCACACAGTTCTGAGCAGTGGGCCATCATGCTGTCAGAGCCGACCAACAGTCTTTCCCATGGGAAGTGATGTTAGAAAGATGCACAACCAATCACCAGAGGGAATTTGGTGGGAGACAGGGGAGGGCATCCCACACAAAAAGAGCAAAGCAATTCAAGTCACTATGGGGAATGACCAGTCACTCTGCTGCTCATTTGAACCCTCTGGTTACAGGAAATAGATATTCGAAATCCCTGCCTCCAGTGGTAGCATCCTCACTCATTACCAGGCAATTATCAATCACTGCCTCAATGAGAGCCCAATGTTGCCAGATCTTCCACGTTTTCCCCTCTGAAATTTGCATGTTTATGTGACATCCTCTAACGGTGAAATGTTGGCAATCAATTCCTTCATGTTAGAATATTCAACAACAAAGGTCTGTCTTGAGTCAAGTGTGGCCCCTCTGTCCCTGCTCTGTGAGCCTTGGTATGTGGGACAGGGTGGACTGTTAAACAATGAGCTCATCCTGAAGGCTCGGAGAGAGGGTGTTCTAGCCCCAAACACCCTAGAACCCAGTACTAGCCCTGAGAGTGAATGCCTAAGGTGGCATTGTCTACCGCAAGGTTCCTTATCCCCTGTACCCTCCCCTGCCACATGAGGCACGGCTTCAATCTCTTCTCTTCTGGAACCCTGTATCTGATCACACTAACCTACACCTTCAGGCCCCAAGGAATCCCACTCCACAGTCTAATAGATGAAGATGGGGAAGCTGTTACACTAAAAGAGGGTAGGGCATGGGAAATATATTTCAGATATCTTAGATATTTCCCAGAGATTGTGTACACCATGATTACTGAAGTGGCAGTGGGAAGAGGACTCAGATTTGGTTCAAGAGGTTCATAGGAGACAGTGATTTTGAAGTATCCCCACATGGACTCTTCTAAAACAATCTCAGGAAGGATCATTTCTTTTTTCAATGATTGTGTTTCTTAAACATAATAGCTTTTCAGAAATATCCTTTATTCAATTAAAGAGGTTTCTTTGGCCACCAGTTTGTTCCCATTTCTCAGCTGTGTGCTAATCTTTCTACAGCATGAATCTGACCATGTCTCCCCCTACTTACATTCCTTTAATGGCTCCTTTTGTCTTTTAGGATAAGGCTCACCGTGGCCCCCAACGTGGATTATGATCCTGCCCTGCCTCATCTCTATCCTTTCCTCTCACCTTTCCCCGCAGTGCAACCATAGTTTGTCTTAGTAAAAAGCAAAGGCTTTTTTAAACTAAAGAAATTAAACAGAAGATGGAGGAGGTAGTAGTGTGTACTAAGAATGGGTTAAATAAGACATGAGACTTATTTAGAATCAAATTCTAGATTGAGTCAAATCAATGACTCTGTCCTAAGTATAGGTCATAGTTATACTATTTATATGTCAATATGGATTAGAATTTAAGAATAATTATGACATCTGTTCCATATACAAAATACAACTTTTAAAATTATTCCTTATCAATTCTTGCTTTATAAAAGCCTACTCAAGATTTCATGTCCATGATGGCATATGGCTAAAAAGCTTGGCCTCTGGAGTCATCCTTCTGAACTTCAAATCCTAGATCTGTCACTTGTTAACTGTGTGGCCTTCACCAAGTTTCTCTGTTTGCTCATCTTTAAAATAATAATCATAACAAGTATCATTTTGATTACTAAACATATGCCAGCATTCTTTCAAATATTTTACATATATTATAGCAATTAATTATCATTAATCTTCTTATTTTATCAATAAGAAACAATGAAAAGCACAGAGGTTAAAGTACCTTGCCTGAAATCAAGCAGCTAGTTAGGGGCATAACCAATACTAGCCCAAACTGACTTCAGTGTCCATGCTCTTAACTGCTTAACCATTAAGCTAAACTCTCAGAACAGAACATATTTCCTAGGGTATCTACCTGGTAGTTATATCATGATGATTAAATAGACAATCCATATAAATAAATCATGTCATTAAATTACATGATATACTTAAAGCCACAATGCTTGGCACTTCAGTGTTCAGTAAATGTTAGCGTAGAAATTATTTTTATTGTCATCATTATTTGGCGTTCTTACTTGGCTGCCAAGGCACGTTTATATAAGTGGATTGCCAATTGTCTTTCACTTTAACTGTCATCGTCAGCTTATTCAAAAGTATGCAGTTGTTTCTAACTCAAAAAATTCTTTCTGGCATTTCCAACCATAATGTTTTGTAATAACAAGTACTTTGATACATATTTTCTCAGCAAAAAGCCATTGCAGTCAATCTTTGTGATTTAATGTCTGGCATGATTTATTTTTCCATCTTGCAGCTTCCTAAAGTGTATTAGGAATAAATAGATGTTAAGAAACTATGAATTTAGTTTTAAAGATTAATGTGTAGTAGTAGTGTTAGCAATAAGAATGTGCGTAAATATCATGGTCTATAAAAGACTTGTGTCGCTATAAAGATTGGCACATATGAATTTTTATGTCACTGCTGAATGCTTCTTCAACAACAGCAGTATGTCATTTAATACAGTAGCAACATGAAACTCTGTAGGGGGTGAGTGTTAGAATACTTTATGTTGTCTCCTCTTCGTATCTTTTTCATGTTACCTACATGCTGAGTAGCAGCTCTCTGTTCAACCTGTCATAAGGAACTCAGTTGTTTAAGTCAATATCTCAGTTGTCATAAACTTGATTTTGTCTTATACCATATCCTAGTAGGACCTTTGCTTGTGATACTTTTAGTTGACTGAGCTTCCCTATAATATGAAAAACATCTTTCATGTTTGGCTATTTTTATCTTTCCAAATCCAGAGCTCCATTCTGAAATCTAAGTTTTTCCCTAGGAAAGCTTTTATTTTTCTTCTTTATAGCTGGCCCTCTCCTTTCTAACGTCACCACACCTGTGTCATATTATCCTGTAAATGCATATTGAGTGCAAATGTATTTTTCTCTTTGAGGGATATAAAGTAACATGTATCCAGAAATATGAATCTATTTCTGCAGAGTCTATGCAATCAATCATCTCATGAATGAATGAAACTTTGGTACTGTTCTGGTACTTTCAAACAGCTTCTTCATAATAATTCTAGATATTGATAAATTAGTATGCCATCAACCTGTATGTATATGGATCCCTTATGTAACAAGGACATGTTTTATAACAGTTTCCCCCAAAAAAGATTTTAAATGCAATTAGAGAAGCAAATAGGTATGCATGGGTAAGTAAATTAGAATAGATGGATAATATGAACAAAAATCAGAAACAAATTCTGCAAGTAGTGAATGTGGTTCCTAAAAGCTGTTGGTTCAAGGGACTTAAGGTTTTGCCTTCCAAAGATGAACCAGATGTTTCTCACCTCTTTGAGTGACTAGGAGCATATGGTGAAACTCAATAATTTTAGTATATAGCACCTTTCACTCAGGCATCTCCTAAGACTTAATACATGTTAAGCTCTTGCTAGACACCAACTCAATGGCATTTTTCAAAAAAACAAGCCATGCTCCACGATCTAAATCTGAAGTAAGATTTTGGTGATGATAGGTCTGCCAAGTAATTTTGGTACTCCTTCTATTCATTAGCTATCCTCTGGGGGGAAAAGAAACTAAGTGCTGCATAAACCAGATCTTGATGCTTGTATAACGTCCCCCAATGTTACAACCATGTGTATAGCATACTCATTTCACTACTAAAAATTCTGAAGCCTCTGTCTACATCTGTGTTTAAAAAAACAAAAAAGGAATCTTACCTTCACCCTCCAAATTCAAGCCAGTTTCCCATTTAGACACAATTACAGATTTTCTTGTCTTGTTCTTAACTAGCTTAACACTGCTGCTCCACACTGTTGAAACTCTCTTTCTCCTTCTCCTGTTTCCAGACTATTTTTCTACCACAATCACTATCGTCCTGGGAAGTCCACACTGTGCAATTACTCTATACTTTTTTCCATCCTTTTCATCTACCAAAGACTAAAGAGTGCTCATTTCTCAAGGACATCAGCACCTTCATTCATTTAACAGGTAATTACTACAGGTCTAATATGATAAGGCAAGAGAGAAAATGGTACTTATACTCCCTGCTATACTGGAGTTGGCTGTCTGGATGGTTCCTTCATTGACATCTGTATTTCTCTTGGATTCAGCTACGCATGCTTTTCACATGATCATCTCAGCCTATGAACATGCATGATCATAATATCATATTTACTTTCTTAATGTTGACAGTGACAAGTCTTGACTGTATAAAAAAATTTCATGGATTTTTGAGCCTGTAACAGGGGCACACAGATAAGAATCTGTTTGTACCTTCTGAAAACTCTATTTGTTAATAAATAATATGTTGCTCTGTCAATCTTTAGACTTTTTAAGTATTGCATCTCAGGATGAGATTGTAAATCAGTTTTTCAATAACATATATACATAAGTTAGATGTGTTAATACTTTATTAACTACTAAGATCTATCAGAATGGTGTGTGCATGCTGCCGAAACCATGTAAGTATCTACCTGCAAACATTAAGGGAAATGAAGGAAAAGTTCAAGGCTCTAGAGAATCTGTGCAGGGCATCTGACCTTGTTGGGGAGGGCAGGACCTGGTCCCTGTGGTTGTAAGCCTGCAATGAGATTAGATTGGTTAGCAGGTCAGAGGCAAGCAAGAGTCATGTAGCTAGAGGCACCAGCACAAAAAAGGAAACTTTGAGGTTCTGCAAGAAGACCAGTGAGATCTGAATGCAGAGAGCAATGGAAACGGTTTCAGGTGAGTTGAGAGAGGTGGGCAGGGGTCTGCTTATGGAGACACTTAGGGACACTCTAAGAATTTTGCTCTTTATCATACTGGGTCACTGTTTTTCAGTCTCTGCCATATCCTACTATTATTATCAAAGACCTCAACATCCCTTTTGTTGATTGTTCTCAAGCACTAGCCTTATGGTTCCTTAGCTTGGCTCACTGCTCCTTCACAGTTGCTGAAGATGTAACAGATAGCACAGAAAGTCTTCATCTCAGGGCAGAGCTCTGCTGAGAGTGCTAAGAAAGATGCAGAATAGAAAAGGCCTCACAGCATAGGAATAGAAAAAGCCCACATTTTTACAGGTAGACATGGGCATCAATTGTAAGCCATGCTGAGATATTGATGTCATTCTATGCAAAGTTGATCATTAGAGGTTTTAACATACAGTGGAGATATGATAAGTTCCATCTCTTAGAAAGACACCTTTGAGAGGTGATTTGGAGAATGGACTACAGACTAGAGGGACTGGATACTGAGAGTTCAATTAGGAGTAGGTCTCAATATTTCAGATCAGACATAATGAAGACCTGAACTTGGAGACGGAGTTGGCAAAAAGAGTGCCACATGGAAGAGATTTCTAGAGAGAAGGGTCTGTAACATTTGGGGACCAAGTAGAACCAAGGGTGACTTATAAGAACTATAACTTGGCTGAGTGTGTTAATAATAAAGTCAATATCAGAAGTCATAATAACAAAAGCAAGGGTAAGTTTAGGGGTGTGGGTGCAGGTGAGGAAGAAGAAAGAATAATTAGTATACTTTGGGATGGGTTGAATTCAATATCTGTAATTAACAGAAAATCCAGGCTATCTTTAATTTCCCAATCTCCATCTCTCCTCATATTTCTTTAATATCTCATCAGTGACTCATTTTAATTCAAGGACTTCAGCCAACTAAAGACTTCCAGATTTACATTTCTACTTTCAACCACTGCATTTCTACTTTCAACCACTGTTTTGAGCTTCAGATGTGTTTCTAGATTCCTGGTGCATGTCTATGCCACAGTGCTCTGGGGGATCTCAGATTCTACTTCCTTAGTTGGAGCTCCTCAATTCCTTCTAAATCCATTTCCCCTTTAAAGGCTCCTCTCTCAGTGGCCTCTTTTACCTAGTCCTCAGGGCTCAAAACCATGGCATTATATTCTGTTCCTCCTCTATCACCCCCATCCAAATCATTGCAAGTTCAGAAGAACTTATTTCCATGACTTGCTTCATTTTGGTTCCCTTCATCCTCATTTCTGCTGCTGTTGCCTTCTTTTGTGCCTTCATTATGTCTCCACTGTCCTCCCTCCCTTCCATGTTTCCTAATTTCATTTGGTCCTACACATGAATACCTAGCCAATTCTTCTAAAGCTCAGATCTCCTCATATCTCTTCTAAGCAAACAACAACCAACTAACCAAACAACAACAAAACCACACACGCAGACACACACAGACACACACACCCTTTTGATAATTCTCTTTTGCTGAATAAAAGCATCTTCTTTCATGCTTTTGTTCCAGCTTACTTTCTCCCCTCTTCTTTCATCATATTATCTCCTGCACCCTCATTCAGAATAAACTACTTGCTGATGTTCTCCCTTACTAAATTGTTAATAAGGAGCTATGTTCACCTCTGTAACCTACCTGGTGTCTTGAATGCTGCTCGGAGCACAGCAGGCACTCAGTAAGTGCATTTGTATTTTGAACCGAGATAAAGACTAATGTGTCATAGTGGACAGATAAGTTCAGTTGTTTTTGGCAAGAAACCAAAACCAAAAGCAGTTGTTGTAGCAAAACAGAAATGAAAAAGGTATAAGATTTAGAACTTCTTTTTACAGATTCATTAACATTGTAAAATAGGTTTTAAAAGATACTATTAGGATATGCGTTCCTCATCAGGTGAAGAAAAGGTTTTACCTTGAAGCTTCGGTTAAAATAAAGTAGAGCCCTTAGGTTCTAACTGTGCCCTTTGTTTTTAAACAGCTTTATAGGCTTGGACACATTTTTTTTGTAGGGAAACATGGGCAGCTGAAGGAAAGTATTACTCTGGAATTTATTGTTTGGGATGTTTCTTTCCTGTCATTCTTAATTTTCTTTCCTTTCTCTTTCTTTCTTTCTTTCTTTCTCTTTCTTTCTTTCTTTCTCTTTCTTTCTTTCTTTCTTTTTCTTTCTTTCTTTTTCTTTCTTTCTTTCTTTCTCTCTCTTTCTTTCTTTCTTCTCTTTCTTTCTCTTTCTCTCTTTTCCTTCCTTCCTTCCTTTCTTTCATTCCTTCCTTCCTCCCTCCCTTTCTTTCTTTTTTCTTTCTTCTTTTCTTTTTCTTTATCATAATACACAAAAGTCTACCCCTTTTCTTTTGTGAAGAAGTTAAAGTTATTAATTAGATTGTGCCCAATATGTGTTTTGATCACTTTGAAAATGCATTTGTATAATTAATCTTCTAAAAGTCCTCAGATATACAAGTTAAACATATGGATAAGTAAAATACCAACTCCACAAACCTCAGTTTAGGATATTTTGTTTTAACTTTTCCCTCACGCAAAATTTTTCAGAGTTATATAATAAATAGTAAAATAGTATGTTCCATATATTGACCTGTCTCTTTTTCACTTTGTGTCAGGTAAATATACAACTATAAAATCAGACTAGGAACAATGGCAGAAACAAAAGCCAACATTATTCTAAAAAGTAGATACTCAGATACTGATTGAGTTGATTCTAAATACTAGATTATGTAAAAAAAAAAAAAAGGTTTTTATTGATTTTCCTAAATTCCATTGAGCAATACTTATTTATTTAGAGTACAGAAATATTAGGGCTGTTCACTTCATGGCTGCATAAAAAAATGACCCAGATGGCAGAGTGATTTGTCTAATATCCCCTAGTTATCTAGGGGATATTATCTGATAGCATTGCTGGAATATCACAGACTGTATTTGAGAGAGCCAGAGTTTCTAACTTAGATCGGGGATGGCCTTCTATGTGATATTTCTCTGGTTTGGGGCCTTGTTTTGGGCCCAGAGTGAGGGAGCATTATTATACACATCAGAGATCTTGATGCACAGTAATGTTGCCCGTTTTAGATCACTCGGAATGCTCAGGTTTTTACTTTCTTCTGTTGGCCAATGGGATGGTTGGTAATGGAGGCCAAGCCTATAACAATTGCCATCAGAAATTGTGCTCTCTCTCCCTGAAGCTTCAGAGAGCTACCTTTCATACATTATATATCTCAGATTATATTTAAAAACAAAAGCTTGGCTGAATGAAGAAATGCAAGTCTAGAGATCCTTTGCTTTTTTCTATCTCCTGAGGGTAACCAAATTTTCTCAGTAATCTTATGAACAGTAATATTTTTCATGTTTTCTAAGAATCAGTCTAAAAAGTATGCTGGAATTCTCATATGGCCAAAGCCTATATATCAACATAGCAAAAGACTCTTTCAAGAAATAGCTTCTTAATAATATCGTATACTTGCTTAGGAAAATAAATTAATCATACATGCTGGCTATTTAATATTGTAATTAGGTATATATATAGACACATCATCGATGTGACACTAACACTTATTGGTAATGAATACATCATTAATGATCATTGATACTGTGAGGATCTGGCTTCCTTCTTATTAATGCTTTATTGTGGAAAGGTGGAAAGTTCATTCGATGATGTATGTGTGTATATACATATATATTTTAAAGCTAAGCTAAATGTCTCTCCATTTTCTTTCTTAGCTGTTTTCTTCTTAGCTGAACACATAATAATGCTCTTTTATAGATTTAGACAGAATAAAGAACGGCATTAGAGGAAGCAACTGCACGGAAGAAAGGAGACTTGGGGTCATGTGAGGGAAGAGAGGCATGGGACAGTCAGAAGAGAGGTCAGTGGATATGGGTAGGAGAGACCTGAGGGCGACCCGAGGGGCGTTTGAGGTCATTACCTCACCAGTTACCTCTCATCGCTTCTTCAGTATCATTACACAAAATTCAAAATTAAGTAGCAGCAAAGGTCAAAGAGGAATCGAGCAGGATGCTGTTTTCTTTCCATTACAGTAAGATCTTCTTTCCTTCACTCAGCCCTTTATTGCTTTTCTTGCTGTTTCCCTTTTCAGCTCTGTTTCATCTTTCCACTGCTCGCAGCTATTGTTTATATTGTTTGTTTTATCTGTGGAGTGGAAACAATAACTCTGATTTAAGAACTAGAGCCCTGGCCATATACAAATGAGCACAGAAGTGGTTATATTCATGGTTTCAAGAGCAATTAATCTGGCAAGCAAGCACCCATAGAATAGACTTCCAAAAAGAAAAAAGCAAAGCAAAGCAAAGAAAAAACAGAATAAACACACTTTGTACCAATAAATTCTCTAACTCCAGGGATGTTTTACTAAATAGACAAATCCTTTAAAATTAGACTTATTCTAATTTTAATCATTCCATTCTGATTAATTTGGAAATAAAAAAACACTGCTTTTACAGAAATTTTTCTCCAACTGATTATCTGTGTACAAAATTCAAAAGTACATATTAAATTGTTCAGGACCACAAAAATTGGGAGTCAGGAGAAGAGGGAGTTTGTATTCTATTTTGCTATGCTGTTTAGCTTTAATGCCAAATTGTTTTATGAAAATTACACTGTCCTGAATCATTCATGTGGTGTCTATTTGGTTGTAGGTCACACTGTTTTACATTATTTTCATTTTTGAATAAATCAGGGTTTTTTCAGTGGTTTAATAGTCTATCTTAAAGAAGAATTGTTCTAAATATACCTCAAAGGTTCATAGGAATATCATTTTTCGTGTGTGAGATATTTATTTGTGTTAGTTTGCATGGATATAGCAATGATTTGAATGGGGAAATGAGGAGATTTGTTAAAGCATCCATCTCTGGTGAGCATGGTAATGAATGTTTTCTTAATTATCTTTTTCCCCGTAGTAAACATAGATTTCCATGAAGAAACTCAGTGGATATTAGCCATTATCATAAATTTTGAGCACAATTATTTCTTGCCATTTTCCCCCAAACTATGTTCTGATTGTTAAATTCTCTTTCTCCAAAAGTGTTTTTAAAGATAGAATCTTCTCAAATCTACAAAGGCAAATCTATCTTTTCCTTCAAACATAAGAGCAAAGCAGACCAAATAAAGGGTCTGAAAGAATAGAAAAATGAACCCTTAAAATTAATCTAGAAGCAGGAGATATATCAAATGTTTCCAATTTATCTTGGAATTTGACATATGGCCTATTTACAATAAAAGATAATTGGGGTCAAACCCAATGGCCTTGTGAATTCTTTTGACCACCCACCTTGCTTAGTGTAGACTTCACGAGTCTCGGAGAGCAGGTGCTGTGGATGAGCAGCTAGCATCGAACACATGGTTTTAAATCATTTTCTGCAAGGCATATCAATGCTTTAAAAAATGCTATATTTCTTATATTTCTTAGCTCAAGCACTATGAGAGTTTTACACAACTATGACTAGAATAATTCCCCCCCAATTGTTTCAACATACTACTTGAATTTAAATATATTCATTAGACAGAACCTTTGACAGAGTACTTGTGTAAATTTTGGAATTTTGTAAGATATTAGAGGAAACTGCAATGTAGAATTATGATGACAATGTTTTTCTAATTTATTTTAAAGTTGTTACTAGATAAATAAGTACTCTTTGTTTATTTGTTTTGATACAGAGTTTCACTCTGCTGCCTAGGCTGGAGTGCAGTGCCACAATCTCAGCTCACTACAACCTCTGCCTTCCGGGTTCAAGTGATTCTCCTGTCTCAGCCTCCCGAGTAGCTGGGATTACAGGTGTGCACCACCACGCCCAGCTAATTTTTGTATTTTTAGTAGAGACAGGGTTTCACCATGTTGGCCAGGCTGGTCTTGAACTGCTGACCTCAGGTGATCTGCCCACCTCAGCCTCCCAAACTGCTGGGATTACAGGCGTGAGCCACAGCACCCAGCCATAAGTACTTATTTTTGCCAACCTATTTTTGGTGAAAAATTTCCTCAGGTACCAAGTCCTATATGTTGCTTTTCGGTAACACAAAGTACAAACAACAAAATCTAACCCCACCTTTTTCTTAAGTAGGATATTCAGAAAGCAACAGGAAAGTCTACTTTCCCTGCAACTTTTACAAATCATAGAGATAGGCATATTCTCATAGATGTAGCTGAAAAGATGTACAAGTCAAGGTAAATGTGTGTGTGTGTGTGTGTCTGAGGAGCGGGGGCAGGGTGGTAGATATAATTATATATGTTATATTTCTTACTAGAACTACCAGTTACTAAGGCAAGGACTCAAAATGTTATTTGGGGGTGGGAAACATTAGCTTCATTAGAAGCTCTGCACTTTCAAAACAGCACCACTGGGATAACCTGTTGTTGTGATGATGCTGCCCAGTTCCCATTTGCACAAGAGTTTTTCCCTTGAGCCAGCCTCAATGAGAACAGCTCTGTCCATCCTATTGAGCTCTGAGAACCCCTGAGGCCTTAACATTGTCTGGGTAGAGACGTGAACATTTCAGGTGAGTCTGTCTTGAATACAGGATCTGAAGGAATAGGTCAGATATGAACACAAACTATCTCTGATGATTTTGTCAGATAGTTTATTTTCCTTTAAATTTCAGTTTATTGGTTTTATGCTCAATAATCTTCAATGCAGTATAATTTTTATTGAATGTGGATGAAAATTAAACTCAATAGTAAAACTGAACTACAACCATCTTTTTCTTCCTGTTTATATTTCTTATTCAATTAACAAGTATGAAATGAATGTCTACTAATAGGATGGAAAAACAGGTGGCATGTAAGCTGCCACATCCTCCTCCTGAGGACACAGCAGACATCACTAACCAACCATCGGCAATCTCTCTTAATGGCGTCTAGTCATTAACTCATAATCTTTCTCAGTGTACTTCCCCAGGCAGGCACTGCTACTTACCCAGCACTGTGTTAGGAAATGTAGGGAAACAGGAGTATAAAACATAATTCCTGGCTGAGTGCAGTGGCTCATGCCTGTAACCCCAGCACTTTGGGAGGCCAAGGCGGGAAGATCACGAGGTCAGGAGTTCGAGACCAGCCTGACTAACATGGTGAAACCCCATCTCTACTAAAAATACAAAAATTACCAGGTGTGGTGGCACGTACCTGTAATCCCAGCTACTTAGGAGGCTGAGGCAGGAGAATCACTTGAACCTGGGAGGCAGAGGTTGCAGTGAGCCAAGATCACGCCACTGCACTCCAGCCTGGGTGACAGAGTGAGACTCCGTCTCAAAAACAAACAAAAAAACAAACAAACACCATAATTCCTTAAAGAGCTTATAATGTGCTTAAGTAAAAACAAAAACAGACGAAACAATTAGCAGCATAAGGCTTCAAAATTAAATTAAAAATAAATTGTAATTAGAAGAGAGAAATTTTAATCATCTGGCATATATTTAAACAAACCACGGCAATAATGTTTTGTTTATTCTGTTATAGTAGTTCCAAATTTTATCTGTTCTTTAATTTATCAACACTGCCTGGCATGTGTATAGCACTTGGAGAACATCTCTGCATCCTTGAACACAATTTCTTATATGTTTTCAAGATGATTTTGTTTTCTAGGTTTCTCTCCACAAGCTTCATTTCAGGATTAACTAAGCTAAGGATCAGGACATAGACAGCCTAATCAAAAGTTACAATGTGTTAATAAATTTCAAGAACTCCACTTATTTATGTTCAGAGATGTCTCTGAAGGAAAATGAAAAGCTGAACTTGTAATAAAGTCTCCTTAAATCAGATTAATTTTGAATTTATGCTAATTTGATCAGGGTCTGGGCACATGGTTACCAGTACGTTAAGCATTTGACAGGACTTAGAAAAAGATAGTGCTGCAAATAAAGTTATACGATAAACTCCTTAACTATATAAGAGAACAAACTTTTTAACAGCAGTTTTAGAAGCATCTACTTTACTTTTAACTGTGTAATTACATGTAATCAGAGATTTGCTTTTTGAATACTCTTTTGGTATAGTAATTATAAACTCTCTTACTCATTGGTAAACTATGACTTTTTCTAGGCCTTATTTCTTGACCTCATTAGACTTCCATTATGTATTTAGAAATAACATCACATTTGATTTAAAAATTTATAATTCAGATATTATACAATTTTATTGACTTCTCCTTATATAGTGAGATACCATTTTGCTATTTTGGTGTTGGACTGGTTTTCTTTAAAAATCATTTTCGTATTATGCTTTAAGTGCCAAAAAGAGGCATTGCATCTTATAGCTTCTTTGGAACCTGCCCCAGTGTTCTGACTGACCTTGCATATATACTGATTTTACCTGGCTGCCAGGTGTCTTGTCTTATTTAGATATTTAAATGGCATTTATGGCCCTAGCTCCTCTTCCTCTGTATACCTTCAGGAGAGAGGTAGTAGTAAAACATGAACATGGAAGTCAATCAGACTTGAGCCCAAATCTCAGGTTGGCCACTTGCTATATAGTCATATAAATGTAGGAACTGCACTTATTTCCATACCTATGAAATGAGGATGATTTTCTGCATCCCAGAGAATTATCAACTCAAGATTTCATGTAGTAATTTTTCCAAAAATTTTGGCATCAGGAAGAGAGAATCATTGGATTCTCTCCCTTGATAATTTAAACTTAGAACACAGAGAGTGGCTAAAGCCTCTCAATGTAGCCTCTTGAATCATTTGGTCCATTCATGAGAAGCACCATCTTCACTCACCCAGCTGGCTTCCCAGATTCCTAATATTCTGATCATTAAAGAAATGGCAACGTATTTAAGCTGCAGGTCTAGAATATATGTTACATCCCAGTGCTGCCAGGCTTCATCATTTACAGCTTAGTTAAAAGGTCATTGCCATCTTTCTAAAAAGCCATCTTTTTCTGGATGACAGTGTAAATGACAAGATGGTGGGCACCACAGGGATCAGCTCATTGCCACACTATATATCAAGGGAGTGTGTAAGGGATTCAGTAAATTCATGTAGAAAAATGACAAGAGAAGTGAGACAAATCCAAAATAATTGATGCGATGATTAGGATAAATCACTGCTTAAAATGATAGGAGAGGTCCAAGGGCATGGATCCAACACATCATCTCTGTGATTGTTTCCTTGTTTGCAAGAAGAAGATAATACCTACGTCACAGCATTCTTGTTTACAAACCAATACAGTGTTTAGCATAAAGTTAAGACTCAATAAATATTAATTTATTTTATCTTATTTTCCCTACCACTTTATATCAAACTATGTCCAAGAAGGAGATGCAGGAGTCATGGGAAAAATATTTTGAAATGTTAGCATTTTTCTATAATGTTATAATGTAGGTTTGTAGAAAAAAAAAAGAAAAAATTACTACTATTTGGAACTTAAAATAGTTTTTCTTTCTAGTCTCATATACAAAACTCAGGGGTTGAAACAGATGATCAACTGCAAAATTATATTCTAAGATGCACGTACACACTGTTAGCAATTAGGCATCTAGAATCTAACAGAGTGGAAAGTTAGAGTCAGACAGATCAGTATTTAAATCTTTAGTATGAATGTCTCTGAATTCTGATTTCAAACTCTGGCTCTTTCACTTCCTAGCTGAGTGAGCCTCCCAACTGTCTTTGAGTCTCTTGAGTCCTTGTGTGAATATTGGGGTAATGTCCTGCCTCATAAGGTTGCTATTAAAAGTAAATGAAAAAGTATATGTAAACTAACTAGAGCACCAGTGTCCGGAATAGAACTCTCTTTGATGGTGTAAATGTTCTATCTGCACTGTCCAATATGGTAGAAGCTAGCCACATATGCTTAATAAGCACTTTAAATACTGCTAGTGCAACTGAGAAAACTGTTTAACTTAGTTTCATTTAAATTTGAAGTACTAGTTTTTCAGCAACATGCTCATCAGTCTCTCTTTTGTAGTTGCTTTGTATCTCATTTTTACTTATGGATATAAAGTTCTAAGTCTTAAAAATTGAACATAAAGTAAAATAGAGCCCACAGATTTTTTTTCCCATCTGATCTCTGATTCCCTCTCACCCCCTTACATACAGCAGGAGCCCAGAGGAGTGTATGGGGTTGAAGAGGCTGGTTAAGGAGGGAGTGTCCAGGGCAGAAAATGAACTTAACCTTAGGCAGGTCATGCAAGCACATTAATCCAAAGTGGCAAGTGAGAGTCAGTCCAGAAATGAATCCAGTAGTTCAAGTTAGGGACATTTGGGATGAACACGGGGAATTCCCCAACCACAGGGCTTTTTGTATGTAAGCAGCAAGTTATGGTCAGCAGTTCTCAGCTGTGTCATTCACTGCTTTGGGGACCCAGTAGTAGACCCCAGCATGAGCCCACAACTGAACAATACCTTGAATAGCATGAGCCCAGAAAATGGAAATTCTTTGTCCAAAGTCAGCCAGTGGTTACTGGCAGATTGGGAGTTAGTATTTCACTCAAACTAACCAGTCATTAGGACAAACATAGAAAACCAGTTTTTGCCGATGATAAACATGTTTGCAAAGGAGGATCATTCCGAGGAGCAATACAAAAGCAGTGACATCAACATATAACAAAATGAAGTTCTTTCCGGGGTAATTGCAGAAATGGTAGTCATACAATGACTCAAACTTTACTGATCCAAAAATCTAATTCTCATAATCCTGTCAGTGGTATCACTTTACATTGCCAGTGAAAAATTTAATATTAAGGAGTAATAGTCAGATATAAAATTATTAAGACTTCACTGCCTTTACAAAAAGCATTAGAAAGCATTTACTGGCATGTTACAAAGTATCATAAATAATTAAAATACATCTACTTATTAAAATATCAGGATAGTGATGTTATAGCTTCCTTGTTATTTCCTCATGCTCATTTGTAAAATTCAATAACTTCCAGAAGTTAATTGTCATTAGTGGAAAGAGGAAAAACATAGGTGATTAATGAGTTGAAGAAAGAGAAAATGGAGCATCGACTGTATATTTTCCTAAAAGATAGGAGTAGCAATTAATGTCTACATTAGGGAAAAACAACTCAAAAATGAATCAAAGTTTTGCTAACATTTTGAAGACAATTGTTTAAGTTTTACTTATGAATAAATTATAGTTGTATTCAACTTTGAAATGTTAGTTAAATATAAGTCTGTACTGTGAGAAAACATCAATATAAAATGCAAACATCAGAATTCAAATACATTTTCACTTGTTTTTATATTAATCAACACAGAACATGTAATCCAACTTTGACAAATTATGTACCAAGAAATGATGATGAATTTGTGAATTATTTTTCCAATTGTGAATATCCAGCATTTGATTTTGAGCATGCATGGACATGTTAAACATCTACATATTGGAAGTGTCGTGCACACATATATAGAATTTTGGGTTGAAAGAGACTGCTGGTATCACACTGATCAGCTTTTAAATTTTCCTGTTAGAGCCTAGATCCATGTTTCTTCAAACTTTATGTACATATAAATCACCTGGAGATCTTGTTAACATGTAGATTTTTATTCTGCATTTCTAACAAGCTCTCAAGTGATATAAAACTCTACTGTTGGAAGAACCATACTTTGATGAGCAAAAGCCTAGAGAACTCAAATATTCGTCCGAAGTCAGACAAGTACAAAAATGAGGATTAGTATTTCTGCCCCGCCCCATGTACCCCCCATCCCTTAGCCCTCTTTTATAAAGCAGCTGTGGCACAATGGTTAAGACTATGAACTTGTAATTAGCCTAGGTTCAGATCCCACCTTGACCACCTACCTTACCTGCTGTGGCCTTGGACAAGTCACATAACCTTTCTTTTCCCTAAGTTTCTTCTTTTATTTAATGAAGAAAATAATAATAGAACTCACCTTGTTAGGTAGCATAAGAACCAAATAGTTTATGTAAAGTAATTAGATGAATGCTAGCATGTAATGACATTTCATAAATATTAGCTTTTATCATTATGGCCATGACCACCTTCCCATTCTTTCCACTTCATAGCAGTACTTCAATCTAGCAACCTATGTTTGTTTGCAGTTATGTTCGATGTTTATTTTCTTAATACACAAGATCAGAAGCATGGCTAACAATTTGAATTATTTTTGGCCCAGGCGATTGCTTTGATGTCGCATTGTTATTTTAGGGGGACAATGTTTGGGGTGTTAGGAAATTGTTTCAAATTATTAAGAACTGACTCTGGTGAATGTATAAGTTGGTTAATATTTCTATAAAGTCACTCACTCTGAGTCCCTGCTGGTAACGACCCTTTTTGACTAGTATAGAGGCATTTTTCAAACTTTCTGTAGAGGTAGTGATTGTATTTAGAAGGAATTTGGCTGTCTATAAACTAGAAACAGGTGAGATGTCACTCAACCTATAATAACTTATCTATTGCTACAAACGGTAAACTTGAAAGCAAGATTTGTTACAACTAAACCAATGCAAATAAATGACTATGTAAAGGTGTCATAGAGAAAGTTTTGGCTAATCAGTTTTGTTTTGTTTTTTAAGATTATATGAATTGGATTTAGGTTCAGCTCTCCTGGGTTCCTCAGAGTGGTGAGGAAATTAAGGGGGCACCACACTGTTTTATGTTGTTTCCTGATGGGAGTGTCATCCAAAAACTTAATTGCTCCTATTTTGCTTCCCCCACCACCACCTAATTTTTATCCATGTCCTTAATTGCTCCTGCCATTGGCACCATATGTGTCAGCCCACAAGACACAATGTCAGTATCATGATGCTGCAAGATGATCCTCACTCCAGGTGGTTTCATGGAAAGATGAACAAAGGTGAATGAGAAAGTAATTTATTTTTTAAAAAACAGAATGTCAGTTTACTAATGGATAATTAGAACTGTAACTGTCACACAGACTAAAATGTGCCAGTAAGAATTGTGTCAATATAGACATACTGGTCTGTGTGACAGTTATCATTGTTACCGTAACTTATTGGAGTTGTAGTGTAGATTGGAGTTGGAGTGTAGATTGCTGTATGAGGAAAGCCAAATTTTTTCCAAAGAGTGCTCAATGAGTAAAGAATCAAAACATGGAAAATTTCATAATGTGAATTTTAATAAGATCAGGCTAGTAGAGCCTGCCATAGCCATCTCCAAATGAGGTAAGCCTGTTATGATTTTAGAATAGCACATTATTATGCACCTAAAAGTTAAGGGATTGTCATTTAATTACATTAGGTCAAAGATAATCCAAATTTCATACATCAGGGACTATAGTAATAATATCTAAGAATATCTGGTTATTTATTCAGGAATTATGTAGTTGCTGAATCATAGAGACATTAAAGTAAAATTAATACATTGAATCATACTTGGAGTAGAACAGTCAGCCAACATGAGGTGCAAAGCACTGAATCTATTCTCAAATCATATTTGATGACATATCTTTGGAAAAAAAGATGTTTATTTCACTTTATATGTTGAAAGCAGATACATTATTTACACTTTCCCTTGACTATTTTAGTGTGTGCATCTCTATTTTGTAATTTTAACCAGATAAATAAATTCTTATTGATTTTATAACATAATCCAGAATCTAAACAAATATTATTTATTAAAATTAACTTCACATTTACACTAACATATTATTATGTACCTGAAAGACCACATGCAAACATATATTAGTAATTTGAATCCATTTGTGAAAATAATGTAGATTTGACTATATTTAAATAGCTAGCATTTTATTTATGATATTGCTAATGTCTTATTTTCCTAGGCTTTGTACAGCAGAAATAAATGCTGAGAAGGTTGAGGTTGTATTGTTGAAAACAGATGTAATTTTTTTGAAAGGTGATGGGGAGCAAAATGTCTCTCCAGTAAAACACACACGCAGACACAGACACGTATCCAATTTTTCTGAATGCTTCAAAGGTAAGAAGAAAGGGTAACGGGAGTAAGCAAGTTGGTAAAATGATTTTGAGTGATATCACGTTATTTAAAACAAACTGCTAAATTTGTGTCAACAAATATGGTGTCAGTATATTAATAAAGCAGTACAGCTGGGCACACTGGCGTACACCTGTAATCCTAGCACTTTGGGAGGCTGAGGCGGGCAAACCACTTGAGCCTAGGATTTCAAGACAAGCCTGCCCAACATGGTGAAACCCCATATATACAAAAAAATACAAACATTAGCCAAGAGTGGTGGTGCACACCTGTAGTCTCAGCTACTCTGGAGGCTGAGAGATGGGAGGAGGGCTTGAGCCCCGGAGGTTGAGGCTGCAGTGAGCTGTGGTTGGCCACTGCACTGCAGCATGGGAGACAGTGAGACCCTGTTTCAAAAAAAAAAAAAACAAAAACACAAAAAGCAGTACAGCTGAGTCCAGGTCCATGCATTTGTTCACGCCTCATCCACCAACATAGGTACCAGGCTCTCTCCAGAGATTATGAAACTTGGTCCCTGCTGTTGACAAGTACACAGTCAAGACAGGAAGGTTGTTTAATCCTGTCAACAATAAACATTTATTTAGGACATCAGTCTTAGCTTCTTATTATACTATTATGTCATTTGATTAGTCCCCCATTCAACTTAGTTTCCTGTTCACTATAGCACTAACATTTTGTTTTAATGCTTTGCATTTCTTCACTACATTAATCACTTCTCATAAAATTTCTACAAATGTATTTCCTGATAGGTAATTATCTTCTTAGTTTTACTCTTCCATGTTTCATAACTGTTCTCTTTTGGACCTCAAGGCTGTCCATTTGTTGGTTATCAACTCCACCTATAGCTTCCTGCCTCTGATGGGCCTGGCCTGTGTTTTACCAGAAGGCACATCACATAGAGGCTGTAAAGGGTTGAAATGGGCCTGGATCTAGGTAAGGATGGTGACCATCATTGCCATAACCATCACCATAAGCTGATGTTTCCTATAGGGAGAAAGCTTTTAGAAGTCGTGATTTTAAAAGATCAGCGAATTGTATTAGTCCATTTTTACACTGCTGATAAAGACATATCCAAGACTGGGCAATTTACAAAAGAAAGAGGTTTAATGGACTTACAGTTCCACATGGCTGGGGAGGCCTCACAATTATGGCAGAATGTGAAAGGCATGTCTTACATGGTGGCAGACAACAGAAGAGAGCTTGTGCAGAAAAACTCCCCCTTATAATAAACATTAGATCTCATGAGACTATCATGAGAACAGCACAGGAAAGACTTGCCCCCATGATTCAATTACCTCCGACAGGGTCCCTCCCACAACGCATGATAATTTAAGATGAGATTTGGGTTGGGATACAGCCAAACCATATCATGAATTAATACCAACAAAAAACTATCAAAAGGGAGACAGGAAGAGAGAGAGAGAGATTGAGATTATTTTGGCTATTATTTCAGAGTAGAATTTTAAGATAAAAATGTCTATAAACTTTTTTAAATCAAGTTTTGTTGTATAAATGAGATGTAACCTTCTTTCTCTCAATAAAATGGAATTAAGGAGCTACATTAATCTTTGAGACTTTGTAGCTGGAATTTTTTTTTTTTTTGGGTGAGAAAAATGTGCTAAGACTGGTCATATGGGGAGAGAAAGAATCTGGTTGTATTCAGGAAATCTGCACTGTGATGCTATCTGTGTGAACTAAGATTTACTTCCTGACTCTTCCTCAGACGTGATAAATTATAGATGCCATTAGTAGTTCAATGAATGGCACTTGAGTTTTTTTTGAATGTTGGAATCCTTCAGGATAAATGCTGCTAAACAACTAATTATGATGTTTAGCAGAATGCTTGACCTCTGGTGCACATCACTGTTATCTATGTACTTGAACAAATACAAGATTACAGGCAGGGCCTCAAACCTGACCTACTGAATCAATTTCTGCCAGTGGGACCAGCATGAGTTCATTTGCAGTGAGTTCTGTAAGCACTGAAAACCCCGAGTCTGTATGCCTTCCCCTGTAGTGACCTCAGAGACAGAGAATTCTGGCTATGTGCTCTGTTTTTCACAGTAGGAAAAGCAGATCCAGCACTTAGAAGTCTGGATCCATAGGAGTGCTGAGGTTGCCTTTGCTGATGGTAAAAATAGAAAACAAAGGCACACAATGAAATATTGAAGAATGCCTTCAATGGTGAATCTCAGAGGTGAAAGAAAGTTTGCTGGGGACAAAAGACAAAGAAAGGGTAACCAAGGAAAGAGAGCCAGGAGAGTGGTGTTCATCAGGGTTGATGCTGCAGAAGGATGGGCACTGAGAAAAGGCAGTTGGAGTTAGTGATCAGGAGTTTATCAGAGATGTTCTAGAGCAGAAATAGTGTTGGAGGTGGAAGTAATTGCAAGGGTCTAAGGCCACACTTCTCAGCCCTGGCTATGCCTCAGTCCTTTTTGGAGATTAAAAAACATGGAATTTCCAATCTCTATCCCACATGTTCTGGGCTGGGATTTCCAGAGAAGAGGCCTGAACATTTGTCTGTCGTCTGAATTTTTTAAAGCTACACGAGGGATTTGGTGGTGAAGCCAGGGCCAGGGACTAGGGAGGAAGAGAGTAGAAGTAGAAATACAGACCTGTCTGGCCGGGCGCGGTGGCTCACGCCTGTAATCCCAGCACTTTGGGAGGCCGAGGCAGGCGGATCACGAGGTCAGGAGATCGAGACCATCCTGGCTAACACGGTGAAACCTTGTCTCTACTAAAAGTACATAAAATTAGCTGGGCATGGTGGCGGGCGCCTGTAGTCCCAGCTACTCGGGAAGCTGAGGCGGGAGAATGGCGTGAAACTGGGAGGTGGAGCTTGCAGTGAACCGAGATCAGGCCACTGCACTCCAACCTGGGTGACAGAGCAAGACACTGTCTCAAAAAAAAAAAAAAAAAAAAAATACAGATCTCTCTGAAAAATGGCAGTAGGAAGAAAAAAGCAAATTTGAGAAAGAGCTAATTCCCAACTGAGTGAAAAGAAACTTTTTGTGTTTTTGTGTTTTCTCTGAAGAAATTGAGCATGCTTCAAGGGAAGAGATGCTTAAGAACAACAGGTTAAAGCAGCAAAGTAAGAAATGGTAATTGAAGTAAGTTTCTTGAGAAAATAGCATCTACACCTAGCTTGGGGAATTTTAGATCAACAGACATCAGTTCTTATTTTATTGTGAAAATGAGTTGACGGTAGCCCTTAAGAGTCAGGAAAGTATTTGATTCGTATCTGTGACTATGTAGGTTTCAGTTGTTCAAATGCTGCTTTTCAGTGTGAACTCTTGAGCCCACATCCCAACATAGAGAATGATAGATCAATATGAGGCCTGCACAATCTGAAAGGGACCTGAATTGATGATCCAGGGAATGATGAATCCAGGGTGAATGAGAAGTCCAGGAAAGCCTGAGTAAAGTAATCACATGCTGGTAGTTTCCATAGGTTCGTGGAAATGGTTATGTGGGAGAGTTAAGCTTCTGCAAACTTTCAGGTCTATTAACAAGTTATAAAGCTTCTATGATTCTCCACAAAGATGGCCATTGACTCTGAACAATGATTTTTTTCATCACATATGAGTGCTGAACAGTACTTATTTATGCTCTCAAAAAAAGTTACTTTTTGCCTGTAAAATAATTTTTCATTTTAGTAGAGTTCCTTTCTCCTGCATTAAACTTCATAAGATGTATGTGTGTGTGTGTTGGGGTGGGGGTGGGATGGTGGTGATGTGCATTCAGCATGTGTTGCAAGTAAATCATTAAAGCTCTTGCAAACACACCTTATAGCTGTCAGCTGGCACGCTCTCAGTGAATGGCTCTTTGGCTATATATGTTCAAGCTGGTGACAGTGAATACAAACAATGGTGTCTAGGTGCAGCAAACACAAACTTTCAAAGAAAATACCTATTAACAAATGATTTCTAAAAGCTGGGACAAAGTGGCTCCTTGCTCACATCTACTCTTTTCCCCTTAGAGGAGGGTGGGCAGTAATTGTGCACACCTCCAGTTGTATTCTATCAAGAAGCTCTGTTAAGGGATTGAGAAATGCAGGTGAGGTTATTGAAACTAATGATGTTATTCTACTATGTTAAAATTAGGCCTGTGCAGTGAATTTTGTTAGATTCTCTCTCCTTTAGCAGCTGCATTTCCTACGACATAGTTAAAATTGACTGGGCCCTTGAAAAATATGTAAAATATACGTGTAATTCACTTTAAACCATAGTTGGTAACTTTACAGACTTCGCAAACCAAGGCTCCAGGAGGGAGAATTCACAGAATTTCTCCCTACTGCCTATGATCCCTGGAGAGAATGAAGTAAGGCTGGTTACCAGTGTATTTTGTGACAGTGGTTTTCTGTTTAAACGTGAGCAGGCAAATCAGCTTATAGTAAGACAGTGATTTGTGGTTATTTAGATGTTACTCTTTTTAAATTTTTATGGGTACATAGTAGGTGTATATATTTATCGGGTACATATTTTGATACAGGCACACTGTAATAATCCCTTCACATAAATAGGGTATCCATCACCTCAAGCATTATTTCTTTGTGTTACAAACATGTCAATTATACTCTTTTCATTATTTTTAAATGTTAGATGTTAGTCTGGTAAGAAGTGGCTGATTGCCAAAACTTTTAAAGACATTATTGCTAAATTATAATTAATTTTTACAATTTCACTTATTTATGCCATGTATTTGTCCCGTCAATAAATTGAATACCCTCTGTTGTGCACCAGGCACCCACTGAAGCATTGAACTCACAGAAATGAATAAGACAGATGCTGACTGCTAGGAAATCACAGCCTAGTAGGGGAAGTTGACTTGTAAATGACATCAGATTAATAATTTGTAACTTAAATTCTTTTTTATATTCACATTCGAATGGACGCTCATGCTTTCTATGCTGGTGTGACCATTTAAGATTGGGTTGCTAATCTCTGGGAATCAATCAGCAAGCACAATCACTTTACTCTTTGAAAGTAAAGTGCCTTTACCTGTGAAGTCGTTAATGAGCTCCATCCTCACCTCCAAGCCAGATAAGAACCTTGGGCCAGCAAGGCCCGTTCCTCTCTCTTAAGATGTTACCTCGTTCTGTTTCACCGTTATTTCAGGGCTTTCCCTATGACAAGTCATTTCAGTTCAAATTTAAGAGGGTTCATTTTGTCACAAAGCTCATAGTAAGAGGGGCTCCCAGATTAAAAATCAAACAAACAATAACAGACGAGCCCCACAAATATACAGGGTGACGAAGAAATACATCAGGAGGAGACTGTATCAGGAGTCCGGCATTTCCTTCAACAGCAGGAGTGGCTTTTGGAGATTACTATGCCCTTTGCACTACTGCCAAAGGTAAGCAAATGTGCCCAGAGGAATAGCTAAGGAAAAGTCTTCCAGGTCTCAGCAGGTTGCCTGGTGACTACACCCCCGTGCTGTAAATCTCGGCCTTGGGTGACATGGTGCATGCTCTCGTGGGCAGCACTCTCAGGTGAGGAAGTACTTGATGTCTTCAGAGACATAAGCCAGGGAAGCTCACTGACCTGGTGACCCTGTTCACATGCTTGAGCAAGAACTCAAATATGCCAAAAAGCAAATAGTGCTCTCACTTGTAATTTCATTTCTCGTGGGTGAAATGGGCTCCAACCTATGCTGTCCTTTCAAGGGCTGCTTGAGTGGCTCTGGCAGTGTCTGGGGATTTCAGAGAATATAAAACAGGTCCCCACAGCATCAAAAGATATAAAATCCATGGAATGACTTGAAACATATTTTATAAGTACCTAAATAGGGTCTTCTATTTAGCAAATAACATTGTTAAAATATGTTCGATATGGGTGTTCAGGTGGGGAGGGAAGGGAGAAGAGAAACAAAAGCCCATCGGTCATAAAAAGAAAGCAAGGTCAACTCTGTGAGGTCTCAAAACATCCTCACAAGAGATCAGGGCTCTTCTTTGAATTTTAATAGCAATTTTAAGGAAAGTAGTAGGTAACTGTCATTGAAGTAACTTAAATGAACTTTAAAGTCGGCCAAATTACTTCTGTGAACAACCACAAAGAACTATTTTGCAACCAAAATGAAGTTGTGTGATACCTGCCTTACTGTTCTCTGAAATGACATTACTAGAAGGAAAGTCCCTGTTTTCCCCTCAGATGGGTTTGCATTGCTGCTGGCTGAGACCAAGTGGTATAAAATGTGGTTTGGGTCCATCTTTCAACTCTGTTCAATGAACATTATGGATTGGTATATCAATGAAATAGATGAAGTCTAGGATTTTTGTAGTAAAGGATTTATTTCAATTGCTGCATATTCATTTATGTAGTGCATAATTAACTACTAAGTGCAAAGTACTGAGCTATGTGAATGAGTTAAGATGAAAAATATCACAGTCCTTGATCTTAAGGCATCTTGTATCAAGTCAGCAGAAAGAGAACCTACCTGGGCAATTGCTGAGGAAACCAAGTGGTAGGGGCAAAGTATTTAAGAGTGGGACAAAGTTGGAAGGGCTCATTCTCTAATGACTTACATTTTGTCAGTAAAATTATTTACTGAGAATAAGGTGGAAATGGTTGTGTGTTTGAGAAGTACTGTAAAATTTGGAAAGGCCACAGTGAAAAAGTTCTAGGGTGATTATGAACAAGGAACCTCAAATGCCTAGTGGTCCCATCAGCAGATAGCACAAATTTATTTGGGACCAGTCTGAACCATCTTCATAAATTACCATGTGGCAAATAATGAGGATGGATAACACACATTAGAAAATCCTGTGAGCTAGAGGCCATTGAGGCTATTTGTTAAGATACCACTGTTTTCTAAAGAGAAGATAACTCAAGAGGCATGGACTGTGAAATAATTCGTCACTATGCCAAGGGCATGAAAGAGGTAAAAATCAGAGGGAAAAACTGTCATTAGTATTGAGTCAGTGTAACACAGATGAGGAGAATAATCTAGTTTTTTAATGCACCACTGAGGCAGTATAGTGTAGCAGAATTGCTGGGTCTTGTAACGCTGAGTTTAACCTTTAGAGGAACTTCCAACCTGTTTTCCAAAGTAGCTGCATCATTTGACATTCCCACCAGCCATGTATGAGGGCTCCAATTTCACCAGATTCTCATTAATGCTTTTTTAAAAAGTAGACTTCGTTTTTCAGACCACTTTTAGGTTCACAACAAAACTGAGGGGATGGTTGGAGATATGCCATACATCTCCTTCTCCCACACATAGCACAGCCTCCTTGCTTATTAACATCTTCCACCAGAATGGTTCATTTGTTATAATCAATGAACTTATATTGACACACATTATCACCCGAAATCCGTAGTTTATACGGTTGGTGCTGTACATCTATGGATTTGCACAAATGTATAATTTATCCACCATTATAATAACATAGATTCACTGCCCTAAAATTCCTCTGTGCTCTGCTTATTCATCCTTTCCTCCCCACTAAGCCACTATAAAGGTTAATGACAATCACTAACCTTTTTACTGTCTCCATATTTTGCCTTTTCTAGAATGTCATGAAGTTGGAATCATACCGTATGTAGCCTTTTCAGACTGGCTTCTTTCACTTAGAAATATGCATTTAAGTTTCCTCTGTTTTTTTTTTTTCTTTTGAGTGCTGAATAATCTTTTTTCATGATGTACTACCATTAATTTATTCACCTATTGAAAGACATCTTGGTTGTTGCCAAACTTTGGCAATTGTGAATAAAGCTGCTATAAATATCCATGTGCGGTTTACATATGGCCATTAGTTTTCAACTCCTTTGGATAAATACCAAAAAAAAAAAAAAAAGAATATGATTACTGGATTGTATAGTAAGAGTATATTCAGTTTTATAAGAAACTGTCAAACTGTCTCCCAAAGTGGCTGTACCGTTTTCTATTCCCACCAGCAGTGAGTGAGAGTTCCTGTTGCTCCACATCCTTGCAGCATTTGATGTTAGTGTTCTGGATTTTCAGCCATTCTAGTATGTGCATAGTGGTATCTCAATGTTGTTTTAATTGGTGTTTCCCTGATGACATAAGATATAGACCATCTTTTCATATGCTTATTTGCTATCTGTACATCTTCCTTGGTGATGTGTCTGTCAAGATCTTTGGTCCATTTTGAATCAAGTTTTTTGTTCTCTTATTGTTGAGTTTTTAAAAGTACTTTGTTTATTTTGGATAACATTCCTTTGTCAGATAGGTTCTTTTGCAAATATTTTCTCCCAGTCTGTGGCTTGTCTTTTTTTTTTTCTTGACAGGATCTTTTGCAGAACAGAAGTTTTAAAATTGAATGGAGTCCAGCCTATCAATTCTGTCATGAATCATGCCTTTGGTGTCATCTAAAAAGTCATTCCCAAATACAGGGTCGTCTAGATTTTTTTCCTATGTTATCTTCTAGGAGTTTTATAGTTTTGCGTTTTATGTCTAGGTATGTGATCCATTTTGAGCTAATTATTATGAAGCGTGTGTTGGGGCTCAGGCACACTACTCCAATATGACTTGCTGGAGACCAGAATATGCCATCCCAATATATGCCATTGTGGCATATTGATTACTTTGAGCTGAAAGAAATTGAGAACCAGCCAACACAGGCAAAGCTCTTCACCACTCCCTCAGCTGCCTAAAGTATAAAACACCCCTTTTGTAAATAGAAATTTACAAATACAAAGAAATTTACATTCGTGAAGATGTCTGTATCAGGAAGGGAAGTACTCCAAGAAAACCTTTATCACCAAAGAGCCTTACTTATATTTGCATAGCAAGGCAACTTTTATTTCATAGTACATTTTCTCCACCCACCTTCCCGTAATTTGTCTCCACCACTGCTCCTTCTGAGCCCCAAGCCCTATTTCTTTCTGTAGCTCAAGATGCTATATAAATGTCAGTCATCTAGCCCTTCTTCAAGTTTTATATTTTTGTGGGACTTCTATGTGTGTGCATGTAATTAAAAATGGCTTTCATTTCTTTTTTTATAGGCAAATATTATTTTATTGTTGTATAGTTTTGTATTTCTTTTGTTTTACTATGTGAGTTTCTTTATTTAGATTCTGCACATATCTTTAAAAATACTTATTATGGTATACGTTTAATCTGTCTTATGTCAATTTAAGAGCTGTAGCCCAGCCAAAGAACCTAGGAGGGTGGTGAAGAGCCACTTTTCCCTCCCCTACAGGTGTGAGGTCTGTATCTAGATTTATTTTTTTGCATGTTGATGTTTAGTCTTTCTAGCACCATCTGTTTAAAGACTATTTTTTTCTTCACTGAATTGCCTTTGCCCCTTTGTTAAAGATCAGTTGACTATGCTGGTTTATTTCTGAGCATGTGACGTAATAAAAAATATATATTTAGTGTCTGCCCCTGGTTTCCGATACAGCTTCTAAGTCCCTTAGAATCGCTTGAGTAATAGGAGCATATTTTGTTTTAATGAAGTGACTCTTGGTAGGCTCCTAGATAGCTTCAGGATGGGTGCTGGATATCAGAAAGAACAAGCCATGATTAAAAGCTTGGAACTTTCAGCCCCACTCCTATCCTCAGGGGAGACAGAGGGGCTGTAGATTAAGTGAATAATTTATCATGCTTACGTGATAAGCTTCCACTGAAAAATCTCCAGGGTTTGGAGAACTTCTGGGTTGGTTAATGTGCCCATTCAGGAAAGGGTGGTGTACCCCAACTACACAGGAACACAAGTTACTCTGCTTGAAACTCTTCCAGACCTCACCTTCAGTACCACTTTATCTGGCTGTTCATCTGTATTCTTTATAATAAACTCATAAATGTTAAGTAATGTGTTCCCTGTGTTCTGAGAGCTTTTATGGCAAATTATTAAACATGAGATGAGGGTTGTGGGAACCCCCAACTTATAGTCAAGTGAATAGTCTGTTATTGCATTGCTATAAATAAATATTTGAGACTGTGTAATTTATAAAGAAAAGAGGTTGAATTTTCTCACGGTTCTGCAGGCTGTTCAGGAAGCACAGTGGCTTCTGCTTCTGGGGAGGCCTCAGGAGGCTTCCAGTCGTGGCAGGAGGCAAAGCAGGACTGAGGCACATCACATAGCCAGAGTAGGAGGAAGTGGGGGGAGGTGCCACACGCTTCTAAACAAACAGATCTCATGAGAACTCACTCACTATCCAGTGCCAAAGGGGTACGGTGCTAAACTATTCATGAGAACTCTGCCCCATGATCCAATCGCCTCCCAACAGGCCCCACCTCCAACACTGGGGATTACAATTTGACAGGAGATTTAGTGGGGACACAGTTTCAAACAATATCACCAAGTTAGAAGGGAACAGGTATCCTGGGCACCAAGTACTTGTGACTTGCAAGTGAAGTAGGGTGCACTCTTGTCTAATTGAACCCTTAACCTTCAGGGTCTATATTAACTCAGGGTGTCAGCATTAACACAGTGTCAGAATTAAATTATTATCAAATTGCTGGTATCTGCAGAGAATTGGAGAATTGCTTGGTATGGAAAATGCTAAAAATGCATACATTTGGTGTCAGAAGTGTTGAGTATAGTAAGTTTCTTTTAGCTCTCTATTCTGTTCCATTGATCTATTTGTCTATTCTGTTTTTTTTTTTTTGTCTCTTCCCAGAAACATTAAAATCAGTTTATAGATATCCACAAAATAACTTGCTGGGATTTAGATTGGGACTGCATTTAAACATATAGATCAAGGTGGGAAGAACTGATATCTTGACAATACTTTCAATATTTCTATCCTGTCCTATCCATGAACATAGAATATACCTCCATTTGTGTAGTTCTTTGATTTCTTTTTCTTTCTTTCTTTTTTTTTTTTTTTTTGAGATGGAACCTTGCTCTGTCGCCCAGGCTGGAGTACAGTGGCAAAATCTCGGCTCACTGCAACCTCCGTCTCCTGGGTTCAAGCAATTCTCTGCCTCAGCCTCCTGAGTAGCTGGGATTACAGGCACCCACCACCATACCCAGATAATTTTTGTATTTTTAGTAGACAGAGGGTTTCACCATCTTAGCCAGGCTGGCCTTGAACTCCTGACCTCGTGTTCCATCCACCTTGGCCTCCCAAAGTGCTGGGATTACAGGCATGAGCCATCATGCCCAGCCTCTTTGATTTCTTTTATCAGAGATTTGTAGTTTTCCTCATAGAGATCATGTATATATTTTGTGAGATTTATACCTAAGTATTTCATTTTTGGGGGTGCTAATATAAATGTTTTTTTTATTTCAAATTCCACTTGTTCATTGCTGTTATAAAGAAAGGTGATTAACTTTTGTATATTAACCTTGTGTCCTGCAATCTTGCTCTAAATGCTTATTCCAGTTTTTTTGTTGTTGTTGATTCTTCTGGATTTTCTACATGGAAAATGATGTTATCTGCAAACAAAGACAGTTTTATTTCTTCCTTTCCAATAGGTGTACCTTTTATTTTATTTTCTTATCTTATTGCAGTAACTAAGAATTCCGGCATAGTGTTGAGAAGAAGTGGTGAAAGAGGACATACTTGCCTTTTTCTTGATTTCAGAAGGAAAGCTTCTAATTTCTCACTATTAGGTATGATGTTGTATTGTTTTTATATTCTTTATCCTTTTTAAAAAAAACCCTTCTATTCTTAGTTTACTGAGAGGTTTTATTATAAATGGGTGTTGGAATTTGCCAAATGCATTTGCTGCATCTATTGATGTGATCATGTGAATTTTCTTCTTTTGCCTATTTATTGATGGATTACATAAATTTTTGAATGTTGAACCAGACTTGCATACCTGAGATAAATTCTACTTGGCCGTGGTGTATAATTCTTTGTATATATTGTTGGATTTGATTTGCTAATATTTTTGCTGAGGTTTTGGCATCTATTTTCATGAAAGATACTGGTCTTTAGTTTTTTTGAGGTTTTTTTTTTTTTTTTTTTTTTTTGGTAATGTCTTTGGTTTTGGGGTTAGGGTGATACTGACCTCATAGGATGAGTTAGGAAGTATTCCTTCTGCTGTTTTCTTCTGAAAGAGATTGTAGGGAATTGGCATAATTTATTCCTTAAATGTTTGGTCGAGTTCACCAGTGAACTCCTCTGGGATTGGTGCTTTCTGTTTTAGAAGGTGATTAAGTATTGATTCAATTTTAAAAAATAGATGTAGGCCTATTCAGATGGTCTATTTTTTCTTGTTTGAGTTTTGGCAAATCGTGTTTTTCATGGAATTGGTCCAGGTCATCTAGGTTATCAAATTTGTGGGCATAAAGTTGTTCATAATATTTCTTTATTATCCTTTTAATGTCCATGGAACATCCCTGGTAATGTCCCATCTTTCATACTAGTAATTTGTGTCCTCTGTCTTTCTTTCTCTCTCTTAGCCTGGTAAAAGGCTTATTGATTTTACTGATCTTTTCTAGATATCAGCTTTTGGTTTCACTGATTTTTCTCAATTTCCCATTTTCAGTTTCATTTTCTGCTCTAATTTTTATTTCTTTTCATTTGCTTTGGATTTAATTTGCTCTTCTTTTTCTAATTTCCTAAGGTGGAAGCTTAGGTTATTGATTTTTTAGATCTTTCTTCTTTTCTAAAATATGCATTCAATCTTTTAAATTTGCCTCTAAGCACTGTTTTCAGTGCATACCACAGATTTTGTTTTGGATGTTTTATACCACAGATTTTGATGTTATATTTTCATGGAGTTCAAAATATTTTAAAATTTCTTTTGAGATTTCTTCTTTGAGCCATATGTTATCTAGAAGTATATTGTTTAATCTCCAAGTCTTTGGGGGATTTTCCAACTGTCTTCCTGTTACTGTCTTCTAGTTTAATTCCACTGTTGTCTGAGAGCAGACACTGTATGATTTCTATTCTTAAATTTGTTAGTATGTTTTATGACCCAGGATGTAGTTTCTTGAGGTGACTGTTCCAAGTGAGCTTGAGAAGAATGAACATTCTGCTGTGTTGTTGAAGTCTGTATATGTCTGTTATATCCAATTGATTGACTTACCAATGCTTTTTGAATCTAGTCATAATAATGGGTGTGAAGTGCTATTTCATTGTGGTTTTGATTTGCATTTCCCTTAATGTGAAATCATTAAGGCTAACGATATTGAGCATCTTTTTATGTTCCTATTAGTCTTTTGTATATCATCTTTGAAGAAATGTCTATTTTGATACTTTACTCATTTTAGTTGGGTTGTCTTTAATTGAGTTGTAAGAGTTCTTTATGTGGTCTAGATACAAGTTCCTTATCAGAAGATGCTTTGCAAATATTTTCTCCTATTCTATGGTTTATCACTTTCTTAATGGTATCCTTTAAAGCACAAAAGGATTTTTAATTTTGATTAAATCCAATTTATTATTTTTTATTATTGTCCATATTTCTGATGTATCTAAGAAATCATTGCCTAACTCAAAGTCATGGAAATTTAATCCTATTTGTTGTCTAAGAATTTTAAGTTGCAGCTCTTGCATTTAGGTCTATGATTCATTTTGAGTTAACTTTTATGTATTGTATGAGGCAGGGATCCAACTTTATTCCTTTGCTTGTGGATATCCAGTTGTCCTAGAACCTTTGAAAAAAAATTAATTGACCCTAAATGTAAGGGTGTATTTCTGAACTCTCAAGTCTATTTTATTGAGCTATCTGTCTATCCTTAGAACTTACACTATCTTAAATGGTGTAACTTCATCATAACTTTTGAAATCAGTAAACTTTTTCAAGATTGCTATGGTTATTTGGTGTCTCATTTTCATATGAATTACAGGATCAACTTTTTAATTTCTGCAAATAAGTCAGTTGGAAGTTTGATAGGGATTATGTTAAATCTCTAGATCAATTTGAGGAGTATTACCATCTTAATATTAAGTCTTCTGATTCACAAACGTGGGATGTCTTTTCATTTATTTGGGTCTTTTAAAAGTTCTTCTAACAATGTTTTTGTTGTTTTGTTTTCAGAGTGTAAGTTTTACACATTGTGTTAGAGTTCTTCAGAGAAATTAATTAAAAAAGTGAAACTAAATATGAGTAAAGGATCCAAATAGACATTTTTCAAGAAAAATGCAAATTACTAATGAGAACATAATTTAAGTACAAACTTTTTTTCATTATAGACACATTCTTCAAGATAATTCAGCGTGTAAACTTTTTAAAGACTTTTAAAGACTTAGAATAGTTTGTTTCAAACATTGATTTGTGCTGCAGTGAATTAAAGCATGGGCATAAGGCTCTATTTTTCCTTTCAGAAACTTTTGCCATCTGGTTCCCAGTGTCCTCTTAACATAGTTTTCAGGCTATGAAATTCTGTACGTCTTTATGAAGCTCAAGAATTGACCTTTGAGAGGGAAAAGTCTTATTTTATTATGCTGACACCACACATCATAAGTCGTATTTTGCTTGTAGATCTCATTCAATGTCATCATCAACATGTGCAATAAGAGATACGTCATGTTTATGGCTAGAATATTTCTTTTATTTCCAGTTATAGTTTTCTCATAAAATCTCTATTGAAAATAATCTCCATGCAGTCATTGAATGTTATTGCTTGGAACAGAAATGCTAAAACAATTTGCTTGTTTAGGATCTTGAGTTATTCCAGCATTCTGAAGTGTCTCAGTCCCATAAGAAATATCTTTTTGGCCAGAGCAGTAGTAATGTAAGTCTGTGGCTTTTCTTGTCATGTATTTTATGGGATTGTGTTAACTTCCTAATATGTTTTGTATTCTTCCCATTTGTATTAGAATACAATGGGTAAATAATTTCATTTTAACTCTTCTCTCCCAGATATTTTACAGCTATGATTGACATTTTCTCAAGAGTTTTGTATTAAAAAATAGAATGTCCCAGTGGGATCTAAGAATGGTAAGAGGTAGGGCCTGCGCATTATTCTAAGATCCAAAAAGTGCATCTTCAAAATTAGATATTGTTTGTCTTATATCTATCATCTTTTTCTTTATGTCCAAGCCCCTTGTTGGACAGAGGTCACCCTGGCCATTGCACTGGGTAAGTGGGCTGTGAAGGAGATCTTGCCCTACATGGTCAAAGACAGAATAACCAGTGGGTTCTTGGAAAGCCATGAAGGTCAAGCCTTGGGAACAAAATCCAAAGGGTTGAGAGGAAGGGTCCAGGGCAAGGAGATGAAACCAAAGTCTAGTGGGGAGGAGACTGGTAGAGCTAGTAGAATAGGGCCATAGGAAGAATGATTTGGATATTTTTAACAAATACAGTGGAAATATCTAGAACTTGGTATATGTAATCTGGCGCAGTGAAATTAGTGTGGTTTTGAAGTTGGCTCTAGGTTCGCATCTTGCTTAATTAGTAGGCTTAGGTAAGTCAGTTAATCCCTCCGTGCCTGAGTTTCTCATCTTTTAAATAAGCAGTAGCGTCATTATAATCACAATAACTAGAGCTTCTTCAATACTTGTAATATATGGTAGATATTTTATGTAGATAATCAGAGCAGTCCAATGAACTATTTTTTATTATCCCTATTTTTCACATGGGGGAAACTGAGACTTAGAGAAATTAAGTAATTTGCTCAAGGTCCTTTCCTACAGCTAGAACGTAATAGAGCTAGGATTGTAATCCAAATGAATCAGATTTCACAGTTCATTAGGCCATTGGATCAGAATGGCCTATACGCATATTATCAGGGATATCCTAAACTCTACTGTAGACTGTATTAGCACTTCTGGGGATGGGGCCCAGGAAAGTACATTTGACCTCACCACTTAGGTGATTCTTTTTTTCTTCTTTTTTGTTTTTAATTGAGACAGCCTCACTCTGACACCCAGGCTGGAGTGCAGTGGCATAATCTTGGTTTGCTGCAACCACTGACTCTCAGGCTCAAGGGATCCTCCCACCTCAGCCTCTGGAGTAGCTAGGACTACAGGCATGCACCACCACGCCTGGCTAATTTTTGTATTTTTTTGTAGAAACAGGGTTTTGCCATATTTCCAAGGCTGGTCTTGAATTCCTGGACTCAAGTGATCCTCCTGCCTCGGCCTCCGACAGTGCTGAGATTACAGGTGTGAGCCACTGTGCCCAGCCTTAGGTGATTATTATGCTCTATGTACTCTGTAGTCTTGTCACCCAAGATGTGATCTGTGGCTCAGGACCATCAGCATCACCTGGGAGCTTGTTAGAAGTATAAATTCTTGCCAGGTGCGGTGGCTCACGCCTGTAATCCTAGCACTTTGGGAGGCTGAGGTAGATGGATTGCCTGAGCTCAGGAGCTGGCAACCAGCCTGGGCAACATGGTGAAACCCCATCTCTACTAAAATACAAAAAATTAGCCAGGCATGGTGGCATGTGCCTGTAGTCCCAGCTACTACTCAGGAGACTGAGGCAGGAGAATCGTGGTAATTATTTACCAGGAGGCAGAAGTTGTAGAGATTGCACCACTGCACTCCAGCCTGGGTGACAGAGGGAGATTCCATCTCCAAAAAAAAAAAAAAAAAAAAAAAAAAGGACAAATTATTGGACACTAACCAAGCCCTACTGAATTAGCATATATATTCTAATAAGGTCCCCAGGTGATTCATATGTGCATAAGGCTGGGGAAGACCTGCTTAACAGGGTGAAGTGAGGATTAGAGATACTAAATATAAACGTTCTCGCATATCTTAGGTGCCTAACAAATACTCTGTTATCATTTCCCTTTTTGATCAAGTAGAAGGTGATGTTCTGGGAGGGCCTACAACTACAGGGTTAAGGTAAACAATTGTTCTGCTTCCCTTTCCTTTGGGATCTATGCCTAGTGCTAGCATGTTATTTCCCAGTTTTCCAGTATATTTTTCCCAAACATCTGTCCTAAAACTTATCGTGTTCTAGAATTTTTACTATCATACCTCTTCCAACACCTCAGTTTGGAATCAAAAGATCTGGATTTGACTTTTGCCTTGGCTAATTATTAAGTCTGTGACTTTGGGAAAATTAACATTTTTGAGGCTCAATTTTATCATTTATAAAAAGAGCATAATGATGATCAAAATAATAAATTTATCCAACTAAAACGTAAGAGATTAGTCCTATTTGGTTAGGGTATCAGTTGAACAAGTAAGCAAGGAACATAGAAAAGTATTAGATTCTATACTATTAGACTCTATTTTTTCCTAAATTTTAAACACTGCAATCCTTTAAAATAAATAAATTTTATAAAATTATCTGTTCTAGTCTAATGACAAAAATCTGCTTTTAGAAAAATGTTCTATAATCAAAACAATGAATTTAGATATGAACTCACAAAATTTTAAAATTTGCTAGGATCTTTAAGAAATCATGCAGTCCAGGTTCTTGATTTTATGATAGCAGAAACAAGAATTAAGTGACTTTCTTAATGACACCAAGGTAGTTAATGGATGTAATTTTAACTGGTATACTGTTGTCCCTCAATAGATGGGGTATTGGTTTCAGGACCCCCAAGATTACCAAAATCCATGAATGCTGAAGTACCTTGTATACCATGGCATAGCGTTTGCACATAATCTACATATCCTTCTGTACACTTTAAGTGATCTCTAAATTACTTGTAATATCTAATACAATGTCAATACTACATAATTAGTTGTTATTCTATATTTTTATTTGTGTTTTTTGTTGTACTTTTTTTTGGAATATTTTTGATTCTTGGCTGGTTGAATCCATGCATGTGGATTTGGCAACATGTGGAGACAGTTTTACATTCACAACTGGTGGAGTTGCTCCTGACATGTAGTCGAGGCTAGGGATGCTGCTAAACTTCCTACAATACACAAGACAGCCCCACCACAAGAAAGAGTTATCTAGCCCAAAATGTCGTGGTGCTGCTGTTGAGAAACCATGCTCTAAACTGCATTGTCAGTTACATGAGAATATCACAGTGGCCAAGTCGGCCTCAGTCACCACTAACTTCCTAGCATACAAACAGACTTTTGGGAGACAAGTATTCCATAAATGTTTGTTGAATTACTTTAAAACAACTGAATGAACAAACGAATGAATGAATGAGAAGATATCAAGTTTTCATTTAGTACACTAACTGGTAGAACACACAGATCTGCTTTTAAATATAAACATAAAATAGCAGTTGTCACTTGGTATTAGGGAATATCATATCACAGAACGTTTGGTCGACAAAAGCAATAAGGGAACACATATTCCTGTATGTGAAAAAGTTTATCCTAAGATTAAGCTGGATTATGGAGCAGCAAACCTGGACCATTGTGTTTGCTTTTCCATCTTCCAGCGGAGTTCCTTATATAAACACTGAATGAGGATATTACTGTCAACCTACAATGTGAACTGTTGCAAGAAACAGCTCCATAAATTATGCAGCTACTGTATGGGATGTTGTTGAGGGTATCTTTCGCGACATGACATGGCCCTTCTTATTAAGGATTCATGGGAGAAATTGTTGTCTGGCCTTTGTTTCTGCTATGCTTCTAACTTGTTTTTATCTTAAAAATATTGTGAATTAGAGTTGATTGTGTTTCAGTTGTAGCTACTGGGAAGCTTACATGCAACTTTATGGCTCATTTTAAACCAAGTATATGGAGTATTATAATATCCTAATCTCACCCCTGCTTATCTTATTTCTTAAAAAAAATTTTTCACATTACTCTGCTTTTCTTTAAGCTGTTTTTTAACTTTCTTTTTTCCCATCTTCCCCTTTCCTCCTTCCCCCTCTTTCTTGCTAAATATGTTTTGTAAATGATGAGGTTTTACCCTTCAGAGTGGACATTTTGAAAAGTAATTTATTTACTACATAAGTATTTATGGAATGCTTATTTTATAACAACTGTAGCTTTTTGATGGAGAAATTTACAACATTCCTTGAACAGATAAAATTTTATCAAAATAGTCATCACAAATAATGACAAACAGTATTTCCAGGAGGTTAAGGACAATATACATTCATGGCTCTCTTTACTTGCTGTTTCTGGACGCCAGTCCCAGAAAGCAATCTAAGGGATACCTTTGGGATATTTGAGAAGAGAAAAAGTGAGAGAAGCAGTATGTCCACGGTAATCTAGTTCTCTCACAAATAATGCGCCGATTTTTTGTCGGCACGGTATCTTACCATATCTCAGTTTGGCATACATCCTAACTCATGGTTAATGTTCTGAGGTTTTGTTAAATTCAATTGGTTTTGCAGTCCTGGGCTTATGTTGCATGTGGATGGACCTGATGGTAGGGTTTGAAGGTTCTGTTGACCTCAGTTTAAAAAGTAACTACTATTGAAAACTAATGATTTCTTTTACTAAGCACGTTCCTTATAAAACTTAGGCAAGATTGGGGACTGACAAGCAACAAACATCACTTATAATGTAGTCACTGGGAGGTAGTGACTAGTATTATCTTAATAAACTGTTTCAGCCTTTTTATCCTATGCATGTGTAGGAAAGGGAGAGAGAGAGGGAATAGGATATTGCACATACTCCTTTGTAATTCTTGGTATTCTCTTGTCTGTGATGTTATTATCTTTCCGTGTCATTATTCCTTGTTCTACATTGTCACTCATAGTGGCCAGATGGTATTCTGTTGTATAGATATATCATAGTTTATTGGCCGGGTGCAGTGGCTCACGCCTGCAACCCCAGCATTTTGGGATGCCAAGACGGGTGGATCACCTGAGGTCAGGAGTTCAAGACCAGCCTGACTAACATGGTGAAACCCTGTCTCTACTAAAAATACAAAAATTAGCCAGGCATTGTGGTGCATTCCTGTAGTCCCAGCTATTTGGGAGGCTGAGACAGGAGAACCACTTGAACCTGGGAGGCAGGTGTTGCAGTGACCTGAGATTGCACCATTGCACTCCAGCCTGGGTGACAGAGCGAGACTCTGTCTCAAAAAAAAAACAAAAACAAAAACAAAAACAAAAACATAGTTTATTAACCAATTCATTAAATTGTTTCCATTATAAATGCTATTAAATTATGGCAAATGTGTGTACACATGATTATGTGTGTATGCATGTGTAAAATGTGTACAAATGATTATGGCAAATGTGTGTACACACAATTTTAAGTAGCTTGATTTTATGATCTGAAGTCAAAACATTCCATAGCTTCAATTTAAAATTGAGACACAAATAGGAAATTAGTTCCAATGCAGACTGATATAGCAGGGCAATTTTATAATATACATTTACATTAACAGTTAAATACTTCATCTTTATATTTAGTCATGGAGATAATTTTAAGTTGTTTGAGGAAATTAAACGAGGCATGTAGCCTCATTCATCTGTGTACATAGCACACATCTCTATAGGCTAGGAGAAGGAAGTTAATGCTAACCCTTAATTTAAAACATCACTTTTGTATGTTGTAGATCCAGAGTTCAGGCGGACATTTTTTTTTAAACAGTGGAATATAGGATAAATATCTTAGAGATTGAATTTCAGTGAGCAAATTGTTGGTCAAAATTAATGTGCCACTTTCAGAGCACAACAACCCAATTTTCTTTCACATAAAAGTATTAGAATGATTTTATTTTCACAAATAACTGAAAAAGAGAGATAAAAGAGATGGGGAGGGAAAGATAAACAAATCCCTATAGATTTCCCTGATTTACAGGTGGGATTCAAAAGTACCTGCTGTGTGAAAAAGGCACCATTATGAAGAAACCCTCCTCAGATTACTCCATCAGAAACAATCAAAAAGAACTCGGATTGAGTACACCCTTTGAGCATTGTTGCACCACCACAGCAAATTAAATTCATTCAGGTTGACTTCATGGTATGTGTCACTTAAAAAACTTTCTTTTTCTTGTCTGTGCCTCTCCCCGCCACTCCCAAATGAATTGATTGCCCTGGAAACAAGGGTAGAAAAAAATGATCTAAGTTCAGTGTTGGTAAACAGCAAAGCATGTTAAAATATAATAGAGGAACATTCCAATTTATTCTGTTGCTGTCTTCGTTTTAGGGTCAGTTTTCTGCTTTGTAGTTTTACTACTTACACTCTGGCATAAAGAGTAAGGAAGTAGCGCTGAAAGCATTGTTTTGATGCTGGAGGAGGATTGGACTTGACTGACACATGAGTTAGTTTGAATGTGTTTCAGGACCAGGTGTTAAAAAAAATTTCCCTTAAGCATCCAGGAACTCAGGAAGGACCGTTTTTACCCCATGCTGAAATTTGTAAGCAAAGGCTCTAGGAGGTTCCTCCTGTTGGGGTCTTTACTACCATTGATTTGCAACAGGAGAGTGAGGTCAACACATGGGCTGTGCATTCTGGAAAGTCTGAGTCATTCTGTCTGCCCTCTGCCCTACCTCTCCAGCTTTAGTAACCTTTCCCCGCAGTGTGATGATTAGAACCTCATATCCTCACCCAGAAGTGGGTTCAGTGGTACTGGCCATGGCACCAGAACAGCTCCCACTGTCCTGCCTCTCTATCCATACCAATACTACCAGAGAGACCTGGTGGCCTTTTACAGCATTCCCTAATAAGAGCATAGAACAGGTGTTCACTTTTTTTTGGAAGACACTAAAATGCATTGTGTAAACTGGGCATGCTGTGAAGGGACTTAGCTGTCGCACTAATTTTTAAATTACCTTTCTGCACATTATTATCTTTATAGGAAGACCCAGGGAGTCTGGAAGGAATATCAAGCTCTTCAGACTTTGCTGAACAGGAAAATCTATGTTAAATGCAAAACTGAAAAAAACGTTTCTCCATCACATCTTTCTGACCTGTAGTTGACTTGCCCTTTTCTTCAATGAGTCTAAAATGCAGGGAAATTGCCTGAAGGGCAGCGTTTGAAGACTGTGCTGTGTGTGTCTCTTTAGGTGCTTACTGTCTGTGTATATGTTATCTGTCCCGGGGCCTGAGGGCAGGACCAGGCCTTCCTGCACCTCAGAGTTCCAGCTTCTGTTGCAAAGCAGGTACACAAAGCCTCCTTTAACTTGCCTGCCATAAGCGGTAAGATGAAACATGCCCACTGATGAGTAACAGATCTGTCCCCTAAGACGCCTCTCCTTAGAACATGGCATTTGTTGACTCTGGGTGAAGCTTTTAGCATTTTCAGTCTGTAAGAAGATTTGACCAGTAGCCCTTCTGTTGATTGTCATATTCCCTAGCCAGAAATGTCAATTACCAGTTTTCTTTCTTCATCTGTTCATTAAGCCTTTTGTATATTTTCACTCTGATTCTCAGGAATTAGTGATGACATGTGTCATTTTCATATCATTGAATTTCCTTAAAGGAATAAGAACACGATCATTAAGCAGTTCTTTACTGTGTAGGATTTCAAATATTTGAGAATAGTTTTGTGTTATTTTTAACAGAAAGCAAGTGAAAATAGGCAAATTTATAGTATTGTTTAGCTCCTCTAACTCCTACTTATCTGTAGAAATAAGAGTGAGGGCAGTTATGTATAAGTGAAATAAGTCTACAATCAGCTTATTTCCAAAAAGCTTATTTTGGGCAATAATGTTATCCTTTAACGACTTGTCAGAGGTTATAAAATTGGTTGATGTGGGTTTCCTATCTCCTGGTGCATCTGGGAATGATGACTCCATGGGGAATCTTTTCCCATCTGTTAGGGTAATGAGGAAAAGAGGAGTCAGGAGGAAGGCAGAACGCAGAGGACTGGGAACCTGGGAAACCAGCAGACCAAGTGGTCACTTTGTGAATTGTTATGTGTAGGCTGTTGTATGAGAGAGCTGTTGGAGCCATCATGCTTTTAGAATGAGAGCTGTACTGCCAGACAAAGTGCCCATGTGTGTTTTCCCCGATGCCCCTGTCAGCTCTTCATCTGGGCTTTTTGTCCTGGGAGGAGCCCTTTCCACACTGGGTCTATTTTGTGCCCTGGTTGACTTGTCTGGTCTGTGGCTCTCCAGAGGCTTATATTCCATAGAGATTCTTACCTTACAAACTCCCAGACAGCTCTCCCATATTAAGAGTGAAGCAGGGTCTCGCTAGAATCTTTCTGTGTGGTTAGGAGCCAAAGAGGCCTGAAATGGGCTTGTTTTGGAAACCTACATTATCTATTTTTGAGTAGTTTCAGAACTATCCTCTGATTGAGACCTGCCTTCTAAGAGAGATCCAAAGATCTCAAGATCAAATAGCTATCTGATTAGTGGGGATGCCTGGCTCCACTGCCCCTCAGGGATTCCTCTGTGTGTGTCAGCATCTTTAATAGGCACTCCACAAGCATTTTATCATTTAGTCTCATTACCTCTTGAGGGACTATTATTATCTTCATTTTTTTGACTGAGGGAAGCCATGCTTGGAAAGGCTATATCATCTGCCCATGGTCCTAGAGCTGGGATAGGAAGTCAGGCCTTCCTGACTCTACAACCCTGTACTTTCTTCCTACTGGTTATGCTGCCCATATTTCCTGGAGGTCCCTCGAAACTGTTGCCTCCCCACCAACTTCCTGCAGCCCTGTCCTCCCCCAGTGCTCACCTGGCAAGACCCCCAACCCTGGATTTACCTTTCTGCTTCCAAACAGAGGCAACTGGTATTTAAAGGGGGCAAAAAACCCTAAACTATAAAACTATGCTGATTAACATCACTAAAATGACTTGTCCCCTCCCTCAGCTGAGCATTCTGCATCACCCATTCATCCTTTTAGACATCACTGGTCAGCTCCCACTCCGACTTGGCACAGAACACTTCCAAACCATCACTGCTCTGCTGCAGCCTCTTGTCTGCCTCTAATCTTAGCAGAGCTTCAAACTTCTTGGAGAAATTGAGGCCATCAGAACATTTTATCTACCTTATTTACAAGGTGATTTATGGCCACATCAATCCTTGTCTTCTTGCCAGTTTGAGTATTAACCCTCTATCATCCTCTATCTATCTGTCCTCTATCTATCTGTCCAACCTGTTACCTCAATCCTTTGAAGCCCCTCACTACCTTCTGTTTTTTTCTGGGACTTTGCTCTGTTAATCAGACTTCCTCAACTACTCTACTTTTATTCTCTCACTCTTTTCAGACTCTCTCAGTCTAAAAACATACTCATATTTTAACAAATCTAAACCCCAAACCAAACAAAAAGACCTAGGTCCCCTCTAGCTACTGTCAAGTCTCTCTTGTCTTTTCACCCAAACCCCTAGAAGAATAATCCAGACTGCTGGCTTTCAATATCTTTTCCCATTCTTTCTCTCATAATATTTGGCTTTTGTTTTTACCACTGCACTAACTGGGATCCAACTAGACAAAAAGAAACTACTTCCATTATTTGCAAAGAAAATATAATGCAGGGAAATTGATTATATAGGAGGTGGAGGAACTGAGTAACCAAACAGAGGATGGCAAGTTATATTAGTCTGTTCTTGAACTGCTGTAAAGAATGACCTGAGACTGGATAATTTATAGAGAAAAGAGGTTTAATCAGCTCATGGTTCTGTGGGCTGTACAGGCTTCTGCTTCTGGGGAGGCCTCAGGAAACTTACAATCATGACAGAAGGCAAAGGAAAAGTAGGCAAATATTCATATGGCCAGCAGGAGAGAGCGAGAGCAAGAGAGCACGTGAGCACCAAACGGGAGGTGCTACACACTTTCAAACAACCAGATCTCATGACAACTCTATTGTGAAACAGCACTAGGGTGATAGTGCTAAACCATTAGAAAACACTCCCATATTCTAATCACTTCCCACTAGGCTCCACCTTCAACTTTGGGAATTACAATTCAAGATAAGATTTGGGCGGGGACACAAATCCAAACCATATCATGAGGTATCCCAGAGATAGCGATAGCTGGAAGCTGCTACTACACCTAAAATGGAGGGACAAAGTGCAAATGGCGTTATCACACACTGGGTCTGAGATCACCAACAAAAGCTAGGACCTTGGATTGGCTGTCCTGCTAGAGGTAGCTGAAGCCACAGAGGGGATTCAGGCCAGGAAACGGCAGACATGCCATTCAGGGAGAGAGAAGAAGCAGAAATATGTGTTCTCTCTGCCGCCTTCACCCATGCCTCCCAGCCGGAAACCAGCTGACACCAGAGCCTGGGAAGTGCATCCTGCAGGGCCAGCCACCCTGGTCACAGAATGAGAGGAAGGGTAGGAATGAATCTGAGGGCTAACAAACCCAGGACCAGCACATCATGCAAGGACAATGATGACTTTCTGAGTGCCAAAACCAGTGGGATTTTAGTTTTTCTATTAGTGGATCTCTCTGAATTACGCTGTTGATTACTTTCTCCTTGGAACTCTCCTCTGTTTTGGCATCTGAGAGACAGTGTGCTCACTCCATTCTGTTCTATTGTCTTTAGAGATTTCTCCTTCCATATCCCCATACCTGCCTCTTAAATACTGGTGTTCTCCAGGTTCAGTTCTTCATCCTCAAGGTATTAACTCCCATAAAGATTCTAGTAACTTTCAAATGTTTCTCTAGCTGATACCTTTCTCTTGAAATTTGGGCCTGTATTGACCAATTTGTGCCTCCTATTGCCACTTCAGATTTAACAGGAACAAAACCAAACTCATCATTTCCCTCAAATTTCCATTTCATTCTCCTTTGTTTCCTACCCTTCTCCATGGTGCTACTACCCATCTGTCAGACATTGAGAACAGCCTGAGATTTTATTCTAATTGTCAGCTAACAAATTTGCCTACCACAGTTTCATAGATGTGGACATAAGTCTTCTGGGTCAGAGACAAGGAACTTTCTTACTCATGGCAAAACAAGCATCCTGAGCTTCAAGATGGTGTTGGTTTCCCTTGCCCCGCAAGTCCCACAGAGACACCATGGAGTGCTTCAGGTGGGGGCTATACATATGTGAGTTGGCATCACTATGGAGGGACACTGAACTTAGGGACCCCAGAGGCTGTATAGATAGCCCTACAATAATCTAGGCAAAGATAAGGCTTACCCTTTCATGAGGAAATTTTGATTTCAGTTTCTGTGCCTTGTTTCCATTGTGACTACTGTCTCCTTTATCTTTTGGTTTCCTGTTCAGCTGAAGAGCTGTTTTCATCCTCCAAGCCTCAGCTGCCTCACCTGCCACCCATCCACCACTCTGGTAACTTTTCTTTTCTCAATGACGCTAAGAAATGTCATGGGTTCCTTTGTTTCAGAGCTTCTTGCATAATAATTGTTTATAGGTCTGCCTTCTCATCCAACTGTGAGCCTCTGGAAGGGCTCTGACGTTGTTGTAGCCCTCACTGATGGCACTGTCAGGCATCCAGTGGAGCTTGGCACCATCTAACAATGCCCTGCACCGTTCATATCATGCTGCTTCTGCAGCCTTTGTTCGATTTCTTCTAAAATGATCTGTGGCACCAATGTGGTTAATCCATCTAGGTTTTAGCCTGACATTATAGGAGTGCTAAATTGTGAGAGTAACTGTTTGTTTAATAAGATGGTTAAGGAAAAAATGGTAAAAATAACCATTACTTTTTTTTTTTTTTTTTTTTTTGAGTACCTGCTATGTACCCTGGTGGTAATGACAGGTAGAAACTCTACTGCTCACCTAAAGAGAAATTAGCCTCAAACTTTCACCTTGCTCTGGTTATTTTACATTTCTGTTAACAATATTGAAGAATTTACCCTTTTTTATTATGAAGACTTAAAAGAGTGAGTTTGGAGGAAGCTGTCTTTAATCAAGTTTGGATGACATTTTGGGAGACTTAGCAGCTGGCAAGCAGAAGAGAGCCTGGCAAGCACACAGGCACACACATTTCAGAATGGCATCCAGTCTCTCTTCTTATTCCTTGAGCAAATTCAAATTTGGTCAGGCTTCTTTCCATTTCTGCAAATTCTGAAAATTCCAAAATCATTTTGGTCTAACCTCATTGGAAAAACCATGTAACTACTTTCATAATGAATTGATAACCAGTCAAATATTTTTCATGCATTTCACATAAAAAGATAGATCCACCCACCAGAGGATTAATAGAAGAAAAGCATAAAACCATCCGAAATCCCAACAGTGACTTTTATGAAATTGCTTTAGGTTTTACAGAAATCTTATGTCAATTTGTTATGTATAAAGCATATTACCTGGATTTTTATTGATATAAGCATTTGGATTGTATATATAAGGTAGAGCATTGAGATCAGGTTCCTGAAAAAAATTATTATTATTATTATTTGAGACAGTCTTGCTCTGTCACTTAGGCTGGAATACATTGGTGCAATCACAGCAGACTGCAGCCTTGAACCCCTGGGCTCAAGGAATCCTTCCTGCCTCAGCCTCCCAAGTATTTGGAAGTATCGTCGCATGCCATCATGCCCAGCTAATGTTTTTAAAAAATTTTTTTGTAGGGACACGGTCTCGCCATCTTGCTCAGGCTGGTCTCGAACTCCTGGGCTCACATGATCCTCCCACCTTAGCCTCCCCAAGTGCTGGGATTATAGGTATGAGCTGTAATGCCTGGCCTGTTTATTATTAAAGCTGATCAAAACTATGGTTTTATTTTTAATCAATAAAAATGTGAGGGAAAATAGGTTTTTTAATGCTTCGTAATCTAGAGGCATGAGACATTCTCTTTTTTTTTAAGCCATTTTTAAAAGACAGTAGAAAATTCTGTATGTGGTGGAATTGTGTTTGTTAAATTTATAAATACTGTTTTTCTTAATGAAAGGCCATCTAAAGCTTAAGCCAAATTTTGGAGTCTTATTCTGTGTGACATAAGTGACAATTAAGAAGTGACAATGGTGTATTTGTTGTATTCAATATGACACAATTAATTTGGATGAGTTGCTTTTTTGACAACTAAGTAGTGCTCGGAATTCATTGTTTTTTCTCTGTTTTCCCTGAACATAGATAAAGAAGCTATATACCTTTTACAGCATCCTAGATGTTTTAGCTTTTTGCTGCTACCAGTGTTTCTCACTCTAACTTGTCCTATAAACCAGGGTATTAAATGTTTAAAGACAGGCTCCATGGATGAATGAAAAAGTGAGAGATAGTGGTGGGTAGGGCAGAAAGAAGGCAGACAGAACAGGACATAGTTTTGCTTTTCTAAGTAGCATTCAGAAATAATTGCTATATATTGCATCTAAACTTTTGGATATTTAAAAGTAATTCTGATTTTTTAATCTTTTTTATTTTCAAAAGCCCTATATTTTTTGTAGCATAAAACTACCCTAAGTCCCAACAATAGTGACTTTTATGAAATTGCTTTAGGTTTTACAGAAATCGAGACCACTTTGTTAGGTATAAAGCATATTACCTGGATTTTTATTGATATAAGCATTTGGATTATATGTATGACGTACAGCACTGAGATCGGGTTCCTGAAGAATTGTTCGATTATTCTGTTTGAGATGGAGTCTTGCTCTGTTGCCCAGAAGATTTAACTAGCATTGAAAAACAGAAAAATTTGCAGATTGCTGTCTCATTGAAAATAGTATGAGTTTATTCCTTCTTTTATTTGTCTGTCATTAAAATTTGCTGTCCCATAAAGCCAGCTCATTTGGAGACCGTCGAATCCCCCTAGATGTTTTACCTGCAGTTCATGTGTTACCTATGTACATATAGTACATCGGGTTAGAACACACACGCAAAAGTGCTAGGGCTTCCTCAAGTGTGGCCAGGCAACAGACTTAAAACAACACCTAGTCTGTTTTCATTTTGGTATAAAAATAAAATTCTTCATTAAGAAAATTTAAATATTTAACAGCTTATTATAATTAGAAATTCAGAGATACTATATAGTTCCAGACCAAGAATTAAAGAAACACAAATATTATTGTACGAATCAGTAATCACTTTGAGTGTCAAGCTTGGATCCTAGTCAAAGATTCTTGCCAGATACTTGACGTTCTCATAGTGCTGTAATTACTACTTTGTAGTTTTACTGCTGGTTGGCTTTTTAATGCTATTTATTGCTGTCATCAGTTAACTGGTCTCCTTATGGCTAACAAAGAATTCTTATCTATAGCAAGTGGCTTCTCCTCTCTTTTTTTCCCCATCCATAAAGCTAAAATTATGAATGCTATGATTATCCTACTTTTAGCCAATAGTATATTCTTCTAGCTTCCTCTTCCTTCTTCATCAATATTCAATTAATGTTGAATAACATATTCATATAGCTCTTGGAGTTTCTTAACTATACTTTCTTTTTGTTTACCGAATCTGCTGTATTTTAAAAAGAGATATCCATCTATTTCTCCATCCATCCATCCAGGCAGCCTCTTAATGGAGTATGATATTTTTAATCTGAAAGTTTTGAAATACAAGTTGAACTTAAGTCAAATAGCAGCTTCTTCATGACAAATTAACTATTTGCCTCATACTTTCAAGCAAAGTATGAAACAAAATATTTAATGATTCAAAACTTGAAAATAACATGCTTATAAAGAATGATATTTTTAAAGTAACAAACCTGATACTCCTTGATGTAATAGGAAGGTAAATAGGATCCAAACATAAACGTAACACTTTTGTTATGTAAATGACAGATTGGCCTTTGATTTGAGGGAGGCAAAAATTATAAATTTATAAAGTTTGAAATCAGTATATTAAAGTGATTTAAGAGGGAAATTAACAGAAAAATGATTATTACAAAGGCAAGGAACATCTTAAAAAGGAAAATTTGGTCAGTTCTCAGAAGGTAAAAGAATTTAGCTCAGAGCAGCAGGAGTAGCAAAAAAATGGATGTGTCAGACAACTGTACCTGGCATATGGCAACAGAATTATGTTCAATTGCTTCTCGTGAAAGTAAGCAAATATATCTGTCCTTGAAGAGAATATTGATTAAGTGAAGGTATTTAATACTATAATTTGAACTGAATAGCTCTTTTCCTCTCCAATCATACCAGCATTGCTTTAAAAAAATCTTATTAAAGGGATCAATATAGATTCTGATAGGTTAAAAACAGCTTCCGTGCTGGGAATTTTTATAGCTACATCTAACCAGTACTATTGGTTACAATATAGTGTAAGTAATTGTTTAGCAAAATCTATAATTACCTCTAGAAGAATGTATAATTTATTAATATGCATAATGTATAAATTACATATTATGAATTAGCATGCATGATATATGAAAACACATATGAACTATATTATCTAGGGCATGTTAGTATTTTTACCCCCCAAAAAGTTGCTCAGGAAACTACATTTTATAATTCATTTATGTTCAAGACAAAAGAGCATTTGCCTTTAGATAAGAATATATTTATGTTTATCATCTAGCACCAAACTAGCTTTTTTCCAGTGGACTCGGGTCCAGCAGAGTGATCTTACCTGCATGTCACAGCTGCTTTACTTCTTCATCCAGGGGCGTCCTGTGGATATGTGTCTGGGTTCTCCCCAGAGGGGAAGATGAGGTTGCCTTGGCCAATGGCTTTTCCTGTTGCCAGCTAATCCCTGGTTATTTGTGGATCCAAAACAAGAGCAATTGGAGAAATGGAATCCTTCCAATTCTTGAGCCTGGTGCTATTCATCATTTCCTAAAACCATTTAATACTTAGCACCCAGAAAATTGTCCATTAAATTATGACAGAAAAGTAATTCCATACCCTGTCTTTCCAGCCACTTTAGTCCTGGATTTAGTCATTGGCACTGTAGAACATAAAATCAGATAGTCTAGCATACATGAAAAAAAAGCAACATTTTTGTGAAGATGACTTTTCTTGTCACTTCTCTACATGGACATTTCTAAATGCCATGAGGAATTTCTATGGCAGGCGATTTAAGTAAATATAAAAATGAGAACAATGTAAGTTAATTTTTTTGACCTCCATTTATGTTGTTCAAAAATTATGTGAAAACTACTGAATTTAAAATCACAATATCTTAGTCTATTTGGGCTGCTATGACAAAATATCATAAACTGGGTGGCTTGTAAACAACAGAAATTTCTTTCTCACAGTTCTGGAGGCTGGGAAGTCCAAGATCAAGGCACCAGCAAAGTCAGTGTCTGGTGAGGGCCTGCTTCCTTGATGACTGTCTTTTCTCTGTAACCTCACATGATGAAAGGGGTGGGGCTCTCTCTGCAGTCCCTTTTATAAGGGCACTAATCCCATTCATGAGGGCTTCATTGTCATGACCTAATCACCCAGACTGGAGTGCAGTGGTGCCATCTTGGCTTATTGCAACCTCCACCTCCTTGGTTCAAGCAATTCTCATGCCCTAGCCTCCTGTATTAGTTCGTTTTCATGCTGCTGATAAAGACGTACCTGAGATTGGGCAATTTATCAAAAAAAGAGGTTTAATGGACTTACAGTTCCATATGGCTGGGGAGGCCTCACAATCATGGCAGAATGTGAAAGGTACATCTCACATGGCAGCAGACAAGAGAAGAGAGCTTGTGCGGGGAAAACTCTCCTTTTTAAAACTAACAAATCTCGTGAGACTTATCCACTATTATGAGGACAGCATGGGAAAAACCTGCCCCCATGATTCAATTATCTCCCAACAGGTCCCTCCCACAACATGTCGGAATTCAAGATGAGATTTGGGTGGGGACACAGGCAAATCATATCACCTCCTGAGTAGCTGGGATTATAGGCATGCACCACCATGCACAGCTAATTTTTGTATTTTTTAGTAGAGACAGGGTTTCACCAGCCTGTTGGCCAGGCTGGTCTTGAAGTCCTGGGCTCAAGTGTTCCTGCCACTTCAGCTTCCCAAAGTGCTGGAATTACAGGCATGAGCCACCACACCTGGCCTTCAATTTTCATTTTTTGACACCTGAGAAAAAAGGATTCTCATACTTTTCAAAGGTTTTGTTCATTTATGTGTCAATGTGAGATCTTTTTCTTCTAGGCTGTTATGTTCACCATTTTAATGAGATTATGTTTGCTTTTGTACCATGGGTTAAAGAAAAATTTAGAATAAATCTTTGAAAGTTATCTGGTCAGAATATGTCTTCTGAAAGCATGATCACACCAGTGGAGGAAAGTAACTTTTGCCTTTGATCTTCCTACACTATAGGAAAGCTAGTAAGTCTGAAAATATATCCTACCCCATTTCCTGGTAAAGTAATAGAAAGCCATTGATTTGACTTAATAATCAGCAATTGGTAAATACCCTACAAATGGGTGAAAACTATAGAGATATCTAGGGTAACTTAAAAGCGACAGGTTTGTGTGACTCTCTAAGTTTCTCCTATGTCCATTACTAGAGAGTGTAGGGCACATGTGTGGGGTGGGGGATAAGAAAGAGTTGTCCTAAATTATGAATTCAAGAATTTTGAAAAACCAATAGAAGAAAAATGCAAATTGGGAGTTACTTGGATTTTGCAATCCTCATCCTCAGATTTTTGCCGAATACTCTGCCATCCTGGCTATGGCATGTTATTTGAGTATGAGTGGCTGGGTCAGCTAAGAATGCTGCTTGTACAGTAGAACTGGGGGAGTAGCCCAAGATGGTTATGCCAGTTCATGGACGTTAAAACAAGTTTGCATATAAAACAAGAAACCATAACTAATTAACACCAGACAGGTGGTCTTGATGGAAATTTGAAATCCAAACTGGGTCAGCAGGGAATACAGACTTGGCAGACAAAACTGTAACTGAAATGATTCCCCAAGACCCGCCAAGTGAGCCTTCAGCCAACTGCCCTTACGAAAAAGCTTCCTGTGCCAGTCATTTCTGGGAAAATTGAGCCAAGGACAAATGACTGTAGTTCTTAAAATGAGTGTGATTACATTAAGATTTCAGGGCATTAAGATTTATAAGAGCTGAAGTAGGATCAGCATGGATGCTGTTCCATGTACATTTATTAATAGCAAGGAGGCCCATGGGAGGGTTTGGCTGAGCTCTCAACAAAAGAGGGGGTAGAAGGTTTGCTGGAACAAGTTGGAATTGAGAGAGGGAAATATTTAGACCCCCATTGGGAGCCAGAGCAAAATGAGATACCAATAAGGATTGAACTATCTGGAGTAACAGCCGGAATAGCTGTAGTGTTGGGAGTGAAAAATAAGTTTTACTGCTAGATGATCATCAACAGAATGAAGGCTGAGAGGGTGAGATGATAAATACAGCGATAGAGAAAAGTCTGAGGTGTGATTTCTATCACGGTGCATGATGAGATGACTCAGCAACATACCTTTGCTTTTCTTTCTCTTCCTCCCCAAAGGGGCACATAAAATGGTGGGATGTCAGTCCTAGATGGGCCCTTAGAGATGATCTGGTTCACAGCCCTCATTTTACAGCTGAAGAAGCTGCAGCCTGGAGGGGAAGTGCCTCACCAAAGGCCACACAGTGAATTCTTTAGCAGAGCAGTCGGGAAACCTGAGTCTTGACTCTTTCCATTTGTTGCCCTTTCTACCTCAAGACCAGCAAATGCTATTTTTGCTACTGACACATTCACCCACTTTATTTGTATTTAAATTCAAAGATGAACAGAGGTTCTGAAGAAAACTGGAACAACCTAAACAATAGCTGGATAATTTCACGTGAATGGATAGGAATATGAAATCAGTAGGTTTTAAGTAGTTAGCACTGTTCTGAACTGAGCATGAGCTTATTGGAAAATGGTTCTCTTTTAGAAAGATTTTACTTTTTCCAATTATTAAAAATCAGTCCACTTATCATAAGAACCGGAAAGTACAAGACTGTTTGAAATAAATAACATATGATCCTACTATTGAGAAATAACCATGGCTAATATTTTGATATTTTTTTCCAGGTTTTTCTAAGCATATTGTGTTTTATAAAAATTAAATCATAATATACACATCATTTTAAAAAATCAGCCTTATTGAGATATAATTTTCATATTATAAAATAAACCAATTTTCAGGGACTACTTGGATGAGTTCCAGCAAGTGCAATTAAAACTCTCAGCTATTTGTGTCTCCAAGAACAACTTCTTGCCTGTTTTGCTGCACATAGTTCCACCTGCCCCAAGATCCTTCATGTTTTCTGGTCTCTTTATTCACCTTCCCTCAATTTTAAATCAGGGTTCTCTCTGGGTTAGTGGAGAGGGATGAGTGGGGAAGGGGAAGAAAGAGGCTTCATTACTCACCACTAGAGATGTTATTTCATTGCTTATCAAAAGACAGCTTTGCTCCCTAAAAGGGTCTTCCTCTCTCTTACACCGTAGAAATAATTTGGATCTTTTCAGTATTCAGTCTTCCTATTCATGAACCTGGTATGTTTCAGCATGGTTTTATTTCTTTTTTTCCAGAGACAACCATTTTTTAATTTCCTTTTAACTCCTACATCACAGACTCACTGTTGCCATCTTCTGAGTCACAATCCTCATCTTAATACCATTATGAGTTCCTGCCCAGAATAATACTAATACTGCTGCAGCTGATATTTAGGATATAGTGCTTGTAATATATCACATCACTTAATTCCTCTAGCAACCTTGTAAGGTGGTCCTTGCTATTCTCAGAGTTGAGAACATTATTGCTGGTAGTGGTTATAAGTATTTCTTCCTTATTGTTTTAATCAATATGTTTGTATATAGTAAATATTTTTATTTTCTTCTTTTGCTTATACCCTTATCATCTAGCATGAATTTATTAATACTGAATTTTATATCACAGTATTTAATAGGCTATCAAAAGAGAAGGACAGGGCTGAGCACAGTGGCTTATGCCTGTAATCCCAGCACTTTAGGAGGCCAAGGTGGGGGGATCTTTTGAACTAAGGAGTTTGAGACCAGCCTGGGCAACAGAGTGAGATCCTGTCTCTCAAAAATAAATAAGCAAAATAATTTAAAACTAAAAAATTTTTTAATGTTTTTATTTAAAAATAAATATATATACACTTAATTTCCTCTCTTTTTTCCTTTTTGTTTTTTGAGATGGAGTCTCACTCTGTCACCCAGGCTGGAGTGCAGTGGGGCGATCTTAGCTCACTGCAACCTCCGCCTCCTGGGTTCAAATGATTCTCCTGTCTCAGCCTCCTGAATAGCCGGGAATACAGGTGTGCACCATCATGCCCAGCTAATTTTTTTGTATGTTTAGTAGAGACGGGGTTTCTTCATGTTGGCCAGGCTGGTCTGAAACTCCTGACCTCAAGTGATCCACCCACCTTGGCCTCCCAAAGTGTTGGGATTACAGGCGTGAGCTACCATGCCCAGCCAAGGCTAGGTATTTAAATGTTCAAGGAGTTGATTTCAACTTAGATGCAGTGACCACCCCCCACCCCTTGGAAGAAAGGTACATTACATCACATTTGCCATCTTGAAGTAAGATTCATTGATAGTATAATCAACCACACACACATTAAAACAACAACAACAATAATATAATACTCTAACTAAAATGTAGCTGAAACTCTAAAGGAAAGCCATTTACAATAAAACAAATCTCTTTCTGAATTTAAATGTCTGAACACGGCTATGTGAGAGAGCTTAATGGAGTCAAATGTTTGTCTGGTCCTAGGGTCTCTGTCAATGCTGCAGCTACAAACATGGACTGAATAGATGTGTTATCCTGGTGGTGTAGCTGTCATGAGGAGTGATGCAACTAATGATGTGGTTTTCTGATATAGTGAGCAATTCTTGGTGGACCTCCGAACAAAAATTACAATCTTCCCTTGATTTGCATGGTGGTTGCATTTAAGAAAAACATACTATCGTATTTTAAAACAATGCAAAATAACTTTCTGCTCAATGTAAAACTGAGTTAAGTTCCAGGCTCAGAAAATTAAAATATGTTTTTATAGGTCCCAGAGAGCAGAGAATGTTATTCACCCAGACCACCTGAAACAGTGCTTAGCACACAGTAGACATATATTAAGTATCATGTGAATGAATTTTTCATCTCTGTGAAAATGGACAGGACATTTGAAAGTCATGCAGGATGAGGGATGATTATCCATTGTGCTGGACTACTCTAGACACTGCAGAGGAACTGGCATCTGCTCGCTGAAGACAGTACTGCTCCTAATTACTGTGAGAACCCAAAAGCTACCACCACAAATTTTCAAATTGCTCCTTTGGGTGGTACTGTTTAGAACCACAGAATTAAGTAATGATGTGGGTACTGTGTCTGTCCATTAGATTCCAGGGAAAATCCACTCACAGAAATGGTGCCTTAGTCAGTGGAGATGTGGCTGACCTATTAAAGAGACTGCCTGCTTTAAAGTAGGTGGAAAGTGGGGTGGAATGCAGGGTACAGCCATTGCCAGCTCACCAGGAACTTTGCACTAATTAGAGAAAGGTATCTGCTCTGGGAAGACCAGTTAGAAAAAGGGCACTGGCTGGCAGCTGATAAAGCCCATGGCTGGTCACATGACTTAAGCAAGTGGAGCACTGTCTGGCTGGATTTCAGCCTCCTCTCTGGATCACTTGGCCCAAGTGCCTTTTTGCAGGACTCAACTTGCATATAGCTTTGCATGGTTACCAGCTAAGACAGAACCAAGTGCTAAGATTAAAAGATAAATTCCAGACTGACTAGACGGGTGAATGGCTCAGGATAGCCTAGACAGCTTTATATTTTTTGGGGGAAGTTAATCTTAGTCTGGATGAGACAACTTATGAGTAGGAAAGGGAGTACGGAATGAATAAACAAATGAAATTAAATACAGTCACATGTCACATAATGACATTTTAGTAAACAAAGGACCACATAGCAGTCCTGTAAGATTATGATGGAGCTGAAAAATTCCTATCACCTAACGACATTGTAGCCTTCATAACATAGTGGCATGACATATTACTCATGTGTTGGTGGTAATGCTGCTGTAAACAAACCTACTGCACTGCTAGTCATGAAAATATAGCACATACAATTATATACAGCATAAAAACGTGATTATGATAATACATGACTATCATGGTTTGTTTACTTTTTATAATTATTTGAGTATACTCCATACATATACACATATACACGTATATATGTATAAAACTTTATTTTACATATATGTACACACATGCATGTACATGTATATGTACATATATATACACACATGCATGTACATGTATATGTACACATATATATATACACATATGAAGCTAACTGTAAAATAGCCTCAGGCAGGTCCTTCAGGAGGTCTCCAGAAGAAGGCATTGTCATCAGAGGAGATGATGGCTGCATGCGTATTATTGCCCCTGATGACCCTCCAGAGGGACAAGATGTGAAAGTGGAAGACTGTAATATTGATGATCCTGGCCCTGTGTAGGCCTGGGTTAATGTGTCTGTGTCTTTGTTTTTAAAGAAAAAAATCTAAAAAAAAAAAGCTCTTTAATAAAAAACAGCTTATAGAAGGAAATAAAGAAAATATTTTTTGTACAGCTGTAAAATGTGTAGTTTATCCTAAGTATTAATACAAAAGTATCAAAGTTCTAAAAACGTTTAAGCTTATAAAGTGAGAAAGTTGCAGTAACCTAAGTTTAATTTATTATTAAAGAAAATTAATAAATGCCATACAGCTGAAGTATATCGTATTTAAAAAGTCTACAGCTCACTGACTTACCCAGAGCAACTGCCTGTCCTGCAAGCTCTATTTGTAGTGAGTGCTCTATCCAGGTGTAACATTTCAAATCTTTTATCCTGTTTTTACTGTACCTTTTCTATGTTTAGATATACAAATATTATTGTGTTATAATTGGCTACTGTATTCAGTACAGTAACATACTGTGCAGGTTTGTAGCCTAAGAGCAATAGGATATACCAGCTAGCTTAGATGAGTAGTGTGGTAGGCTGTACCATCTAGGTTTGTGTAAGTACACTCTACAGTGTTTTCACACTGACAAAATTGTCTAATGATGTATTTCACAGAATGTATTCTCGTTGTTAAGCAACACATAATTATTCATGAAAATAGAATAAGTTTAATTAGTTCTGATGAGTTTAGGGAATCTCCTTCCCCATACTTTTTGTAGTAAAATTGGGTAATATTGGTGGCTCATACTAGGTGCATTTTCTTGTGGAAGTTTAGAACTTTAATAATCAGTGCATTTGGGGACAGTGAAGTCTTGGAGTATTTGTCAGAATTCTAGTTAAATACATATTTAATTGACCCGTACAGGGAAATGTATTTACTAGTTTCTTATGACTGCATATATTTTTGTGGGAACAGATATTCTTGTTGACTATCCAGGAATTCTGCCTCCCAGGGTCAAAGGGCCTTCCTGGTGAGAATGAAACCAGAGAAGTTCTTGAAGGACATTTCCTTAATGCTGTGATAGGACACATTTGACCTATCCTGCCTTATGCCAAAGCATGCACTTTTCTGCCACTGACTGCTCATGTCCACAAGATTCTTTTACAGCTGTACCTCACTGGACAAATACAGAGAAGTATCAACAGATTCTTATTCTTCATCTCTGGCTTGTTAAGTCCCCACGTGGACTTTTCATTCCATGGCCAATCTGCTTCATTTTTACAAAGTAATTACTCAGGCACTACTATGATGCCAGAAATAATCTCAGTGGTTCCAGCCTGGAGGGCTTCAATGGTAGCAGCAAGGACAAAGCTGATAGAGTAGTGATGTTCCTGAGGATGGCCATTGTGATGGTTTAATTGCATGTGTCAACTTAGCTCGACTATGGCGAGCAGTTGTTTGGGCAAACACTAGTCTGGGTGTTGTGAAAATATTTTATAGATGTGATTAACATAAACATCTATGATCACTTGTTTTAAGTAAAGATTACTTTCGATTGAGGGGGCTGGTCTCATCCAATCAGTTGAAGGTCTTAAGGGCAAAAACTCAGGTTTCCCAGAGAAGAAGGAATTCTGCTTCAAGACTATAACATGAAAGTCCTCCCTGAGTTTCTTGTCTGCTGGACTGACCTACGAATTTTGATTTGCCAGACCTCATGATCATATTAGCCAATTTCTTAATACTTTTTATGTGTATAAAACCTCCAATTGATTCTGTATCTTTGGAGAACCCTGGCTGAATCAGCCATCATTATGAGCTCTTGAAGAAAGGCTGCTGAATGGAGCTGAAATCTCATGCTCCTTTCTGTCAACACCTGAGTCTCCTGGACAGATAAGGCCCATCTCTACTATCTGTTCTCTAGGGCCTTTGACCCTGTGCTGCTCTTTGTAGCAGTAGAATTCCAGCCTGGAACCAGCAGGTGATCAGGAGAAAAAAACCATACCAACCTGATCATGGCCAGGAATGTGACTATCTCTGCCAGGTGCTAGCCACTCATGACGTGGAGGCCATGCAGTGGTCCTGCAGGATGGCCCTGAACAAGGTGATGATGGAGACGGTACCAAAGCACAGACTTCCGGCTGCCCTTTCACCAGGATGGCTGTGAGTACTCACAACACTAGGATGGCCACTGGGGCTTTAGAGTCCTCAGGAACTAGGGCATTTTCTTGAGAAGGAAGCAGTTGAGGCAAGAAAAGAACAGTGTAGGCCGGGCTCGGTGGCTCACGCCTATAATCCCAGCACTTTGGGAGGCCGAAGCAGGCAGATCACCTGAGGTTGGGAGTTCGAGACCAGCCTGACCAACATGGAGAAACTCCATCTCTACTAAAAATACAAAATTAATTGGGCATGGTGGTGCATGCCTGTAATCCCAGCTACTCAGAAGGCTGAGGCAGGAGAATTGCTTGAACCCAGGAGGTGGAGGTTGTGGTGAGCCGAGATCACGCCATTGCACTCCAGCCTGGGCAACAAGAGTGAAACTCCATCTCACAAAACAAACAAACAAACAAACAAACAAACAAACAAAAACAGTGTAACACATAGGGTCAGGACATGTTTAGAGATGGTACAAGGAATGTCTACCCCACACAGGGCACCAAGGAAGTAGACAAGGCCTTGGGCATACCTGCTAAGCTAAACATAATGTACAATACATTTTGGAATGGTCCAGGTGGTTTGTGAAGTACTTGGTGGAGACCATGAAGAAACTCCAGAGAAGCACTATCCCCAGGTCCAGCATAAAGATGAGCCAGGTAGACTTCTATATCTCCTGTAGCCGCTGACAGGCTGCCATGGCAGTGGCATTTCTGGCTCTATCTGGTTGTCAGCTTCTCTAGGAACCAGGACCAGGATTACAGGGGTGCTGACCAGTCTCTGGAAGAAGTTCTGGTTCCAGCTGTGGCGTTTGGAAGTAGGCTTCCCTCTATGGGATCCTGTTTGGATTAGAGGTATTTCCAGTTAGGAGGAAAATTTCCAAGGTACTCAGCACCATCCTGCTAATAGGAGGCTACAAACATGCGGTAATTTGGGGAAATTTTAGGTAAGGCTGCATGCTTCAGACAATCGATTCTACTACTTCCAATTTCACCATGATGGCTTTCTTACTCTAAGCCCTAGAGGAATTTTAAATCTTTAAGAGATAAATTTTATTTATTGATTAATCTTTTTGATAAGCAGAGATGAGTACCCCCCCCCACCACCACGTTGCCCACACTGGTCTCAAACTCCTGGGCTCAAGCTATCCTCTTGCCGCAGCCTCCCAAATTGCTGGGGTTACAGGTGTAAGCCACTTGCATGGCTAAGAGACACATTTTAAAGTGCAAAACTACCATCAATCTTTCGATTTTTATGTTTTCACTTCAGCTATTAGCTGCTATCTAATCAGTAGTTTTTTGTTTTGTTTTGTTTTTTCTTTTCTTAATTTGAGATGGAGTCTCGCTCTGTCACCCAGGCCGGAGTGCAGTGGCGCATCTCCACTCACTGCAAGCTCCGCCTCCCGGGTTCACACCATTCTCCTGCCTCAGCCTCCCGCATAGCTGGGACTACAGGTGCCTAACACTACGCCTGGCTAATTTTTTGTATTTTTTTTTAGTAGAGACGGGGTTTTACCATGTTAGCCAGGATGGTCTCTATCTCCTGACCTCATGATCCGCCTGCCTCGGCCTCCCAAAGTGCTGTGATTACAGGCGTGAGCCACCGTGCCCAACCATCAATAGTTATTTTTTAACACTCAAGAGCAAGTGAGCACCCCCATCATCATCATTATTATCATCATCATCATCATCACATTATCACTGGATGGGTATCCAGAAACTGTAAGGGATGCAACTTGTTTCCTCAGGAAATGTACAACATATTATTAATTTGGAGGTGCAAGTGTGTAAATATTTTTGTATTGTGACTGAATGAAAAAAATATGCCAGCTAATTTTGTTTTGAGGCTGTCTCACATACTAGAAGTCTCCAAAACCATGCACAAAGTGATTAATGATGTCCCTTTTGGTCAGTCAACCAACACGACAGGGAAATTTTTATTCTATTTTCCACATAATGTTTAGATAAATATTTTTATTTCTAGATCTATGGCCACATAGGTCAATTATTTTATTTAGCACAATTTTCCTGTTAGAAACAGAACTTCTTAGAGGTCATGATAAAATGTGAGAAATAATTATGAAAAATATTTAATTTTTTAACATTTAAAAGCTAAACAATTATCACCTTTGGGGAGTAGGCAAAAGTACATTGTATCATTAAAAAAAAACCTGAACAAAGTCAGTTCATGGAGATCTAAGAAATCTGAGGATTATCTTTTGGACTTTTATGCTTTGTAATAAGTTATGCACTTTTAAATGTCTACATGCTTCCTTTTATTTTAGAGCAGTTTTAGGTTCACAGCAAATAAGGAACCTAAATTAAGAGGCAGGTAGAGAGATTTCCCTTACATGCATAGCCTCCCTAATTATTGATATCAACATCCCCCACTGGAGGGGCATATTCATTACAATTGCACCTACATTGATAGCCATAATCACCCAAAGCCCACAGTTTACATCAGGATTTACTCTCGGTGATGTGCATTTTATGAATTTGGATGAATGTATAATAATATGTATCCCCCCTTTTTTAGTATCTTACAAAGTAGTTTCATTGCTCTAAAAATCATCCGTGTTCTGCCTCTTCAACCCTCCTCCTCTCCCCAGTACCTGGCCACCACTGACCTCTTCTGTATCCATAATTTTGCCTCTCCCAGAATGTCACATAGTTGGAATAATACAGTGTATAGCCTTTTGGTAATATCACTTAGTAATATATAAGATTCTTCCATCGTTTTTCATGGCTTGATACTTTATTTCTTTTAAGTGCTGAATAATAGGCCATTGTCTAGAGGTATTGTAGTTTGTTTATCCATTCACCTACTGAAGGACATCTTAGTTGCTTCCAAGTTTGGGCAATTATGAATAAAAGCTGCTATAAACATCTGTGGGCAGATTTTTGTGTGAAAATCAGTTTTCAGTTCCTTTGGATAAACACCAAGTAGCATGATTTCTGGGTCTTATGGTAAGAGTATGTTTAGTTTTCTAAGAAACTGACAAAGTGTCTTCCAAAGTGGCTGTGCCATTTTGCATTCCAACCAGCAATGAATGAGAGTTCCTGTTGCTCTACATCCCCACCAACATTTGGTATTCAGTGTTCCAGACTTTGGCTAGTCTGATAGATGTTTCTAGATTTTGGCCATACTAATAGGCGTGTAGTGGTTTTTCATTGTTTTAATTTGTGTTTCCCTGATAACACAAATGATGTGATATGGAGCATCTTATATGCTTATTTGCCATCTATGTATATTACACATATTATGGAGATTAAGAACCTCATTCAAAGATTCAGAGCTGGTGCCAGAATCCAAGATTTAAACACCGATTTGTCTTACTCAAAATCCTCAGCCTTTCCCACTCTATCTTTGCTGTTCTTCGAACTACAACATTTAAAGCAAATAATGAAACGGGGTCAAAACCCCATGAGACCAGATGAACTTTCCTATTGATTGTGAATGGGAAAACAATACAAAAAAAAAAAGCTTCCTTATTTAAGTGTGTCTTTGAGGACTATGAAATGTTTGTTACTTCCCAATAAGCTCTGCTACTCAGAATGATCATCTCTTTTTGTTTCATAGTTTCAATTGCAGGGCTTTTCAACATTTTTTCTTACTTTTGCTCCTGCTAAGGAGCTTTTATAGATATGCTTTTTTTCCTAATGATTCTACCAACTATGGAATTTTAATACTGCAGATGCTATATATCTGTCTATGTACTAAGTGTATATCTGTGCTTTAATTATTTTTTTTGAGACGGTCTTGCACTGTTGCCCAGGCTGGAGTGGAGTGGCATGATCTTGGCTCACTGCAACCTCCACCTCCTGGTTTCAAGCACTTCCCCTGCCTCAGCCTCTTGAGTAGCTGCAATCACTGGCACCTGCCACCATGCTTGGCTAATTTTTGTACTTTTAGTAGAGACTGGGTTTCACCATGTTGGCCAAGCTAGTGATCTGCCCTGACTCCTGACCTCAAGTGATCCGCCTGCCTTGGCCTCCCAAAGTGTTGGGATTACAGGCGTGGGCCTCTGTACCTGGCTTATCTGTGCTTTATACTTAAAAAGAATACAATTTTCTCATTGTCCAAAGAAGTTTCTCCCTCTTTACCACCCTTGTTTGGAATGCATGTTCTAGGGCCAATTGGATGAAAGAATGCTTGTCAAGGAATTGACCTAAATTAGTGACTGAAATTGTCAGCACAATGCCTTCTTTCTGCATGCTTGAAATGGTAGCCAAGCACTCATCCTATGAACTCTGTGTTAGTCCATTTTTATGCTGCTGATAAAGACATACCTGGGACTAGGCGATTTACAAAGGAAAGAGGTTTAATGGAGAACTCACAGTTCCATATGTCTGCGGAAACCTCACAATCATGGAGGAAGGCAAGGATGAGCAAATCACATCATACATAGATGGCAGCAGGCAAAAAGAGCTTGTGCAGGGAGACCCCTGTTTTTAAAACCATCAGATCTCCTGAGACCCATTCACTATCACAAGAACAGCATGGGAAAGACCTGCCCCCATGATTCAGTCATCTCCCACTGGGTCCCTCCTACAACACACAGGAATTATGGGAGCTACAAGATGAGATTCAGTTGGGGACACAGAGCCAAACCATATTGAATCCACTCTGGCACACAGACTATCCTTGAGGCAGAATGTCTACCTATTATATATTTAGTGAAACAGCAAAGATTTGCCACAGCCTAGGATGTGGCAAACTCAAGAAAGGTTTGTAAAATTCCTTCCTCCTGAATTGATTAGCCTCATGCCTCAGAATATGGTAGCCTCTGGCCCTTCAAGAATTGAGTGATTTATGTAAAAGCAATGCTAATGAATAGTCTCAGCCATTCTGGGCTTCTTTTATGTGGATCTATTTCTTTTTCTTATGGTTTCAGTCTGAAGGCACTCTCATTATGTTAACTAGCTTAGGCAGCAATTTTAATATTAATTTTGCAACATAAATGGGCTCATTGTCCAAGTTGTAGATGCCTAAAGCAATGGTAACTTTTAAAGACACTTTCATCAAATTGCTTGTATTTGTTTTCCTGAAAGAATTAATCCAGGAGCAAGGCTGCTTCTCTTTATTGTTTAGTGTCAGCTTGTACCTGCTTTGCCTCCCCCACGAACTCGTCAGAAAGCTCACAGTGCCAGGGTTTTACCGGTAGCTCTACCCATGTTGGTCATTTTGTCCCAGACATCTTCATGGGCTTGAAACTGACTTTGCAAACATGTAAGTATGGGCTTTTAAAAGTAGATATTACTATCTCATGTCAATATTCTTTCTATCCTTCCCAGAGTAAAAACACAGGTTCTATGGCATTTGGATCTATTAGAGGAAGCAGCCCAGTAAACGCAGTGAGTGGTGATCAGGCACAGCTCTCTCTGCTGAGGTCTGGCTGGACTGATCCTGTGGAAGGGAACAGCACAATGTCCATACTGCTCCTGTGATATATAGAGGATAGCTATTGAATGCAAGGGCCCTGGTTCAAATCCCTGTTCTACCACTTCCTGTGAGATTGTAGAAGTTACTTAACTTTTCTCTACCTTAGTTTCTTCATCTAAAAATGGGAGACTAGTGGCTATCTCAAATGACCGTCGTGAGGATTCAATGAGTTAACACACATGTTTAAGCTACTGTCAGGTACCTATTTAAATACTCAATAAATATCAGCTGCCATTCCTCCTCCTCCTATGACACTTCTCCTGCTACTGCCATTCTCCTCAAGCATGGTAAGCTCTTCTTCATCCATGTACAGAGAGTGGGAGGTGCATTTGGAGCATTTATCTCTCCTTTAACTGTGACGGTGGCTTCATAGACCTTGGACCCTACTCATCTGAGTTAAGTAGACACAACAATAACCCAGGAACACATTAAACCCTTGCTGCCTCATTATTTACTTGCTGCAATTTTACTGTATAATTACATGGAATTTTGGTATCCCTTTGCAGCCTAAATGTTCTGAGGTTAGATTGGAAGTGCCATCATGTCTATTTTTCATTCATCAAACCTTACCATGCAGCACTAAGCACAGCGTGGCTGGAAGACTGAGTAAGGTAGTTCCCCTCTTAAACAACCTTATGATCAGCAGAAGAAATAATGTATGGATACGAATCATTTTAAGAATAACAATGATATATATTTGAAAATTTGCTCCTTGGCAGGTTGTGCTGAGCACTTTCCATTTTTTATGTAATTGAATTCCTATAATGGTAGAGGACAATGATGTAGGGACAAAGTCCTGTGGTTTAAGTAGTAAGTGGAAAAACAAGGAGTTGAACTCTGACTTCAAAGCTTGTGATCATGCTCATACGTGTCACAAACACACTCCATGAGAGACTGTCACAAGGCCCTTTGTGAGGCAGAGGAGGGAGAAGTCACTTCTAGTTGGTGTGTTAGTGGTGCAGTGTGCTTTTGAGGAAGGTTTGGTGGCAAAGGTAGATTTTTAGCCTTAGCATTTCACAACTGGTGGGCAGAATTTAGATGGGCAGAAGCATTTTAGGAGGTAAGACTAGGATAAAAGGTCCAGACAAAGGATGGGCTGGACTTTTCTAGGAAACTTCATGTAATTTTTTTCTGGCCAAAGCAAAGGATATGGGTGGGGATGATCCAACTGAAGATATCTATTAGAACTAAATTCTGGACGGCCTTGTATGCCAAAGAAATAGTGTGTGTGTGTGTGTGTGTGTGTGTGTGTGTGTGTGTGTGTGTGTTTTTCCAGTGGGATAGTCTGGAAGACTAGAGAGATCCCCACCTTTCAAACTGGATAGATCTATGTGTAAAGGCTAAAAGGAGGGCTTATTTTAGCAAGATTGCTCAAACTCTCTGGTCTTTGGTTTTCTCATTGCTTATTTTGGTAAGGATTTGTTCATGCCTGTTTATCAAATGGATGGAAGAACTATCCCCTGCCTTATAGGATCATTGTGAAAATCAAAATAAGGCACAGCATTGAAACCTAGTAAACTGATGGATGCTACAATTGCTATTATTAAAGAGGAGCCCTTGAGGTCGTTGGACAAGTGGGTGCCATGAACAGAAGCTGGCTTTTAGAAGATTACTCTGACACATGCATCTGTGAGGAAGAGGAAATACTAAGAGTGAGAGATCAGTAGGAAACGACTGAATGATATATAAAGGAGAGAGAATGAAGACCTGGAGGGAGGTGGCTGGCGTTAAGCCTTTGACGTGCTAGGGGCAGTGTTAGGGCTGTTGGCTGCCTGTTTGTCATAGTGTATCAGGTACCCCAAGTATTTCTCTGTCCTTTTAAACCCATTGGATATTTAAGGTGGGGTAAAGTTTTAAGACAGAATTGAGATCTAGATGGTTCTGACTTCCCAGGCACTAAATACCTCCACTTTAGCATTCTGCCTTGTGGCATTTGTGGGACAGATTTTCTATTACACTGGTTAAGTTTCAGCTCTGTGGGATTTCTCCAGCTCTATGTCTTCTCCAGTTTAATGGAAGCCACGTAACTATCATGACTCAGTATTTTAGTTGGGAAAAAATCATATGAATGTTAGATCCACTAATAACCAATAATTATAACCTTCAAAAACAAAAGGGTTTGCCGAGCACTTCACTGATTTCCATAAAAGCAAGCCACTTTCTAGCCTGTCCCTTCCCTCTCTGTCAACAGAAATCATATTTATTTGTTATTCACAATTCCAAGTATCAAAAGAAAGACAATGATCTTTTATCCTTGTCATATTATTAATACTATATACCAAGGTGGCATATTTTTGATGAGAAGGATAAATTTCAAATAATTATTTTGATTTACTTCATAAATCTTTGTCTTTTATGTTGAAGCACATAACAACTTCATCTCTCTGAGTGGTCTGGCGCTGACGTTTCACCACTTCAACGGTTTGGCTCGTGATTCAGTCATGACAGAGTCACACAGAGCTATTCTGGCAAGAGCAAGAATAGAATCTGCAGGATAAGCCCAGAGAGCTGTGTGCCCACCACACAATAGGGGACAACTTGCCAGTGAGAAGTCAAGCCCTGGTTTATTGTGAGGCATGAAATATCAACAGCTGAAATTTTTGCTCTGCCAACTAGAAATGAGGCAAGACATGTTAAAAAAAATTTTTTTTTTTTTTTAGTAAGACTGGGAATGTAGAAATGCAGCAGCCTGGACAAACAAGAGGGAAGAGAAATAAACATACACCAGTAATTCAGGGTCCAGACTTGCCTGCTGGAGCTCTGTTCCAACAGAACGTGAATTCCTCTAACTGAAATCACTTACATGTCATCCTAGACTTTGGAATCTGCTGAAAGATGCCCTGAGTCTGTAGAAGTAATAGATGCCCTGAGTCCAAGCATCTCATTAGATCTCCTCTTGACTATTACTTTCATCTACTGGTTTACCGTTATATTATCAACACCTACTACTATAATCAACACCTGACACATAGTAGGAGTACAGTAAAAGTTTAGGCAAAAGGTCCCAAAACCTGGGTTTTTGTCTTGTTTCTCATGGCCAAGAGGAAATCCCAGAGGAAAAGCTGAATACAAGGAATTAAAGGATATGAGGAACCAAAGAAGAAATACAAGGAACCAAGTCAGCCATTTCCCAGTGGTTACCTAGAGCTTGAAGTTCTGCATCTCACTCCCATGGCTGTTACATGTTGCTTGGCACCAGTTCTCCTCTTCTTGCCCTTATTCTCGCTGCCTGCTCCTCAGAAATCTGTGTACACACCTCCATGTCTAGACTTCTTCCTCTTATCTACCACTGGGTGCTGTTCTTCTTGGTTGCCCTGTGGAGTGGGGTGTCTAACCCCTGGTGCTGATCTTTCTCACCCAGCCCATTCCACCACTGGCCATGACCTGATTTGGCAGTTACTTGAGGAAAGGGATGGCCAGTATAAAACCTTCAATGAAAGAGATTTATCTATGATTTTTAAATAGAGAATATTCCAAATTCTTACTGCACAACCTTTTGAGAACATATGCTATAGTTCCCTAGCAGTGGGTCTATCTTGGTAATCCACAGTCTCTCTTCAACAGGCTGAAAATTGGCTTGATCAGGATTTGTAGAAAGAGACAGAATTAAAGGAAGAGTTCCTATTTTTCTTTCCTTATTCCCTACCATATTTACCTCTCTCCACATCAGCAGGGCAATATCTGAGGATAGTTTTTAATCATTTAGTTGAGGAATATATAAAATCCCTCTAAAAGAACACTATAAAATCATTGGTTTGACTGTTTCTCCCTCATACCCTTTCAAAGACTGGCAAAGAATAAAAGAATCTAATGCTTCTCACTGAGCCCCAGGATGACAGAGGAAGCTGACTAATATGACCCTTTGGGTTGGTAACCAGGATCTGGAGAATTAGCCAGCATGGTAGGGGCTAAAGCTGAGTTTCATGCTTCAGTCCAGCAATTGCACCCCTAATTGGGCACATAGTTGCACTTTCATGGCATATAAACACTTTAAAGAACCAGTACTCAAGAGAGAAGGCTACTGTGTGTTTTCCTGAGGGCGTAGTCAGGGAGTAAAGAATGCAGGGCTCTTTAAGCAAAATTAGGCATTTAATTGCACATCTAGACTTCACTGATGGCTTTGCACATGCATGTGATTATGATTCACTTGAAAGCGCTCCTTTGAGGAGAGTCTGCACTCTACTTCTTTACAAAACAAATTAGGAAGGAAAATATTCAAAATGTTTAATTTTTAAGGTCTATTTCTTGAGTTTCTTTTTAGTTCTTACTTGCCTTCAAGTTTCTAGAGAGTTAAACCAACCACCACCACAGGGAATTCCACATCTGACTCTTATAAAGTACATAAAACAGAATATACATAGCTGTGGGTAGTTTGCAATTAGAGCATAAGTATAGTACAAATGTGGTGCTTCTCATCTACCAACATTCCTCTTCCTTCCTCTCAGATTTTCAGATTGAGAAATGGAGGCATCGAGGTCAAATCTTTTACCTAAACCACTGAGCAGCAGAGACAGGTCAGAAATATAAGTTGTCCTTGGCACCATTCTCTTTTCCAGCATTGAGCCAAGAGTCCAGTGTACCATGTTTAACTCCATTCTTCAGTAGGAATGGAGTTAAAGACATTAAAGAATAGATAACTTCTGAGGTTTGAACTTTACAGAAATATGGAGTTGAATATTTTGGTCCAATGTTTTTCTTTCGTACCCATCTCTGTGGTAGAAGACCAAAAATTTTCAAATGAAGGTTTTGGAAATGGACTCATTTTCTTCATTCTATCTGCCTTCCTATTTTGTGTAATTTGTAGAGATTAGTATTCTTGGAATTTGATGTTAGTGGAAGTATGTATGTATGCCATGTGTTTAAATTTATATATTCCATTTAGCAAAAGCCACCTGAGTTGTGTTTGCACAGTGTTTGCATAGCTATACCTACCCCCTGGCTGCTGTTTCTTGCCTCTAGTTTTTTCACAAACTTGGCCATCCTGAGTGCATTCTGTGAGAGTGCTCTTTAGCCTGGTTTGGGCTTATTCTGATATTAGTTTATTACAGTAGTCAAGAATGTGTCACCCAGAGTAGACCTCAACCTAATATAAAATCTCTAGGTATCAACTAGAGAATTTTATGAAATTTATGGAATTTTATGAAAAACTCAAAATTTTTTGGAGAATGCCTGAACCACTACCAAGGAATTAGAGCTATTTGGCCATTCCTGCATGTTCATCAGAGGTGGACTTATACTTGGCAACCAACAAATACTAAATAGTAACATTAGATGCAGACTTGTAATCCCTTTCACTAAGAAATAAGTGGAAGCTCAGCCAGATAGAACTGGGTTTGTCAAAGTTTTTAATAAGTCTGTAGGAAAATCACCAGCATAGGCTGAGGAACTTCTTCAAAATCCAGAGACCCAGGCCCATGCTCAGGCCCCTGAATCAGAAATTGCAGGATGGGCCCCAAGCATCAATATTTCCAAGATGTTCCTTAGTGATTCTGATGCTTGTGTGGTGAGGAGCTGTAAGGCTGAAAGAATAGTCTCTGCTCTGGTCTTTCGTTGGAAATGGATGAGTCCTTTTACAAAATTTTTCCTCTTGCCATGGGTGTTATGTTTAGAATCATGGAGTTGGAAGACTTAGATTCAATTTGGGGCTGTACAGTTTACTGGAAGTTGTATGAACTTGAGCAAGTGTCTCTTAATGTCTCTCAGCCTCAATGCCCTTCCCTGTAAAAGATGAGATTAAGAGAGGACACATTCAAGGCTCTTAGAGTGTCTGATAGGTACCAACTATGACTACACTGCCTGCCACCAGAGCATTCCGAGCAACCTCCTTCATCTTCATAGTTTCACCATGGGGATTGTTTTGATCATTATTTTGATAAGTTTGTGCCCCACACACTTCCTGTTCATTGTCATTCTGTGTTGGAACAGTCAAAGTCTTGCATCAGGGTTCTTATATTTTGTAGAGAGATGCTATCCATTATTCCTAATAATAATGTGAAGGTAAAAGAAGGATAATCCCCTGAAAGATGCTCTGTGAAGTGCCTGCTGCCTGCTGCTACTCCCAGCTCCAGCTCTCTATCTTGCTCTAATCCCAGTATTGTTTTGTCAGCCTGGGTAGGAGAAGTGACTTCTTGATGGATTTGAGCAAAAGGCAGTTTCTCCCACCGGGAAGAAGCATGGATGCCTTAAAATCTCCTGTGTAAAATCACCCTCCTGTAGAAGGAAGCGCCAATGAAGATTAACCATTTCATGTCAGTGAACACACTGCAGTGTGTGGGTGTGTTTAGCTCTCAATATCAGTGTGCTAGCTTTCTTTCCCAGCTGAATTGTCAATTCCTCAAAGGCAGCTTCATCCTGCACAGGGCTTTGCAGACCTCTGGGAACAACAATGTGTGTGACAGGCGGCCCTCTGGCACAGGCATGGCTTGTTTACTCTGCTGGTTTAAATTGCCTGTCTTATGTACCAGTATTTATATGTGTAACAAATGGGGGCTGGCTAATTATGTGGTTCTCAGTAGGAATCGAGTCTCTGCTGGAACCAGCTCAGTCTCTGCCCACTATTTATAGCCTTCATATGTCCCAAATTTTCCAGTTCTGATTTCAAATATTCTATCCCACTGTCTCCAGAAGTACACTTTATGCTTGTCAGACCACATGTCAATTTATGGCTTGAGAAATATAGTTACAGTATTATAACTGCTACCCTGAATACCACATTTTCTAGCTGTGAGATTGGAATCCTGCCTCTTAAAAACAAATTGAACAGGCCGGGTGCAGTGGCTCACGCCTGTAATCCCAGCACTTTGGGAGGCCGAGGCGGGCAGATCACAAGGTCAAGAGATGGAGACCATCCTGGCCAACATGGTGAAACCCCGTCTCTACTAAAAATACAAAAATTAGCTGGGCGTGGTGGCGCGCACCTGTAGTCCCAGCTACTTGGGAGGCTGAGGCAGGAGAATCACTTGTACCCAGGAGGCGGAGGTTGCAGTGGGCCCAGATCGCACCACTGCACTCCAGCCTGGGAAACAGAGCAGGACTCAGTCTCAGAAAAGCAAAACAAAACAAACAAACAAACAAAAGAAATTGGACATACATAGGAAGTATAGAAGAAAATCTGTTTTTTTCTTCAAATATCCTTGGTAAGCAATTGATTCAAAGCTTTACCTAAAAATATTACAGATCTGGAATTAAATGACTATGTGATAACACAAATCTTGATGTCAGTTGTCCTCCTTGAAACAGTGCCTTTCACACAGAACATGGTCATTAGTTAGTAGAATGATTGAATAGGGTGAATAGTATATTGACACTTTCACATTACTGTACGCTATGGAACTCTGATGTGGATATGCTGTGTTACTTCTCAGTCATCCATAAAGGCACAAAGTTACACTATATAAAGTGTGAAAGGGGCAGATTTGTAACACATTTGAGCCCCTACTTTGTATGAGGCACCAAGATAGGCACTTTCTCTTGACTTACTCAGAAAAACCCGAAGGTGTGGGCACCATAGTCTTCATGTTACAGACAGGAGAATGGAGACTCAGAGATGAAGGAGTTTGCTTGGAATGCTCAGGTGGCAGGCAGTGTAGTCAGAAGGAGAACTTAGACTGCTGTGATCGCAAAGTCCTTTTATAAATCAGGGTTTCTCACATTACTTTTTATTCTGCTCAGAATGATAATAAATGCAATAAAAATTATTGCCCATCAGCCTCAAGCTCCCTGTTGCTTTTTAAGGGATATTTGCAAATGTAATCCATCTACTAAATGCCCTCCTGCCTTTGTCACAGCTTCCTATCCCATGTTTCAGTGCTGGAGCAGACCCGTGTGTGTTTGGGAGCAGGGGTAGCTGGAGCTCTTGGAGGCCTCGCAGAGAGATGGCCTTGCCCATGATGAAGTCCTCTGGTGACTCTGCAGGACTGGCTTCGGTCTTCAAATTGGATATTTCCACTGGCACATAACTAAGCCTCAGTCAATGGAACTATACATCCATAAGTCTCAGAAAGCAGAAGGATGGCTTCCTAAATGATTTTTCCTTATGCTATATGTGCCAATAGATATCACTAATACAATCAGTACAAATAACAGTTCATGGCTTCAGACAACAGAGGTCTTTTCAACCTCTGTTGAGTCTGTAGAAAATCATCTTGATAAAATGCTATTAAATTTAAGGATATGGAGTGCAGGTTCTGCAAGAAGAATGGCCCTGGGACCTAGAACAGTGCCTGGTCCAAAGTTGGTACTCAAATATTTCAAATAAATGAATGAATCAGGGACTCAGTGGCTCTCTTTCCAAATTTATTACAGTTAAGTCCATAGGCAATCGCAGCATTTCATAGAACTGCCAGACATGATGGCCAAGGCAGAGAAGAATCTTGATTAATCCTTGTTAATACAAGTCAGGTTTTTCTATTTTCAGAGGTCCCTAGGTACTGGAGCAACTCTGCTATCTGGTATACCCAAATAGCCCAGTACCTAGCACAGTTCTGACATAGAATAGGTATTCTGTAGTACAATAAGTGAATCAGGGCATTTCAGTCGTCAAGAGTATGAACTGGAATTCTGCTCTTGGTTGCAAGATATCCATAATAGGAAAACTATATATCAAAAAAAATATTGCTTCAGACTTAGTTGTCAAGGGAGCCAAGACCTTGTGTGTGTTCATCATAGTTAAAATGCTCACTAATTGATACTGCTGGAAGGCTTACCTCATGAACAATGTTCTGTCACCTATGAAAATGCACTGAAGTAGCTTCTTGGGTAAACACTGGTAGGAGCTCATATTCATAACTTTTAAGCTGCTGGTACAGTCCAAAAAAGGTTACCACTAGATAATCTAAAATATTCTTGGAGACACTCGGGTTGCATTTGGATTCAGTCATTAACAGCTTTTTGTTTTAGAATGAAAGTATGCCTGCCTCTGGGAAAGAAAAAGGAAAAATTTTCCAATTAATTAGGCAGACTGGAGGTATTACATTGTGTATTTTCAAGGAAAAATGGAACAAATATGGTCTTGCAGAAGTTAAGTTGTTCTTTGTTTGCCAAACTGCAAGATAGATTAATTGAAAAAAAAATCATAAATTTTTGCTTTTCAAATATGGCTGGAAACCCACAATTAGATTAAAAACCCTTTCCATCACATGGCATTGTGCTGGTAAACGTTGTAGTGAGTTGCTGCGCAAAAGACAGACTTCAGCCTCCACCAGGCTCAGTAAAGACTGCAACAAATAAATGGAGGCAGTGTCCTGCTTTCTGCTTTCATTTGATCTGTATTTGGTATGGCAGGATATATTTTGAAAATTACTTTGCTATAATGAAAAGTGAGGAATTGCAGATTAGCTCTTACTAAAAGCAAATTAAACTTCCCCTCTACCTCTTGGAGAGTTATTCCCACCACAAGATGAGAAGGGCTCATTTACCTTGGGTTCGGCTTGACAACTACTGAAGAGTAGACAACTTTTTGTTCTATATCCAGTGTTCTTGCATAGAAGCAGTCACAGGATGGGGTTCCCTCCTGCTGGTAAACTACTATTCTATGTGGCAAGGAGGTTGGAAAGAAAGATCGGGGAAGTGGAGAATAGGCACCAAGGAGGAGGAGATGGGGGTTATATATGTGCCAAGCTGCCTTGCGTGCCAGCTGATGGTGTCCCTTATAAATGGAAAGAAGTCAGGGTCCATGATATACATCAGTCATTTCCATAACTATCCAAACCACCACAAACCAAAAGTTTGGTGATAAGAAAGATGACCAAGGGGAAAAAGAAGTAAATGCTTAAAATTTATCATAAAATCAGTTTAGTTCTGTAAAAGGGAATGAAAAATGATTGGTTTTACTAAATTAATTGAAAAAGGAATTTCCTATCACCTAATTTGCTTTTCTTCACCTTCATAATATTTTATGAATACATAAATTATTTTGTATTTTTATTATTTATGTATTTATAGTTACTTTGTGGATACACAAATGACATATACTGTCTAATATTGCATTTCTTTTTCTAAGTGGACTTCTATGATGTCTCTATTAAGTGTGAGATTTCTAAAATATATAATTTGGCTTGATGCTTCTGAACTTGAAACAGGGGCTTTTTGAGAAGGAATGCTGATGCTGTGTTAATGATCCAGTGGCTTCTATTTTAAATTTTTAAACAAAAAATGGGGCTTGCTTTTCTGATCCAGAAATGCTAACTTCAGATTTAGTACACTGTGTTATGTTTGTAGTATCCAAAAGGAATTTGGTGGAAAATCACATAAGTTTGGCTATAGCCTAGTACAGTGTCTAGAATGTAGTCAGTTCTTAATTGATGTTTGTGGAATAAATGAATGGATGACCAGAAGCATTAGGCATTCATTTAAGGGTTGAACACATCAATACTCTTGACACAGCTATGGAACTCAATCAACTGGTGGCCTCAGGGAACACTTTACCATTACAGTTTGTTACTGATACAACTCACAGGGCAGATGCTCATTATAAGACAGGGAATTAATGAGGCCTAGGATCTCAGTTTAATGCCTCTAGGGGCCAGTTATCTTTATTCTGTTCCATGGCTGCATCCACAACCCATAATCTTTGCCAGCTGTCACACACCAGGGCATGCTCTTTGTCACAAAGGGGCCCAGAAAGTAGATCATGAGTAGATTAGCTCAGACCCATTACCACTTAGGAGAAATAAAGCAAAAGGCATGCACTCTTTAGAGGGGGTCAGTTGGAACAATTGAATAAATGAAGAACAGCCCATTTTGTAGCCGACTGGACCTGGTTCTATAACAACATGTTGTGGTTCTGTGTGTGCAATGCTCTGACCTTGTAGGCCATAGGCAACCTAGCCACATTTGCTGAGCATGGAGTAGTTCCAAAGCCCTGACTCTAGCGAAATACTCAACCCACAGAATGCGAAATGGACTTGGGCATGTTACAGCCACATATCTCTTCCATAAATCCCCTTTTTGCTAAACCCATATATTTGAAATTATTTCAGCATTATCTAGTAACATTCTTTGAATAATAGACTAGTATATTTTCTCCTTGGCAAGCCTCACCTTGATCTGCATTATCATTTAGGCCCCATCTGAAAACACCATTAATTTAAATAAGCAATAGAGACTGAAATAAAATTCCATTCATGCTTAACTCTCCAATGTGGTTTGGAAATGCTTTCTTCTTCAGCCAGTCTTATGTTACATGCTGGATGGTCTTTTCTTTGACCACCTCATAAAAAAGGGCTCATAAATACTTTTCATGTGTTATTTAAACTAGCGGTACTCCCTGAGGCACTGCACTCCTATTTTTTTTTTAATCCTTTGTGTATTTCTAAGGCATTTCTAAACTAGTAGCAGAGGAAAAAGCGTATTCTAACTTGAGAGGACCACGTTATATCACTATCAGGCCACAAATTTCCTTTACTGATAAAAATAATTCTCTTCTCTGCAAAATATTGCCTAATTTATGTACTTTCCTTCTAAAAATAATCCATTGTGAGAGTAAGTGCCAGAATTAGAATATATATGTCTTTTCTTGATGTTTCTGATGCCAGAGCTGTGATATTTCAGCACAAGGATGTTCTATGGTATTCTGATAAGCAAAAGCTTTATTCTCCCATAAGAATCTATTCACTTCTAATTAGCAAGGAAGAAGAGACAATAGAAGAGTAGCTGCCTGGTTTATTGATTTGCAATGCTGTATGTGGCATGGTCTTGGCTAGGATTTGAAATGGTCCATCCACTTTTTGCAATAGGTTGGGGGTGGGGTCATGGCCTGCATTTCACTGGTGTCCTGATTCACATGTTTCTTTTCCCTGTGGTATCTTCGTTCGTTCTTGTGTTTTTATTATGCTTGTCTTTCCCATTTTGAAATAAATTTTGGTTGGCTCTACTGCCCCCATTCAACTACTGTATCCCTCCTTTCAAGTTCATGTGAACTTACAATTGCCCATGGCTCCCCACTCCTCACTTTAGCCATAGAATCGAAATATACACTGTATTAGAATTGGAAAGGAACTGAGAGATTACCTAGTCCGGCTTCCCTCCAAGTGTAGAAGTTCCTCCTTCAGTGTTTGTTTCCACACTTGTAGGAACACGTGGTGTTTAGCTTTGCAGGTTATATACTTATTGCTCAGACTGCGAGAGACTCAAAACATGGATTCCATCTTCAACCATTTATTGGTACTTACCTATAAAGTTTATGAGCTCTGTGGAATTTCTTATACATAATTCTCCTGGACTTCTTAAGGATTTGAAAAATATCAGCTCTAAAGAATTTATCTGCCTTCTTTTTTTTAACTTTTAAGCTCAGGAGTACATGTGCAGATTTGTTACTTAGGCAAACTGTGTCATGGGGGTTTGTTGTACATGTTATTTCATCACCCAGGTGTTAAGCCTAGTACCCAGTAGTTACTTTTCCCGATCCTCTACCTCCTCCCACCCTTCACCCTTTGATAGGCACCAGTGTGTGCTATTCCCCTTTGTGTCCATGTGTTCTCATCCTTTAGCTCCGACTTAGAGAACATGTTGTATTTGTTTTTTTGTTCCTGCCTCAGTTTGCTAAAGATAATGGCCTCCAGCTCCATCCATGTCCCTGCAAATGACATGATCTCATTCTTTTTTATGGCTGCATAGTATTCCATGGTGTATATGTACCACAATTTCTTTATCTAGTCTATCATTGATGGGCATTTAGGTTGATTCTATGTCTTTCCTATTGTGAATAGTGTTGCAATGAACATATGTGTGTATGTGTCTTTATAATAGAACTATTTATATTTCTTTGGGTATGTGCCCGGTAACCATGATTGCAGGGTCAAATGGTATTTCTGTCTTTATATCTTTGAGGAATCACTGTACTTTCTTTCACAATGATTGAACTAATTTACACTCCCACTAACAATGTATTATTGTTCCTTTTTCTCTACAACCTTACCAGCATCTGTTATTTTTTGACCTTTTAACAATAGCCATTCTGAATTGTGTGAGATGGTATCTCATTGTGATTTTGATTTTCACTTCTCTAATGATCAGTGCTGTTGAACTTTTTTTCAATGTGACTTTTGGCCACATGTATGTGGTCTTTTGAAAAGTGTTCCTGTCCTTTGCCCAGGTTTTAAAGGGGTTGTTTTTTTCTTATAAATTTGTTTAAGTTCCTTATAGATATTGGATATTAAACTTTTGTCAGGTACATAGTTTGAAAAATTTTTCTCCTATTCTGTAAGTTGTCTGTTTGTTGATAGTTTCTTTTGCTGTGCAGAAACTCTTTAGTTTAATTGATCTCATTTGTCAGTTTTTGCTTTTGTTGCAATTACTTTTGGTGTCTTTGTCATGAAATATTTGCCTGTTCCTATGTTGTGAATGGTATTGCCTAGGTTGTCTTACAGAGTTTTTATAATTTCGGTTTTTCCATTTAAGTATTTAATTCATCTTGAGTTAATTTTTGAATATGTTGTAAAGAAGGGGTCCAGTTTCAGTCTTCTGCCTATGACTAGCCAGTTTTCCCAGCACCATTTTTTGAATAGGCAATCCTTTCACCATTGCTTGTTTTTGTCAGGTTTGTCAAAGATCAGATAGTTGTAGGCGTGTGGTCATATTTCTGGGTTTTCTATTCTGTCTCATTGGTCCATGTATCTGTTTTTGTACCAGTATCATGCTTTTTTGGTTACTGTAGCCCTGCAGTATATTTTGAAGTTGGGTAGCATGATGCCTCCAGCTTTGTTCTTTTTGTTTAGGATTGCCTTGGCTAGTCAGGCTTTTTTGTGGTTCCATATGAATTTTAAAAATATTTTTTCCAGTTTTGTGAAGAATCTTATTGGTAGTTTAATAGGAATAGCATTGAATCCGTAAATTGCTTTGGGCAGTATGACCATTTTAACAACCATCCTTCTTCAGTCTGTATATCCCGATTCATATGAACAGATGTCACTTCTTTCCAAAATTCATAATCCATATTTACAATTACCTCCTGGTCAACTCAACCTGGATTAATTCAACATTCTTTCATTCATTTAGCAGATTTTTACTGAGCAACAGGTATGTTCTAGGCATTGTGCTAGGCACTGGGGATATAGATGTGAACCAAACACACCATTGCTGTCTTGGATTTTGTAGCTAGAGGGGTGAGAGATAATAAGGAGATATATATATCCTTATTATATAGAAGGATATATATACACACATATCCTATATATGAGTATATCCATATATATATTATATATATGGATACTATATATATCCTATATATATATGGATACACATATATATCCTATGTATCTTTGTGTGTATATATATGCATATATGTGTGTGTATAACATGCTCCATAAGTTGCTCAAACATTGCATACCTAGAAATTAACCCGTCAGCTTGCTTCCCTTTTAAATGAACTCTCCACTCCCTTAAATCCTACATCAGTGGTTCTCAAAGGGTGATCTCCAGAGTAGCAGCAGCATCTCCTGAGAGCTTGTTGAAATGCAAGCTCTTGGACCCCACCAAGACCTATTAAATTGAAAGTTTGGGGGACAGGGCCCAGTAGTCTGCATTAGCAAGCCTTCCAGTGATTCTGACGTGTGCTCAAGTTTGATCATCTGTCTCTATAGGATCACTGTACAATCATGCATCACTTAACAATGGGGACATGTTCTGAGGAATCCTTCATTAGGTGATTGCATTGTTGTGTGAATGTCAGAGTGTACTTACACAAACCTAGATGGTACAGCCTGCTATACACCTCGGCTATATGGTGTAGTTTATTCCTCTTAGGCTACACACCTGTACAGCATGTTACTGTACTGAATACTGTAGGCAATGGTAATACAATGGTAAGTATTTGTGTATCTAAATATATCTAAACAGAGAAAAGGTAATGCATTGCACTATGACCATCACTAGGCGATAGGAGTCTTTCAGCACCATTATAATCTGATGGAACCACTGTGGTATAGGTAGTCTGTTGTTGACCAAAATGTCCTTATGTATAGCCTCTCAAATTAGAAACTCCATAGCCCTATTGATTTTTTGGTTTCTCTTTTTCCCCCAAGTCACAATATCTTGTTAATTTTCCCTAAGAACATCTTCAACATCTGCTAGGTTTTAAATCTATACCCTTATGTCTTTCCTGGTATAGAGCACTGTATTCCTAACTGATCTCCTAAGCATTGTTTACCTTCTCATCCTTCATCCTACGTTAAAAATCTTGTCCTACTGTGAAACAAGAAGAAACAAAAATTGCCATTGGCCACTTGCTGCCTTCTGGATAAAATCTAAACTAAGTGAGCCACATAAGGTCCTGCATAATTTGCGCAGAACTATTTTACAGCCTTGTCTATGCAATTTTTTTTTTGCAATTATTCGCTGCCTTTCCCTAATCCATAAATATGCCATCACACCTCACCCCCTTTTATGATAATCTCTGCAAATGGCTGTTGATTGTGACTACAAACACTGCTGTAAATACACAATGACCCTTATCTCATCCTTTCCCCTCATTACTGTTCCTTTTTCAGCATGCAAAACTCCTTCAGAGACTGGACCACCTCTGTGAAATCTGTGACTTCCCCTGGGAGTGTTACTTGCTCCCCTAAATCCCCACAATAGTTTGTTCATACCTAATGGAAGCACACTTACCATGTTCAACATCTGTTTGGAAAACTGAGATCATGAGACACAGAGAGCATTTGATTTGTCCAGGATCACACAGCTAGACAATAGCAGAGTTAAGAATCAACCTAGATCTCCTGGCTATCAGTCCACCGTAACTTATTCTGTGTTAATAAAATCCTGTTTTGTGTGTTTAGTAGTAGGAGTAGTGGACAATTTTTCTTTTTCTTAGACATTACTAGTGAAATCCAGGAGATTTTTCATAATCCCACTTAAAGTGGGAGTCTTTGTTTTTGCTAAATTGAGAGCTGGAGAAATTTGAGCATCGCTTTATGCTGCTGGAGTCTCCTGCTGAATTCCCATACTATCAAGATTCTCTTACAACATCTGGCCATTTTACAGGGCATTTCATGGAGCAAATCAATTAACATTAGAAGTAGGGGCAGAGAGAAAGAAAGAAAATATTTGAATGGTAGCGTAGTGCTCTCCAAATTCCCTAAGAAACAGTTGATGGCTGAATTGCATACAACCTTGTAAACTAATCATTTCTATATAATACCATGCATTCTTACACAAAAATATCAACATTTTATTAAGTTCAAGATCAGAATCATCAAATTCTTTGGACCATCGACAAAACGTAAATAGATATAATTTAATATGAATACCCTTAGCTTTACCACTGATTTATCCTGTCTAACAGTGGGTTCTGAGACTAAGATTGTGGGTTAAGAAACTACATTTAGCCATTAAGGCTCTGGGGGTGGCTCTTGCAAGATGTACTCGTTGGATTCTGACTAAACAGTGCAGGAAAAATCTTGGCAGTGGCTATTGCAGCCCCTTGAGCAGTGTTTGATGTACTCAAAACATATAAGCTGTTTCCACTTGTGAAATTTAGTCCTGGTGAAACTGGTGGTTCATAGCAATAGAGCACCAGTAGGTATGTGTACACACATATACACGTGGAGAATAATTCATTTATCTCCATTTTGAACATGTAAACACCGAAACGTATTGATATATCTAGAGTACCTAGAACAGTACTTGATGCGTCATAGGCACTCATGCAGATGTTGTTGAATGAATAAATGAATGTGGTTAAAGAATAGCATTGATGCTCTAATGGCCATTTTAACTAAGTACAGTCACCATTTTACAAATTCTGTGATACTTTGGAAAGTACCTGATTTCTCTAATTTGAAGAAATAATCTGTATTGAGGGATGTTAGCACTTCTCTTGTAGGGCTGGTGTAAGGATTAAATGAAATAACATTTAGAAAGTGGCTAATTAGTAGTTAATGGAAATCAAGTTATTCAGCTAGAGTCTGTTTTTCTGTGAAATGTGGATTAAAAAATGAGGCAGATGACCCTTCTAGGGTGTTAGTGAGTATCCAATAATTCATAAGTATGAACATACTAAGTTGTACATGTAATTGTATGTAAAATGGTGTTATAGGCCTTTGTTAAGAGTTGTCAAGAAAATGCCATTCCCAGGCACTCCCCATGATTCAAAAAGTGAAGATCTTTAATTAAAATGACTTTGAGATCACAATGTTTGCCTGAATGTTAATCACCTCTCAAATATAATTAAATGGATTTACTAAGAATCTTTTTAAAATAAAAGGGTATTCTCTATCGTTTAACTTATATAAACAATACTGAGAATAAAGGAAATGGGAAAGAAAGATTCAGTCCTAGGCTGTCTATAAAATGGGAGAAGGGTCTCTTTTCTTTTATCTACCCTGAACCTCTTTGGATCTCACTTTTCTTCTAGTTATTTAGCACACTCTTCCCAATCACCCATCCCCACAACACACACACACGCACATGCACAGCACACACACAGATATTGAAGTGATGTAGGCTTCAGGCTTTGTTTTCTCTTTCTCTTTTCCCTAAGTCTTTTCCCATGCTGTGAATGGTAATGGACTATGATCTGTTAGAAATGGGAACATAGCAATAACTCCAAAACAGAGCCTCACAAGTTTGAAGAATTGAGCCAAGCTGCATGATTTTCTAAACATTCCACTGAATTAATACCTTGTAAGTCCAGGGGGACCTTCATCTAAATCTCTCCAAACACTTGCCTGAGTTTGGTTAATCCTCAGTGTAGCCTTGGTGAAACATTCCCACATTTTCGAGAGGCCACGAATGAAACCCTCACTCAGCCAGGAAGGTGCTGAGGAACTGGGGTGAGAAAAGGAAATTTCTACCCTGAGCCCTGTTACTCTCAGCATATTCAGGCACACCCAGCAAATTCATGGAACAGGACATGGGGAGAAGACAAAGAAGATTGTTTCAAATAAAAATAAACTTTAAAATGGAACAAGAAACATATTGCTTTATTTTTCATAGCTGAAAGATTCTGTATTTGCCAAATAATGGAATCAAAAGAATCTGTCTGTAATCAACTGCTATCTATGGCCTCTGCCTGGAGTTCTCCCCATGACCAAATTAATTATTAATAAAGTTATGCATTCAATAAACATTTACTGAGCACATCCCAGGTGTTGTCTAGGTATTAGGAAAAATTCATAATGTGGATAAAACAGTGTCCCTTGCCCTTAAGGAACTTGCTGTGCAATGACAGAGAGAGACAGACAAATTTTAAAAATGCAATGTGGTAATATATATGCACCACATGTATATGTTTGTGAACTCATTCTTTGATCTTAAAAATGACTTCAAGAAACTTTCTCTGAAGTTCCTCTATCTAAAAGTATTTCTCTGAACTGCCCTAGCATAATTATCTGTATTTCCCTTATCTGCCTTTCTTATCTTGCATTCTGATTATTCATATTATTTTCCTTAATAATCTAAGTCTCTTGAGTGTAAAATTTCTGATTTATGTTTATATTCTGAGCTCTTGGCACAGAAACTTGCACATGATAGGCACTTAATATTAGCTGAGTAAATGGATACAATAATGGACAATTTGAATCTGGACAATGATGTAAGAGATGTTATGTTTTAAAGCAAAGCAATTCTAAATCTTTGTCCCATAAAAGTATCACAGGTAACTTGTCAAGAGTGTAAAGGAAGGAAAGAAGGAATTCTAAATATATAGTGTCTGAACGCATCTAAAGGAAGTTCTTAACTATATTAATGAGAAGTTTAAATAAGGCAGTATGACTGATTAAAATGGATTTTTATTCCTACAACTCATTTCAGTAGACAAATTGAACAAATGGTAGGATTTCTAAATCATTCGAAGCTCAGACCCAAACCTATATAATGTGTGTATTTGTATTGCTCTTTTGTCAATATGACAAACTGAAAAAATAAATACTTAATTTCTTCCACCCTAACTCACTCCAAATTAGTGTCTGGTGAAAGAACTGAGACTTTAACTTTCTAATGGTAAATCTGTGGTGTCACATGACTCAATTTTTTGGATCTACATAACTTTGGAGGAGAAACTGTAAGTAACAGTTGAAAAGATGCACGGAGCAGTAGAAGCCACAGAATGGTACTTGTGAGGCAGAAAAGCTGAGACATGCCTAGGGAAATAGGCATACACAAAGAAAAATGCTAATTGCTCAAATGACTGGCAGGATCCAGGTGAACAAATACATGCCAGAGCCTAAGTGCATGGGTGATGACATAATATTAGCCATGGCAGAGGGAGCATGTTAGAAAAAATGTCAACTCATTTTCTGGAATGCCTTGCCAGTCTGGAAGCATGTGCCCTGAAAGCTTAGTGACCAAATGTTAAACTGCCTTAGATGGCTGCAGGACACAGGGCACAGAGCTGCACGCCTACTCTGCTAGGCCCTTCTCATCTTTCCAAGCTGGGGAGCTGGCTTTGTAATGGGTTTTTGGCATGGTAGATTCATGTACCAGATCGAGAGGGAGAGGGACTGCTTTTTCCTGCTGCGGGGAAGGTTGGAGCTACTTCGTGTACTACTGGGATTCCCTCTCAAGGAATATCTTGGACTCGACTGTCTTTTTCCTGATGGATTATGTTTTGGATCCTCCCTTACCAAGGATATAATCATGGGCTGTTAACATTTTTTTGGACTTTGATTTGGCCAGTAAGTATAATGTTTTTGGAAACCTGTTTTCATTTAATTTCATTTCCTCTTTCCTGTTAAGCACATCATTGGGCTAGGAGAGAAGAACCTCAGGTTTTTGGAAGTGTTTTTGTTTTGTGCCGCTGCGCTCAGTTCGCGTTGGATACTGGAAGAGGAACAAAACCATAAGGCACTCATGACTTCCGCGGTTCCCTCTGCTGGAAAGCCAGATCCACACCCCGACCTGCCTTAGGTGGTTAGCACCAACTTCGAAACAATAGTCACTTCACACTAGCATAACATTACATAAGCCATTTCCTTCCCTTCTAGAATGCGGAGGGATATGTGAGAAGCAAAGAAAAGAAGAATCTGTGACCCCACTACTCATATTTTCCACAATCCTCCAATTACCCTTTCATCTGTACCAAATATGGAGGGTGATGTTAAAAACTTGTGTGAGAATCTGGCAGCATTTTGCATGTTAATGTTGTCTCTGGTCTGGTTTCCAAAACCATTCTGGTAATTGAGAAGATTTGCCAGTGAGAGCCGATTGCGCTACAAAAATTGTCAGCTAAGTTCTTAGACAGTGGCTTTCTGTGGTTGGTTTGGTGTGTTTTTTTTGTTTTTTTGTTTTTGTTTTTAAGAACATAAAATATGCACAGCATGATTCCTGCTTATCCCTTTTTTGGTTAATGTGTTTGGAATCTATGTGATAAATGGGTAGTCAAATTGCCTTTAGAAGATGCAAGAATTGTATCATATCAGAGAAACATGGAAAGGAATGCAGAAAAGTCCTAGAGAAGTTAATTTCAGACATGACCTTGTGACTGTAACAGGAGGTAGCTTTTCCTTTGCCACCAAACAGCAGGTAAAATAGATTGATTTCATTTATTCATTCAGCCAACAAATATCTATTGAGCGTTGACGATGTGACAGCATGATTCTTACACTAATGATTTAGAAGGTGTCAAACTACTGCTCCCATGAAACTCTGTCTAGTGAAGTCCTGTAACAGTGGAGCAATGTTGAATAGAAACATGTTACTGTCAATAAGCTTCCTTTTCAAAACGCACCAGGAAAATAATCTGATAGTGATATGATTCTTTAACAAAATAGGGACAATGACAAGGTTACTGGTAGCCCTTTTATTCTCCTCATTTTTAAAGCTGAGAGAGGTGGAATCCATTAGTAAGATAAAAAACAAAATGTCAAAAAGACAAGACTTAAGAACAGGTTGGGCATGCTCCAACATGACAGCATGCACACTTTGGGGAAAAATTTATTGGTCTAGCCAGGTGTGAGCCTCCATTCCTTAATGTGCCAGCTGGACTCCCCTTACCAAATCTTGGCCCCAAGAGTTTGTTTCCAGTCAGTGGGCTTTGCTATACTGACAGACATGTTCCATACAGGAGCTTCTGATGGGCAAACAGTGGGTGATACAGTCACACTCACTACCTTCTACCTCCTGTCTTCTCTCAATGCCAGTGACCTACCACCATGCTGCCCAGAACCTTCCCATCAGGCAAATAAAAACCTGCATATTTGTCACACACTTTGGGTCTATATAGACCATTAACAAAGTGATGAAAACATCTGGTGCTAAATGACAGCATGATGTGGCATCTCTTGCCTGGCCCAGCCAAGGATCAGAGAGTTAACAGGACTTGGTAAATAGCTTCTCTCATCTTTCTCTCTCTGCCCTAAGCAAGTAAAACTAAAAACCACAACAATAAATAAACTCATAACACCCTCAGTTTCTTCCTCTTTTTTTTTTTTACCATCTGATAGATGTCAGGACAGATGTTGTCCACAACACACTTGCCAACAACCATTTCAGTGCTTCCTGACATATGTTTAAGAAAGATGGCTGCTGTATAACGGATTTTACTTAAATGCCGATAAGCAACCTTCCATAACATTGTTCAGCGAAGATAAAAGATAATGCCACTTCTGTCCATTCTGGTGCCCATGTCAACATGATCACTAATTCAAATTTTTAGGGATCAAAAAAGTCAACACCAAGCTTATATAAATAGCTTTTACCATCTGGTTGCTCACCTTGACTGTAGGAAGCAGAGTCCTATCAATTCTTTTCTACTAGGAAAAAGGTGTCTCATCATAGAGAGGAAGGGGAGGAATAATAAAAGAAAAACAATTTGTAATAGCATGCTATCCCTTTTTTCCTGTTGACAGGAAATCAAGTTCTCAGCTTGTTAATTAAGTTAAAAATACAGAAGTTTCCTGGTTATTCTCTCATCAGTTTCAGAGTGTTCATGACTTTGAAGTAGGTCTCACCGGTGAGTGCTTAAACATTGAACTAATGAGATTTTACTGTTTTGAACAGCTGGTCAAGTTTGGAGGCCCCTCGAGCCTAAAGGCAACTGCTGATTTACAAGCATTCTGTAATATATGCAGTCTTGGCTGATGCTTTTGTTGTTGATTTAGGCTGGAGCGAAGGTGTAGATTTTGTGATGCTATAAAAATGTCAAATGATTGATTTGAGAATATGTAATACCTATAGGTAGCCCCCACCAGGAGCCAACATCTTGTGTGGTTCATATGTGAGAACGTTTTAGGAAGGTTTGGGTTTTAAATGTGGCGTCATGTTCCAGAGAAGGAGGGTTTGGATAAATTGGCTGTTTACAGTGGATGGAGCCGAAAAGAAGCATTTCAAAACTGTAATTCCTGTTTGTTTCTCTCTCCCTCTCTCCTTCCCTCCATTCTCTCCCTCTTTCCCTCCCTCCTTACCTTCCCTCGCTTCCTCTCTCCCTCCTTCTTTCATTGGTAAGTATATTAAAACAAATTCCAGAACCTATGTTACCTCTCTATCTCAGCATGACTATCTAAAAATCTGGACATTTTCTTCAAAACATAAACATAATTATTTGGTATCATCTAATACCCAGTTCATCTTCAAAATTTGATTGTCTCAGAAGTATCTTTCAATTGTCTTTTTCATAGCAGGATCCAAGTAAGGTTACATATTACATTTGGTCGTTAAATCTCTTGATTCAGAATTATCCCCTTTGAGGTAAGTACTTTATCTCTATTTTACAGACAAGAAGACTGAGGCTTAAGAGGACTCACAGATACTGAGAACAAATTGTGGTCTCTCAGTATCCGTATGTGTGACTATACTGCTTCCTTCTTTTTCTCAACAGATTATTTCTGGTGAGGCTGGGTTCATCTCCTCTGTTTATTCTACTTCCCACCTTACTGTTTTATCCTAATTGCACCTGAGTAGAATTTCAGAAGATAAGAATTCTGCTAGGATTGAATTCATTTTGCATATGTTCGTAGCATTTCCCCGGATTATTTCACTGTAAAGAGTGGGAGAATCGTGGGAATTACGCGAGGAGCCCTAGAGCCTGCGGGGGAGTTCCCAGTGCTTTTCTTGGTAGTTTCCAGAATCTTCTTGGACACGCCAGTCAGTTTCTTGGGCTCTTTGTGGAAGAAGGGAAAGCTGTTTATGGACATATATAGATCACATTTATTTCTCTATTCAAAAAATATAGAGATATAGCTTCAGTGTTTAAGCCTAGTAACTACTTTAGATGTATATCAGGGACAGAATTTTTAAATTATGTTTTCACAAGAACAAGTCCAGAAAGTATAACTTCCTTTTAGGTAGTAGTGAGAATATAAGGAATCCCCTTGTTGGCTCCCTTGCCTTGGTGGGGGTAGTGAGATCAAAGAAAAATGCAGGAAACACTTCATATGCTCATAAAAGCCTACGATTTACCTCTGTCCATCTGGCCCAGCATGGCATCTCTCCCAGAGGCAGAGACCCACACTCCAGAAGGACATGGCTGTGCACCTAAGTACACATCTCAGAGAGGAGGCCTTAGCCAGCCAATGACACACTCCCACTAATGTCCCCTCATGGATTTATCATCAACTTTATCCAAACCAATTTTGGGTGAACTTCATTTAGATTGATTACAGCCTCTCCAAATACTCTGTTTATATATGCTGCTTGTTCTGGAGGTGTACTGTCCAATAAGGTAACCACTACTAGCCACATTTCAAGTGTTGAATAGCCACATGCGCTAGTGGCTACCATATTGGACAGCAACAGATACAGAACATCTACACCATTTCAGAGAGTTTAATTGGATAGTATTAGTCTAAAATAACTCCCCAATGTTTAAATGAGCATCCTTCTGATCCTAGGTTCCCAACCATGTTTTTCACTGTTCTATTTTTTTAATACCATTGAATTCCCTCATGTGATTACTGTCTGGCTCCTCGAGTATTTCCCTCTGTTTACCCTGAAAAAGGGACTTTCAAGTTTTTAAGGGAATGCCCATGACCAGTGCCATTTCTCCCTTCTTTTGCCATATTTGGCTCTCTGAGTTAGATCCACTCATGGGCAAGTTGGATTTATAGAAGTCTCAGCTCCACTGAAGTTGCAGAACTTGTTGTCAGCCCCCATGGGCCAGTAGTCTCTCCATCCCTGTCTGTACCCGCAAGTCAGGTGATGGAACTGCTGCTTTGGGTGACTGTGTTGTTTCCTGGCCACTTGAGCCCATTGCCAAAGTCTTTATCTAGGCTGTGATATCTGCTTGCAGAGCTGGGTCACAGCCCCCAGTTCTACCCTCACTTCCTGCCACGAACAGGCAGTTTGTTTAAAATCCTGATTGCCAGTGTCCACCTGGCCTGATTTGAGGCTTTGCTGCTGCCTCTGAGGCTTCTCCATGATGTGTTCTTTCCCCCTCTTGGTTGCCGTCCTTGCCCCTCTTGGATCCCTCTCCTCATCCCTCCTGGATCCTGGGCCATCCCTGAGATAGTTCTAGTGCTATGGCACTGCACTTTGGACTTGCTGTCTGTTTTTCTGTTAAACAGGCCTGAATTGGAATCACCAGTCAGCCACTCGCTCCCTGTGTGATCTTGGACAAGCCCCTCAGTCGTTCGAATCATGTTGTGCCTGCTTTCTGACTGTAAAAACCTCAGGATGATAAGATCTAGCCCTTTCTGAGTTTTAGTCTCAATTGTCTTAGGGCAACTCTGGTGAAAATAAAGTTACTTCCTTTATTCTTTTCTTTTCACCTCTCCAGAGTCCTCATAGCCAAAGTCTCTTCTCATCTAGTCAATGCTATTTCTTTGTAGTGATTATGATTTGGTTTTTCTTAGGTGACCTAAAACACTAGGTCCTCCATTTAAAACCTAGTACTTCCTCTGGTCACCTCAGAGGGAAATGAAATCTCTCTCCTTTGAATTCCCATAAGCTGTTATTCATTTGCTTGGTGTATTCCACATGGTCTCCACTGTATCCTGCTTTTCTTATATTCCCAGGTGTACGTGTCCTGTTTACCTTACCAAGCTGTGAGTCCTTCGAAGCAGGGTCCTATCTTAAAGTCTTGAACCAAAGCTCCCATAATCTCAAAGGACCCAGCAGAGTATTTCAAGCACATGAGGTGCTCAGTATGCATTTATTAATGAATGTGCATTCTCAAGAGCACTTTAGGAAGGAGTAGAGTGGTATTGATTTCTACTTATTTTCTAGCTTTGATTCTCATGCTAGTTTGGGAGAAAGGAAAGGAGAGATCAAATAAAAGGTTGTTGAAAATAGTTAGACAATTACCTGCCTCTCCACCCTTCTAAGGCATTTTATAGCTTACTTGATTTGTTTATCTTGTCGACTAGACATTTGTCACCTGGTTTTCTTTCTCAATAAGTAATAAAAATGGATGTGCCTTTAAAAAAGGCCAACTCTTCTTAGTAGTTTTGATGCTCTGTGCTCTTTTCATGATCTCATCAGAAAATTCAATTCAAACTCAGAACCAAATGTTCCCCCGATACTGAAGGGACCTCAGTATGTGTCAGTTGGTGTCCATTTAGAAAGGCATTTCCTTGGCCCTAGGAACTGTGAGGCTAGTGTAAGCCTGTTCTAGGGAGCAAGATTGGGCCTCAGGTGCACGTGAGCTTCCATTTTTGCTAAGTTTCTTTCCACTGGGGTGGAATGTGAGTGAGAGAATGCTGGGGTAAATGTGAGTGAGAGAGGCTAACCAAGTAGCTTCTACATGGGAATGGCTAAGTAAGGCGTTGACTTATCTGGATTTTGATGGTTCGGAGGTTCCACACCACTGCTCCACATCAGGAGTCCAGGTGGTTTTCTATAGCTAGCTTTTCCCCGGGGCAGTGTGTCTAGAAATTCTCTTATAGCTTACCAGTCAATCCTTGGGGAGCTGATTGCCAAGGTTGGGTTCTGCTTGAAAGCAGCTACCCAGGGTTAGCCAAACTGAGGACTTCTGACACCAACATCAAGGAGTTTGGATCCAACAACAAAGTTGGATTGAACAGTTCCAAGACTATCGTCACCTCTGACACCAATTGCAACTTCATGATGTTTCCCTAGAATACCCTCAGGTTTAATAATTCATTAAAAGAACACACAGAACTCACTGAAAACTATTATAATCATAGTTACACTTTACTACAGAGAGAGGAAGCAGATCAAAATTAGCCAAAGGAAGAGACACACAGCAGAGTCTGAGATCATTTCAAATGCAAAGTTTCCATTGTCTTTAGGGCCATGTTTTCCTCTGAGTATTGATGTGTGACAGCATGCATGGAGTATTGCCATCCAGGGACACTGCCCTGAACGTGAGTGTCTGGAATTTTTATTGGAGCTTCATTACGTAGGTATGATTGATTGATTGCCCACATGCTTGCTTGATCTCAGCCTCCAGGTCAACTGCATGACCCAGAGCCTCTACTCTAAGGTACATGGTTGATGTTTCTGCGGTGGCCAGCTTCCTTCCTAACCAAGGAAATTCCTATTGGGTATGACATAGGTTACTGCCCAGAAACTGAGAGGCAAGGCCAAATTCTTTACTACACAGTGGCTTGGCAAGTCTCTTCACTGTCCCTATGTTTTCCACCTCTGAGGCTCTCTGCCTGGCAAATCCATTAAAACTGGTCAACTTGGGCTGGGCACCGTGGCTCACGCCTGTAATCCCAGCACTTTGGGAGGCCGAGGCGGGCGGATCACGAGGTCAGGAGATCGAGACCATCCTGGCTAACACAGTGAAACCCCGTCTCTACTAAAAATACAAAAAGTTAGCTGGGCATGGTGGCGGGTGCCTGTATTCCCAGCTACTCGGGAGACTGAGGCAGGAGAATGGTGTGAACCCAGGAGGCGGAGTTTGCAGTGAGCCGAGATGGCACCACTGCACTCCAGCCTGGGCGACAGAGTGAGACTCAGTCTCAAAAAAAAAAAAAAAAAAAAACCACTGGTCAACTTGTCACCCTATAATATCTCCCTTTAACCTTTGGATCCAAACGTCCTCACTTGCCAGATGAAGCTATATCACATTGTATTTACTCACTTAGCACCACATCTAGCACAAGAATGACACTAAATGGACTAAAGGTTCTGCTTTGGGAACCTCTTGAGATCACATGTCATATTTTGCTAATATGTTTGTATTTGGCTGTGGGTGAGGGATCAGAGTTCCTATATTTCATTAGATTTCAAAGAGGTCTGTGTCCCATAAAGGTTGAGCACTCCTGGCCTACGTAAAAGTGAATTATCTCCCCTCACACCACTGGTGGGCTATTCCTTCATGAGCTCTAGGAGTTTTGCTTGCCAAGAGAAGGGGGCAGAGTAGAGACAGAGCCTGGGCTGGCAGAAGGGCAGTTTTGCTATCTTGGTTTACAAGGCCTCTTGGGTTAATTCTAGAAGCATCAAAGCAAGCTTTTCTTCAGTCTTTCCTGTGTTCTGCAGGCCAAGAGTTTCTTGTGCTAAAATAAACAACTGGCAGTTTCATTAGGCTCCACAGAAGGAAGGAAGAGATTTATATTTCATACCTTTTATATTATATAACAACATTACTATGCAAACTTCAATTCTTCGATCTGTTTAGTTTATTTAAACTTAAAAAATAGTATTAATGCTATAAATAGAATAAACCTTGACCAATTCTGAGCATTTACAATAAACATGCAGCTGGTAATATAGCCTCTGAAATAATAAACCACTTATTCCTGATGGCCAGGCTTTGTATATATCATCCTTAGATTTTATTAAGCTATAGCTGGATGGAGGGGGCAGGAAAGGGGAGATATCCTACTTGTTTTAAACTGTAGGGGGAAGAAAAACCACATTTTATTTTGCATCTGCCTCTTTCTTACATAATTGTGGAAATTTTGGCATGTTTGTGCCAGCCAGGATTCAACTTTGTTTTACTTTACTGAGAAATCTGAAGTGTGTTCATAAAAAAGAAATCTGTTTATTTTTAGTTCATTTTGTTCAGCTCTTAAAACATCTTGGTTCTTATAAGACAAGGAAAGAAGCATGTGATGCTCTGTAATCCTGGTTCATTCAGAGGCATTACTTGAGTACCACCCAGTACATGATTCAATGTGCGGGAGATACAAACATGAAATTGTTACCCTTAAAGTGCTTACAGTTTAGTGAGGGGGAGATTAATGGCTCCCAACACTCACAACATTTTATTATGATTATCAGTTTGCATGTCTTTATTGTGGATTCTTTTGAAATTCCAATAATTTCTTTTTTTTTGCAGAAATAGAAAAACTCATCCTAAAACTCATGTGGCCCCAAGTAGCCAAAACAATCTTGAAAAAGACTAACCAAGTTAGAGGTCTTATACTTCCTGACTTCAAAACTTACTATAAAGCTAAAGTAATCAAAACAGTGTGGTACTGGTATTAAGAGAAACACGTAGGAAAATGAGATAGAACGGAGAGCCTAGAAATAAACCCTCACATATATGATAAGTTTTGGCAAGGGTACCAAGACCATGCAATGGGGGAAAGGATGGTCTTTTCAACAAATGGTGCTGGGGAAACTGAATATCCACATGCAAAAGAATGAAGTTGGACCCTTACCTTATACCAAATACAAAAATTGACTTGAAATGGATCAAAGACTGAAATGTAAAAGCTCAAACTGTAAATGTCTTAGAAGAAAACAAGAAAAGATTCATGACATTGGACTTGGCTATGAGACTGTTTTATGTCTTAGTAGGGAAGAACAGTTAAGTTGGGGGCAGGAGTCAGAGACCTGGGGTTCAGACTTGGGACTGCCACTTCCTGCCTGTGTGATCTTAAGCACGTTATATATCCTCTCTAGGACTCAGCTTTCTCATCTGTAAAAAGGTGAGAGTAATAGAATGACACTGAGAATTAGATAAGTTAATGTAGGTAAAGGGCTCTGCTGCATGACTGGCATATGGCTTATTCTCAAGAGGTGTCAGCCATTACTGTGAATTCAGGGGAAGCAGCATAATAATAGAAGGCAGGTAGGTAGGCTTTAAATCAGATTTTCTAGGTTCATATCCTAGTTCTTGCCTTTACTGCCTTTGTGACTTTGGGCAACTGCCTTACAGTTTTGTAACTGAGGACTTTTATCTTTTTATGAATGACAGAATTAGTAATATTACTCATCTCATAAAGTCATAAGGATTGAATGAAATAATTCCCTTCTCCAGGTTTTAGAAAAGTGGTTAGCACTCCCTAGCGTCAGCCCTCACTGCTGCTACAGTACTTAGCACAGCATCGGGCACAGAGTAGGTGTTCATCTAATGGACTATCGTACTGCCCTAAATAATGGCATTTAGGAAATGTTTAATGATATTAGTAAATATCAATCATAAACTGTTGGGAAAAACAAGGTAAAAAGTTGTATATACAATTTCGTCTCAACTATGTAAGAAAAAAGAGTTAAAAAAGTTTATTGAAATATTAATAGTGGTCCCTCCTTAAATGAAAAAGTTGTACATGAGTTTATTTCTTATTTCCTTATGTTTTTGTGTACTTTTCAAATTTTCTACCATAAGCAGATACTTTTACTATTGGAAAATATTAAAATGCAGTTAAATTAAGCTGGAAAGGGACAAGAGTCAATGCCATCTGCTATCATGTGGTACACTGGCTTCTAGGAGTGGCTAGCAATCACTTTAACAATGTGAAGACCATGGCCTTCAGGAGGCAGACAAATAGTTTTGCTCTTTCCTACTCACCTGTGCTTGTGTGTGCACATGTGAGTATGCACATGTTTTGTGTCTCAGGGAGCTTGAGGTCTCCTTCAGGGCATGGAGTATTTGCCAGGAAATACCTCATGTTTTCCTCCTGTCTAGCTCAGGGCCTAGCACAGATATTCAGAGTCTAGGTACAAGGATATTCACTGAATGCATGTAGAAAGGTGAATATTATTGATGGTGGAGAGAGGGGTTCAAGCCAGACTGCCACTGCACACCTGCCTGGGTGATCCACTGCTCGTCTAGCCCACTTGTCTAGTACCACTAGCTAGGTACCCTCTGTGCCTAGCATAGTTTTTGGTGAATAAATAAATGAGGCCGGGCACAGTGGCTCACACCTGTAATCCCAGCACTTTGGGAGGCCGAGGTGGGTGGATCACCTGAGGTCAGCCGTTCGAGACCAGCCTGGCCAACATGGTGAAACCCCGTCTTTACTAAAAATACAAAAATAAGCCGGGTGTGGTGGTGGGCCCCTGTAATCCCAGCTACTCGGGAGGCTGAGGCAGGAGAGTCACTTGAACCTGGGAGGCAGAGGTTGCAGTGAGCTGAGATTGCGCCATTGTATTCTAGCTGGGTGACAAGAGTGAAACTCTGTCTCAAAAAAAAAATTAAATTAAATAAAATAAATGAAATATTTCTCTGGATAAATTCACGGAAATTGGATTATAGCAAATTGTTTAAAATGTAAGACATCTACACTTTAATATGTAGAAGATATTTAAAAAGAAACAATGAATCAGAGAGATTTCTTGGGGCGTTTGTGTTTTCCTGGTAACATATAAATGAACTCTGACCTACAGTACAAGTTAGCTGCATCTTCAACAGATACTTTTGTGTTTTTACTTGGTGCTCAGAGACACTATTCCTACTCCAAGAAGGTTCAAGTGTTGGGCAGGGAATTAAGAATGCATATGTGAAAAACCAATCATTGTTTTTCAAGGCAATAGAGAACAATTCCAAATAAATGGCATAAATAGAATCTTCCTCAGTAATTCAGAGGAGTGCAGCTGTGATTGAATTTAGTAGGTATTGCCACACAATTTTGCCAAGAGGCTGCACCAATTTATGTTCCCACTAGTGTGTATTGGTGTTATATCTCTTTCATTTTGGCCATTCTGATGGTACAGGAAGGTATCACCTTATTGTGTTAATTTGCATTTCTTTGACCAATGAAATTGAACAACTTATGTTTATAGGCCATCTGGATATCCTATTATATGAAGGGTCTGCTCAAATCTTTGGCCCACTTTCAATGTTGACGTTTCTTTTCATACTGTTTTGTAGCTGTTCTTTACATATTCTGTTTATGAGTACTTTGTCAGATATATGTATTGCAAACATCTTTTCCCATGCTGGCACTGCCCTTCCACCCTCTTAATGGTGTATTTTGATGAGTAAAGCACCTTAATTTTAATATAGTTCACTTTATCATTTAAAAAATGATTAATATTTTATGTCCTCTTAAGAAACCTCTAACTATCTGCAGGTCACAAAGATACTTTCATGTGTAACTTTTTAATAGCTCTATTATTTTACATTAGGACCCAAAGTCTATCAGGACTTTGTGTATTTGTGTGTATGGTAAGAGGTGGGGCTCAAAATTCCCACATGGAAATTCAATTGTTCTGGCATCATTTATTGAAAAGGCCATCCTTTCTCTACTATGCTGTCATCCTAGTCATCAATCATGACAGGATATGTGTAGTTTCTACCTTACTTTTCCGTAGTTGTGTTTTGTGTTTGTTCTTGCCTATTTAGGGCCAATATCACACTGTCTTAATTGCTATAGTTCTGTGATCAGTTTTAACATCTGCTTATATAATTTCTCCAGTTTTGTTTATTTTAAGGAATTAGCTTGTTCTCTTTCTCTCCCTCCCTCTTTCCCTTCCTCTTTTCCTCTCCCTCTCCTTTCCTTTATTCTTCCTCTGCCCCACCCTCTCTCCCTTTCCCTCCCTTCATTCTTCTTTGACGAGGGATTCCCAACTTGAGGAGTACTGGAATCTTTGCATTATTAAGTCTTTTATTTCATGAACATGGTATCTCCTTCCATTTACTTAAGAGTTCTATAATTTTTATTGATAATGTTCTGTGGTTTTCAGATTTCAGCTGCAATTAGATAATAATTTAACCTTGAGCTTGTATTTAGATCAGTAGGTCCAAAAGTGGGCAAGTATTAGAATTATCTGTAGAGTTTTAAAATATTTATTTCCAAACCCTAAGTCAGACTTACTGCATCAGAATCTCTGGAAATAGGGCTCTGGGAGTCTAAAAAGCCTTTGAGAGTCTACAAGCCTTTGGTGGAAGTAAAAATTGGTATAATCTTTTTGTGGAACCACTTGGCAAATTTTATTGGTATTTAAATAGTCATACCTGCTAACCTTGTGATTATATTTCTAGGAAATTACATGAATTATTTGTGCACACTTATAAATGCATATATAAAAATGTTTATTCTAGCATAATTTATGATAGTAAAATATAGCAAACTGCCTCAATTTCTATCAATGGAAGATGTACCAAATAAATTATGTCACATATAGTATAATACGAGGTAGCTGTTTAAAGTGAAGAGCTAATTTATAAGTACCAAAGTGGAAAGACATCTATCGTAATTAGTTTAAAAAATCAAGAAGCAGAAAATTAAGTATTGTATAAGTCAATATGTTGAAAACATATTCCTGCACACACATACAAGACAGTCACATTGACTGTCTCTTCTAAGAAATATGAAGCTTCCTTCCTATCATCACTCGTATATCCAAATTCTTTAAATCCTATATCCAAATCCATATAAATGAGCAGTAGGACATAAGTAAGAGTCAAACCATATGAAACCCAGAATAATTTTAATATAAATACTTGGAGTTGTTGCTTATGAAGTACCCAAAACTGGAATGCAAGAACCCAGTGGGATGAATTCTTAGTGGTTCGTGATAAGAATGATGGTTTATTGTATATTCATTTGGAGGCAGGTTGAAAACAAAAATCCTTTAAAAATTTTACTTATTTCTATATTCCATTTCTGTTTGTAATATGCAGGCATCACTTAAATTTTTTTTTACCATCTTAATAGTTTTTAAGTGTACAATTCAGTGGCATTAAGTACCTCCAGAATGTTGCACAACCATCACCACTATCCACCTCTAGAACTTTTTCATAATCCCATACAGAAGCTGTCTACCCATGAATCAATTACTTTCCATTTCTCCCTACCCCAACCCCCTGGTTACCTCTATTTTACGTTCTGTCTCTATGAATTTGCCTATTCTAGACACTTCACATAAACAGAATCATACTTTTGTCCTTTTGTGTCTAACTTGTTTAACTTACCATAATGTATCAAGATTTATCCATGTTGTAGAATGTACATAAAATTTAAAAATAAATATTTAAAATATTTTATAAATGTGGGGGAAAATCCCTAAGCTCATCGTGATGTATAGACAAATTTGGGATCACTAAATTAGATGGCTTTTAATAGTATGAGCTGGGTGCAGTGGCTCATGCCTGTAATCCCAGCACTTTGGGAGGCCGAGGCAGGCAGATCACCTGAGGTCAGGAGTTTGAGACAAGCCTAGTCAGCATGGTGAAACCCCATCTCTACTAAAAGTACAACAATTAGCCAGGTGTGGTGGCACATGCCTGTAATCTCAGCTACTCGGGAGGAGGGGGTTGCAGTGAGCCAAGACTGCACCACTGTACTCCAGCCTGGGCGACAGAGTGAGACTCTGTCTCAAATAAACAAATAACATTGTATGAACAATGCTCTTGAGCCATTTTGCCCCTGAGACTCTAACCTCAGGTCTTCAGTTCTGCCCATATTGTTATCAAAAGTCAAGCTTAAACATCAATTCCTCCATCAAGTCTTCCTAGACATTCTGGATGGAAACATTTCCCATTATCTGAATGTTTTAAACTGTGAACTTCATGTGGCCACCATTATGTTTTAACTGGTCTATAAACTTTTTTATTTTTATCCATAATTTATAAAGTTTAAGACTCCTATAATCAACTGCCCCCAATATCAGGATAGCTGGCTTCTCTTGAAAACTGGAGAGCCTGACACCCTGAGCCAGCATTCCTAAATGGAAACAACAGGTTGGAGTTGAGAACAGCTATCCTCTTTACATGAGCCATGCTCTTTTCTGTGTGACACAGTCCCCCACTCTCTACTGTCTCCCTAGTTCTGAGGATGAATGCCTATTGCCGATGACTTGTACTTTTTCTTACACGTTTTCTTATACTGTAGAAATACTTTCTGATCTCCTATCACTATCAAATGAGGAATTAAAAAAAAGAAGAGGACCCTGGGATTTCTATATAATAGGCCTCTATCATTCACTCCTTTATATTACTTACCTCATTCTTGTTGGCATTTGAGTTTGCCACCCCTAATGAATTTAATCCTGGGCATTTATAAACACGGCACATCTCTCCTGCTATGCTGTGAGACCTCATAATAGATGCAGAAAACACTGCATAAATGATTATAAATGACTATCAGGTCATTCAATGTCATGTTTAATTTTTATAGCCAATTTAAAGCTCCATTTCTGAAACTGTTTTAGACATTATCCATTCTTTCCCCGGTGATGATCTCCTTTCTCCTTTTCATCTGTGCAACTCCCACCTCATCTTCACAGTACAGATGAAATATTATATCGTCCTAGGAGTCTACTCAAATAATCCCTCCGGCTCTTCTGCACCTGAAGCCTTCAGCTCATTCTACTCCTTACTGGTAAAGTCAAAATCACCCATTGCCTTGATCTCAGCAGCACCCAGCTCCTACTCAGGGAAGACAACTTCTCAGGGCACAGACTCTGTTAGTACCTAGCACTGGGCTGGGCACATAGTGGATCTTTAAAACATGTGGACGATTCTATGTCAAAGAGAACTATTTTTCTAGCCTGTAATTTTCTTCAAAGTCTATTGATGTAAGGCTGTTTAGAGCAGTCTGTTGTTTTTTCTGATTCCTGCATATTCTTTTGTTTTTCATGGAACATGTTGCACCAATTTCCTGTCAGGCTTTGCAAATAAATATCAAGGTCAGGGGCTGGAAGCATTTATGGAGCTATCGTGGCACCTCTTGGTTCTACTGAGCCAAGAAATGCTTTCAACCCCAGAGGGCAGAAGTTCTTCAAAACAAGACTGTTCCAATAAGGGTGTGGGCTTTCTCCATCCACTTGCTCACCCTCCTTTTTGCATTTTAACTACTTTAGGAAGAATGGAAAGTCTGGAAAGCCTTTGGTATTTTTGAACCACTAAGTAGGCTAGGTGGTGGAACCTGTGGTGATTTCTCAGTGAGAGGTTCCTACAGACTGGGCCATGAAGAGGTGGGGTGGTGAAGGTGGCCATTTCTGCAGGACTGAGGAGGCAGCAGGGCCTCCTCCTGCTCAGACTTCCTGGCCCCTTCCTTCTTCCGTTGGGCTGTCTGGACTTGTAGACTTTGATCCCTGCAACTGAGTTGGCATTTATATTGGCCTTGCACACATGAGGGCTAAAGCAAGCATAGGGGATTGATCCTTTTCAATGTCTAGTCCCTTTTAATGTCCAAGTTAACACAACAATCTCTTCCCCTTCCCTCTAGTATGCTCTTGGTCTTGGTTTTTCTTTTTCTTTCTCTTCTTTTCCTCTTCATTGCTTTGCTGTTTGAGGTGGGCTCTGAGCCTGTAAACAAGGAAGTGCTAGGGACAGCATCAAAGGGGTCTTGTGTCAAGGACTTTCAAGCAGCCTCTGGATGCTTGGTTCTCTAGAAGGATACAGCACCCTTGTTACAGGGAAGCACAAGGTGTGAGTGTTTTCAGAAACCTAGGTCCAAAAGTCCTGCTAGGTATCTGGTATCTGGGATTTAGTCGTCCCAAATTTGGCTATATATCACAATGAGCTTGGGGCCTGAGCCTGAGACCACCTCTAGGCTGTTTTTAGTAGTGACTAGAGGTAGATGATAGAGGCCTTCATATGGAGGGTTTAGCTCTTTATAATCTCTTTCAGCCAACCACCTCCCCATTTTGTAATGGAAAAGTGACATTTTCTCAATGGCAAGTAAAGGGCTTCTGCCTGATTGCTGAACTTTCTTGAGCCATCAGGAAAACCAGGTTGCTATTCTTGTCCCTCTAAACGGTTCACTGCAGTGTGCGTACACACACACACACACACACACACACACACACAATTTCAATAATATATAAAATTACTTCCAGACAGCAAAGCCTTCCAGTCCTGGGATAGTGAGAAGATTTAGAATGAACCAACATGCTCCCTTCAGCTGTAACTCTCTGACTTAATTATATACAATATTGTGCATGGCTGGATCCAGTCAGACCCTTTCCAGTGTTGGATGGGAAAGGGAAGAACAAGACAGGAGGATCTTGAAGCCCATCCCACCTGCGAATGCCTGGCTCTGCCTCTGGGATACCTGCTATGTCAGTTCCATGTTTCCATCCCTGCCATTGGACAGACTCTCACAACACCTTGCTTGGACTGTTGCAGAATCTCCCACATGTCTGCCAGCCTCCTGTGTCTATACATTTCTCCATCATGGGTAAAATGAATATACACTTGATTTGATTATCCTCCAGGTTAAAATTCTTTGACATCTTCATCATGACAGATATAGTCCCAACTCCTGGGGCTCTGAGTGTGGACCCTTGCTGATCTGGACCCACTGAATTTTTCAGGTTTTTTCTCCTTCTTTCCTCATCTATCCACCCCACATGGAAGCTTTGCTTCACTGAATTTGAAATTTCTCCAATGGTGTACTCTTAGTCCCCAGGGCCTTTGCTCATTCACCCATTATTTATTCATCTATCTAGTCAACCAATATCTTAATTTTATTATAAACATAAGTAGAAAATGCATTAACCTGCCAAGCATTGGCCTTGATGCGAGGTGTAGTGTAGTTGTGTCCCTCATCTTCCTGGAGTTTCCAGCCTCCTGAGAGAGGCAGATGGCAGAAGAGTAATGGAACAGACCAAAAATGATCAATTGTGGGAAATGCAATAAAGGGAACAAACTGAGGGGCTCTGTGAGGGAAGAAAAGAGTAGGGTCTTGTTGGGGAAGAGCTGTGTCTTTGAGATGGACTTGTCAGCAAGGCTTGTGGAGGGTGTGATGTTTAAGCTGAGACCTGAAATGTGGGGAAAAAACCAGCATGGGAAGAGGCCTTTGGGCAAAGAGCACATGTAAAGGCTTTGAGATGGAGATGCACTTAGGACTTTCAAGAACCGGCAGGGAGGCTAGTGTAGCAAAAGCTTCAAGAGTGAGGAGCTGGGGGCAGACTGCAGGTAGAGAGGTGGGTGGTGGTCAAATCAGAACATTCAAGGAGCTTGAGATCTTTTTCTAAAAGCAATACTGTAGTAATAGGCAGTACTAGGATAGGATTTACATTTTAAACTGACCCCTGAGGCTGTGGTGTAGGGAATGGCTCAGGGAGGGGAGGATGAGGGTTGGGAGATCAGCTGGAAGCTCTTCCAGGAGATCTGTGAAGGATACCTGTGACAGGGACCAGGTGATGGTAAGCAGCAGAATGATCAGAGATGTGCTGTGTGGGAAATTGGCAAGTCTTAGTTAAAGGCTGAAAGTGGGGCTTGAGAGAGATGGGGAGACATTGAGAATGTCTTCTGATTACTAGATATGTGGCTTGAGCAAGTTAGCCAGTTACAGGGGGAGTTTAGGGAGGACTGGGTTTAAGAACCTAGTTGGCATCTTAATGTTTCTTTTATTTCACTTAGTTCAATGAAAGTATCATCTTTTCAATGAGACTTCTCCTCTTTCCCCCAGGCAACACTCATTCCTGCATCTTCTGAGTTTCCATCATAAATTAAAATTCTTTACAAAATTTGCCCCCCTAGATTGTGGGTATCCTTGGAATTTAGCGAGGCCCTCATCATAGGATGCCTTTTATCACAAATCTGTTTCCCACTGGAAGGTCAGCCCCTTGAGAACACCTCTGACACTGGTCAGAACTCTTCATTCACAGTAGGAGCTCCCGCTGATGGTTATTGAATGGTGTTGAGTTGGGTCATAAAGATTTCATGGGCATGGGCTTGGGTAACTGGGAATCAGAATGGATTAGAAAGGAAAGACCAAGAGCTGGAAAGTGCACTTGGCCAATTGGACAGCCCTGCTTGGGGGTGACTAGCAATGGAGGTCTTTCTCACATAGCTGGCTGGCACAAAACAATGCTGCTGCTTAAGCCCCATGCCAGACAAAGCAAATGAGGATCTCTGGGCTGGAGCTCAAGCATGGGGATTTTTCAAAGCATCCCAGCTGATTTCAATGGGTAGCCAACTGGGAATCCTACTAGCATAAGGAGATTAGAGTTTTCAGGGGCCTTCTTTTATGGAGTTGACCAGAGGTCACTGCAGAGCCCTGCCCAACAGGCAGCACACAGAGGTGGGGAGGAAGTGAGGGTGGGCTGGCACATGGGAAATGGTGTGGGCTCACCTCCTGCACACCTGGAACACCCCCTGTCACCTGTGCACCTTAGGCTTTATGTCAAGCCAGGATAGAAGATGGACAGGCCATGGGGTACCTGCAGCAGAGGATCTCCACTTCAGCTACCTGGAGGGAATCCACTTTCAGGGTTGTCAGCCTAGCTATTGTCACAAGAAGTAAATTCCCCTGTCCAACCAGCCCACAAAACCAGAACAGAACTGCTCTGTGACTGTCCAGGCATACACTCTGAGACCTGAGGCATGTCTTGCCCCCTCACGGGTGACTTCTCAAAAGGCTTTCCCCTGGCAGAGCATCCGTTTTCCTTCTGTTGCCAATAAAAATCCCCAGCTCTGTTCTTTCTCCTTCGCATCCTTCTATTGCTTCTGACAGAGTTTGCCAGTTAGCTGAGGTCAGGATTTCCTTTTTACAAACAACCTGTTTTCAGTCAGCAAGGCCAGAGGTTTCTTAAATTACAAACCCTTTCATTTCTTTTGCCGCAAGTCATCCTGTCAGTTTGTATAATGACATAGAATGGAGAGAAATGGAGATGTGCAGAGAGACACTGAAAGAAAAGAGTAGCTCACTTTCTCGAGCCTTTTGGATTGTAAAAAAACTGTCTTGAACATGATAGCGAACTCTATTCCAGCTGAAGCTTTTGTAGCTGCGTATAGTGTGGGTAAAGGGCCAGTGCCTGAAAGGAAATTTCTTACAAGTCTTAAATGAACACACAGTGTCCATCATCTCTATATTCTGTTAAGCAAATGGCCTCCTTTATAGTCATTTGAATTGGGAATCATCCATGATACATGCAAATGTTCTGAAAAGCAAATTGAAAAGTTATGAAATACGTTTTCATTGATATGTATAGGTGTTTACTGGAAGGTATGTTTTAACCCAAACTCTGGAAGGATGACAAAGGATTGAGGCACTAAGGTAAAAAAGACAAAAGGCCTTTGGACATCATTGGAAAATTGTGCTAACTGTGGACAAAGCACTAAATATTCCTGGAAAACCCAAAGAGGACACCTAAACTTACCCTATTATTTAGTGATAGATCAGGGAGGCAAAGCCAACTGTTACAGGCCTGAGAGCTCCTAATCTTTTCATGATTCAGTATTGCATCCAAGAGGGTGGTTTGGGGTCATGGCTTTGCTTTACTTGGCTGTGACCCATCGGGCAAAGCATTTAACCCAAGTTTTGTAACCTGTAAAATGGGCTCAACTAGATACTCCTTAGACCTCATATTTGAAGGCTTGTTTAGCATAGAAGCATCACCATTAGCGAAGGCTGTGTATGCTGATGTAGGAGTCTCAGTCCCTTTCTATTCCTATCCTCTGCCTTTTCTTTCTCCCGTGAAGGGTAAGCAGTCATGCTCACATACCATAAAGGCACAAAGCCTGTAGCTTTACTCTGAGATGGACAGTTAAAGCCCTTGCCTCCTCTCTCTCCTGGCTGCCCAACCCGTCATCTCTGCCTCCCAGACTCACAGTCCTGGCTCTCCTGCCCTTCCCTTATCCTTCCCTAGCTTGCTGCCCACCTTCTCACTCTGAGCTGCTCTCATTTTCTTCTCTTCTCCCCACTCCCCTTGGGCCAGCTCCTCCCCAGGCTTCAGGTCTTAGCTGAGACATTGGTTCTTCAGGGAAGCCTTTCTTGCCTGCCCAGGCTGCCCACAGTAGATCACTCCCTCGCCTCTGTTAGTCTTGCTCATTGAGCCCTTCCGAGAATTGTAATGAATTCTTTAACAGTCACTGTCCCAATGCTCAAAGTCAGGTATGAGACTTTTTTAGCTTGTTTTCTAGACCTGGCCAAAACAATGCAGTGGACTTTTGTAGGGTCTGTGCATCCAAGAAGCTGGTTCTTCAGTTGGGGAAATATTTTTGTGAAAAGTTAGCTAGTACAGTAATAGACAACATTAGAGAATCTTCCAGGCAGTGTCCCAAGCACTTCACATATACAATTGACCCTTGAACAAGGCAGGGGTTAGAGGCACCAACCGTTCTGCCGTTGAAAATCCATGTATATCTTTTGACTTCTCAAAAACTCAACTAATAGCCTACTGGAAACTGGAAGTTTTAACGATAACATAAACAGTCAATTAACACACGTTTGGATATTATATACTATATTCTTAGAAAAAAGTTATTAAGAAAATTATAAGGAAGAGAAAATATATTTACCGTTAAGTGGAAGTGGATCATCATAAAGGTCTTCATCCTTATTGTCTTCATGTTGATTAGGCTGAGGAGGAGCAGGAGAAGTTAGTCTCACTGTTTCAGGGGTGGCAGCAGTGGAAGAAGATCCACGTATAAATGGACCCATGCAATTCCAGCCCCGGTTGTTCAGGGTTCAACTGTATTAACTTATTTTGTCTTCATAATAGTCCTCTGAAGTAGATACAATCATTATTCCATTTTTACAGATGGGGAAATTCCTAACCACTGGGATGAACTGTCCACAGTGGTGCTGAGACCCCTTCCCTTGGGGCGTGTCCAGATTCCTCTTCTGTCTCACTACTTCCTCCATTTGACCTATGTAAATATTTAGCCATCACTAAAAAAAAACCTGGGTTTATATTTCCACCATCCTCGTCTGAATCTGACCACTGTTTGCTGGGACTGTCCTAACAGCTGAATAACTGGTTTCCCCATTTCTTCTCTTGCTCCTGTCCAGCTCCTTCTCCACCCTCTTCTCCACTCAGCAGCTGGGTGATCATTTCAAAGAGTAAACTAGACCAGGTCCCCCCACTAGGTAAAAATCTCAGTGACCTCCTATTCACTTAGGATAGCATCCAGACTCCAGACCACGACCTCTAGGTCTTCCTGGTCTCCTTCCCTTTACAAAGTCATCTCTTGCTCCTCTCCTCTTGGACCCATGGGTGTGGTTCTCATTTGGAGGATAAACAGAGTGTTCTCCTCTGTGGACCTTTGCCTGCATGTCCTGCCTCTCATCTTTACATGCTTCCACCTTCTTAGCAGTCAGGTTTTGGCTCAGACATCTTGGCTCTGTCCATTCTATTAGAGGAAACTTACACCTGTCACTGACCCATGTTCTGTTTTATTTTCCAAAAAGAACCCTTTTGATATGAATGTAGCTTATTCATTCATTTAGTAATTCATTATGGTCTGTTTCCACCAACTCCAATGTAAACTCAGTCCTTGGGGCATGGACATCCTACCCTCAGCACCTGGGACAGTGCCACACTATTGAGGGGTAGGGGGCAGTGAGTCTTTATTGAATGAAATATGGACTTCCAATAAAGGCATAGACAGAGGGAGAGAAGAGAAGGAGCTAACACTGCATGCCATTGATACCGGAGTTAGGAAAAAATCATTTAGGCAGATAGTGAGGGTAGAAGAGTCCTTGGTAAGGTTTTCCTTTTAATGAAAAGCAGCCCCAAAATAATTTTCTTTTCTAAGTAAGAGTAGCCTGTAAAATTGAGCTGCAGACATAAACAAGCAAGCTGGAAGCTTGCACAGGTGAGTGCCAGCAGTTGTGTCAATAGAAAATGGCTACCTAGGACTAGGCATGTTCAAAATGGTGGCTCCATATTCCCTTCTCTTTGCCAGCCATGTGTACAGTAAGGAGCAAACAAGATGGGCTGGCCAAGTGGAAAGCCCATTTGCATAACATTAGGGTAGGGCGGCCAGCCTTCCCCACGTGCTATGTGAATGTCACAGCTGGTCCAACCAATCTGTGGGCAAGGGAGAGAGCTGTCCTCCTTTTTCTTTTTCTTTCTTTTCCCTATTAAACCTCCACTCCTAAACCCGCTCCTGTGTGTCTGTGTCCTTAATCTTCTTGGTGCGAGATGATGAATGAAGCTGCTTCACCATGGTAGGGAAAAAAAAGTCTGTAGAGGAGGAAGAACTTGAGCTGGACATGATTTGGGTGGATTGAGGATAGGGTGAAGGAAGTCATTGTGGGAAATGAGAATGCTTTGGACAAAGATGAGGCAGAGATGCTTGAGAGCTGTTTGATGCATTAAGGAGCTTAGTATGTTAGCCTAGTGTACTGATGATCTGCTAATTTCAATAATGAGAGAGAATGCTGGGAAGAAAGTAGAGACTGTGTTTGGAGGCTCTAGAATGCCAAGGGGAGAAATCTGAGCCCTAAATCCATGATCAAAGAGGAGCCACTAAAAATTTTGACCAGCAGTTGTCATGTTAGAGGTGGTGCTTTATAGAAAACTCATCTTCTGGGTATGCCCTCCATTTGGCCTATTTTTTATGCTTAATTTAAGCCCTAAAAACCCCTTTACTCCCCACCACTGTCTCTCTTTAAGATTTTCCCCAAAGTCTTTTCATTCTTGGGGTGTCGGGGCATGCTCAGGCACCTCATGATTCAGGCCACTTGACCTGGTGTGTGTGTATGAAAAATACACTTCAGGGGCCTGACAAATGGGTGAGGCAGTGCATGTTTGATTTTCATGTGTTTTCATGTATGAATGTGTGTTTCTAAGATTAAATTCTCAGGAGGAAGCCAGTTGTGCTGTTTTATAGCTCTCTGTGAATGATTAATCTGACCAAATCATAGAGGTATCTGTTGTGGGCATTCTTTATTGATGAAACTGCTTTATAGTGTTGTCCCTTGGGTATATAAGTGGCTAAATCTGTGCTCTGCAATCCAAGACACTTTATGCTGAATTATGTTCTACAGTAGGTAAATTTGAGTAAGGGTCTAGTTTATGTAATTTTTGGAGAAGTGAAGAACTTTTCCATTCATCAGTACTTACAGTGATCAAAGAAACAGCTGTTACCCTGCAAGTTCAGTCCCCTAAAGGACTGATAAAGCCATCACTGCAGTTACTTCATACAACTTCCTTTTGTTGGACTTTGGGTGTCCTAATGTAACCAAGATCCTGCTATTTCATATAACCAAGAGAAAAAGATGATCCCGACAGTCAGGGAGCTTACAGTACATCACAAATAAATTTTATTAACTTAAACACAAAATTAATGAAGAAAAATTCTGTACACAACGGTGGACACAGCACACCTTTATACAGTAAGGCCAAGATAAACTTTGTCTTTTCAGTCTGCAGAGTACAAAAACATAAAATGAAAAGGTTAAAAATTGTCAACTGTTTGCTTCAAGCAAAAAGGAAGAAAAAACTAATTCAATTGTGAATTTAAACAATTTGGATAATTCACAAATGACTATTTCTAGCAGCAACACACAACTTCAGAAAAGAATGAAGTAGCTCTTCAACTACTTCGGGTCAAAGCTGGTGTTTTTCCCGCCCAATATATGATTGATTAAAGAAGACTCATCCTAAGGGTAATTTCATGACAATGGATTGTGTTTGTTAGATGAGAGAAAATATTGCCCAGCCAAACTGACCACTTTTGGAGAAACTCTTATGGTCTGACAAAGGTGATAATTTTATTATTTCCCCAGATTGATGCCTGTCATGTAGTACATAATGCAGGTGGAGAGGAACGTTGTTTCCATGGTGATGACAATGGCAATGAACCTTCCTCAGGGTGACAGGAAGAAAGAGAAAATACGCACATAGGGAGTAATGCAAAGTTTGCTGATTTCCGGATTAGCATCGTGTGTCTTCCTTTATCGAAAGAAAATGCAGACACGATAATTAATAATTCTGAGCACATGAAAACTTTGTTAGTCTCCGATTCATGAACCATTTTATTAATAAAATATATCTACTATCATCTATATTCTTTGTGGGAAGAAGCATTTGAATAATTATTTTTTCCAAGTAGTTACATATAATACATTAGTGTGGAAATGAAAAAGTGAGGTGGTAGGAGAGCTCATTTTGTTTCAAATTGTTTAAGAAACTGCTGTGTTATTTCATCAAGGCCCTCAGAAGAACTGATGCAGGAAAAAATTTTAGAAAACAAAATCCTTACTGACACTTGACATCCATGCTTTTGGTCTTGACAACATTATCTAAAAAAAAAAAATCCATTATCTACATATTTATACCGAAAACTCAGATAAGGCACGGCACATGAATTTGTGCACGTGCTGCCTCATGCTTCACTATCCAGGCATTGCTACCTTTCAATATCATTTCCCTAAACAATATGTAAAAGAATTATCCATTATTACAAATTTACACCAAAAATTCTTTCTGTACATGATTGTCTCAGTGATGTACATATTATACGTTTAAATTAGACATACTTAAAACTACTATGCAATGTGCTAAAATTCAAAGTACTGTACTTGCCATGTTGTGAGGCAGAGGCCTTTAATCACTTATTTCTAATGCTATTGTCTCTTCAATTATTTGATGTTTAAAAAAGTCTGGTGGGTGAATTATACCTCAATAAAGCTGTTTTTTTATCTTTTTAAAAAAAGTCTGTTCATAAATAAGTAGAGATGTACAGATTACCCTGGGTATGAGACACCAAAAAGTAAACCTTCTTTACAAGAAAATTCCTCCACTGGTATTCAGGAAACACATTTCAGTCTCTGTTGTGCAATTAGGTTTGCTGTATTGGAGAAGCTGTTTATATCACATTGAAAATGCTAACAACTGAAGCGTTTGCAGGTCCTTTCTTCACAGGTTTGAACCGTGTAGTTAATGTGGCAGACACATAACGCTGTGCTAAAACATTCTCATGGCTTATTTTCACTGGATTCACAGTACTAGAGTCAACAGCTGTTCTGATGAAATAGACGTGGTCCTCCATTCACCACAAAGGCAGAGGTCAAGACTGACAGCAACTGCGCATCACCAGGCGGAAATTGCTAAGTTCTGGAGGCCGGCGCTGATGCGAGACTGGGGCCTGCTGGATCTGTCCCTGGTCACAGAGCAGCTGTGCGCTGTCAAAGTGCCGAGCGCTGTTACAGGTACTCCAGTTCCAAGGCATGGTGCAGGGCCATGAGGTCCGAGTGGCTGGAGATCCTCCAGAAGGGCATCGCGTGCTGCAGCAGAGGCACACATACATGTGAGGACAGAGCACCCAGCGCCAGCCCTGCCAGCTTTTTTGGAAATCCACTCCCATGCTGACCCCCATTTTCAGTATCATTGAAATGCCAGCTAACATCTTAACATCACATCTGTTTAAAACAAAAATTCAAACTCAATCCTCCCCTAAGAATACTGGACTGAGTTGTAAAATGTAATCTAGAGTCTGTTTCTTTGAAGAAGGGGATGGATATTTCCTAACTGGATCTACACTGTGACTTGAATGCCAATTCCAAGCTTTAAATAAAAGAACGTTGCCAAATATGGCAGCTGTTCACGTATCCAGTGGGTTTTTCATGCTGAAAGTTTAAAAAGCTTGTACTTTATGAGTTTAAGCAGTTTTCCTTAGTTAGTAGTAGTTTACATTTTTTCTAACTTTTAATTGTGGCTCACATATGAAGCAGTTTTTTTTCCATTTATTTCCCTCAGTTATTCTTCATATTGACCTTAAAATGGCTTTACCATATGGAAAACGTTTTAAATGAACATCTAACGTTGTTTTTTTTGTTTTGTTTTAGGTTTTTGCAGTTGTTGTTATTTAAACCTCAATCTAAAAATCTAGTTTAAGAAGTGGGAATGTTTGTGATACACGTGAATAAACCAAGGGGAAGAACTCAGAAGTTACATCATCCATGAAGGGTGAAAATGTGATGAACTTTCACTGCTCCAAAGCACTATAGTAAGTACTAATGCATGAGCAAAACCTTTTTAAGGGAAAGATAATCATCACCCTCAGGAGAACAAAATTCTGTTTGTTTACCTTATAGAATAGGATTCTTAAGCAAAAAAATAATGTGGTGCCTGGAGTATAATTTGCAATTATAGTTCTGAGAAATTTGGAAAAATTTCAGACTAATAGGAGAATCTGGCATAGAAGCAAAGAGAAATGAGGGTTTTTGTTTTTGTTTTTTAAATGTGTAGGTGACAGTGAAAGCCATGACTATTTTGATATGTAGATCACATAGCTGCTACATACTGGGATACAAACTATTACTTATTAACAATGTATTTGCCTCAGATTATCTGTTGAAATCACATACCACATTCCAATATGTAGACCTTTCTGGACTCAAGACTATTTTGGTGTATCTGTATATATGTTATTGAGTGATAACAGAATAGTCCAGAAATTAGTACTAAATATTTCTTTGTAGATTTCTAGAAGGATGCTCCTCTTGGAAACTTCACACTGTAAGACGTAGCATTGTGCATTCATTCATACAGAGCACACTGTGTCAGGTGTAGAAGATATAGAGATGCATGTGTCGCTGCCTACCCTATTTTGAGTAGCAAACATGCACAACAATCATCAGTGTTCATTTATATCTTGTAGGAGGTGGGCAATTACCTTTGCCTAGTGAACTGGGAAAATATCTGAAGGGAGGTGATAGCTGAACTAGTTATGAAGGATTAACATTCAGAAAAACACTCTGATGGTTATGTGCATTGCAGGACAGAAAACTAGTTATGAAAGATTAACATTCAGAAAAACACTCTGATGGTTATGTGCATTGCGGGACAGAAAATAATGGAGAAATTCATTGTTGGCATACTAGATGGGTATGAGAGAAAAGACTTGGCTGGTGACATGAGTGGCTGCAGGAGCCAGCTGATGCAGGGCCTAGTAAGCCCTGCTAAGGAGTTTATTTGTAATAAACTCCTAATTCATAAATCCCAATAGTTATGATTTATTGGATATTGTGTTAGGCACTATGCTAAGCACCTCAAAGAGACAGAGGTACTACTATTACTATTGTACTAGTTAAAAAAAAAAGAAAAAAAAAAACAACCTGAGGCTTAGTGATGAAACACAGAGGTTTAAATAAATAGCTGGTAAGGAGTGAAGCCAAGATCCATATACCAGGTGTGACTCTGAAGCTCATATACTGTAATGCCTCCTACCTGTTCTCTGTAGGCTTTTTATTCAGCTGTGTAAATTATCAGCACCATAGCACAGGTTCAAACTAACTCTCTCTCTCTCTGCCCCCGTGCATTCTCTGTGGGCTAAGAGACACCAGAAGATTCATAGACCTGGGTTAGAAAAACGTTTGATCCTATAGCTTTCCTCCTCATTAGAACAGAAATTCATGTTGTAAAATATAGAACCCTATAAAGAAATACAAATCATTTCTTATCCTACTACACAAAGGTCACCACTATAAACATTTCTTTATATTTTTATATATGTACATACTCAAACATACTTGAAATTATGTGTTTATCAAGTATGTTCCATTCAGCATCCTACTCATTTTACTACTTAATCTCAAATTCATTTTACATTTTAGACACATTTTAAAAGAAAACTATTTTAAAAGTTTTCAAGTATTCAACTGTGCAGTGTTGCTATTTAACCACCTACTTGGTATCTATTTTTATATTCTCTTTATTTCTAATTGTTTTTCTTATTAGGTTTGCCAATCATTATTGCCCTTCCTCAAAGTTTCTTGTCAACAGCTAAAGGGGTTAGATAGTATTTCTATTGATCTTAAGTACTATTATCTCAGAATGTAACAAAGGATGCTGAAAGCTCTTCAGATAATCCATCTAGAAACTTTTAGGACAACCATCTTCATAAAAACATACAAAAATACTTGTGCAAAGTGGAATGCCTTTTTTCAGAGCAGGTTCAGTCAAATTCTTTTGCATGTCAATTGTCTGAGGTTCCATATGTTCCCCACAGACAAGTTACAACCATTAACAATGCAAATCTGAAAACTATTGGTGCAATCAGAATCCTGCACTGAAGAATGCCATGACTCTCAGAGAAATCAAAAAGGGAACTAAAAAAAAAAAATCCAGCTACTTCTTTGGTACATAAAGTATAAAGTGGGCATTTAATTTCATAGTAAACAAAGGACTGGTTCAATGGCTGTGTGTCTCATCTGTACATGTGTGTGGGTTGATGCCGCCTACAGAACACATGTTTTTCTTTTAAACCATACTCAACACTATCGGGAAAGGTGAGATAATCTGCAAACAACCCTAAGTTGGCTTGTTTACTGGCACTAAAATACGAATGGCTTTAGTCTTCCTGTACAGAGTATTAATAAGAACCACCTGGTCAAGCAGCACCCAGAAACGAGGTCAAAGGATAAAACTTCCTGTAGTATATTACAGACAACTCATCACAATGCAGTGGGGATGGGCCATTCATTTGGGCAGAAGAGCCAAAGGTTCTACAATGAAAACTTTGCAAATCTTAGGTGTACATGAAAGAAAACTGGTAGATTCTGGGGACACTCCACCCACAAGGATAGCAACTCTATCCTCTGCATTCTTTCATGGCATGCAGGGTAGTGATGTCGGCTGTAGTTAGCAGTTTCATTCTCACAAAAATAGTAGACTTCTTTAAGAAATGCACATTTTGTATTAAGTGAATGACTATAAGAAGACAGTCTAGAGGAGAGGAGGTGTCAAACTCCTGTTAACAATCAGAGCTAATATTGCACAATGATAATATTTTCCCTAAGTACGTACTGATGTGAAGATTTTATGCATTTATAAAAGCTTCTCAGGACAACTGGATACAAAGTAAACTTTTTTTTCTCTTGCATCAATGTTTAGCCACTAGAACAAACATTTCTTGTATGAAATCGGAGAGAAATGGTGGCAAAAGAGAAAAAGAAAAACACATGCTAGAATGAGGAGACCTGGGTTATATTCTCAACTTTGACATTAGCTATGTGACCTTCAATTATGGCACAGTCTGCCTGAAGCCCTAGTTTCTTTATAACATGAGCGTTTAGGGAAAATGACTCAGGGTTGCTTCTAGGTCAAAGAAAGTCTGTGACTTTATTATCAAAACAAAGTCTGTTACCTGCATAGCACCGTAGCTACAGTAGATACGTAATACACAAAAGACATATATCCCCAATGCCAAGAGCTGACCAGCAGGCAAGATATAACTGATGAAACAATTTTATTACAGTGTAAGGCAATGAGGGATGAAGAATTAAAAAGACAAATTCAGAGAGAAGAGAGCTCAGTTGTAACCTGGAGAGGGTAAACTGAGCTTGAGCTGAATTTGAAGAATGGGTGAAGTTGGAGAGGTGGAAGGGAAGTGGATAGGGTTCCCAGTTAGGAGGAGTAATTGGCCTGTGGAGGATGGGGCTGGACTGGTGTGTAAAATCGTAGAGATGTTAAGGAGGTTTGTCAAGGTAGCAGCACTTGGAATATCTAACTAAGGAGTTTAGACTTTTGTCTTGTAAATGGAAGGAGCGAGAGGCTAACACTTCCTCAGTGCCAAGAGACACAAATAGGTGGGGGCATTTTAAGCAATTTAGGGCAGCAGTCGGGAAGGATGGACCAAAGATGTTTCTGGCTGGTAGCAGAGAAACTAGGTAGAATTACAGTGGAAATGGAGTGGGTGTAATAGATGCAAGACATATTGTGAAGAGAGTTCATGTGACTCAGCGGTGGGTGGGAATCAAAGAACCCCAAATCATGTCTGAGTGGGCCAACTGGTTTGGGATAGCTGAATTCATTTGCTTGTATTCAGACATTCAGATGGGTAGAACATGGGATATTTACCCAGAGATATTTTCTCAGGTTGCTGAAGCCCTGGGACCAAAAACAGAGCTACCCACAAATCTTAACAGAAATGACAGCTGGAACTGCAACATGCATGTGATTCGTTTATCAAGATTAGGCATATATTGAGAGAAGTAGGTATCAAGGCCTAAAATTAGCACATGCTTTTGTGTCTCCAGAACCAAAATTTTGCCTGATGGGAAAACAATGACACATCCTTCCTGTTTTTCTTGCCTCCTGGAGCAACTTCAAAAATCTCCTTCCTCCATCCTTCCTCATCTGATATTTAGCATTTATACTTTTAGACTACATATAACAACAACCATATAAAAAGCTGGGTATGTGGATACATATATGTAAGCAGAATTTTGCTGAATTATTAAAAATGTGTTAATTACAATGTTTCAAAGTTTTTAAAGCATATACCCTCTGACTTAATTATTGCAGTTTTAGGAATTTATCCTACAGATGCACTTGCACATGCATGAACTGCAGAACTGTTTGCAGTAGTAAATACTGGAAACCATCTAAATGTTCACCCCAGAGGACTGGTTAAATAGCACATCCACATGATGGAATACCGATGCAGTCACTTAAAAGCATTAGAGATGCAAAGCTTCATGGACTGATATAGAATAACTGCCAGGATGAATTAACTGAAAAAGCAGGTATGAAAAAAAGTGTATACTTCTCATTTGTGTAAAAAAATACTTATTTGTGCTTTCATGTGCACATATAACATTTAGAAAGTTTTGCAGATGGAATTACAAATACTTTTCAAATTGTAAAGAAAGATATCAAGGGAGAACTTATTATGAAACTTATTGTGCAACGTTGCTCTTTTATTTATATATCTGCTTGCCCTCTAGACATAAGTATGCTTTTTAAGGATGACGATGAAATCCAGTTCAAAACCTGGCATATAGTAAGTGATTAACTATAAATGAATTTATGACTTTACAAAAATAACATTCACTGTACTTGGTGTTTATAACCTTGATGTCCCACTTAAACTAAAAACAAAAAAGTGCTTTACAAATGTTATTTTATAAAAGTGGCTTGTATTTTTCTCCTAAATAAGCTTGAAATTGGGCATTATTAATCAGGTTCTCGGCTTCATCTTGGATTTCAGCAAGTTTTAGAATGTACATATAAAATGAACATATTTAATGACGCCTTTCTCACTGTGCAGAAAATGGATGCTTGCCATTTTTTCTCCCTTTGCCATAAACAAGAGATTTATTTTAAATAGTTCTCTGAAAATAATTTATTAACAAGGCCACTTTTACTACTCTAGAAATGAAAACTAGATGTCAATGTACAGGAGACTATTTCCTACATTTTTTTTTTTAAACAATCATACCTAGGTCTAATCATTTTCTCTCAAGCCATGTTGCATTAGGGAAACAAATAATTTTATGGTAAAAAAAGAACAACTGGTGGATTTTGACAACAAAAGACATACGTCAAAGGAAGACTTCCATAGGTAGAGACTTCCCACAATCTTTCTAAGAACAAAGAGGCACTCACACAAACTCCTGCAAGAGATCCTTTCAATATGAGGTTGTTCTTTTACGAAACAAAGGTATTTCTAACTTCTTCTCTTTGAAGGAGGTACTTTTTATGATGCAAATTATAGAGTTAAATTACTGATGAAAGCCCTTGGACTACATTGGCAAAGAGAATAAGGATGACAGAATAGATTTCAATTGACCATTAACGAAAGAGGCAACTGGCAGATTTACTTACTGGGTTTTGTTTCTGTGATTTAAAAAAAGTAACAATCTCTAGCAAAAGAACATTATTTAAGGAGATGACAGATCTCTACAAGGGAAAGAAGAGCATGTTGTATTAGATTTTGAAGGACACAGGAAACTAAGAGAGACAAGCTAAATAGTTAAAATCAATTTCGAAGCAATGTAAAATGTTTTGATTTGGCAAAACATTTTAGTGCTCAAATGTGCAGAACTTCATTGGTTTGCTATTAATTTATTTAATAAACTAAATTGCTCAGGAGCTAAAGCACATATCAGAATTATGTGTTTTAAAAATTTTAATTATGAATGTAAAATTAGGGGAAAGAAGACACTTATATAGTTATATCTAACTCCTGAAAAGAAAGAAGAATTGCATTTTACTCTAATAATTTTTTGAAAAACCATGTAAATTCTTTTTTGTAAGTCAAGTCATATTTAAGATATATAAATGTAGTTTATAGTTTGAAGAAACTTTTTTTTTTTTAAACAGGGTCTTACTCTGTCACCCAGGCTGGAGTGCAGTGGTGCCATCATCACAGCTCACTGTAGCTTTGACCTCTGAGGCTCAGGTGATCCTCACACCTCAGCCTCTCCAGTAGCTTAGGACTACAGGCAGCACCACTATGCTGGGCTAATTTTTGTACTTTTTGTAGAGACGGGTTTCACCATGTTGCCCAGGCTGGCCTCAAACTCCTGGGCTCAAGTGAGCCACCTGTCTCAGCCTCCCAAAGTGCTGGGATTACAAGTGTGAGCCACCACTCTCCGACTGCAGAAACTTTTCACTAAATCTCACAGTCAGAGGAAATACCTGAGTTCAAATCCTAATTTAGCTACTTTCTAGCTGTGTGATTTTGGCCGAATTATTCACCCTTACAGTGCCTCAGTTTTCTCAAGTGTAAAATAGGTCTAAGGATTCCTTCATAGGATTATGAGGATTTAATGAGAAAAATGGATGGGAAGGCCTAAAAGAGGGACTGGGATATAATAAGGGCTTTATAATTGGTAGCATTTTTTTTCTTTGGGACAGGATCTCATTCTATCATCCCAGCTGGAGTGCAGTGGCATGAGTTCGGCTAACTGCAGTCTTGACCTCCTGGGCTCCAGTGATCCTCCGACTTCAGCCTCCTGAGTAGCTGGGACTACAGGCACCCACCACCACGCCCGGGTAATTTTTATATCTTTTATAAAGACAGGGTTTTGCCATGTTGCCCCAACTGGTCTCAAACTCCTGAGCTGAAGTGATCCACACACCTTGGCCTCTCAAAGTGCTGGGATTACAAGTGTGAGCCTGCCTTGGTAGCAATTTTTGTTACTTACTAATATTATGATTAATCCTACAGCATAGAAAGCCATCTCTTAGTTTCTTTAGCTTGAGTTTTCATATGTAGTTTTAAAAATGAGATGTTGTTGAACTGTAGAGGGCTCCTCCTCCTAAATTATTTCCCATAGGTTAAATATTAAGTATTCTCTACTTCTGTGCAGCACTCCACTTTAAAGATACTCATTATCTTTTGTGAATGATTAGATCCTTGTCTCTTAACTCATATACAAAGACGACTATTTATATACTAGTTAACTTGAAAAGGCTAGACAAAAATTCTCCTTCAATAAAGTTAGAAAATAAGAAAGGAATGTTCAACTTGTTGTAAATTGATGACGTCTGAATCTTTTGCAAGATTATTAGAAATCGAGATATTGTGAAAAATTTGTCCATTTTACACATCCACACAGGCAGTTCTCAAGGTACAAAGAGTGGTTTGCAGCAGATATTTTTGGACTCTTGTCACGTACAGTCATCCATGAAATAAAAATGGAAAGCTAGGAGGACTCATTTGGTCAAAAAATTCAGTATGTTTTCTGCAGGTGGCTGCCTAATTTCTTTTTTGTGTGTGCCCTATATTAAAAAAAAGACATGTCCAAAGATAAACAGTGGAAACAATCTTTTTTTAAGCCATTCTATATTTAATTTTATTCTGTAATTGCTGATTGGTTGTTGAGAAAACACAAATATCAGAGTTTATTATCAGAGTGATCTAGGAAAGAAGGTTAAAAAAAAAAGGATTTTCCAAATAATTGTAATAGAATACTTTTGTACAAAGAAGGATTTTCCAAATAATTGTAATAGAATAGTTTTGTACACCTTATAATTTATTCTTTGGTACTGTTGTAAATGAATTGTACCAGCATTTGAATTTTAAGTGTTTTATTGGGTTGTTCCTACTGTTATCACCAACATTCTATGTGTATTAAATTAGTATTAAAACTTTATAATATACATGGAAGTAATTGGAAACCCTCTAAAGACTATGAATCAGTGAGGCAAACATTTAGGAACTGTCTATAGATTTAAAAATTATGAACCTCAGCCTGTTTCCAGTATAAAAATTAACTAAAACTGGCCGGGCACAGTGGCTCATGCCTGTAATCCCAGCACTTTGGGAGGCAGAGGCGAGTGGATCACTTGGGGTCAGGAGATTGAGACCAGTCTGGCTAACTGGTGAAACCCCGTCTCTACTAAAAATACAAAAATTAGCCAGGCATCGTGGCACATGCCTGTAATCCCAGCTACTTAGGAGACTGAGGCAGGAGAATCACTTGAACCTAGGAGGAGGAGGTTGCAGTGAGCCGAGATCGCGCTACTGCACTCCAGCCTGGGTGACGGAGACTCTTTCTCAAATAAAACAAAAAACCAAAAACGAACCTCAGCCTATTTCCAGTATAAAAATTAACTAAAATCTTTTAACTAAAACCTTTTATTACATCAGAAATACATAAAGTTTTCATGTCCGCTCTACCAACAAAATGTATTGAGCACCCATTTGTCAAAGCTGTCAGGATTAGAATCTACCAGGAAGTGTCAGCATTTGCCTAATGTAATGATGAGTTGACGGATGCAGCAAACCAACATGGCACATGTATACCTATGTATCAAACCTGCACATTGTGCACATGTACCCTAGAACTTAAAGTATAATAAAAAAAAGAAAAAAAAATCTTAACTGCTCTTCAAAGACAGCAAATACTCTAGCCCTATCAATACTTTCAATTCTAACCTGAAACCAAGAATTCCTTTGTTTTTTTCCATGTTGTGTTCACTGAAGTCAAACTTCTAAGAATTGTACTTATCAGAAAGGTTTAGGAAGGGACTCACTCACAGAAACCTTGATAAGATCCAAAGGATTTCACTTGTGTTCCCTGCATTTTAAGTAATCACTTTCATAAACATCCCTCTCTGCCTACCACAAGCTAGAAAGCCACATTTTAGCAATTTTTGATATTAAACTTTCTGGTAGATACCAGAGGGAGAAGGACCAGCCTGGAGATGGCTTCACACCTTGGCCTAGGGCCATACTGGTCAGAGGTACAAATCTGTTCCATCCCTGCCCTGCTGGCCACTAGGAGGGTCCTGAATAGGAATGGCTTGGGAATGCCAGAGGCTTTCCTAGAAAGAAGACTTGAGTCTGGATGTCAGAAAACATTCTCTTCAACTCTCCAGGATTGTGTTTTGAGGATTCTGACTTAGGCTGGGAAAGGTTTTATTTTATAAAGACAGCCCAGAGAGGTAACAGAGGCACCCAATGACACTAGTGGTTGGTCGTCGGTGAAGTGGGAAGATTAGAACTACTGCTTAAATGGCAAATGCTGCTTCACATTGAGCATGAGGAGACCTGAAGTCACGTGTGGGTTTCTACCAGCACCAACCAGACTCACGCAGGTTTGTGACTGGGATACATTCTGTATTTATGGGTATTCATGAAATTATCTAGTTTAAAATTAGGGTCAGTGATTATGATTTTAGTGGAACTCAGAGGCACTGAAGGTAAACTAGGCCATCTTCAGAGCCTGTAGGAAGGCTGGCCATGTATCATACTTAGGCTCAGTGCTGCATCTGTAATCTGGTGACCTTACATGCTGTTTCTGGTATATGCTGAAATATTCCAGAAGGGCTGAGATATTGTATCATTTATGGAAATATACATGGATTCCTATGAGGGAGTGTGTAAGGAAGGGAATGGAAAATTATGCTGTTGGTTAATCCCATAAAATATTTAATTGTTCTTCAATTCAAGAAACATTTACAGAGTACAACTATGACAAGATTTAGGGAGTTATAAAAAAATCTGAAGACAGTCTCAACAAACCAAGCAAAGTAAGATCCCTGAATCTGTGAAGCTCACATTTCTTTGCTGAAACAGGCACATAAACAATAACAATAGCTACCATTTGTTGTACACTTTACACATATCTATATTATGGGAATTATATATCTTTACTATATCTAATCCTCAAACTAGCCCAATGAGCTAAGTGCTATTACTATCCCCATTTATAGACAAGGAAAGGGAAACAGAGGGTTAAGAACTTGTTCAAAGTCACAGGAAGGGTAAGTGGCAGGGTCATAATTCAAACTCATGCTGTCTGGCTCAAGAATCCAAGCTATTTATCACTACAGCTCCTTCAGTTAAAATATAAGGGAGCATGATTATAATTGATCTCTTAAAAGCATAACAGAAAAGGTAGTACATGAATTAAATTTTGCAAATGAATAAGACAATGACGGAATGGTATTAGGGAAAAGATTCCAAGGAGACACAACAGGAAGGAAAAGCTGTGGGGCATGGTCAAGGAAAGCTGAGTGGACTGACACAACTACAGTGTAAGGTACAGGAGGGAGACAGATCAGAAAGGCAGGCTGTAACCAGACTGTGGAGACCCTCAGTGCCAGGCTAAGGAAGGTGGTCCTTGGCTTTTAAAAATGCAATGAGAGGCCCAATGAGAAAGCTTTTGCTCAGAGAAATGATAGAATTACACCTGCAGAGATTCAGAAGAATATAATGAACAGCAATGGGCAAAGCGGGAGTCAAGAGATTTATAGTTGGGTCCACTCCCTTCCCCCTGCCCTGAGAGAGACAGGTAGGACCTCATGATATGAAGAAGACATCGAGTCTTCTGGGGCAGCAGATAGTTTTATCTTCCAAGTCAGCTTTGACCAACTGATAGAGGCTTTCTGAAGGATGTTTGAAAGGTTCTTAGGCTGCGTCCAGGCTCAGGTAACAAGGTTTGAACCACCTGGCATGTCTGCCATGGGTACAGAAAAGGTCCTGCTGGCACATGTGTTATCTCTGCTCTGGATGACAGCTACACCACTAACAACACTTCAGTTCTGCTCCCAAATTCTACCTTCTATGAACACCACTTGTGGCCCTTGAGTTTGTGCACACTACTATTCAGAAAGATCACTCCATATTTATTGAATTCTACTTTACCCTGTTCAGTGCTTAGAGTACTGCACATATTCATCACGTTTCACATAAATGGAACCTGTTTAAATGATCCAGTTATGAGAATACTGAGGACTGAAAAAACAAATGAGACAAGATGCACCATCTAGGAATGCTCACCTTTTTTGCTCCTTGTTCTTCTTCTACACCATCTCCTATAACAACATACACCACTTTTCTTCCAAACCTTTGAATTATTCTCTCAAAACAGCTTTCTTTTCCTAGTGAACAAAAATAAATGATAGAAAATGTGAAGTTTGGGTAACCTAATGTGACAGTGCTTGAACTTTTTATATAAAATGCTTTCTTCATGCTCTGATTCGAATGCCCCACTAGTACCTCTAAGAGGAATGCTTTTATGCCACTTGGGTTGTATGTGCCACAGCACAATAAATTACAAAGTAAATTAATTAGCAGTGTGGTGTCCTGTCCTTTGGAAATTGATAGTTAAATACTCTCTTCCCAAGGACTCATTTATTAAAAAATGGAATCTAGTCAATCACAGCATTGCAATTGGGGTGGTGGGGGAAAGTACTGTTTTGCAGTGGGACTTCTTTTTCCCCCTATATATAAGCTGAACTCAAACATAGGCAATTCTGGCAACATATTTTAACTTGATTTTAAAAAGTTTTTTCTTCATATATCAAACTTTGAAAATATCTGATCCAAAGACTATTGAGAATGATAAAAAATAACTGGACTTGTTTTTGTTCTAGCAAGAAAACGCAAACATCGGAATTAGCTTATTCCTTCATTTTCAGGTTGAATTAAAGACCCTGAAAGTCTGATGTAGTCTTGTAAAACTCCTTCTCAAATAAATGTCAGATAATTTGAGGTAGTGCAGCAAGATGGTACCTGCCTTACCCAGGCATCTAATGTTCAATGAAGCACTTTCCTGGAGGAAAACTGGAATAAAGGTAATAGAATACCCTTATCTGTCTACTATCTTTCCCGTGTCATGACTTAGTTTGGGCTCCTGTGGTGGCTACACTGTCAGCACATTCCCACAGTTAATGCAAGCATTGTTTCTTCTCAGAGAAGAAACTGGTGTTCCAACTCTTGGACTGCCAATAGGGTCATTTTAATGGACAATGGGACAGTTTATAGTTTTCAAATGTGAATGGCTGAGCGAAGCCTGCACCTCTTTCAAATAAGGATCAGATATACACATGAACAAATTGCTTGTTTGCTTAAACAAATGTCTGCTTTATATTTGTATTTTGCACTAAAATCTCTAGTTTGCATCTGACACAATGAAATAGAGCTAGCCTTATTCAAAGATGCAATTTAAATGCCTCTTTAGTTGTCCACTAAACTGTGAAATATTAAATCACTTTAAGAAGCAAATGCAAAGTATAGTCTTCACTGCAAAAATATACAACCAAAAACTTCGATGTCATGAAAGTTTTTTCTCTCCTTACGGGGAAATGCTTATGCGTTTTTGCAAAGTTTCCCTCTTGTGGAAAAAGGAAGGTAAATTCAATGTAATTTAAAGATGAAGTTGTGGTAGACAAAAAAAATCCTTGCCTATATACTATCTATCTCCTATTGGGCTCATTGCCAATTTGGGGTCATGTAGAAATTTTTCACAATAGAGGTTAAGAAAATGAAGCTTAGATTTTAGAAGTTAACTATTAGTTTTATATGAAGTATTCATTTTGATGAGTCCATTTTGTCTGAAAGGTCATCATAGCTCTGCCAACTGAGATACCAGTCATCTCCTCCTATGACTTTAGCATTTTGCCTACAATAAAAATTACTGGGGCCAGGCATAGTGGTTCACACCTGTAATCCCAGCACTTTGGAAGGCCAAGGCAGATCACCTGAGGTCAGGAGTCTGAGACCAGCCTGGCTAACATGGAGAAACCCCGTCTCTACTAAAAATACAAAAATTAGCTGGGCATGGTGGTGTGTGCCTGTAATCCCAGCTACCTGGGGAGGCTGAGGCAGGAGAATCACTTGAACCCAGGAGGCACAGGCTGAGATGGTGCCACTGTACTCCAGCCTAGGTGACAGAACAAGACTCCATGTCAAAAGAAAAAAAAAATTGCTGGGTTTTCTGCATTGATTCCCCACATATACCTTATTTGATGGTGAAATCCTACTTCCACCACCACATATTTTTTTTCTGTATTGAAAAAAAAATAAAGCTTAATATTTTAAACAAAATGCCCATTAAAAAAACAATGCTTACTGGATTGTAATTTCCTGTTATCATTTTCAAATTATTTGGGATTAAACTTCAATGCACATGCTATGTAATACACTACTCCTGCTTTCTTTCTGAGAACCTAAGCTCTACCCGCTTCTGTACTATGGGCTGCTTCGGCATTTGTTCCAACTTTCATGTGCTGGTAAACCTTTTCCACAATCCCTGTTTACAACACAATATAATTATAATTCCTCTTAATTGATATAGATGAAAATAGAATTAACATGTGACTTAAACTGTTTGCTATTTTTATGGAACATGAAAGCACATAAAAGTTCTGGTTATAATGGGCTACTAGGAATTTTACTCTATTTGATATATTTCTTGCTTTTTGATATTTTCCAACAATTTGTTCTTGGCCCTTCTTGGGAAGCATCAGTCATTCTCAAACTCCAGATATGTATTTCTAACTTGAAAGGTTAGCCTGGATGAATCCCATCAGCACCCTGCTGACTGTGTCTTTCTGCCATTGATTGAAGACCCCACTGGGTCTCTTCCAATGCAACACTGATAAAAATAAAACCTGATTTCCCCATCAGTTAATTGTGCCGCTATTGACGCACGTGCCTAAAAGAAATCTTGTGTCGGCCTTCTTCAAAATAAATGGTAATTTATTCAGCCATTCATTCAACAAATTCATCTCTACATTTATTGATACCTACTGTGTGCTGGGTGTTACAGCTACTATGATGAGCAAGAGAGACAAACCCAGTCCTCAAGATTATTACAGTATGACGGGGAAGTCATACTATGAACAAATAATTATAAAAGTCAGTAATTTTTTAGTAATCATTTAGTAAATGCTTTGAAGGAGAAGCACAGGAAGTGTAAAAGTGCAGGCAAACGGAAGTTAGACCTACAGGGATTCCATTTTTGCCCCTTTTTATTATATGGAGTCGAGCAGCCAAAGACAGCCCTCTTGCCACCTGCTAGAATGCTCATACCCCTTCCCCTGGACTAAAATAACATTCCTCTCCTTAGGGTGATATACAACGCCATTCATGCCTAGACCCAAGTATACCTTTTCAGCTTTGGCTTCTAATGAGCACTGCATACTAGCTACCCAGGGCCACTCACAAGTCCCTCAGCAGGGAACACATTTTAATTTCTCTGTCCATTTGCATTGTTCTCACTAGCCCATCTACCTGTTGAACTCCTACTTGCTCTTCTATACCCAGATCAAATGTCATTTCTTCCCTTTAGCTTTCACACTTTCATAGACACTTGGCCTCTACCTCTTCCTGGGTGGCAGTAAATGCTTCCTCAGTCATGTGCACATTCAAGCACTTAGCAATAGGACCCTGTAGGATACAGCAAGGGGTCTGGACCTTGGAATCAGAGAAACATGAGGCTTGAGCCTTGTGTTTGTGAACTATTGATTGCAACAATTTACTTAAGTCTCTGGACTTTAGTTTCCTCATTTGTAAAATGGAAAGATTATAAAGATTGACTTTAAATGCAAAATGCTTAGTACAGTTCAGGGCATCTAGTAGACAACTAAAAAATGCTCATTTGCATACTCTTGTATCATATTGGATTGTCATGTAACTGTCTGCTTCCCCTGAGAACAAGAGCCATGTCTTTTTATTCCTATGTTGATTCTGCCTTGATTTATATTCTAACTAAATTTCATAAGTATTTTCCTCCCAACTATGTTTCTTTCATGCAAGAAGCTTTTAAATCTCCACAACAAAAATGGAAACTCAATTGATTATACAGATTGAATGAAAAACAAAACAAATATTTCTAGTAATAAATCTGTTATTAGAGTTGTTTCATTTCTACTTTTTATAATTCTATCTTGCTGTTTGTTTTAGCTTAGAAAATCAGATATTTTTGTTAATGTTGCCTAAAAGGATAAAAATATGATAATAATCCAGAATCGATGCTGTTACTCTACCTAAAATGCCCTGGTCTTAACGTTAGCCAGTCAAGTAAAATTTTGTGACTTCAGCTACTGTATTATGCTTTATGTTTCTCTTACGTCTAAATCCAGTTTTGCAAATTGGTTAAATTATTCTTGTATTTTTTTTTTGACCTATGTAGCATTCTGGAAAAAAAGTTTCATTTATTGCCTTTCGTTTTTATTATCCTGAAGGAAAAGAGCTGATTGTTAAAAAGAAAAGAAAAGCAGCTCACCTATTTTAGTTGCACTGTAAATATTTTCTATTGGAAATACAATTCCTAACCCATACAGCAGGACTTTCGCCAATGCTGGGATGAGCTGAGTAGTTGTTACTAAAATATTCACACAGTTTGTCCTATGAGAACAAAAAGAAAACAAAGACTGTTGAAAAATAAATCTCCAAAATGAACAAGCACGAGCATTGCCCATTTCCTGGCAAAGACCCCGCAGAGAGCCTCACCGGGAGTGAATGAGCGAGAGTGCTTTCAGGGCCAGTGTCAACCAGGAGTCGGTCAGGGCTTCAATTTCGGCCCTCAACTGCAGCCAGGCTTCCCTCTTAGCTGGACCAAGCAGACCTGAGGATTTAAAAGCACATGATGAACTACTTCCTGACCAACATATTTCTTCGGCTTTGCAAGTAATTAACATTTAAAAAGTACTATGAATACCAGCCTCCAGATTTATAGTATACAAAGTATCTTTCACATAGTACCATTCATTTGACAAGTATTTATTTGGTTTGGTTACAGAAGTCATCTCTTTTTAGGGAACCTACTTTCCTACATTCCTCTAAGTGTAGTTTGGGCAGAGGTGACTCCACCTTCTGGCTCCCAGGGTAGGTGTGCAGCATTCACTTGGCCAGTGGAAGTCAGTCTTGGAACTTTTGCTGAATCTATTAGGAAATGATAGATTCCCTCCCCTCATGGATGTGCCAAACTACTGGTAGAGTATAAAGCTGGATCTACTGGTGGTCATTTTGCCACCTCTTGGGAGGGACTGACCTAGAAAGGCCTTTATCCAAAGGAAGGCACAGGCTTCCCCGACAGCATCATTTCAGCATCTGCATATAGCCATGCTGGAAACCAACCTCACCCCTAAACTTTTTATTATTAAGTCACTGTATTTCCTTTTCATGCTAAAGCCATTATGAACCAAAGTCAAAAGATTCAAACTAATCCAAGTATTTACCCTGTAGGAGGAGATTTACAACCCATCTTGTGATTTGGGCAGAGGTGGCTAATTCTTCGAAGGATGCTAATCCTTCCTTGAAAGGACAACTGAATGTCAGAGAGGTCAGGAAACTTGCCCCAGGTCACATCACTAGGTAACAGAGACAGGACTAGACTGGAATAGCCAGGGCAGCTGGCTCCAGTGCAATATTTCTGTCACTAAATCACAGCAGAATAATGGCCAGTGAGATGAAACTGCCCAAATAGAAGCTATTATATTCAAAGCAGTGTGACACAAAAGTGTACAGTACTTTTGGAATTGTATCTGGACTGTCTTAACTTGCTGAGGTACTGGTGGTAATCACTTGCCTCCAACATTATTTTTGTAGGTGTTGTAGATCTCTTTTACCCGTCTGTAGCGGAAGGCCAACTTTCTCATCCAGTCCACACCGCCCCGTACACCAGTTGCCAAACATAAGTTAGCACTGGTTGCTGCAGCAGGAAAGCCATCTGTTCCAAAGTTATATGTGCTATTTATATGCAAGAAAAGCCCAAAGTTAGCCGAACAGAAAGTCCATCTTAATTAGGTAAGTAATTAAACTATAAAAGGGAGATGGTCACTTCACATTCAAGGGTGCTCACCTTAGGTCCTGTCCGTTATCATCTGAAGAAACATCATCTATATGGACTTGGTCACATTCCTAAAATGCAATTAAAATGATACATGTCAATTTTTTAAGAGTACCTAATTTTTTTGTTTTGTTTTGGAAAAACCATACATATTTTTTAAAGCACCTTAATTGGAGGATTTTTCAACTATGTCAATCAGTAGGTGGCAGTCTTGTAAAATTGACATTTTTACCTACTTAGGGTCCTCTCCTGTAAGAAAGAAGCAACATCGTTAAGGACTACTGTTATTCAGCTTCAGAAAACACATTTTTGTGTTTAGAAAGGAAAGTGATTGAAAACAATTAGCATATGTGTTCCATAAACCTCAGGTACCTTAAGCCATCATGCTGCTCAGAGCTGATTCAGTCAGTGCCTAAGCATAACTGAAACCAGACATTTTGGTAAATGTAACATGCTAGAAAAATTAAACCTGATGCTAACTGCCAATGAAATTATGACCTCTGATTGCTGTTGAGCCACACACCAACACAGCCTGAGGCCAGTGTGTTGAGGAGCCCAGACAAAAAATCTGTTACTGGTTTCCATTTATTTGAGAGATGTGAGTTTTATCCTCCCTCTTTCTCTCTCTCTGTGTACGTGTGTGTGTGTGTGTACACATGTGCACGGTAAAAACCATGGGAGACTTTAAAACCTAAATAAAAAGTCAAACCATGTGCTTGTTTGCTGTTTAGTTTTTTTTACATTTTTTGTGTTATTTTTAGCTGTTTTACTATTATTACATATTCACTGGATTTATGAGTTTATTATGGCATAATGTTATTTTGAACAGATCTTATTTTTAAATCCCAAACTGTGTAAACTACTTAGAATAGGAAGCCATGCTTACAGGCTAAAGCTCTATTGGGCCCAGTTAACGTTTCTGCACCTGTTTGCAGATATATCGGAGCACCCATATATCTTAACCACCGTATCCCCAGATGAATTGTGGGAAGAACAGGCACTCAATAAACATTTGTTGAATGAATGAAGGCATATTAATTTGGAGGCAGACAAGGACTCTAGTCCAGAAACTTAACACCCCCACTTGGCTGCTTTCATATTTCAGTCATGTTCCTCTCTTTGCAGTCAGGCTCCAAATACCCCAGAGGCCTTTATTGTACTTATTTCCATTAAAGTTTTAGTTTAAAAATATTATTAAAAGAAATTTCCAGGCGCACATCCTGTATTTTAAAAGGTTCTTTTTGACTGAAGGTCTGGTCATGTTTCAGATAGAGTTAATTTTATAAAATCTAGCCCATCTCTCTAGCACTTAGACTCAACTTCATAACAAAGATGACACTTAGAAAGCACTATAATAATAGAAGGTATATTTTTATGTTGCCGGTCCCTTCTGAACAAACTCTTCTCTCTCCATGGATTTGTGAGGAAGGGAGGAGGAGATAGAAGTGGAAAGAAACTCAAACCAGCTGTTCCTTAACAGAATTAAAATCGTGACCCCCAACCTCTTCTCTAAAGCATCTATTTTCCAGGCAGCCCTCTCCCAGCACGCAGCAAGTTCCAAGGAGGAAAAGACTTTGACCTTGTAACCCTCCCCTGCTCTCCTGAGGTCCATAACCTCAGATAAGAGAAAAGGAAAAGCAAGTCTAGGAGCCCTCACATGCTGACTGTGAATTTAACATTTTAAAAACAGGTCATTCTTGGAAAACGTGGTTGGGAACTTCTCATTTATTAATGTAATCTTATTTTAGAAGATGAATGATGATCGCTTGTGTTTTCGACAACATACTAAATCCTGAGTAGAAATTTCTGATATTTAACCAGGAATGTAATTTTTATGTTGTAAAACTTCTTTAGAGCGTGTGGTTAGCGTTGGGGGTGGGGGGAGAGGGGAAGGCCATAGCGCCATGATGGAGAAATTTTCTCTCTTGGGAGAATGAACAAAAAGGAGGAGGAAGTTGAGGAACTAGTAGAAGAGGAAAATGTATGTTCAAAAGAATTTAATTCAAGGAATCAAAACTGACCTGGAATTCCCTGGTTCCCTCTAAGGGTGGAAAGAGTTTTTTGAAAAAGCAGGGTGTTAAGATGCTTTTCTGAAGCGAATTTAGCTGTAAATCCTCATTACTAACAGAGAAGGCAGTTATCCTCTAACAGCTGTGAACGACCCCATTGTTGCTATTGTTCTTCCACATCCTGTATTTGTTTTCTCCTGCCAGCTTCATTTAAAACGTTTTGTTCCCAGGCTGAGGACTTCATTTGAAGTATTGTTCAATCTCTAGCTTAGCTCTTAGTGTCAACACCTTCAAGCTTTTACCTGCAGATAGCAAACTCACTTCACAGTGACTTGATTAAAGCAAAGTTCGGAGTAGTGACAAGGAAATCCTCATTCCTCATCAGAATTTCTGTAGAATGATTTTAATTAAAAGAGATTTAAAAATCAAGAGTAATCTCTAAGGGGCCTCATCAGCACCTCCAGGAATGAAAAAAAAATCATTAAAATGTCTATGTAAAATGTGTCTATGTAATTGTTGCTTATTTCACTTAATGAATAGAAAAATACTATATTGTACAAACTTCAAATACATAAAATACATACTGAGGGTTCATTATCTGTGTCTTTGTAGGAACTTACAAATAATGACATAAAATGCCTTGGGAGGTATGTTTTTAAAAAATTGTTTTAAATCTTAAGGAGAAACTATAATATTGCTATCTAAATGCTTACTTATTAACATTTTAATTCATGAAAGAATGAGGAATATTAAGATACTGCAATATTCCACAGCAGAACTGCACAATGTGTTAACCTGTTGTAAGTCCAGCAGCTCTCAAATGAGAAACTGAAGTCTCCCATCAGATATCCTGAAACTCAGCCTCTTCTGTGGGGAGAAACTTTCCTTCTACCATTTCTCAGACACCATCTATCTAGCTTTTTGTCTTCCTAAGAGCCAAATTTTAGGTTGTCATTTTTGCCTTCTGGACTAGGTTGTTTTTAGCTTCCAAATTTGTTTAAAACCCAGACAATGAGATAACTGAGGGAGGGTGCAGGGCCTGATTTCAGAGTCCATGGCTTAGGCAGAAGGGGCTCTGGGCACCGTGAACCAACAGCAGCAACCTGGTTTAAAGCTCTCCTGGAAGAATCTACTGACAAAGACAAAAATGGAAGCTTAATATATTTCCAGGTGCCAATATATATTCCTAAAAACCCTAATTTGGTGTTCAGTAGAGTACAGAACATACATAATTCTATGGGAAAATAAGTTTTTATTCCAAAAACAGACTAAACGTGCTGAAACTGTACTTTTGAAATACACGACCAAAATTATGTGATAGACTTTTAAGGTGATGAAATCATTATTGAATCCAAATCTTGGGACAGCATTCACATTTCTAGGGGCCACTCCAGTTCAGCATATTTTATGCGCTAATCTGTAGTGGAAGGGTCTGAGATGCCCAGGGGATCCCTGCTGTGTTTGGGGATCTGGCCTGGGACCTCAGAGAAGACAGAGATAGTGATTTCAAGGACTCCTGAAAGATTTTGCACTCACAGTAAACTAATGGGTATCTTAGCTTAGAAAGGTGGTCATTCATGTACGTGTCAAATTATTGAGAGGCTGCTGTGTTCCAGGTAGTGTTTCAGATGCTAATGATACAGCGCTTAATACAACAGACAAAAGTCCTTACTGCCTTGAAACTAACATTCTAGTTAGTCACAAACGAGAAAATATGTAAAATGTACATATGCTGGATAGTGGTAAGTGCTAAGGAAACAAAAAAGTAGATGAGGGAGAAATGCAATGCCAAGTGGGTGTGAGGGAAAGAGTTTTCCAGGCAAATAAAAGAGCAAGTTCAAAGGCCCTGAGGCAGGAGAACACTGGTGTAAGGAGGTAGGAGGAAGGAGCCAGGAGAGGGCAGAGGAGGAGAAGAGTTCCCTGTGCCTGCAGATCCCAGCAAGGAGCAGGCTTTGCCAAGGAAGCAGTGGTCAAGTTATCAGTCCTTGCCCTCAAGGCACTTACATGGTTATGGGGGAAAGAGAGAAGTTAACTAACTACACGTGATAATTAAAATCATGGTAAATCCTGCAGAACTTCCCTAGGATCCAAATGAACATCGTCCTACATTCTATTTAGCCAGAGAGAGTTGCAAAGGTCTGAAGAATTAAAATTATATTTTGGTACATCAGGAGGGACAGCCTGGTCCACCGCTTGTCCTTGTGGCTTTTGTGATTGAAACAATCAAACCGATAAAATGGTGGCCTACTGGAGATGGTTCCTAACAACTGAACTGTGGTGACAGGAACAAAACAGCTTATTGGTCCCAGACTATCCATGCTGGACCTCTACCTTCAAATGGCAGTGAGGTGGGGTGGGATGGGGCGGGGAAGGTACAAAGGAACCCCGGGGGCTTAGTGACCAGGCCTCAGAGAGGTGAGGGGAAGCCTTTGAAGACATGTTTCTTTCACCCCCAAGTCACAGATGTGAGAACTGATATGGGAGTTGGAAAGGGATCAAGACGTGGGAAGAGAGTAATTTTTTGTTAATGGCTTTCCCAAAGGGATGAAAAATTCAACATGTTTGCATAAGGGCTCAGAAACAAGTCAGCAGTAGAGGAATATATAATAAACATTTCTATTTAGCCAATTTTCACATACAGGTAGTTAGCCATGAGCCGGGGCAGGAGAGGGCTCTTCGCCACCCACTAGGAATGTCGGGTGATGGTCTGGCAATTATCACATTGTCTCTCTAAAAGTGATAAATTGGCAGCCAATGCCAGGGAGAGGCCATTTCCTGATGGTCCACACCTGTTGCACTAAATGTTAACTGAATGCAGGCACCAGGGTCCCTGGGCATGCACATTAAGAGACCTAATGGCAGAGTATGACCTTCTGGGGGCACTCCACTGGAAAAGGGAAGAAAGCCTCAGATAGACATGCGTGCAGCTTCCTAAACACACTGCACAGGCTCAGTTCCCAAGGGTAAGGGGGGCAATGCACATGCCGGCAGCCCACCCTAAGGGAAGATGCATGGGAACGGGGCGAGCATATAAAGTCCTAGGATCAAGGTTAAACACCGCACTTGACCAAGATGCCTGCTTGGGTCTCTTCCAAGTGCAGTTTCCTTTTTTCTTGTTCTAAAGCCTTTTTCAGAAAACTTCCACTCCTGCTCTGAAATTTGCCTCAGTCTCTCTTTCTGCCTCATGCCCCCCAGTTGAATTCTTTCTTCTGAGGAGGTAAGAATTGAGGTTGCTGCAGACCATAGGGATTCACTGCTGGTAACTCGGATACCTTCCACTGGTAACATATTTGGTGCCGTGTGACTCAGGTATTTGCCACTGGTAACAGTCACATAGTACAGATAGATTATGTGGAAGAACTAGGGCCAGTGCAAGAGGCAAAGTTGCGATTATCCTCCACTAGAAAAATTTTACAATTAATTACCAAACTTGGGTATTGCTAACGCATCCAGCCCGCTGTTCCCAGTCAGAGGTTGGTCTCTCTCTTCAGAAGTCCCAAGACACCAGAGATTCATCATCCCTTGATACCTGACTACCAAAGCACCACATCTTGGCACTTTGTATCCCTCGTAGAGGATATTCTTCCTTCCCCCACAGCAATAGCTTCTGCAGAAGGCATTCCTTACACTTATTGTGGAGTTCCTGCAGAGGCAGGTGCTCAGTTTCTCTCACTTACACAGACTCCTAGTTCTTAAGTTGAATTTATGGTGAAAATGCAATAGTATTTAATGTTACAACCCATTTTACAGATATGAAAAATAAAGATTCAGAAAAGCTAAATAATGTGAGATAAATGCTGCGATGCTGATGTCTTTGACCCTCAACTCGCCGTTTCTTCCCAGGCTCCTCAATTTCACACAGTGTAGACAACTGCTCCCTCTAGACACTGGTCACGACCTAGGTTCTTAGAGGCTTCTCAGTTGTTTTGAGTTTAGGGGACTCCAGCTCTGTCTGCCCCACTCTGACCTGTGCTCTGTGTCCGTGGTCATGGACCCCTCTTCCTGCCTGGAGCATGGATGTGGGTCCTTCATCCTACAGCACAAGCCCCAACGCTTCATGTCATCAGCAGGCCTTTAAATGACTGGTACTTCAGAGGAAAATGCTCCCAGAAGGAGAGCCACTGTAGTAACCGGGTCTCTGCCAGGCGTGGAGGGTAGAGAGTACAACTGTAGGTGGTGAAAGCATAGGTTTTAGCATATCACACTGCCACAGCGTGTCCTAAGTAGGAGAGCTGAGGACCAGGAAAACGGATTAGGCCACCGTCATGGCAGGGGAAGCTGAAAAGAGGGCAGATGGCACCAGTCAGAGGTGCGGTGTTGTGCCCACAGTTACCAGCCTGCAAACCTCTGCTTTTCCACAACAGGATCCTACAAGCATCTTTCAGTAAATACCAAAATTGAAATGACCATGGTCTACCCTTGCCAGCCTTCCCCTTATATGACACCACCTGTGCTTCACAGAGGAGTAAAATAAATAAAGTTAGCTTCAGTTACTGCTGGCCCTCAGCTAACAGTCATCTAACTACTCATGGAGCTGGATTATAAAATGCTCACATGGGTGGCTGGGGAAACTGCCAACACATGAAGTCCTGAATCCCAGTTCTGGTGTAGGTATAGGGAGTGGGCAGAAAGCCACATGGGGCACGATCTCACAGCCATGCGGCAAATGCACATTCGCTCTTGGAACTCTGGTTGCACTGTTATTCTGCCTTTTTAGTCCCTTCTGTCATTATTCTTGGCATCAAGACTCAAGCTGACCTTTTTCTGATCCATCATCATCTCTGGCCTTCTAGGGCTGGGCCACAGACATGTTCTTTTGGACCAATCCCCGGGAATAACTCAGATTTTGTACAGAGGCTCATATGCAAAATATTAAGTTATGGCAGAATTTTTCTGCAAATATTTATTCTGCTTTGATACTGTAGTAGTTGTACTTTCCCCCCAAGCCTTTCACTTGTACCATAATTATGTAAAAATACACCATACAATTCAAGGTAGTTTTGGAAAATTAATAAAGAGAATTAAGACAGTTACAATGAGTCTTATTATCTGTGCCAACAGTGACGTAATAGCTAGGACACTGATGCTGTATACTTCTGAACATGAAACTAGAAACACAAACTCAGAGTAAACCTGAAGTCCTTGAATAAACAGAGAAGGAAGTCTCTAGGAAGACTGTGAGGCAGTTTGCATGTTATAAAAGGGAATAATATGAAAAAGTTACAATGTGTCTTTGGAGAAGTTGAGTTACACAAGTCCAAATCCTGCTGATCAAGGCTATAGTATGCTCCATGTTCCAAATTTACCATGAGAAAACTAACACCATACTGCCAACTAATTGTTTCAATACTTTCAATACTTCCTTTTACAAAACAAAAATGGAAGGATAAAAGTCAGCAGAGAACTAGCTGTTTTCATTGTGTCTTTACATCAATGTGCCTATTGAGACCAGCTGGAGCTGGCCAAGGCAGAGGAAGTGATCATTGGGTTCTGTGTCCCCTCTTATCTGTCATTAAGTGATTACATCCATGGCTCTGACTTCCCTATTGAGCAATTTAGATACTTGCCTGATATTTGACATCTATAGGTCACTAAAAGAAGTATTCCTCTTATTTCTAAATGTGAAAATGTTTATTTATACATGGGACATGGGTAGTTCTAGTACTTTAGTGACAAACTCACATAAATTGTCTGAAAGCTAATTTTGTCAAGCCATTAGCAGCACTTGAAAAAGAATGCATATCTGTCTGTGGATCTATCCAGACTACCATCTTTCTCACAGAAAACTAAATTACACAGATGGCCTTACAGGGTGACCAGTGTTTGAGTGACAAAGGTCTTAAGGGAATGCTCTCCATGGTGGTTTTTCGAAATAACTCTCAACTCTCCAGATATTTTCATAACTAATTTGAAAAACTAAGTGAAATGGGACATCTTCTAAACTTCTCTATGATTTAGAAGTTCTACAGAGGGAGAGGAGTAGTCAAGGAAGAAGCCAATTGATGGAACAGATTTGAAGAAACTGGCTTCCAACTAGCTGACAATTTGATTTGGTACATCAAGTGTAGGCTCCGTGATAAAGACCCTCTGTCCATGAATTAGTAAATTTGCAGGAACCATGTTTTTACTTGCGTGTTTTTCTCTGTAAAGAGGAGACTGCCCAACTGATGTACTGTGTATTTATACTTACTGATGCAGAACAGCATGATTCCATTGTGCTTTCTAAGGGCACGTCCAAGCCCTCACTGTGCTTTCAAATAGACCTCATGAAGAGCTCAAGCGCTGCTAGGCTTTCTTCTGCCCAGCTTCACCAGCATCATGGACTCTCTGGAAGCCCTTGACTCCTGGAGATGGGGAGGGTATGTGGTTTGTAGCCTCTCCACACTGGCAATCGCTGGCAGACCCTGTCATCTCTGTCTAGGGTACACCTGGTGACCTCCTATTTCCCTGGCCTTCACACCATGATGCTTCCTTGCAGAAAAAGAAAAAAATGGTGCAGATACCTGTGGCTAAGGCACAGGGGATAAAAAACAAAAGGAGTTTTGAAATTTGCCCCATTCTGTTTGGCAGTTTTGGGAAGTGCAAGTCAAGGAATTAAGACACACCTGGACAAATATATCTTTTAATTCCCACTCTAAACTATCTACTCAGCATACTATTGGTGCCAACCGATATTTTAAGTCAATATTTAAATATCTATATGTGTTATGGTAGGAATAGGATGACACAACTATACAAGCCGATGGGAAAAGAAAACAATTTCAAATTTCAGAAACCAAAAAGAGGAATTTCAGCATCTATTTTCGAGAGGTGGCAATAAGATGCAACTTGTGGACACACATATGGCATTTACAAACAAAAACAGTGTCTTAATATACTTAATGTTATAATATCCTTTAGAGATTATCTAAGTGAGAGAGATTTTACTAGAATTATGTTTATATTAGCTAGGAGACCTAAGTGCTTGTATTAGAAACACAAGATTTGAATTACAGAAGTTTCAACAAAGGTAAGGTATTAGCTATTTTGATCTGATTCTATTTATTAATATTCATAAAATATTTAGAGAACAAAGTCTTTACTGAAAGTTCCTGAAGATGGTATGTTAAGGTAAAAAATAAATTGAAGTGCTTAAGCTATGTGCTGGTATATGCATAAAATTATGGTAAATATTTGAGATCACTAAGTAAAGGCTTCCAGGATGCCCAAACTTATTAATAACTAGAAGATTGCATGAACACATGTTTTTCAAAGTTTTGATATTTTCTTATAATATTAATCCCTTTTAAAATGTGCTAATTAAAAAAAATAAGACATCATTATATCACTTTAGCGTGTGGCTTACAGAATCCCAAAGGTATCACATGAAGATAGCTCCTTCTTAGTGAGTACAATGTTAATAAATATGATATGTCAGTTTCACTGTGCGTGGAGTTCCTTCTTTCTCACCATGAATGCCTTCTTTACCACATGATATTAAATATATTTGTCACCATGAATGCCTTCTTTACCACATGATATTAAATATATTTGTCTTTATTCACACTCTCAACCTTAGGGTGAGGAAAAGAAAGTCTCACTTAATGAAAGCCAGAAAGAATTGAAAATAAACTTTTAAACAAAATGAGCTTATTTAAAACTGTTCAACACTGAGTCTCTAAAGGTAATGGATTAATCCATTAACTAATCCATTACCTTAGTGACTCAGTGTTGAACAGTTTTAATATAAGGATAATTAAAAGATAATAGCATATATTACATTTGATCTAATGATATCAATACTTGTAAATTTCTTTGCTTTTTTAAAAGTATACAATAAATACTATCTCGTACAAGATCCGTCTTTTATTAAGTTATGTTTTATGCAATAGTAAGAGGTATTTCAATGCATTCTATGTCCCTACCGCTGACATTGTACACAAAAGGTTATGTCCAAATGCACAGCTTTATTTATGGTTCAGTTAATTTAAGAGAACATAGAATTTTACAAATTTGTATCATAACCAGTGCAAACCTTCATATACCACACAGGGCAATGCATTAGTGTTTGCTGACAATGCCAAATTATATTGTACAATTTTATCATTAAAATATTACACATATTTAAAATGGTATATAACAAAGTATGAAGATAAAAGACTAAAGGCTGAATTAATGTGTAAGCTAATTATCATTCAGAACATTAAAAAAACTCAGCACACATCTAATATAAATATCATTTTTTTTTGGAACAGCAACTCAGAACTACTCTTAAGAATGAGCCTTTGATTTACTGCTGAACTTATTTCTCAATTTTCAACGGGCTTGCTCATCATTTTTGCAAACATAATTTGTCACTGGCAACAGTGTTCTTTGTAACTCCTGTTTCCTTTCTTTTAGATCTATTATTCCTGCTGAGAGAATCTACTAAAGAAGAATTTTTCATAGTGACAGCAACTCTAGGCTTGCTGTGAATAATCACAATGTCATAAAAATCATTCTTTTTATTGCAAACTTGCTGCCAGAAGCATGGAAAAATATTCAGACCGAGAGAACTTTCATCCTTTTCTGCAACGGCTTTCTTTTAACTTTCATGGCCATTTGCAGAAAGTGAATCGCATACCAATTTATTCACAAAGCATTTAACTAGAGCTTTCATTTGCACAAAAATATTTGTTTCGCTCATATAAAACAATGAACTATAAGCTCCAATATTAAATAGGTCATACATTATTTTTTTTTCTGGAGCAATTTCCCACTCCTCCTAAAATCATTTGCAACAAATATTAGTTTCTGTTTAATGCCATTACATGTCTATAGATTCATCTTTAACTACAAACTATATGTCAATGCATTTTGTAAAGAAATATTTTCTTGTAATTAACCTTTTTAAATGTCTTTTTCTTTTGCAGGGGTGAGAGTGGGGTTGAAATTTTGAAGTTTAAAAGAGGCTAATTTATGAACTTCAGTTAACTTATACTGCTAGATAATTTTCTAATAGTAAGAAACACTCAATTTTGCATAAAAGAACATACAGCTCAGAATAAATCAGGCCCAATCATATCCTTAGTTAATAAGTTAATAAAGATTTTTCCAAGCTGATTTTCTCTGCCATGTAATTATTACTGACTCCAGAAAGAAAAATATGCAGAACCGGACATAGGCACTTTTTAAAAAGCAGTTCCCTGTGAGCTGCAGGAAGGGTTCCATCATCACCTCCCTCACTGTCAGACCCTGGCGGCGAGGAGAGGACCTTGGAGGGGCACTTTCCTACTCAAAAAATTCTCTCCTCTAAGTATCCGTGGGTCTGAAATTCCACCACACAAAATCATCCCTTCTGAATCTTCTTTTGTAAGACAAAGACTTCAGGTAAGAGTGAACTATTTAAGCTCCATTGCCTTGGTGTGAACTGCACTATGAGATAAATTTCTTCCAGCATGGGGAGCCCTGGTGTGCCTGCCCCCAAATCATTGGGTGTTAAAAGGGGAAATGGAGTTGGCTGCCCGAAAGGAAAAAAAAAAGGGAAAGTTTTGTCTATACTCATAATTTCACTCCCTATAAAAACATCCCTCTTCTCAAGAAGTATAATTTAGAGCTATAAATAATCATGCTTTGGTTGTTTATATGTTATTCAGGAAAATATTATGTATCATTAGAATAGCATGAGTATTATGTGTGTTATATATTAAACTGTAGCAGTGTCACTAGAAAATACATAACCACATGTTCTCGATTCTTTCATTCATTTTCTCATGCATTCAACTAATAAGGACTGAACACCTATGTCTATTCCAGGCACCACACACACAAAAATAAATGAGATGCAGATCTTGCCTTTACGGTTTTAAACATGGGGACTGGCTAGAGAGAAAGGGTACAGTGACTGTCACTATGATTTTCTGTCAGGGAAGGTACTAGATTCTTGTAAAGCCCTTCCTCTTCCAACCCACCCTGGGCAGCACGTTCAGATACATTTTTCTGAAAGTAGGTTTTGCTGTTCCAGGCAAGGCAGTCTCCAACAAAGAGCAAAAGCATCTAGCGGGAGGGGAGACAGGGAATATGTTTTACTTCTGTTTTAGTCCATCTCCCTCAATAGATGTATTAGAAAAATTAAATTGGAAACACTTAATATATTTCTATGCAATTGAGCATTCAAGGGCCTCTATAATGAGCCCTAACCTTACCAATGTGCCCATCCCTCACATTCTATCATGAACAGCCTGCCTCCCTGCACCAGACAATAGCTGTGTCTACTGCTTGCTGGAATGCCTTCTCTCTCCCTCAAGGCAGTGCTCCTCCATTAAGTTTTTATTGGTTTCTTTCCCTTCTCCATCCCTGACATACTCTCTGCAACCCACAGTCTCAATAATAACTACCATTATTGACAGACTACAGTCTTTGTGTCATGTGTATTTCACGTTCTTTCCAATTCTCCTGAAAACTCTGCATTTGATGAATAAGCAAAGACTTACACAGACAACTTCTGTGTACACTACCAGATAAGAAACTCTTTGAAGAAAAGACCATCTTTCACGTGTCTTTTTTTCCTACTTATTTTCTAACGCTGGACCAAACACATAGATATCATGGACTGAAACCTTCTAGGTTATCTGATTGACAGGATTTGATTATGAAAGAATTGATGACCCAATCAGTTAATAGATAATGTTAGTGCATTTTGTCATTGAAGTTAGTTTTGTGGAAATAAATAATTTTGATTATAAAATGACACATACTCATGTAGAAAATTTGTGCAGTACTAAAAAACGTATAAAAGAATTCATCTCCAATTCCATCCCTCAGAAGTAACCACTGTAACATTCTTCTAGTCCAAGCTGTTTCCTACCAATTGAAAAGGATGATATCTTGGACAGAAGAGTTCCCTTTAACTTTCTGACAAAATACCAATTCCAGAAGTTAATTCTTAGTTGATTATTTCTGAAGAGGCAAAAGATTATAAAATAATGTTGATCAAAAGCAACATGCTCTCCCCATACCCCGACCGTCCACCTGCCTTACAAAGGAGTAGCACACAATTAGCAGTGAGAAGGATCCAGCATTTAGAAAGCCTTTCTTTAGAAATGCTGCTAGAATACTGAACTGAGCCCAAATAGAGGCCCTATTGTAGCTGCACTGAAATGGGAGAAGTCTCCAGGGACTGCAACTTAAACACATTTTGGGGAAGTTGAAGTTACAGGCATACAGGCCTTCTCTTGCACTATTCAACCTTAAAAAATAAAAAAAAAAGGTCTAAGGGCACCTTGAATTCCTTTCTCTACTAAGCAAACTTCCTATGAAGGTAACTGAGGAAAATCTGGCTCTACAAAGCAGTGACTCTCTCCCAGATTGAAGATTAGCAAGCACCTGTCAAAATCCAAGATCTAAACCAAAAGCCTGTCATAGGTGACACTGACAGGTCCATTTCACACGACTTTAAAATAAACTGAAGCAATCCAGCAGACTGTGTGAGTGCTGAAGTGGTATTTCCATTCAACAAGAAAGGAAGACACTCTGTTATTCGCTGAGGCACCACTATGCTGCAGGCACCGGCCAGGAGCTCCAGATTCTGTTGTCTCCCTTAACTCCACACCTACCTGTCACCCTCTCTGAAGCCAGTCAGGGTTGACTGTGTGGAGGCCATACATTAGCAGGAAGCTAGGACTGAACCCAGGTCTCTCCACCTCTGAAGTGTTTACTGTCCCTTCAGACCACACTGTTCCTGGTAGCTTCACCCAACAGAATAGAGAAACTATGGCGAAACTAGGAAAGCAGTTTCATGAACAGGTTAATTAACAGCCTGTTGGAATAACTGCTGCTCCAAATGGCCACAGTTGCCTCACATAAATCATTTAATTTTCTGAATCTGGAATTTTCAATACATATTTGGATTCTGTGTTTCTAAACTAAGACATAACTCTTCTTTTTCATTCAATATATTCTTCCTGGGAAATCTTAACTGATGTCAGAAATGATGGCTTCCAGCTTCTGTTTTCTGAGCTGCAGATCTGTGCATACACCTGCTCACTGGACTCCACTTGTGTGTCCAACACACACTTCAGGTTCAATATCTCAAATCTGAATTCAGCATCTTCCTTCCAGAGCCAGACCATTCTCCTGGGTTTTCTATCTCTACCTTATTGCTCAAGCCAGAAACTAAGAGACTGGCTCACTGAATAGTTACACGGAATAGATCTGCAAATCCTACCCAGACTACTTTCTCAGTAGCTTTCACATCAGCCCCTGTTCTCTGTCTCCACAAACAAATGCCACTGATTTCTCATCATTATTGACCCCTTTGACTTTACAATACAACTCATCTCCTTGGTAGTGCTATAAGTTCTTTACTGGTTACCCTCGGCATCCATTGTAAAATCCAATTCCCTTAGCAGAGTGTGCAAAACCTTTGATGACATGGCTTCTGTCTTTCTTTCCATTTTCTCATCTCACAAGCACTCTCTGTGTGTTCTGTGCTTTATACCTACACAGGCTCTGTTCCTAAATGTCATGCTTTCTCAAGCTCAATGTTTCTTCCTGGGGAAGTCACTGCTCCAACACTCTGCCTTGCCACCTCTCCCCAATCTGGGATAGCCATCCCATCTCTCAGACTCTAGCTAATGACCACAGACATCTCCATCATTGCTGTGATGGAATTATTCTTTCACTTTTCTGTCTCTACCCAGTATCTGGGCTCCTTGACAGCAAAGAATGTGTTTCATATTTTATCCTCAGTGCCTAGCTAGTGTCCAGAATAGAGTGAGCATGAGGACATTCAGCGCAAAGTAGCTCTTTTTAGTCTGTGATGTAGGGACTGCTCCAATATTATTTTATCGTTGTTCATTACAACAACATGTCTTTCTGTCCACTCTCTATCTATTGACCTACCTCTCAACATTTCCAAAATAGATTTTAAGTTGCCTGGGCAACTATGGCTTGCAGGTTTGTAAGACACAGTGAGAAAGAAAGCTTTCAAAGAATACAGTCAAGAAAGCCCCATCCAGTTATTAGGCCCCGCTCCATAGCATCCTTGTGTGACAGCAGCAAGGTGTTATTGACTTCCTTTCCTTTGCTAAAAAGGAATAGCCAGGTTCTCTGACTTGGCTAGAAAGGTTTTGTGCAATGATGTTTGCAAAAGAAAACCTGAGTTTCAACCTCAGCTTTACCATCACCTAACCAAGTGGCTTTGGGCAACAACCACCTCCCTTCAATTTCCCACATGTGTAAACTGCAGATAATAAGATTGAATTCACAGTGTTGATGGAGTCAGTGCTTTTGTACTGACATGAGAAAAGTTTCCCAAAGGACTGCTGCCCCCTGCCTCCTACTTCACTAAGGACGCCCAGCAGCCTGCACTGTCAGTCCAAGCGGCCTGAGAAGGGGAGGCTCTGCTCCACAGTGACTTCACACCCAGCCAGGCTCCGCTGCATGCCGTGACACCACCAGCAAGTTCCATGAGCCATCCTTCAAAACATGAGGTAGGAAGACAACGAGTAAAAGGACATTTATCAGCACAACCAAGGAAACGTGTCTTTTTACACGAAGCCAGCATCCTCATTTTCTATGAGGGACAGCACACTGTGACGGGAACCAGATACAGTAGCTACTTAACTGCCAACAGCACACCTCCCGGCATGCAACTGGGGGTGGGAGGAGCCCATGAATAAGGATGGACCCAAAGAAGTATTCTGTGATCTACCTGGAGCAGGGGCATTTGCCACTGACAGATGTTTTTTCTTTTTTCTTTTCTTTTTTTTTTTTGGTGTGTCTGGTGTGATTTCTGTTGGAATTCTACAAGAGAATTTGGCAGCAAACCACTTATTTTCTCATGCCCTTCATTCCCTCGTCCCTCCTTAAGTCACTTTCCCTTCGTCCCCTACAGCCTTACAGGGCTTGACCCAGCATTCTGCATGTAGAAGACACTCAATGGACAATAACAGCAGCATAGACTTCCTTAGTGCTTCCTGCGAGCCAGTGCTAGTTGTATGCACTTAACAGATTTTAACTCACGCAATTCTCACACTGACCCGATGAGGTATATCATCATCCAGTTTTACAGATGGGAAATTGAGGCATAAAGGGGGCCCTCACGAATGAATGAATTCACCAGTTCCACCTCTGGTGTCTCTAGAACTGCAAGCTAACAAACCACATAAACAACACTGGGCTTTGAGTCAGGCTGGAATAAGAGAGCCATGATTACATTCAGCATTTTCCTAATTATAAGAAACATTACATATAGAAAGTAAAAACAGAAAATTTCTCTTATCCTACTATCTAGAGATAAATCAGTGTTTATTGTTGAAATTATTTCTGTATCATTTTAAATATAGAAAGCCTTTGTTTTCTGCCGGGTGCGGTGGCTCATGCCTGTAATCCCAGCACTTTGGGAGGCCAAGGCGGGCAGATCACGAGGTCAGGAGATCGAGACCATCCTGGCTAACACAGTGAAACCCCGTCTCTACTAAAAACACAAAAAATTAGTTGGGCGTGGTGGTGGGCGCCTGTATTCCCAGCTACTCAGGAGGCTGAGGCAGGAGAATGGCATGAACCTGGGAGGCAGAGCTTGCAGTGAGCCGAGATTGTGCCACTGCACTCCATCCTGGGCGACAGAGTGAGACTCCGTCTCAAAAAAAAAAAAAAAAGAAAAAAAAGAAAGCCTTTGTTTTCTTTTGATATACATACCTTTGTTTTTTAATCCCCAAACTGGAACCACGCTGCATATCATTTTATAACATACCTCTTCTATGTATATTGTGTCTTGACATTAAGGATTTTGAAAATCTGACTTAACGTAATATGAAAGTCTAATATCTTGGGTGTTTTAATTGTTAAGATTGAGATTAATCTTCATTTACTTTTAAAAGTTAACTTTTCTAAATAATAAAGGTAATGCTCATCATTGACTACTATTAGAAAAATTTGAAAATAAGTAATTAAAGAAAACATATGAGAGCCTTCCATGTACCAAATCTTGTGTCAGGAGCTCAGGATTTAAGTGGACAAATCCTGATTCCTGGCCTCAAGGGATTTCCCAGTGGGGGGTAGACCGAGGTATGCAGAAAATCTTAATAAAGTGCAGTAAATATTTTTATAGCAAGAACCAGCTCCTTTGATCATGACCAAATCCCCACTCCTGGACTGCACTGTACCTGCAGACTCTACCTGCCTTCTTATCTAAGACCCACCATGTAACCTGTGCTCCGGATTTCATTCTGTCTTGCTATCCAAGGACTTCTTTCCTGTAGTCATTCTCCTTGCCATACCACATGTATTTTCCTTCCTATGGAATCATTCCTGCTGACATCCAGACATGCCTAAATATCTTTTATTTAAAAATGAAACCACCTTCCCTTGATTCCATGATGCCTTCCACACACCATAGCCCATCTCTTTGTGTCTGTCTCTGTGGGAATTCTTGATCCTTTCTGTCTTCACTGTCAGCCCTCATCCTCTTCTCAACCCATTCCCATCTGGCTGATGTCTTCCACTTCATTGACATGGTGCTTATCAGGGTCATTAACAGCCAACATTCTTGCCCAATCTAACAGTCGCTCACTTCTCTGTCCTCATCTTACTTGACTTTGGCCACATTTGACACAGGAGTATACCACTCCCTCCTTCTTGAAACACTATTCTCCAGGTTTCTGTGATAGCTCATACTTTTCCACCTACCTTGTGGAATTCTCTCTACCATACAATTCTCTCTTCAAAGCTCTTCTTCTTGGCCCTATTTCTAATTGTTGGTACCAAAATGCTCAATCTTAGGCCCCCTTCTCAATTTTTCATTCCTTCCCCTGTGCCATCTAGTTTTATGGCGTCGGGACTCCCAAAACTATACCTTCAAATTTGCCTCTCTCTTCTGAGATCCAAACCTGTATGTCTACCTGCTTATATGTCATCTCTTGACTTGGATGTTGAATATGTATTTCATACTTAATACACTCAATACAGAATGCTTGAATCCAACTCCTCCCCAGCCACCCCCCAAACACACTCTTCTTCAGAAGTGTGATCACTTTTCCAGTACTCAAGGCAAAACCTAGTGCTCATCCTTGATTCTGCTTTCCCTCCCCACCTACGTCTGATCCATTAGCAAATTCTGCCCATATTTCCATAAAAGGATACTGTAAGTCCTGTGACTTCTCACCACATCCAGACTGCTATATCCTCAGCCCTAAGCTAATGTCCTCCTAGGCTGGCTGAGACAGTCTCTTAATTGGTCTCATTGGTTTCACTCTTGCCCCGATTCCATTTGATAACCAGACTGATGTTTTAAAAGTGTAAACACTATTCTATCATGTCCATGCTTAAAACTCTCCAATGGCTTCGCACTGCAATTAGAAAAAAAATATTCTTTACCATGGTCTACAAGACCCTTCATCATCTGGACCCTGCCGCTCTTCCCTAGTTACTCTGTCTCAGCCACACTGGGCATCTTTCACTTCCTGAAGGAGTGAAACTCATTCCTACTATTGTCCTCCCAAAATGACTTCCTACCATATCCTTGCAGTTGCTTCCCTCCCAGCTTCTCCCTTCTTGACAAATGTTACCTCCTCAGAGACATCTCTTCCTGATCATCTCAGCTAACAATGCCCCACTCCAATTCATCCCTTAGCCAATACTGCTTGATTTGCTTCATAGCACTTATCTCTGCCTGCAAGTGTTTTGTTTACATACTGTTTATTCCTACTTCTCTTCCACAGCACTAACTCCATAAGGAGAATGTCCTTAATAAAGTCATTGCTGTATCCCCAGTAGTTAGAACTGTGCCTAGGTACTTAATGGTTATTCAATAAATAGGTATTGAATATTGAATGACGGAAAGAAATGACAAAGTCTAAAAAGACTACTGGATGCGATAGCATGTCGGTTCTGAAACATCACAGAAATATAGCATTTATAGCCCCAACACCCAGAAATAACCACTGGCAACTTGTAAATATTACCTTTAATATGTCATAGACATTAAATCAGGATTATATACTATCATTCATTTTGTAGACTGATCACTTTTAAACTTGAAAATATATCGTCGTGGCTTTTAAAAAATGTATTCCCTTCCAGTTTTTCTTTAGTATGCCATACGTGTTGAATACAAATTTTACTCTTTATTTTATTTTTTTGAAATAGTCTCACTCTGTCACTCAGGCTGGAGTGCAGTGGCACAATCTTGGCTCACTGCAACCTCCACCTCCGGGTTTGATTCTCCTGCCTCAGCATCCCGAGTAGCTGGGATTACAGGTACACGCCATCACGCCCAGCTAATTTTTGTATTTTTAGTAGAGATGGGGTTTCACCGTGTTGGTCAGACGGGTTTCAAACTCCCGATCCCAAGTGATCTGCCTGCCCCAGACTCCCTAAGTGCTGAGATTAAGGCATGAGCCACAGCACCTGGCCGAATTTTACACTTTTTAAATATGCCATACATGTTGAAGAGGTATGACATGTTGAATAGGCTAGATTGTATCTTAGAGCTAATTTTTAAAACTTGAAATCGACCATGAATACCTTCCCTATATACAATAAATTGTCTTAAAACAAGTTTTATGAGGATGTATTTTAATTTATTTCATTTTTAATCTGTTATTGGATATTTAAAATATTTCTCTATTGTAGTGGTAAAAAAACCATGGGGGGTGGGTATATTATGGGGTTGAGTGGATTTCTGGAAAGTGTCAGACCTGAGCTAGAATCTGCCACTCTACAGTTGTGTGACCTTAGACAAGTTTTCTTTTACCTATCCTAAGCTTCACCTGGCTCCTCCATAAAATTAAGATATTAATAGTGTTACTATAGTAGAGATATCATGCTGTTAAATGGAATAATGTATGTAAAAGATATAGGACAAGTGTTTGACAAATGCTTATTGCTATTATCTTAATTATCTGTAATTCTATTTTCTTAGAAGTGATGCTAAAAGTGGAATTTTGAGTAAAAGGATCAGCACATCAAAGTTCTGAATACATATTATGAAACTGCTTTTCTGAAAACTTGTATCCCTTTATATCCTTACCAGCAATGTACACAAGTTTTCATCTTACTGCATTGTAGATCATGTTATTTATTTTAAACCTTTGCCTATTTCATGTGCAAGAGGCTGTTTGACTTGACATTTCTTTTCTTTTTTTTTTTTGAGATGGAGTCTCACTCCGTCACCAGGCTGGAGTGCAGTGGCATGATCTCGGCTTACTGCAACCTCCGCCTCCCGGGTTCAAGGGATTCTCCTGCCTCAGCCTCCAGAGTAACTGGGATTACAGGCTCACACTACCATGCCCAACTAATTTTGGTATTTTTAGTAGAGATGGGGTCTCACCATGATGGCCAGGCTGGTCTCAAACTCCTGACCTCGTGATCCGCCCTGATTGATTATTAGAAGTGAAATCCAACATTTTTCGTCTGTAGCTTGATAATTTGAATGCTTTTCTCTTGTGAATTATCTGTTCATGGTCTTTGCTCATTTCTTCTGTTGAGCTATTTCTTTACCTATTTCTTAATGAATTGCAGTAATCTTAGTTCTTTGATTGGTTATATTTGGCTCAGTTGTGTCTTTAATATTATCTGTGGCTTTTAAAAATAGTATTTGTCTCTGACTACAGAAGAAATAAGCATATGCTTTACAGAATTTGGGACATACAGAAAAGCATAAATAAAAAAATAATAAAACCACAAATTCCATAAACAATCAATGTTAAACTTCTACGATTTATATTTCCATAAGACAGTCAACATATATTTCCATTATTTATGCAATATATATTTACTGGGTCCTCCTATGGGCCAGGTCCTGTGCTAGAGAAATTAGCAGTGAATATATTATACATAGGGTATACATTTTATAATAGAATTGTGAGCCAACAATATGTGTGTATATTCCTCAAATATTAGTTTTTAAAAATTAACTTTTTATTAAACAAATATTACAGCTCAATGAATTTCTATAAACTAAATGCATGGGTATAACTAACACCCAGATGAAGAAACAAAATATGATGGATTTCATAAGTTAGAAATGTTTATTGTTATAAATTCTTGCCTTTATCTCTGATTAGTAAAAAGTCCTAGATGTATAATTGGTACAAATGGTATTAACCTTTTATAGGATCTCAATACTTATTTCCAAATGGCCATCTGAAGATTTTGACTTATTTAGTCTTTTCATTTACCTATATATTCTCCTTGTGTTTCATTCTTTCATTTTTTAACTGTTTACCTATTTTAGCATAGAAGCTGAATAATCTATTACTTCACTATTAATTTGCTTGGTTTTATTTAAAACATACACAATTTTTCTTTAAGTTGGGTCTGTGCCTGAGCAGTTTGTTTCTTCTCTCATACTTAGTCCAATGTCAACATTAGGCCGCATAATTCTTCACGCTATTGTAGAATTATAAAACATTTTAATAATTGGTTCAGTCAGACATTCATTTCCCATGTTTTGTCAAAAATTGCTAGGTATTTTTGCTGATTTATCCTTTCAAATAGAACTTAGAACAATTTTTTCATATTACAAAAATGAGAAAGAAAGACATCTCATTTATTGAAACCTTCCTTTATATCTCTCAGTAAGATGTCACAGGTTTATTCATATATTCTTCACAAATACTTCTTATAAGGTTTCTTCCTAAATTTCCTTTTATGATATTTTTTGTTTTTGTGTTTTAGTAACTACCGCTATTTTAAATTATAATTAAAATTTCAAATCAATTTGATTTTTGAATTCTATATTTCTTCATTTTTCTGAAGGCTGTTGTAAATTCTAAGAATATTCTAGTTGATTTTCTTCAGTCTTCTACATATCAAATTATCTACAAAAATAATTTGAATCTCTTTCATTTCATTAAGTAAAGCTTGTGTCTTATTGTACTGTCCAAAATTCCTAGAATACTGCTGAATAATAGTGCTGATAGAAGGCATTCTTATCTTGTTTTTACTTGTAATGACAGTTTGCTTCCAGTATTTTACTGCTAAGTACAATGTTTGCTATCAGTAGAATATAAAGTATTCAGAGTATAAATTTATTTATAATATATTATCTTTTACTGTGTTAAATAGCTATATTTTAAGACTGTTCTGATGAAAATCAGAGTTAAGGAAATCTTTAAATATACTTTTATATTTCTATTTTTAACTTCAGATAAAATAAAGATGACAATCTTATAAGAAATGATGAAGAAACAAGAAGAGCAATAAAAATTATTCATTAGTAATAATAAAATATGGGCATTGTTTCTTTTTGGCCATTAGTTACAATGCAGCTAAACTCAATACGCATTTATTATGACTAATAATCATTTCTTGCTTAAAAAACTTATTTTGTCCTCCCCACCCTAAACTGAGGGTTTTGATGTTACTCTTGTCAACTAAGGAAATGCACAAGGCTGAACAACCTACCTGAAAACACAGGAAGGCAAAGTCAACTCTATTATCTTCTATGAAGAAGGAAACAAAAATCGGTATTCTAGTCTAAGACAACACATAACAATTCAGTCTAAAGGATATCCATTTCATGGTCAACATATATAAGGCAACATTCTGAGTGTTATAAGGGATGTTTACTAGGATTTAAAAAATGTGGTCCTTTATGTTTGCTGAATTTGTCAGGAGAAAATCACCAAGTATACCAGTCTGTGTACAGGGTTGAAAATGACAAGTGGCATTCCATATGTGTGTACATATACATAGGGACCCTTAGGTTTGGACTGTAATTATCCATATGCTCACACCCTTTCATATGGCTACTCTTGGCTTGTGGAGGGGTTTGGAAGCAGCAAAGAACTACAGTGTCTTCCTTGCAAGCACCTGTGAGATCCTTTGGCAGCAGAGAACCAGAGCTCTAGCATCCACACAAAAGCTGAACATAGAGCATCAGAGTTTCTTCTTTATTTATAGAGAATAAAGGACTTTCTAGGTGAGTTATATTTTCCCAACTTGAGAAATCAACTTCTGAATCGGATTAAATATTTCACACTTTTTGGAAGCACAAACAGTATGTCAGTACCAAGTGCTTTACTTGAAATCGAAGTTTCTTAACATTGGCGTAACTGATATTTTACAGAAAGAATTTTTTCCTAGCTAAAAATAAACATAAATAACACATATTAAAATAATTTATAGATGATAACCTAAGTTTTAAAGTAAGAAAATATTATTGCAACTTTAAAGACTGAATTAAACCAAGGGATAATCTTCTCTTTGCTTTACAAGAAAAATCATTGCAGCTTTCTCCTTTTACATAATGCTATTACCTAAAGACCATCCACAAGCCCCTTTCCTTGGCCCTGGACTCATCAAACTCATACTCTAGTGGGACCAGAACTTTCTGCCCCAGGCCTTTTTTTTTTTTTTTAATAGAAAGGGTGAAAACAAGGGGCAACAAGTCTAGGTGTTCAAATATCAGACCCGGGCTAGGAGTCTACATATTGAAGGCCCCAAGGAATATTCATGTTGTAAATCTTGATGCAAAGAATGCTCTGGTCTGCTCCAACTAAACAATGCACTGAAAGAGTGGAGAGGGGAGTTTAGAACAGCTTTGCTACTAACGGGGTGAGCGTGGTATGTGCAATAGTTTCATGTGCCACCATCTCACAGACACGAGAGGAGGGTTCCCACTCTTCCCAATCCTTACTCTTCAGGGGTAACGGGTGACCCGAGACCAGAGATCTGGTTCCTGCTGACTCTTAAAGGTCACTCTGTCAACATGGGTTAGGATGGCAACCATAATGCCAGTGAAATCATATTCCTTAACCAGACAGAAGAAGAAAATTCAACATGAACTTAAAGCATTATTTTTATTTAGACCTGTATCCATCTTCATAAAATATTTTCTTCTAACTGTGGAAAAATCCAGCAGGAGAACTGACCAGCAGCAGGTTAAACTGAAATATTATCGTATGCTGAAGGCCTTTCCTCACTCCGTTTGAAGGTTGCCTTTCAATAAAAAGCTAACAGAAAGAACTCTTTCTCCAACCAGTCAGAAAGAGTCATACTTTACCAAAGAAGCTGAAAAAACCTCCAGTTCCATACTGTCATTCATAAAAAATGACTTCCATATAGGCATCATCGTATTGCACATGGAGAGTTTTTTTGTAAAATGATATGCAGGACGTTAGTCAGACTTAGAAATAGGAAAGCCAGACGTACACTACGGAACTAAAGTCGAAACCCTTCTCTTGGGGGGAAAATATTATTTCCTAAGATAATTATGTCTCCCTGTCACTCATGTTCCTTCATACGTCAAACATTTTTTATGGTACAGAAAACATTTTTTTCTCCTTTTTGTTTTTCCTGGTGTGTCAACAGAATTGATATAAATTGTGATTTTCTTTAAATTAAAAAAGTCACTAAGTGAGATTACAAACAAGACTTATGAAACTAAAATGAATTAACTTAGTTCTTAGAGTTCGATTAAGATATTTCTAAAGTACTTCAAAAATTATACCTTAAATTTTCTAAATCATATCCTAATAACCATTTTAAGCATGTACACTGATTCATAATATGACAAATGTTACTGAAAGCCCCTCACAGAGGGGGTGTATTTCACTAGTCAGAATGTCTTATTAAGCAAGGAGTGAACTAACCAAATTATACCAAGAGATAGCTGGCAAAAGCTAAGATTTAGAAGAAAATAAGACCAAAAGTCAACAATTAGAGTTCAGGCATCATACTTCAAGCTAACCAAGAGACTATTAAGCTCCTTGAAATTACTTATGCTATAGACCTTACAAAGCTAAAAACATGTAACTTAAATATATTAAAATATTCATGTCCCCTACCACTATCCATTGCTAGTTGGAGTGTGAAATCAGGCATTACCACATCACTTCTCCCTGATGAGATAATTCTGGTGTTCTTAGGAGCATTATGCCAATAGACATTTTTTTTTTTTTGCCAGAAAATAATTTTACTTTTTATTTTGAAGAAAACATATTTGCAATGACCAGTCCCAGGTTTGTTGAATTTCAAAAATATAAAATAAAAGATTGGCCTGGGAGCAGTGACTCATGCCTGTAATCCCAGTGCCTTGGGTGGGTGGCCGAGGCAGGTGGCTCACCTGAGGTCAGGAGTTTGAGACTAGCCTGGCCAACATGAAGAAACACCGTTTCTACTAAAAGTACAAAAATTAGCCACGCATGGTGGTGTGTATCTGTAATCCCAGCTACTTGGGATGCTGAGGCAGAATTGCTTGAACCTGGGAGGCAGAGGGTGCAGTGAGCTGAGATGGTGCCACTGCACTCCAGCCTGGATGACAGAGCAAGACCCTATCTCAAAAATAAAATAAAATAAAAAATATTGAAATAAGTAAAAAACCAATTTATTTTTTAAAATATTGTACAAATCTAGGGCAAGTAAACAATTTCCAAAGACAGACTAAATGAATCTTTCATTTATACTTTTGTTAATATCCCTAACATAAAATCAACTTTTGTAAGGCTACAAGCTTAAACATTTTCCCATGATTGTTTTATATATTTGGTTGAATTATACCTTCATTCTCTTTTCTACTTTACCTCTACTAAGGAATAGTCCTCATGCCAAAAATAGAATCTGATATTTCAGTAACTTCATAGACTGCTTTTTCTTTTTCTTTTGAAATTTGGGTTTACAGAAAAAAATACATCTCCTATACCCTAAAAACCTAGAGCTTTTAATATATTTGAGTAGTATTTCAGTCTCTATATAATCAGTGTAAATAACGTCAATAAACAAAAATCTGATTATACTACATTGAAATTGAGTTTGGAAGTTTTTTGGTCTATATTATAACAAGTTATGACTGCCTAACATCTCACTTTTCACCACCTAATTTTGGCACTGTATAAGCAAGTTTTGGCACTTTTTTTTTTTTTTTTTTTTGAGACAGAGTTTTGCTCTTGTTGCCCAGGCTGGAGTGCAATGGCGTGATCTCTGGCTCATCGTAACCTCTGCCTCCCGGGCTCAAGTGATTCTCCTGCCTCAGCCCCCTGAGTAGCTGGGATTACAAGCATTGGCCACCACACCCAGCTAATTTTGTATTTTTAATAGAGACGGGGGTTTCTCCATGTTGGTCGGGATGGTCTCGAACTCCCAACCTCAGGTGATCCAGCTGCCTCTGCCTCCCAAAGCGCTGGGATTACAGGCATGAGCCACTGCGCCCAGCCAAGTTTTGGCATTTTTAAGAAGGTACAGAGTTTTAAAACAATAGGAAATTACTACAAATTTCTTCTTGATGTTTGTTATTAACACCTATTAACATCAATAAAGGTAACAAGATTGTACCCAGGACAAAAAATCAGTCTACTCTGTATCTTTAGAAACAAATGGAAACTTAGGAAAGGCATTTTTTAACATACCAGTAAAATGTGGAATTTTTTGTGCTGCTCTCTAAGTGAAAACAATTATCAATCAGAAACAGCTTTTGAAAATAAGTATGATAATTATGTGTTTCTAAAGGCAATTAATTCTAAACTTGTCACTCAATGGGAATATTTCTACCTTAAAAAAATAGTAATGCCTTACATGTAATTTCTTCTTGAGGAAAACACTTTAAATTGCAAAAAAATTTTGTATTTTACCCTTAAGTGTAAAATAAATTTTTCACTAAGGAAGAGAAAAAATAAAGCATATTTAATAACTTTATTGCACTGGAAGTTGCCAATTCGTCTTTGAGTAGTTTCATTGCAGATGAAAAGAAATCAAAATACAGGACAGATGTTGAACAAACCGCATTTAAGTTCTGTCACACACTGGCATTTTTCAAATGATTTTGGCTCATCTATTAAATAAGGTGCATTTTGCTTGATTTTGAAAAGGGAAACATCAGGAAATATTTAAAGGCCAATTGCTGCCAATTAACTTTGATCAGTAAAAGTTCTATTTGAATCTTTCAGATTCTTCTCCTGTCTGAAATAACATACATTTATAAATCGAACAAAACAACAACTTGATGATTAATGCCTGTTGGCAGCCCTACCACAAGCTTGCTTAACAGCGGAATTTAAATAAACAACTGTCTCTATTCAGAAGAGAACGAAATGTAGTTATAGTCATATTTTCTCATAATGGAGATATGAAAAACAATATTCTCTACTCTTAAGAATGCTGCTAATCAAGACCATTGTGATTGTCAGTGCCTGTAACAATTCAGCTAGCCATCTTACAAGAGTCTGCCCTGAAATCATAATGGACCAATAAAATTAACAGCAGTGTGACATAAGCAGTCCTGGCAACCCAAACAGCAGAGGCCAGACTAAAACATCTTCCTACCAATTGGATCAGCCAGAAAGTAAAGCATCGGTCCTAATACAGTAAGAGTCTGACATAACAGTCTCAAAGAAAAAAAGAATCTGACATAACATATGCAAGTGTTACGAATTATGTTGGACATATCTTAGTGGTGATTATGTAACTGAGAAATATGTGGCTTCTGATAATCAACAAAGTTTAAGATTCTTGAAATCAAATTTTAATCTTTACTACTGGTCATGTAGGATCTAACTCTGAAAATCAACAGCCAAAGTAAAGCAAAATAGAAATCCCATAAAGGCAAAACACATTGCCATATTACCAACAAACCTCTGTCTCACTATTCCAATTATACATTAAAAAATAATATCCTATCTTTATTTTAAAACCAATCACCTATTTTCAGACATGCAAAAATATGTATTAAAAATTAGAACTTACTTCTAAGTCATTAAAAAATAAATGTGTGTCTGCCAAGTTGAAAATCATTTCTTCCATTCGCAGTCCAAGGGAAACTGAAGTGGGTGGATCCTAAAATAAGAATATGACAGGTGAAGAACATGTATACTTCAGGTTACATGAAAGAGAGTGTCTCATTAAGAGGAAGCAGGCATTGGGAGAGGCTGAAAGCAAGAGACACAGAGAGAGACTTGGGCAACAGCTGCTTATTTTAGTGTGCATGACTTATTCTGTGTGCAAACTTCAGGGACTTATTTTATAAAAAGAGCCCCAAATGTTGATGGTGCTTTACACACTGAAGAAAAAACTCTTTCTTTACTTTTTTAAAATTTAAAATCTAGGGTTACTTAGACATATAAAATAAAGGAAATTCAACTTTTTATGTCTATTTCAGGAGCAAAAAATTCAGTGAATCAAGTAGCCACTGGTTATGTTACGCCACAATCCATTAAGAGCATCTAAGTGCACTGTCACAAATATCAGAAAATAGATACACTATAGCAAGCTTGCCCAACCTGCAGCCTGCAGGCTGCGTGCAGCCCAGTACGGCTTTGAATGCAGCCCAACACAAATTCATAAACTTTTCTTATAACACTATGTTTTAAGTGATGATTTTTTTTTTTTGAGACAGAGTCTCGCTCTGTCACCCAGGCTGGAGTACATTGGCGTGATCTCAGCTCACTGCAGCCTCCATGTCCCAGGTTCAAGCAATTCTCCTGCCTCAGCCTCCCGAGTAGCTGGGACTACAGGCGCGCACCAACACGACCAGCTAATTTTTTTTTGTATTTTTAGTAGAGACGGAGTTTCACCATGTTGGCCAGGATGGTCTTGATCTGACCTCATGATCCGCCTGCCTCAGCCTCCCAAAGTGCTGGGATTACAGGCATGAGCCACTGCGCCCGGCCTAAGTGATGATTTTTTTTTTTTTTAGCTCATCAGCTAACATTAGTGTTAGTGTATTTTACGTGTGGCCTCAAACAATTCTTCTTCTTCCAGTGTGGCCCAGGGAAGTCAAAAGATTGGACAGCCCTGCACTATAGGTTAATTTCAGAAGGGTAGTACATAGTAATTTTAATCTAGATAACTCTCTATCATTATTTGCATTCATTAAACCTGTCAATTTTAAGTGTACTCAAAGCAGGAAGTGATGGCCACTCTGACCCCACCAGGCACTGTCCAGCTCAGGGAGCTGATCTTAAGATTCACATGACACTGTACGGGCATCAAACAGCCCATGCCATACTCAGAGAGCAGTGCTACATTCCACAGTGCACCGTGGTTTCTATCTAAAAATTCAAGTGTTGGACATTAGCAGTGAGTAGTCAGCCTCTCCCTACAAGCCACCCTGATGACATCTACTGGCACTGAAATGAACTTGGGGGATATGCAGGTATTTGCAGTTTTATCCTGTATTTACTGTGTATCAAATCCAAGAAGCAACATGGTTCATGGCTGAAGATCCTGTATAGGAAGTAATGAAAGATAACATTTCCAGGAAGTATACAAGGCTATAAAATGAATTTTTTAAGGGTTTATTGGCATTCTATTAATAATACCAACTTTCGTATGTATGCCATTTTCAATTCTTCCAAAGAACAATAATTTATGATATACTATTTTATTGTCACGGCAAACCTTTGGAATAAGTATGGAATCTCCTTGCATCATTATGTAACCAGGGGGATTGTAAGCAGAGAAACTGCCTTCAGGTAGGCCCCATTGGGCAGGTATGCCATGTGTCATGATATGTGTGTCATGTGCCTTTGAGTCTTAGAGTCAAGAACATACAATCCAAAGAAAAGACTTTGATTCGATACTGCCCAATGTCAACTTTGTACACTATCTACCTTGTTTTCTGAACACTCTAACTTTATCTCCAATATCTAGACATGCCCGTGTGTTACCCCTACTCTTTAACATCTGCCATGCCTGTTAAGTTTGGGAAGTGGCAAGAAGTGGTGAGAGAGGAGGCCTAGACTGTAGGCCAGACCCTGCCTTTGCTTTCCCACTTAGGTGTCATCCTCTCATCGAGCCTGGTTTGTTCACTAATAAATCTGAGAGCAAGATGGCAAACACAATATTCTCACATAGACTAATAAAAAAAATCTTGTCTTTCATTTGTCAGAATCGTACATGTTTGTACAGTTAGGAGAGAGCAGGGGCTGGAAAGGGTGGGAGATGGGAGCGGAGCCTTGCTGGGCACCTGCCAGGGGCCCATCTGCTGTAGCCTGGAGGTCAACCCAACCCAACCTGGCTATTCCTCCAGCACTGCCCACCCCTAGCACTGCCCACACCCCTCCAGCACTCCCCACCCTCTTGGCACCACCCACACCCTTCCAGCACCTCCCACATCCCTCCAGAACTTCTCACCCTCTTGGCACTACCCACATCCCTCCAGCACCTCCCACATCTCTCTAATACTTCCTACTGTCTTGGCACCGCCCACATCCCTCCAGCACCTCCCACATCCCTCCAGCACCTCCCACCCTCTTGGCACAGCTCACTTCCCTCTAGCACCTCTCACCCCCTTAGCACTACCCACACCCTTCCAGCACTACCCACATCCCTACAGTACATCCCACCCCCTTAAGCACTGCCCCCACCTCTCCAGTGTGGCCCAAGTTCTACCTTCCAGCAGCCCTAGAGGAGGAACAGAGTACGTGAAATATGGCAGGATGGTGCAATTCACTCACCTCAGTTCCTCTCCTGCCTGTGCCTTTTCTGCCAGCTGACTGACAGTGGAAGGGAAGCAGAGGACATAGTATTGCCAAACGTCAGGGGTTAGATTGGCAAATACCCCAGGGTTGATAAGAAGGCAGAGAGGAAATAAAGATGCAGAGGCTGAGTGTCTAAGAGTTCTGCTGGGAGGGACAAAGGAAAACGATTCCCTCAAATTTTGTGTATGATGATTCATACTCCTTAGCATTCTGAAATTGTCCCTTTTTAATACACCTGAAATCTATGAAATTCTATGAAATTTCATAGGTTTTAGGAGAATTACAGTTTACAAATTACTGTAAAGAAAAACTAACTCATTTACTCTTGGATTTATAAGAAATTGCTCATTCACAAGGAGTTTAAGTATCAGTAGGCATGCTGGAAAAAGCAAATGCTCAAATAGACCCTACAGCTGAATTAACCTGTAGGGGAAGCTCAAACAGATGTGTCTAAAACAAAACACCTGACTAAGGTGTTTATTCCCTCTAGCTCAGGCCAATAAAAATACCCTGACTTGTCTCATAACCATGTCAATGAATCTTTTTATGTGGCAAGGATGGAGCCTCACCACATTTATTTAATTGCCAATTTTAAAATTTATGTGCCATAGTATTGTTACTTTTGAAAAAGTATTATTTCTCCTTGATACGGTTGCTTATTTATATGACCATTGAAAGAATTACTCTATTGTTCGTTAATATATAGCATACTTTAACTTTTCTTCATAAATTACAGTAATGACTTGCTAGTCAGAATACTAATAAATTTTAAAGGCTTGTTCAGTCTAGTGGTAAAATACAACACAGATGTTGGTCTTATTTACCTCTTAATGTTAATCTCTTTTGTTATTAGCTGTCATTCCTCAACAGTTTTTATACCTGCCACTCCAAGATATTGTTTTGAAACATTTACTACACCAACAGAACAGTCTGGCAGCTAACTGGAATGAGACAATTTTAGAATAGGAAGGGGGTTCTAGTTGAGAGCAGTATTTTTCAGACATCTTTGAACCACAATGCTCAGTAAAAAACACAATTAACACTGGGATCTAAGAATCTCTCTTATGTGCACACACACAGCTGAAATATATTTGCCAAAGCAAGATTTTGCTCACTGTGTGGATATACTCTGACACTGTCCATTTCACAGCCCTGTCTCAATCTACAGTTTGAAAGGCAGAGCTCTAGAAAACACCTACTCTTTGACTTTAGAAACAGAGCACGGAGTTCCTAGAGGGTTGTGATTTGTGCGTGATGACCCAGCAAGCAGAGTGCAAAGCCATCTCACCCTGAGTGTTTTACCCAAGAGGAAACTAGCAGAAGGACAGATAGATAATTCTGCTCATGGAATTGCTTACATATTCTAGCAACTGGAGTTCTCATATCAAGGTTAGATTTTATTTTCCTATTATAATAGCTAATACGTTAACACTGTTAAAATTTCTAAAGTCTCATACGAGTACAAGTCAAATGTGAAAAAAGCTAACATTGAACAGTTAATAAATTACTCTGGCTTGATGGCTTATTTTGGCATATTAAGAACAAGGAAAAAAACACGTTCTTAAACCAAAACTGAGATGTTAAAATCACCAGGTCTTTAGTTTAATCTTACTATTTTTATAATACATAATTTTCTTGCAATAACAAATTCCAGAGCTGCAGTTATAAAAGGACTTCTTTTAAAACACCATTTTTTGTTATATCACTTTCAAAAAATTATTTAGAGCTTTGCCTCCACTTCAAAGTAACATCTCATTTTAAGTCAATCTCATTGCCAAATGTTCTCATTCTTTTCAAAACGTGGCCTTTCTGTGGCATATGCCACTGCTGTTTACTCTCTTCTTGACATTTCTCCTCTATGACAGCAATCTTTTATGGGCATTTTCCTAGAATCTATGTATACATCATCTGCTTGTTAAATGTCTGTATTATTCCATTCATGCTTCTAATAAAGACATACCCAAGACTGGGTAATTTATAAAGAAAAGAGGTTTAACTGACTCACAGTTCAGCATGGCTGGGGAGGCCTCAGGAAACCTACAATCATGGAGGAAGGGGAAGCAAACATATTCTTCTTCACATGGTGGCAGCAAGGAGAAGTGCAGAGCAAATGCAGGGAAAAGCCCCTTATAACACCATCAGATCTCATGAGAACTCACTATCATGAGAACATCATGGAGGTAACCATCCCCATGATTCAATTATCTCCCACTGGGTCCCTCCCATGACACATGGGAATTATGGGAGCTACAATTCAAAATGAGATTTGGGTGGAGACACAGCAAAACCATATCAATGACGTTGGTTCCTAGGACTTTATTCTTATCCTTCCATCTCTCATTCTGTTCAGATCACCTTGTGGACTCAAGCACACTGATGGCTTCAACCACCACCCACTCCCCTCTATCAGATCTTAGATCTCAACTGGAGGCTCATATATCAATTACTTATTGGTCATTTCCACCTAGATGTCCCATAAAGCACCTGAAATTCAATGTGTGGCAAGTTGGAGTCATCACATTTCGTCTGGACACCTACTGTATTCATTCTTTAGAGGAATGGCATCCTACCAACCCAGACCTTGGCATTTTCCTAGCCACCTCTTTTTAGCCCCATATTGAATCAATTTCAACACTCTGTCACTCGGACCATAAATTTCAGCCTCCCTTATTGTCATTGCCATTGTTCTTTGCTTTCTTGTTTTTTTTTTTTCCCCTTAGCCTTGTGTCTTTTGTGGATATTTGGTATGGTCTCCTTCACTGGGGTCTATTCCTAGGTTGTCACTATCTTCATTCCAGCCTCTCATCTCTTTCAAAAAACATTCAAACATTTAACAAGTACAAAAGACCCGTATATGTCTAACTTTTGCTTACATATTCAAGATGGCCTGTTTCTGATTTTTCAAACTGTTGTCTTGATCATGAAATCCTTTCCTCAAAACACAACTAGGCAGAGGCCTAAACTGGGGCAAAGAATCTGTCCACACAGGTTCATGAACCGTGGTCTCAGATGGAGCCTGTACACTCACATCTCCATCCCTACAGGCAGCGCTCCCCGCTGGGCCCCTTTCCCAGTTCCGCAGCTCCACCTCCCTGATCCTTGCTGGCTGGGCTCCACAGTTGCTGGTACCACAGCTCTATGTGTTCTTGTCTCGGCAGGCCAGGGGTTTAATCCCTGTATCTTCCTCCTCCTGTTTTTTAGATTCAGAGTATGGTTTTCTTTCTTTTTAGTTTTAGTATGAAACTGTTATTTGCAGAATCAAAAAGAGGGTATCAATCCTCTGAAAAAACATAGTGGGAGGCTCTGTTTCTATTTCGTGTAGAATGTTTTGTTCAATTAGATTTTTCTCTCTCTTTACAGCCTTTAAACAACATTTTAAGCTTTAGGCTATGATTCCTTGTTTTTTCCTATCCCTATATCCTTATCTGTATATCCTTGGTACTCAACACAATGCATGTCATAAAGGCTTTCCCAAACTTTGGTGGAGGAATAAATGAATGAAAAGCAATAAATAGAGAATATTTCAAATAATTCCAGTGAAGAAAAGAAGAAAATACTAAATTTTACCTTTCATTAGCTGTTAGTGTTGTCAGTGAAAAAACAATTCCTAATGATCTAGCCTAGGGAAAAAATGGGCACTTGAATCTGAAAATCTCATTTGATCTACATAAGATAGTATTAAACATTAAACGTGTTCACTAGTAAATGCTATCTACCTGATTAAGGAAGAGCCCATTCTTAGAATAGCTGCATAAGAAGCCTTACTTTTCTATTTAATGAAGTGGATAATATTACCATAAGGTCAGCATAACACTGATTTTGTAAACTCAGTAGTGGTATGTATTACACCATTTTGTAAAATATGTTCTTATGTGCCATGAAATTTACTTCTCTGGTAGAAATTGAATAGTACAGTGAAGAGGCTCAAAAGGAAAAAAATACAGTCAACTGTTTTATCAATTTTCTTGTTTAACGAAGAAATTGTACATTTACTATAGTTCTTATGTACAGGAAATTCTTCTAGTGGAAGCCTTCTTAAGTTGTTCTTCACCCAAACAAAACTCAATACACAACATCTAACTTCACACCCACACACAGGAATGAAATCTAACCCTGCTCCGAAATTATTTGGATATGATATTAAATTGCAAATGTCTACTTAAAGTCACTAAAGTGAAGTGAAGGAACTTGTTGTCATCCTAGGCTACCCATGGCTGTTTTCAGTACATCAAAGGCAAATTATGTCTACTAATTCAAAGTAACATTATGTAGAAAAAGTAAATAATGATGAAATTGGCTGAGTGTCTGTAGAACCAGGAATAAAACAATTGTTTTGCCTTCATCCTCTGTCAAGTGGTCTTTAATTATCCCATTGCCTCAAGATCTCTTTCTCTTATTTCTACAACACAGAACTGCTCGCAGAGACTAAAATTTTCATCATGTACCCAAATCACCAGCATCAACCCTGGTCCACTACCTTGAATTGTTTATTGATTTTTTTTTTAATCCTCATCACAGCTATCACAGTAGATCTTGATTAAAATGTTAAAAAGGAAAAATATTCTGGACAAAAGCAGTGCACAGAAATACTGAAATGCCATTAAATACAGTCTCTAGAGAGATTAATGTCTGTCAGCTTTGAATTCAAATGTTGAAAATCTGTAATTGGGTTTGAAGTAAATAAAAGAAAAGGGTATATAAATGCATGTGTGTACTAGATCATCAGAGGACTGGGATATTTCCTCTTGGGGCCCTGCTTTGTTTCATCAGTGAGCTAAGGCATGTGATAAACTTCAAGTATCATTAAAAATGGACTTTTTAGTAGGCACAATACATATAGCACTTCTGATTCTTTAATTTACCAAGACTCTCACACACACCAGATGAAGGCATTGTTGTTTTTGCAGGGCTAAGTCATTTGCTTCCAACAATGCCTTCATCTGTGTATGTGAGAATCTTGGTAAATTCAAATTTCTGAAGTGCTATATGTATTGTGCCTACTAAAAAGTAAAGGTATTCCTTTACAACAATGGAAAATGGACTAACACACTCAATCTCTGCAGCACTACCATAAAGGAGTCATACATTCAAACTAGACTTTCGCTGTACTTACTACTCAAGGCACTTTCGATAGAATGTTCATACAATTCCTCATACCAATTATTTTTGAGGTGACCATATTTTTAAGAGCTCAGTCATCAGTAAAGCTAATTTAGGTGGAAGTTAAACTAGACGATGCAACATGAGCACTCCCAGAAGGGGCCATCACTGGTTCTTCCAAAAGATGTCAACCAAGCTTTTATCACCAGGAAAGATGACCCAACTCTAGGAAGCTGGCAAAAGGTGTCCTATACTCTGAAGATCTAGGAACTAAGAGGAAGGTAGGATCATTCAGATGGGATCTGAGCAATGCACCAGTTCAACTGAAACCTAGAACTATTCTTCAAAAAAATCAATTACTTGCATAGCCATGTCATGTGATTGCTTTAAGTTAGTCACATATACCTTTCTGCTTATACCATTTAATCATTTAACAGTGACAATTTGTGAACATAGCTTAGCCCAAATCCAATCAATTAACAAATGACTGGGGGGAATAGGTCTTGGCAACATCTTGACCCTGACCAAGTTTATCTACAAATGTATGCCAGTAATACATGGTTATAAACAGGAATTATTGACATAGAGTCCAAATTTAGTGCCTTCAATGTAAAGTCCCTGAAATTTTTCAGTGATCATAAAATGATCCAATACTTTAGCATTTCAGGAATGACATAATATTTTAGAAAGGTTTTGTCTGTGGTCAAGTCGAAGGATAAATTTGTGAAAGCACTTTAAGAATATCAAATTAACATAAAATATCAGCTACCATAATACTAAAGAGAAGTAGAGTCTTCCAGTATCAGTTCTGGAGTATCTGTATCAAGTACCTGGTATTCTGTCCGCTCAGGGTAAAATGCATGTGACTTGGACTGTGCCCACTCCAGGAAGAAGATAAAGAGTTTAAAATTTGGGGGTATTATTTAAAAAATAAAAAAGGATCCTTCTCCCACAAATAGAAAGTTTGGTTGAATCATCAAACTGATTATATAGGGGAAAGGTGGTCTATTCTTTGGCTCTCTGATGTGAGTATAGCATATTTCTGTAATGTAAATAGTTGATTACTTCCCAGTCAAGATTAGCATGTTAGATTGTATATAAATCTCTAAATCTCTAATAAATATTTATTCTTACACTGAGACAAAGAAACTACCCGTAGAGCAAATGTCCTCAAGTAGGATAGCTGGAATCTGCCTTTAAAGTTAGCCACCAAGCATAGCTATAGACTAACCATGTTAATTCACTGATCCTATCAGTTAGTTCTCTCACTTGAAACTAAGGGTGGTAAATTGAACTTCACCACACTATTGAAAAGATAACAAAGGAATGTGGCACCTGCCAGGTGACTCAGCATGAGTCACTCAAGACACCTACTTGTCCACTAAAGGTAACGAGGAAGCCTTAATCAAAAATATGCAATAATACTGTAGAGCTATTCAAGAAGAGTTGATACTTGAGAAAATATCAAAATTCAGCAAGTGGTTTAGTTTCATCTCAAAACTTCACCTCAGCAAAAATAGCTCTGAGCTAATTATCTGCAACAGGAACTGTCAGTCTTTTTTTCTGGCAGCAAGGCTACAGATATTTGATTCAGATCAATTAAGAATCTGTGGTTCATAAAACTTCCAAACTCTTGAGTTTTCTTCTTCTTAGTCAACCTCCTTAGAGCTAAAACGAAAGAATGTACAGCATAAGTAAAAACATTCTGTAATGGACTGCTGAAGGAGCTTCTCCAACTGGAGTACTGAAGTTTTAAAAACAACAACTAGATGCTCAAGGATATACCCCATCTATAAAGTCTTGGCCAAAAAAAAAAAAAAAAAAAAAAAAAGAAAAGGAAACTGAATCTAACTAAGCAAGCTCCTAGATCTAGCTATCAGATTGTAGGAAATACAGAGGACAAAGAAACATGTTAAATAATACAATAGGGTTGCTGTCAAGAAAACCCAGACTCCCAGGAACTCTGTAGGACAGACAGTCTGGTTACTTCAACAGAAATACACAAGGTTTATAAAAAGGGATTGAGTGAGAATCTATAGATTATAGACACTTAGGAGACATATAATAAACTGTAAAGTAAATAAACAAAACTACTGGAGAAAAACACTTTATAAACTAGAAAGAAAAGGAAATTACCCAGCAAAATAAAGCTCATATATGAAAAGCCCACAACGAACATCATACTCAATGGTAAATGTCTGAAAGTTTTTCCTCTAAGATCAGGAACAAGACAACCAGGCTGCTTTTGCCACTTCTGTGTAACAAAACATAGAAGTTCTAGCCAGAAGTATTAGGCAAGAATAACAAATAAAAGGCGTCAAAGTTGTAAAAGAAGAAGTAAAATGATATCTGTTTACAATGACATAATTTTGTGTGTAGAAAGCCCCGAAGACCTCCCCCCACCCCGCCCCCCACCACACACACAGAGTCTGTTAGAACTAATGAATACATTCAGCACAGTTGCAGGATGAAAAAACAACACACAAAAATCAGTTGTGTTTCTATACACTAACAACGACTAAGCCAGGAAATAAATTAAGAAAATGATTCCATTTACAATAGCAGAAATGAAAGAAATCAAATACTTAGGAATAAACTTAAATAGGGAGGGAAAACACTTGTACGCTGAAAAATTTTAAAAAATTATTGCTAAAAACATTAAAGAAGATACAAATAAATGGAAAGACATCCCATGTTCATGGATGAAAGATATAGTGTTAAGATGTCAATACTATCCAAAGTGATGTACAGATCTAATGCAATCCCTATCAAATCCCCAATAGTATTTTTTTGCAGAAACAGAAAACTCCATTTTGAAGTTTATATGAAATCTCAAGGGACCTTGAAGATCCAAAACAATTTTAAAAAATAACAAACTTGGAAGTGTTACACTTGCCAATTTCAAAACTGATTACAAAGACACAGTAATCAAAACAATGTGGTTCTGGCAAAAATACAGATGTACAGACCAATGGAATATAGAGAGAGACCAGAAATAAGCCCTCACATGTATGATAAGATGATTTTCAATAAGGGTGCTAAGACCATTCAATGAGGAAATAATAGTCTTTTCAACAAACGGTGCTGGGGAAACTGGATATCCACATGCAAAAAATTCAAGGTAAATCGTTACCTTACACCATATGCAAAAATTAACTCAAAATAGATCAAAAACCTAAATGAAAGACCTAAAATATAAAATGGTATAGGAAAAGCTTCATGACATTGGATTTGTCAATGACTTTTTGGATATGACACCAAAAGCAAAGGCAATAACCAAGAAAATAAATTCAAAACATCAAAATGAAAAATGTGTATAATCAAAGGAAACAACAGTGAAAAGGCAGGCCACGGAATGGGAGAAAATATTTGAAAATCATATATTTAATAAGGGGTCAATATCCAGAATATGTAAAGACCTCCTATGACTCAATAAAAAAAACCCTGATTTAAAAAATGGGAAAAGGATCATCTCTAAAGAAGTTATACAAATGGTCAAAAAGCACATGAAATATGCTCATCATCATTATTCATGAGGGAAATGTGAACCCAAACCACTGTGAGTTATTATCTCACAGCCATTAGAATGGCTACTATCAGAAAACAAAAAACAGAAAATAATAAGTGTTGATGAGGATGTGGAGAAATTGGAATCCCTGTGCACAGCTGGTGGGAACATAAAATGCTGCAGCTGCTAAGATAAACAGTACAGCAGTTTCTCAAAAAATTAAGTATATAATTACTATATGATCCCACAATTCCCCTTCTGATTATATACCCAAAAAATACTAAAAGCAGGGAAGACATTTTGCATACTCATATTCATAGCAGCATTATTTAAAACAGTCATAGGTGGAAGCAACTCAAATGACCATTGATAGATATATCAAAAAAATAAAATGTGGCATATACATACAACAGAATATTATGTAACCTTAAAAAGGGAGGAAATTCTGACATGTTATAACACGGATGAACCTTGAGGACCTTGTCCTGAGTGAAACCAGCCAGTCACAAAAAGTGAAGTACTATATGATTCCACTTATATGAGGGTACCTGCAATACACAGAGACAGAAAGAATAGATGTTGCCAGGAATTGGGGGGAGGGGAGAATGGGGAGTTGTTTAATGGGTTTAGACTTTCAATTTTGAGAGATAAAAAACTTCTGGAGATTGGTTTTACAACAATGTGAAGGTACTTAAAACTACTGAACTGTATACTTAAAATGGTTAAGAAGGTAAAATTTTTTATGTGTATATCAAAATTAAAAATAAAAATTGGCCAGGCACGGTGGCTCATGCCTATAATCCCAACACTTTGGGAGGCCAAGGTGGGTGGATCACCTGAGGTCAGGAGTTCAAGACCAGCCTGACCAACGTGGTGAAACCCTGTCTCTACTAAAAATACAAAATTAGCTGGGCATGGTGGCGCATGCCTCTAATCCCAGCTACATGGGAGGCTGAGGTAGGAGAATCGCCTGAACCCGGGAGACGGAGGTTGCAGTGAGCTGAGATCACTCCACTGCACTCCAGCCTGGGCAACAAGAACTAAACTCCATCTCAAAAAAAAAATAAAATAAAAAATAATTTTAAATATAACTATTGGTTAGACATTTAATGATATTACAGAATTATTTTTAATTTCACTAGATGGCTAAGGTGCTGAATACTATTTATTACTTCTATTCTATTCTTTTAATGAATTCCTAAATACATACTCAACTCTATACAAATTAAATAATGTGATATCTGGGATTTGTTTTGAAAAATCATCCTTGGACAGGACCAGGAAGCAGAGGGATACGATGAAGATATACATAAACAAGATTGGCTAGGACTTGATATTGTTAAAGCTGGAGTGGTTACATTGGGTTTCATTATACATATTATTCTATCTACTTTTCTATGTTTGCAAGTTTCTATAATGAAAAGTTAAAAAAAATATAAAAATATTCACTAAGACAAGATTGGCTGTTTTTGGTGGTGAAACTATGGATTAAAAATATTTATTCTGAAAATTTAAAACACGTGCAAGCCATACTTTTAAAATGCCAAAAACATTTTAAAGGCCATAATGCAAAAGCCTGCCAAAGTTCCTCAGCATATCACCTTTTATTGAAAAGAAGGTGCTAGGGCATACTTGGGTAATCTGTACCCAGATATAAGTGAGGATTTGGAATATACACAAGAATGTATGTCAGACGATGCTTGGCTTCTATTCACTCTATTCATTTTTACCATATGGGATGTTCTTTTCCAGGAACCCAGAGGAACTCCTACATTTTTGAAGCCACAAGATCATCTCATACATTTAGCAATAGCGGTGTTGAATTGCAGTGCTGATCAGCTGCAAAGGAGAAATCCCGGTGTAATTTAAGAAGAGCAGTAACCCTAGAAACATTTCATTTAAGGCTCCTGGCATTTATTTTTTGGTTGTATGTCTCCTGTGGATCCTGATTTTTTTTTTTCTGATTCACAATGCTAGTGTTATCATCTGACATCCTATTACTGGCTATTTCTTGCTAGTTAAATGATGTAGCTACTAGAGAATGGCTCTCATGAATAATACAGAGAGACTTGTTGCCTTCTTAGCACTGTTATTTCTTTGGAGATTCTGCAGTTTTACCCTTAGTGGATTTAGAGTGGCATTAGTTTAGAATAGTTTTACCCTAATGACAGACTATTATTGAAGATTCATCCATCCCCTACCAAACAGCCTCCTCTGTTAATTTAAAAGCTCCTTGAAGGCAGAAATTTTGGCTAGGCACCTACAACATTACTGTTTATGTATTCTATAAATCATAAAAGAATGACTTTCTGAATGACTCATTAATGTCAGGCCAGGAAACAAATGGTGACTCAGGCAGGAGAGAGGTGTGCAGCCAGGCATGTGTTCTGGGTACTGGAGTCCATATAGCCCTGGAGGTTTTGCGTGTGCAACTTGAGAAGGGTGCCATTTGGTGGTACAATTTTCTGAATTACTTCATGGATGTTTTTAATGATCATTTATCCACAGGGAAACTCATCTCTGCTAGAAGCCTAACGTTCTGAGTACCACCTGATACTTCTATGGTGGAGTCTTAAACTTTGGGTAGTCCTAACATGGAGACCACATGGTATTAGCAGGGGACCTTACCCACTACAGAAACCACCAGGAATTTTTCTAGGTCCCCAGGAAGGAGCGGAAGGGAGTACATTCTCACATGCCATTTTGCTTTATTCTAGTGACTAGGTTAAACTTTATGCTGCTCATTTTATTTTGTTGCCCATTTATGTGGAGAACTATTATAGTTACATTTGCACTGCTAATTCTAGTGTTTGTACATGATATTTGATCTTAACTATCTTGTAAATAAGGACTGTGAAAACTGTTTTGAAGGCGGTATGTATTTATCCTCAATTCTCTTGACCTCTTTGGAAAGTTAAATGTTTTATGTTGTAGTCATGTTCGTGAGGCAGCTTACAAACATTGAGGAAGGGAGAAGAGGTAAAATCTAATTTGACCAACTGGACAGCTGAAGCTAATTGTGTCACAAAGTTGCTTAGTGACCCCATTCAGAGTGCTTGAGAAAAGGATTGCAATGTGGAATTTATAGTGTTTTTTAAAGAAAAATGTAAAGCAGCCAGACACTATTTTACTGATAGTATTGGGTAAGCACACATCATTTTTCCTATAAATCCAGCAGCTTTCTCCCTACAACAACAAAATACCTTTTTTACCCTGAACTCTGTCTATGGTCAACCAAGCCAGAGCCGTATCACATTCTCTTGGTACCACTAAGGACTTTCTACAATCAATCCTCCCTCTCCCGCACAGCAGACTGGAGATGCCCGCCCACCACAGTTCATGTTACCTTATTACACAGATGCCAAAGAGCACCAAGAGTCACCTGTGGACACACTGGTATCTGTCCTAACTTCTCTTGCTGTCATTTACCAGTTCAGTGAGTTCCCACTCCTGGAGCTCTCTACTGGCCCCATACCATTTAAGCACAGTATTCTGGCAAAATGCATAAAAGAAACACGTAAGACTCATGAAAGTCGCACAATTCAGCCTGCTGGAGAAAGGTAGAGTTATGCGTTGAACTAAAATGATCAGAAAGAGGCAAGAAAAAATGAACACTTCTCACTTCCTGGCTTCAAATGACAATGTAGTCTATTTTTAGTGGCAAACACCAACCCCTCACAGAAGTGAGGCTGATTCAGAAATGATCTTCTTGACCCGTTTTTATTTACTTTCAGTTCAGATAGTTCACGGTCTTTGGAGACTCAAAACAGATAGAAAGTTGAAGGGAAACCTGTTGTTTATCTCTTTTGGGGCTTTTAGAAGGATCCAGAATATATTTCTGAGTATAAAAACAAAATATCTCTTCTCCTTTCTCTAGAAACGTTAAAGGTAACCATTTTCTAACCATGAAAGTATCTCTCCTTTTTATGTAACTATGTTTTAAAAGATACTTCCCAAGATTTTTATTGTTGATTTAATAATGCCACAAGTGACAAGTATTACATTAGATCTGATGTCATCTAAGAATAAGTCACTTTAGTTTTATTATAAGAACCACTAAAAATGGCATCAAATATTAATGAGGAAGCAGGTTCTCTTTATTGCTAGATACACCTGTAAAGCACCAAAAGAAAAATTGTTCCTATTTTTAATGTAGCTCTAGTTTTTATTTATGCACCCTTGCACATTTAGCTTTATTTTCTTTGGCCATGCTATTTTTCTAAATTGAAAACAAAAAATTTAACAGTAAAACAAAATAAGTAAACACATAATATAAATTGTCTAATTTAAATGCTTTAAGTCAACATTTAAGAACTATTTTAATGGCTAAGTCATTGTTCCAATTTTAAGTAGCTTCAGCATTCTGACTTGGTCTCTACAAAGTACTTATGGTGTTCTTACTAAAAATAAAAAGGAAAGGGAATTATTTTGCCTTTTAATTCTTATCCTATTATTTTCAATTTATAAGTACATTAAATACATAATGTATGTCTTTTGTATCTCTCCTCTCTGAATATGTACCTACTTATATCCATGAGATGATACTCTACACAAACTCCTAGCAATTGCTATTCTACTTTGAATCACAAAGAATATATTATCTTTAAAAAAGTGCTATTTAAATAATTAATCTTGAGACAGGAGTTATCAGAAGACAGTGCAACTATTTCAGAAAGCATGACTAGTTCCTCAGGATATGCTACCTACATTTTGAATTTCTGGAATAAAAGAAAATAAGGTTCCTAAACTCTCTCTGTACTAATCCTACATGGGCAGCTAAGCCTCCCTGGCAAGCAATTACTGGGAGTTGTGGTAGCCCAGTGAGGTGTGTTGCTAACAATGTGAGCAGGTTTATGAGATTTATTCGTCCATGTGAAAATCTTGTTAAGTATGCTCAAATCAAGGACAAATCTTTGGGCAGTATCAATCAAAAGAAAGAAAAATACTCATTCAGTGCACCTTAAACAATTCCTTACTTAGAATGCTAATATTACAGCCACAAACAGGACCTGAATGTCATTTAAAAATTCTCCCCATCCAAGATCTTTTGTTTTGGGGGAAAATAAGCTGAAAAACAGGAATGAGCACTCTGAATACATGAGTGGTTTATTTTTAAGACCCCATGCTGGCTGCCCACAAGGAAAGGATTAAGGTTAAGCTTTGAAAATTAGCTTCCTATCTTGAAAGGAAAAACTATGCTGAAACATTGTTTTTTTAAAAAATAAAAAATAAAAAACACATAAACACATAACCAAAAGTGTTATCCAAATGATCTGTACAACTTACGAGACCCAAAGGTTCCATTATTGTGTTTTCTCCTGTCTAAAGGGAGCAATATCATCAATAAAATATTAACTTTTTTCAAGGTTTAAGGCCCTATCACTGGGCTACTTAGATATGAAATATCAGATTTTGGGAGTTGGATGTGATTCTCTTGCCAATTAAGAAATAATACAGATTACCAAGAGAGACTGTATACACATAAAAAATAAACCATGGTTAAACTACTGCCTGAATGATCTGGAAAAACACCCCCAAAACCCTCAAACTTGTGGTGGGGCTAATCAGGTCATTTTTACTGATTAGATACGTGACACTCGATTGTGTTAATTTTCTCCTTACTTAAGAGACTCCCTTTCAACACCATGAAAATAATACTCAAGTAGAGAATAAGAGAAAGAACTTCAACATTCCAAAGACTAATTTTGACTGTGGAGAAAACCCAGTGAATCTCAAACATGGGCCAACTGCCAAGAAGTGGTACAAAGAGGGAGGAAGAAGAATAAAGCCAGCATGGACCTGGCCAAATTGGCTTCAACACCAAGGGGCCCATGGGGTGCTAAGGGAAAGGCTAAACAGCTAAATCCAGTCGAAAGACCTATCAGGATTTCATTTGTAATGACTCTCCTACCTCCCTCCTTCCTACAGAGTGTTCCAGCCACTTTTTAGGCCTTTATTATTTTCTACCAGAGGACTGCACAATAGTTTTCCTTGCTATTAAATCGGTCTTCCAAATGTACACTTCCAGCATGTCCCTCCATTGCCATCATGTTCTTCCATCATGTCCCTAATTCATGGCATTCCCATGCCCACAGAACGAAATCCTGGCACTCAATGCTCTCTCTAAGCCTGGGTCAATTACAAGACTGGTGTTGCCAGTTGATGGATCTGCCTTTTGGACAGATAATTTAATTTTTCTGAGCTACACTTTTCTTATTGGCAAAAAGAAGGAGTTCATTGGATAATAAGTGTGAGATAGCAGTGTAAACCATAAAAGTTGAACAAAGATGCAGTCTTTTTATTACTGATCCAACACATTTTCTGCTACTATTCTTCTTCAAGTCTAATCCCCTAAATATACTTTATCACTATTTACCCTTTTTGCTTATGATTTCTGCCACTTGTAATTCTCTGTTTCCCACTCCCTCTTTGCTGCCTGGAATAACAAAGTCTGCATGGTTTCCTGCTTCCTCCTCTGAACCCCCAAAGTAAGCAATAAATAATAGCTCTTGTTCATGAAGTACTTATGAGTATTTTTCTAGGTGGTTCACATTGTTCCCCTAACAGCCCTGTAATTGCTCCCATTTTATAGGCTGCTTTTTCCAAGGCCACAGAGCAAGGGAGGTCCAAAGTTGCAGGTGGCAGGCCAGTGCAGTGGTTAAGGAGCTGTGATGATTCCTGTTCATTCACTGCATTCCCTTTTATATTCATGAACAAGAACAGTAAGGCTGTGTTCCATTAAACAGCAAGAATGTACATTTCCGCTGTATACTACTGGTAGTGAGGCAGAGGGGCTGCCTGTTAAAGGAAAAGAGAGAAACCTTCAAGATATGGCCAGAAGAGAGATGAAGCATGCCTGTTTGGCTGGCATTTGAAAAAATGTGCTTCTGTTTGTTTTGAGAGTTTAGATTCTATGTCACTCTACAGCATAAAGAGGTTTCATATATAGACACATATATTATTTCATCCTTTTTATCTAATTTGGCATTGATATACAAGGAAGAAAATAAAATCAGGGCTCTGTCCTTTGGGATTAGATTGGCCATCATCACTCCAGAGCCACCACTCACATAGCCTGGGGCTTGGCTCTGTCAGTGTGGCTAGAGCTGCAAGGTGGGTTGAAAGTGTGCTTTGGGTTTCATTCGTTGGTCAAATAGTTGAGAACTGGGCTGTGAGTGCTACCTGTTCACTAAAACCCATTCTCTGTTTCTTCCTGGGCACACAGGAAGGCTGAATCGCCCAGCCTCCCCTGCACTGGGTCATTTGACTGAGGTCAATGGCACAGGCAGAGGTGTGTGCCTGTCTCAGCCTAGCTTACAAAGCCTCCCATTCACACTGCCCCTGCCTCCACCCCCTCCCCTGGGGATTGAATGCTAATGATCCCAGAAGCTTCAAAAGCTGCATGATGAAAATGGCACTACTATTATTTGTACCACCAAACCATGCCCAAACCAAGCAACCTGGAACATCCCCACTCTAGACAACTAAACAAGAGACAGATTTCTTTTGTTTGTGCCATTATATTTTAGATCTGTTTGTAACAGCCATTTCACCTACCCTAATGAATTCACGTGAGGGTCTGTGTTTCCTTGGGGCCCCAGGCGCATGTATGCACTGCCTGCATTGAGTTCACGGTCTAGTCACATTGTTGCTGTCATTGAATTGTCCCGGAAGGCAGGAGGAAAATGAACCAGTGCAAAGCTCAGAGCATCACCTACAGCAGAGGCAGGCAGACAGCCTTTCTCTCTAAAGGGACAGGGAGTATTTCTATCTTTGCAGGCCATATCATCTCTGACACACATTCTTCCTTGTGCTTTTATTTTTTTAAATTACACTTTAAAAACTTAAACAACATTCTTAAAGGCCTGACAGAAGCAGACCATAAACCAGATTTGACCTATGGGGTATGGTCTGTCAATCCTCGGTCTAGAGTTTTTAAAACCAAAAGAAAAATATTTCATAAGACATGAACATTATATAAAATTCAAATTTGGGAGCATTCAATCAAGTTTCATTGGAACACAGCCACATTTATTCATTGGTTGCTTTTGCACTACTAAGGCAGAACTGTGTAGTTATGGCAAGCATATGGCCCGCAAAGCCTGAAATATTTACTATCTGTTGCTTTACAGAAAATGTTTGCCAACCCTTGGACTGGAGGTTCCAAAAGGGAGATCATCCTGGTTAAGTAACCAGATCTCCTGCAACCCAGTGAGGACACTGGTGTCCTACTGCTCTGGTGCCATGCTAAGAGTTTAGCTTCTTCATCAACCACCATGGAAGAAAATCCTCCACCAAAAGAGCTTGGAGTTGTGTTGTCCCCTAAAGCAGAGTAGGAACAACAATCTCTACTGGCGAACTGAGCTGTTCTGATGAAATGGGCGATATAAACTGCTTTCAGTTTTTCTTTCCTCAAGGTACTGAATGATCACAGAAACACACCCACAAGGGAGGCTGTTTATCTAAACTCACTATGACAAGTGAGATCCTCTTAGAAGCCTAGTGAGTTATAAAACAAATACTCTAGAGAGCAACTACAAGTTCAATAGGTGACACATGCTTTCCTTTCTTACTATCGGTTGTTGCCATTAATAAGACTCTGTGCATGGACTTTTACATTCGTGAGCAATTCAATTTTTTTTTTTTTTTTGAGACAGGATCTTACTCTGTCACCCAGGCTGGAATGCAGTAGTGCAATCATAGTTCACTGCAGCCTTGACCTCCCAGGCTCAAGCGATCCTCCTACCTCAGCCCTCCCAAGCAGCTAGGACTACACGCATGTGCCACCACACCCAGCTAATTTTTGTATTTTTTTTTTGTAGCGATGGACTCTTGCCATGTTACCCAGGCTTGTCTTGAACTCCTGAGCTCAAGTGATCTACCCGCCTCAGCCTCCCAAAGTGCTGGGATTACACGCATAAACCACCATGCTGGGCCAAATTCATGATACAATTTAATTTTTAAAACAATTCCGCAAGTCACGTAGCTGGCTTTATGGATAAGAAAATTGAGGCTCAGTAAGAATAAATAATTTGCCTAAGGTCAAAGAGGTGAAAAGTCAGAGCTTGGATTTGAGTCTAGATCTACTTGAATTCAAATCCGATCCTCTTTCTATCACACTCTAAGGCATAGCGTATACTTGTAATTCATAAATTTGAGGACACTGCCACCATGTTACTCACTGGCCACTATGCAGGAATTCAAGTTTTTGTTTTTGTTTTGTTTTTTTTTGATAGTGAAGCTTCACCTACTTTCAAATATAACTGGTATTTGTTGAAATTTTTTTTTATGCTAGACATGGTGCTGAGTATTTATTACATTGGGTCTCTAACCTCTCCCGTTTCAATTTTCTCATCTATAAAATAGGCTTGATAACAGCACCTTTGGAGCATTAATGTTGAATTAAATGAATGCTGGGCATATAGAAAGTTCTTAATAGGGCCTATGATTAAACATACTAAGCTTTACACTATCTTAAGTGTTCATGTTTTGTTTTTTGTTGAAAATGAAAAATGAATATCCATATTTTTAAGATCCATTCTAGCCCAAATCACTGTGAGACACAGACATTAAACAATAAAAAGATAGTGTTGAAACAATCAAGGCGTTGAGTGTAGATATCTTGGGTAATCCTCCCACAGGAGGGGGACCATGCCTGAGACATCAGCACAATTTTGATTTGAAATACAAGTTTTGGGTGTGCACTTTGATAACAATAATTGAATTACATTGTTTATTATAAGGAGACCATTCAATGAAAAATAACCCAAGAATAGTTTTCTTCAATGACATTCTGGAATTTGTTATTAGTTTTAAAGCAACTTTTAAAAATGCATTAAACAAAAACAGCTAGGTCAGATACTATTTAAAACATCCTAGTTTACGTAGCACTCACAAGCTCTTCAATTTCCTAACATCTTACTTGTTTTCCTCAGCCATGGCTGACTGTGCCCAGCACCCTCTTTTGTCCCTATCACCTTTGTTATAAAACAAGACTTTCTTATAACACCCAACGTGCCTTCTTCCCACAGCTAGGATTACACGGAAGGTGGGACATTCTCAAACTTTTTTTTGGTACACATTGCTGTAACATGCCCTAATTTTGCATTGTATCAACCAGATCCTGTGTCCTCTTACTGAATGGCCTACTCATTGAGTTGCCTAAGCCACTGTGACTAAGCTACTTCTCAAGTATCTGGTTCCCTTAGAGACAGAACAGCGATCACATTGTCAGGCATTCATTCTTTATATACATGTAGAGTAAGGCTCAGCCACATGCTCCCCTTGACAATGCCCAGGAACACCACCAAATCTGTGCTCCTAAAAAGAAGTCTTGTCACTGAACTCCTTTAAGACTTTTCTCCTCAGTGCCCTGGGGGAAACAAAAGGACTGCAAGACACTCTGATCAGCTTGCTTATTATTATTGTTTGGAAGAATCCTTGTTGAATCACATTTTTACAAAGCTTGATGATCAGATTTGAGAGCCAATTCTTATCAACTGTAATGATTTCTAATGAGGAAATCATTAAGTAGACTTCCTTGCATGCTTCCAGCTACAATTCAACATCCTAAACCATGCATCTTCAAAAGTCACCTGGCCAGGAAAAGACACCTCCAGGCAATGAGACAACAGGCTGACCGCAAGTGTTCAGTACAAGGAAGGTGCTCAAAAAATGTTTAGGAAGAAATCAAGCTAAGAGACTCCAAGGAGCCTCTAACCCTAATCTGTGCAATGTTGACTGTGAATCTGCCATCTCCTGTACTGACTAGTCCCCCCAGTGCCCTGGGCTCACCTTCCAGTGGTTTCCTTGCCTGGTCCAAGCAGTTGTCTAATAAGCATCTGAAACTTGTCCAACACTGAACTCTCCCTTCCCTCCAAATTGAATTCTTTACTATTTCAACAAATATACGACTATTTTCTCAGTTGCCCAGGACAACACAGGAATCATCTTTCACTTCTCTGTCTTGTTTACTACCCACCACTCCAATCAATTCAAATCATTTCTAAATCCAGTTCTCTACCTGCAATGTAATCCAGAGTCCAAATAATTCTTTCCATCTCTACTGCTGGTGCCTCAGATCACTGCTACAACCTCCAATTTGGACCCCCATTTTTCTTCCACTACCATTCATTCTTCACACTTAGCTAAAGTAAAATGTAAATCAGATCTTCTCATCTCCTCCATTGTGGTCCCCCGATGACTTCCCATGGCACATGCAGTGAGATTAGCCCTGTTGACTGTGTGTGGCTGGGAGGCCCTTTGGAACCTGCCTTCATCCCTGACCACATCTCATTGACTCTCCATCTCCATCACTAAGCTTGGTCTCACTGGCCTCTGTCCATCAAACAGCAAAGCCTTTCTTGCCTCTGCACTTACTGTTTCTTCTGCTTACAACACCCTTTCTCCTGATGACCATACAGTAACTCCAGGCCTCAGACCCAAAGTCACATGCAGGAAGATCTTCCTCAGAAACCTGGCTTTCTGAAGTTCTTCCACAGCCCCATAAACTTATCAATGAAGGATACACTTATATTTAAGAAACTCAAATAGCCTGTACTTCAGAGAGTATATAAATTTGGCTTTTGGAAATTATATGAGATAAAACTTTTGTTTTTTTTGAGATGGAGTCTTGCTCTGTTGCCCAGGCTGGAGCACAGTGGCGCGATCTCTGCTCACTGCAAGCTCCGCCTCCCAGGTTCACGCCGTTCTCCTGCCTCAGCTTCCTGAGTAGCTGGGACTACAGGCACCTGCCACCACGCCTGGCTAATTTTTTGTATTTTTAGTAGAGACGGGGTTTCACTGTGTTAGCCAGGATGGTCTCGATCTCCTGACCTCGTGATCCACCCGCCTTGGCCTCCCAAAGTGCTGGGATTACAGGCATGAGCCACCGCGCCCGGCCGAGATAAAACTTTTTATCACATGACCTGGAATGAGAAAACTAAACTAAACAAACAAACAAATATATTACTACTTGAAGAAGCCTCAAAGTTCTAATGATTGACACATTAAAAAATTAAACTCATGGTATTTGTAATACATTATTTAGAGAATGGTTTAGACATGAATGAAAAATTGTATGAAGCCAGGCATTTCTAGGTTAAGTGTAAGTTCCATGTGTAAGCCAATAATTTATGGCCAAAGATTGAAAGTTCAGTAGGTCATGGGATGCCTAACTCCTTAACTCTAAGCTGGTCTCTTTCATTGGCTAATAGAATACTCTTAGATAACTCTCTTTTGCGTCAATTTGGCCCTTAGCGAGAGCTTATAGGAGACTTTCTGGGTGGTTTTCAAATGCTCATTTTCTAAGTGCCTACTCTTTTCAACACTCTTGTGTGAGTTACAGGCACCAGTGGTCTCCTTAGAAGACAGGTGTAGGGATTTTATAATGGATCAGTTAAGGAGATCTTCAAGGTTCTGCCTACTAACTACATGTTGATATTTCAGATATTAGTCTTTAGTTTTTAAGTAGTAGTTTTTCTAGAAATAGGAACAGTGATAGTATTGACAGAAGAAATAATACAAGAAAAAGCACAGCTAATGTTTCTTGAATTCCTACTATGTGCTAATCACGCAGTAGAGACCATTTGGCTGATTGATTCTATGGCCTTATATTTTATAATCTGCATTTTTGTTGTCTTCTTATAGAGAATTTGCCTAACAATAAGATGAGACATACTGTGTTTTACCGATATATTATCTCGGAACAGGAATTAAAATGGTGGGATATTATTGCTTCAGCCTATTTTTGATTAGGTGTACCTTTGAGATGATGAAAAGGAAATCTGGGCTGTGAAGCTAAATCCCCCAGACTGCATATCCATAGCAGATACTCAGTGTGTATTTGTTAAAATAAATATTTGTTGAAAGAACAACCACCCGGTCAAATTTGTAATAACAGTATGTGCATTTTAATGGTATTAATTCTAACACTTAATTATGATAAACTGCTGAAGTCACTGGGACATAATAAGAATTCAGTCTCTAATGCTCCAAATAACTTAAAAAAACCTAAGACTTATTATTTCTTTACAGATGAAAACAAGAGAAATGAAATATTAGCAGGATAACTTGAGAAATTACCTATAGCTACTTTAAATAACATTTTTGCCTGGGAAAGACTTATGAAATCATCAATATGCCAAAAAAGAAATTCCAAACTTTTGGGATACCCAAATGTACAACATGGAAACCAAAGTTTCACTCACAGAAGGTGGTCTATAATATTATTCTTTATCTATAATACCAATATAAGTACTGTACAACTCTAACATGGTCCCACTGCCTTTCAGAGGATCAATCTTACATACCATTCAAATACATTTAACCCAAGTAGCAAAGGGACATATAGAGACATTTGTAGCAGTTGTTTTGAAGATAAAATACCAAAGCTTCTAATCACTGAGAACAACAGAAAGTGAAATATTTGCTCCATTAAATGTTAGGGAATAAAAAGACAGGAAAAGTAAAAGAGAACACGAAACATCTTTCTATGTCACTTATGTATTTTAATATTTCATCCTAGGATAAAATTCAATCACTTTTATTCACTGGGGTCTGAATAAGCATGACTTTAATTGAACAAAGTGTATCTTATTGCCAAAGACCTAAAAATAATATCTTCTTTGGCTCTTTTACATATTTTTTACCTTACATATATATATTTGACTATATAGTTCTTCTCCATTTATATTTTAAATTTGTTAAAGTTAAATTACATTCATTTGGATAATAAACAAATTAGAGGTATATTTACTCCAAAGAAATTAAAAACTGATGCCTCTTGGTACTCACCCTCCCATATCTGTTGGCGTAGGACCCAGTAAGCAAGGAGTGGAAAACAATGATTGTCTCATCCAAGTCCCAGATGAACACTCTCTACAAAGGAAGAACCAAATCAATGTGTCTTTGCCTTGGCTGAGAAAGCTGTTATTCAGTTAACTTCAACACGAAAAAGTCATCTTGAAACGGAAGATGAATGAAAAATCTGAATTTATTATTTCAAAAAAAACACAACTGTTTCAAAGAGTATCTCCTAACTTTTCTCCAGATATAACTTTGGATGAGGTGCAAGAGGATAATTACATTTGTAATGTCAATATAAATATAGGAAAGAGATAATCTATGTCCTTTCTAATTCTGTAATAGAATTTCGGTCTCAGCTCTGAATAAATGAAAAAAATGAGTTATAGCTAGTCTGGTTATAACTTGAGATAGAGATGAGCAACTAATCATATATCATTTATCTTTTCCTTACCTCTGATCTCTGTTCATTGAGAAGCACTAAAATAATGAATCTTATGTTTTACTCTTAGGAAGCCAAGTATTAAAATTGCATCCAAAGACTAAAACCTTACATAATAAATTCACCTTATGTTACCTATTGAGCTGTTATCAAAGGGATGGGATACACATTGTTCTTGCCAGGTTTTTTAAGTCTTTAGGGTATAGATATTTAACAAAATAAGCATACACATCACTCATGCTCTTAGACATACTCTTGAAGTATTTAAAATGGGAACTGAAGGAATTCATTTCAAAAAGGTCTTTGGGATACCACAAAAAGCCTATCAAGCCTGTTTTACTTCTTCCTATTCCCACTCACACCAGTACATATTCATATACATAGATTCTGCTAAAAGTTTCATTTTTTCAGCCAAAATAATCATGTTTTCCAACCATCAGATTTCACTCTGGCAAAAAGCAGAAACTTAGTTGCAGTGGATTCAAGGCTATGAAATCTACCACTCTTTAAGTTCTTACTTAATCCTTCCTGCTTTTGAACTCCCCCAAAATATGTCTCATTAGATGATTACTATTTCAGTTTAGAACATTCCAGGTTTTCCTTTCTCAATATATATAAGTGTGTCTTTCATTTCAAAGTAGATTTTATGGCTGGGCGTGGTGGCTCGTGCCTGTAATCCAGCACTTTGGGAGGCCGAGGTGGGTGGACCATGAGGTCAGGAGATGGAGACCATCCTGGCCAACATGGTGAAATGACGTCTCTACTAAAAATACAAAAATTAGCCGGGCTTGGTGCCTGTAGTCCCAGCTACTCGGGAGGCTGGGGCAGAAGAATCGCTTGAACCGGGAGGCAGAGGTTGCAGTGAGCCGAGATCACGCCATTGCACTCTACGCTGGGTGACAAAGCAAGACTCCATCTTCAAAACAACAAAAAGTGGATTTTATTTATTTTTTGTATTTTTAATTTTTGTGGATACTAGGTGTATATAATTATGGGGTACATGAGATGTTTTGATATAGGCATGCAATGCGAAATAAGCACATCATGGAGAATGGGGTCTCTATCCCTTCAAGCATTTGTCCTTTGTGTTAAAAACAATCCAGGTACGCTCTTTTAGTTATTTGAAAATGTACAATTAAGTTATTATTGGCTATAGTCACCCTGTTGTGCTATCAAATAGTAGGTCTCACTCATTCTATTTTTTTTGTGCCTTTTAACAAGTGGATTTTACCAAGTATTTTTAGTATGACACTTAATTAAAATGGCAATGATACAGATCAGCATAACAGAATTTTGTTCAAGTAGAATTGCATAATTTACTATATTTCTTTAGAGAGAAACAGACCCTTTGCCATATAGTTCATAGGGAAGAAAAAACAAATTATTGCTTAACCTATAGTTAATAAAGGAGAGAAAATATTACTTTATCTATTGTTAATATAAAAAAGAAAGCAGTAACAAAAGCATCTGATACCTTAACCACTGCTGTTTACGTAGCAGGTATGTAAAACCACCAGTTAGCTATTAAGACACCTTTCTATTCACTTGGGTGTTGGCTATGACGTACCTCAAGATCAGAATCTGGGGGAGGTGAAGGATTATTGTTTCTTCGGCCCCGTCCACGTGATTTCCCATCTGAACCTCGACGCAATCGATCAGAATCTGAATCTTTAATGGGTGTTGATGGGCTGTGGATTGTGCTGTACTCTGCAGGAATATAGGAAGGACTTTCATCTTTTATTTCCATCACCATGGTGCCAAGATTAGCCTTGTTTTAATTCACAAGGGGAGTTTCAATAGTAAAGCACATTTCATTCTGCTGAAATCCTACATCGTCTTTTACTTGCGCTGGTAAATAATTTATAAGATATCTGATTACAAGATTTGTTTTGAAAGAAAGTGTGATGAGGAACAATTAAAATTTAATTGAAGGTGAGAGGCAACAGGTTGTACAAGGTTGCCTGCATCTTCCATGTGGTTCTCTGTGATTAGAGAACGCTCCCCATGCCTTTCCCCGCTTCTCTCATTCATTCCAGTCACAGCACCTGGCCATACTGAGAGGCTCACACATTTGCCTCAGCTGTGGCTCTCTCAGCTACAAAAAGGTTCTGGTGCATGCAAAGAGGTGAAAAGAAAAAACCAGCTCTCTGGGGCAGGGAAAACTGAGTCATCAGGTAGATTTTTCTTTGAAAATTTTACATTCCCCATTTTCTCCCTCATTTTATGTGAGAACAAGCGGGTGACAAGATAAAGAGGCAGATACATGGACAATACCCGTACTCCACACACTGTCCATCACCGGCTCTTCCTCGGTCCTAGTCCCTTTGAACCAAACATCCAAAACCAGGCAGCACATTAAAATTACTCATCTGGGTAACTCAGAGAAGCCACTAAAATAATTACATAGAAACCACAAAATAAAGAACAACCCCCAAAAGGCTCAAAGGAAGAGTCGGGCAGTGATTGTGGAGCGAGGGAAGATGCTTATCTTGTGTTCAGACTGAACAAAAAGCCATTTACTCACACCAATTTTGTACTTTTTAGTCTATCCAATACATACATCAGAATATCTCCTCTTCTCCCAAATTCCAGACGTCCAAAAAGCTGGCTCACCCCACAAACTCTTTTCCAGATTTCTGTACCAGATTTAGTTTGGAATCTCTCCATCTAAGATGAGGAATGATTATTTTCCCTACGATGTTGTTAAGGTTGGTCTATTTCACTAAACAGAAAACCACTGTTTGAAGAGAACAACTGAAGGCTTGGTAGCCTTTATTAACACACTATCAGCCTCAACTATACCAATAAGGCCATCCACGTGTCAAACTGCATGGTCTCAGAATTACCTCCACGCTTAAGTGCTTCTCCAAAGCCTTGAGTCAGAGTAGATAGGAAAGGCTTTGACAGAATAAATTTCTGTTTCTAAATCACAGGAGACAGCTCTATACCTCTTATTTAACCTTAAAACCTAAATAGATTCCTATTACTTATAGAAAACAAGCAAGAGACTTCTTCTATAACAAGATGGCAAACTTCCTCATCTAAACTGGTCATGTGATTCTCACACCCAGAAACCACCATCATGACCTGTAAGCTTATTAATGACAATAAGAAAGTCCAAATCAACTCCACCCCATGGGTTAGTTTATTTGGGATGCATTTTTAAGCTGACTCATCTCACAGAACCATTACAACATAATGCTGGCTTGTCAGTTAATCATTCTCTAAATCTACATTAATAGTCTTTTATTACAGAGGCAGATAACTAGGGCATCCTCTCCTTAAGATGTTCCAAACTGAGCATCTCTCTTCCATGTTTTAAAGAGAATCAGCAGCTCCAAATGAGTAGAATTTTAAGTAGTCAAGTGGATTCAAAGCTGTTCTTTGAGGAAAAAGTCTTGGCCTTCCTTTTTAAAAAATATTCTGCAATGTACGTCTCCATGCAGAACCAGATATTCACCATCTGAGACAAAACACACATCAATCTCTAATATGTTTCGATACCAAGCATTCATTTTACAACCAGTACAGTCACCATCTAATTCAACCTGCACTTCAAGTACTTTACTACAAAGTCTCTCTTGAATTGGGAGCTCTCTGGCTTTTGGAAGTAAGTATTTGAAGAGAAGCTAAAAGACATCGAGCAATGTAAGTTAGCATGTTACAACTTTTTCCTTGACTTACCGACAGTATAATTTTGTCGTAAAAGTCGTTTATCTTTCCTAGATTTTGTTAGCCTAGATTTCCTCCTATTGATGGCTCATTCCTTTATTTCCTAATGTTTATCCCCACTTTAAAAACTCAATCTTTTAAAATATATTCTGTCTTTATTATTATCACTTTTTTTGGAAACAGACTAGCTATAATGAAGTGAGTTACTTTTGTAAGCCTCTTTCCAAAAGAAAATAAATTCATTCTGCAAAGTAGAAAGTGAAAGTTTTAAATCATGTTATCTAAAGTTTTTCCAGGTAAAGGGAAAAAAACCCCTAAAAGATAGACAACCTGACACCTTTAAATATTAAAATACACCCACACCCGTACCTTGCAGGCCTCCACTTCTGGAGGAAGATGAAAATAAAAGTGATGCAAGCTAGTTATTTTTCAAAATCCCTTCCTTTTCTATGAGGTGGAATTAAATGCTTCTATTCTCTTAACCAGCTTTCCAGACTCTAACTTCTCCTTCCTCCTCCTAGTGCAAAACAACTCAAATATTCAAATCATTTAATCTTCTAATCCACTGACAGCTCATGTTTCACTAAAACCCTCTCCAAATTGTTCAAGTTTACCCCCACTGAGATACTGGATGTGAAAATACTTTGGAGGGCATTCATTGATTTTAACAAACTTGGAGTGGATGTCACGTTCACACCATGCAGGCACTGTACCAGGAGCATGAAATATAATGATGTAGCAAACAGACATGGTTCCTGCCTTCTCGGAGCTTACAATTCAGAGGAAGGCATTGACTTGTGGACAAAAATGAGAAATTACAAAGTAATGTGGAAAGGTCACAACACAGGAAAGGCAGAATGCTAGGAGAACACAGAGGAAGTCCACATAACTCAGATTTGCAGGCTTACAGAAGCTTCCTGAAGACAGAGGACAAATGCACCAGTGAAGAGGGAATATGACTGTGTTCCAGACAGGGGCATAAGTATGTGTGAAGGTAAAGTGGGAGAGAGAGAGAGAGTGAGCGAGCGAGAGAGAGAGAGTGAGCGAGCGAGAGAGAGAGAATGAGAGCGAGTGAACGAGAGCAAGCGAGTGAACAAGCGCAAGCGCGTGCGAGAGCGCATGTCACATTTAAGAAATGAAAATAAAAATCCAATCTGACCTGAGTCTACAGAAAAAGAACACAGAGATGAGGCTGGAGTGGCAGGTAAAGAATTCAACAACGGAGTGGGGGCTCACACTCCACGTGGCAGGGTGCTGGAGAGGAGACTGAGAATGGGAGACCGGCCAGGAGGATAATTCAGTGATCCAGGTGAGGGATGGTGATGCAGGTGCCGGGCATAAGGAGATCTGAAGTGTCATTAGGAGGTAAAATCAATAACTAAGTGGATAAGGAAGAAAGATGCAGTAAAAAATCATGCCCATGTCAGTGGTTTCACAACTGGGTGAAGATTGTAATACAAGGTACGGGACTTAGGAGGAAGAAGGCATTACAGGGAAGAGTATAGGTGAGAATTCAGTTCCGCTTTGGACATATTGAATTTGAAGGGGCTGTGGGCATCCAAGTAGAGATGTCCAGTAGGCTGCTAGACTACTCTGAAGCTCCATAAAGAAATATGGGCTGGGTTTAGGATTGGAAACTGACACCATATGTAATTAAGGAAATGAGTGTTGTTAAAGAAATGCAGTGTGTGTACAAGGGTTGGGCACAGAAAGACAGGTGAGGTTTGAAGAGGAAAACCAAAGTCAATGTATGGCAGATGAAAAAGTATGTCAGGAAGGAGAGAGTGATCAATAACTTCAGATCACCCAAGAAACAGGTAAAATAAAGACTGAATCTGAGTACTTTAGATTAGAGTCAAGAGGCATTTGGTCTACATGGCAATAATACAGATTCAAGGAGGCAGAAGAGTGAAACAACAGGGGGTAAAACTCCTAAACTGTTACTGATGACCCTCTAATGGCCAAATCCAATAATTATTGTCTTAGTCTTCAATATTATTTGACCCCTCTGCAGCTGTGCTGACCACTTGCTCCTTTAAATCATGTCCAATTCAGAATATCTTGACTTCCCTTACTTCTGCTTTACACTATCCCTTATCAGTCTCTTTGGAGAACTTCTGCTCTGACCAAAGTGTGAATATTGGTGTTCTCTACATCCCTGTTATTCAAAGTGCTGATCTGGGACAAGATACAGATTTTGCATCAGGATATGAATCAACACAATGTTTCCTTCATCTAAAAGTCTTGCTAATATTAAAAATATAGTCAGCTGAAGAAAACACTATGTAACGTCATTGATTACTTAGTAACATGGTCGATTACATTCTGAAGCAAATCCTTTGTTATCTTGCACTAATAATAAACAGTTAGTGGACAGGCAGCCAGTTGATGGACTATATTTTGAGCAGCAGTGCACTGGAGTTTCTTCCATGGCCCTCTTATCCCACTGTAGGCTCTTAGTGCTTGGTAATATTTGTAGGAGGAATTTAATTGATGCCCTCCAAGCTGATAAATTCTAAAGCTTTACCTTTTGATCTCCTGACCTGAGTATCCCACTATTTCTAGACCTCTCTACCCAAGTATTCCATGGACACCATAATTAAACTTGTACCAAAAGGAATCCTCCCTATCAACAAGTTGAATTAATGGTACCAGTAACTATCCACTTTTTCAATCCAGAAACTCCTTAGTGTCTCCATCAAATTAAGACTAAGTTCTGTGGTTTTTACTCCTAAAAACTTTTGCTCTAAGTTGAGGCTCTCATTATATCTTGCCTTAATTCTTGCAACAGGCTATTTCCAGGATCGATAGGCTCGTCTTCCACCTATTTTCTGCACTGCCATCACAGAGAGTGGTAAGACCCTTCTGCTTCAGCCTTATAGTGTGAAACAGGAACGACAGTCTAGATTTTAAGGCACTGAGCTATGTATTCAACTGCCACATTTTGACTCTTGACTGTACTACTTACTAGTAGTATTGCTTGCTCGTTATTTAGCCTTTACATGACTCAGTTTTTTCATTTGTAAAACGGGAATAAATGGGGTAAAATAAAACTAACATACATGTAAAGGTACTTGGAGCTGCACATGTCGTTAGCACTCTACGATGTTAGCTAACTGAAAAAAGTGTTGTCACCGAGTCATCCTTCAACAACCTTATCTCTAACTACCCTCTCTTCATAGTCTACTTCAGATAGACAAACTTAATTATCTCATTTCTCTGAAAGTGCCATGCTATTTCATGGCTTCACACATTTTTTTTTTTTTTTTTTTTTTTTTTTTTTTTTAGTTTTTAGAGACAGGACCTTTCTCTGTCACTGAGGATGAAGTGTAGTGGTACAACCATAGCTCACTGCAGCCTCAAATTCCTTGGTTCAAGGGACCTGCAATATATATCTCTCAAGCTCTCAAGCAGCTAGGACTACAGGCACATGACGTGACACCAGGCTAATTTTTTTAAAAAATCTTTTGTAGAGATGGGGGTCTTGCTATGTTGCCCAAGCTGGTCTTGAATTCCTGGCCTCAAAGAGTCCTCCTGCCTCAGCCTCCCAAAGCACTAGGATTACAGGCATGAGCCAATGCACCTGGCCCTTGTCTCCTTTTCTCAACTCCTTACCCTCTCCGCTGTCTGAGAAATTCCTATTAGCCTCTGAAGATCAAACTCAAGAATCTTTGTGAATTCTCTAACTTCTGGTCCCTTCTTTGTAATTATGTACTCTTATCTCTATTATAGGATTATAACATTTTTGCAATTATTTGCATTTGTGGTGGATAATAAATAATTTGATGAAATTATTTTGAGCACATGTCCATCATTCCCACTCTGGGAAAACAGAACACAGTGGTATTCATGTTTGCACACTGAGAGCATGGTAAGTGTCTAGAGTGCAAGGCAAACATTAAAAAATTGATGATTAGAAAAATGTTTCTTCAGTCTAGTATTTATTAAAGCTATAAAGGTTAATTATTTCTACAAGACAGCAAAAATATTTATAAATGAGAAATAGCTATCATTAAGAGCTCATTTAAAAGTTAATGTTTATATATTAAGTCATAAAATATTAAAATCCACATAAGATAATTAAATTTTTACATCTGTAAATACCACAGATTTCCATAAATTCTTCAATATTAAAAAGAAAAACAAAGAACTGGAACTCGCAAGAGTCCATTTAGTTCCCCTGAGCTAGTAACTCCTCCTTGAGCCTTGGGGAAGTTACTTCCATTTTTTCCTCAGTTCCCACTCTGTTTATCAAATTGACGACAGCCTAGATTATTTAGCTTTAAAATTCTATTACCTGTGGATGTACAACACTTACCAAAGCCTCATAATGATTAGTTCTTTGTCTCTCTCTCTCTTAAGTAGATTAGTTACCTTCATATTAATCTATATAAAAGATCTCAGGCAACTCCAACCCTCAAAACCCATCAGGGTTTATTGCCTACTATATCTAGCCCAAATTACCTATGTGGTTTTATTTCTCAGGCCTTCCTTAATACGCTGTTTTCTTATACATATTGCCAAATAGTTTTCAAAGGACTGTATCAATTTAAATTGTGTCTCTTTTACCATAACCATATATACATTGGCTGTCATCATTTTAAAGTCATTGCTATTTATCATACACAGAACAGTGCATCATTTTTAATTTGCATATATTAAAGATGCTTATATATTTGCTTAAAAATTATATTCCCTCTGTGAACAGTCCAAATCCTTTGCCAGTTTTTAAATATTCCTTTATTGATTTATACAAAATAGTTTTAACCCTTTTTTCATATCTACTGATACTTCTCCCAGCCTGATATTTCCTTAAATTATGCTTTCCTTCACAGAGGTATTTTATTTTTATGGAGTCTTGCTGCACGACATGAAGGCCTGGTTGGCTCCTTGAAGATTTAGAGATAAGTGTTCACATTTATTCTAAGGGTAGTAGGGGATTTCTGATCTAGCTTTACACCCCAGGGACTACATATGCCAGTAGTGGTTGCAAAGGAAGTAGAATACACAATTCCTGCAGGCTCCTTTCTCCGTGCTTTGGGAGGGTGGAGGCCCTCCTCACTCATATTGAAGTCTAAGTGAGGTGAAAGACTACTCTCCCTAAACAGAAGTAGGTAATTGAACTCCTAGCCGAGAGGAAGCTCTCACCACATGTACAATGACATTGGACTGAGGCCAGGGTAGCTACGATCTCTGGCAAGACCCTGAATCTGTCTGCTAAGACAATATAGCTTACAACACAAAGTGCAGAGCTTTTCATGAAATCCTTAGAAAGATTATCTGAATTTAGTGAACATGAGACAGGCTAATCAATAATTATATTCTATTTGCCATTATGGGAGACTCAGATAAAAATAACAGAGCATATCACTTCCCTAAATGTAGATTCCATCATGTTCAAGACTCAAGCCTTAAAGCACATTGTACACATGAGCACGAAGTAGATGTCAGACAACAACTGACACTAAGGCACCCCTGAACTTTGAGACTCTCAAAACCAACATAAGTATATGCAAAAGTCATCTTAATAGATGGTATACCAAGGCCAGATCAGGAAGACAGAATGTAGAGAGGTTGAAATCTAAGTCAAGAAGGCAAGGATATTATAGTTCTTCCGTGGCATTCCCCATAGGGAAGCAGATGCATCAAATTTGATGACATTGGCCAAAAGAATCATATACATCCATTGGGCATATTTTTGGTTATGATTTTGAAATTAGTTTTCCTATGGGGGAAAACACTGGTGAAGCTGAGTTGAATTACTTTAAGGCAAGTGAGTGGGATTGACCCTTACTCCAGGGATGGACAAGGTAAACAAAGAAATATAATCAAAATTACCCAGAACTTCTCTACACCAGCTGCACTGTGAAAGTCAAAGGCACTGAAACTAACCCATTGGACGGTGTTGGTACAGGTCACAGGTATATGATGGGGCACGGAGACTAACTTACCAACACTATAAACATTTAATTCTCCTTTTTTGTGTGTGTGTGGAGGGGAGAGTTCCTATACCCTAGAGCAAGGCTCGGTAAATTTTTCCTGTCAAGAGTCATACAGTAAATATTTTAGGCTTTCTGGGCCACACGGTCTCTGTTGCAACCATTCCACTCTGCTGTCATAGCAGCACACAGAAATGCTTGACAGGCTATGAATTCCGCTTGGTTTGATACACGCACCAGAACTATACATCTTGTGAGTGATTTTTTGATTTCATCTCTAACATAATGGCCAGGTGCAGGCACCAAGTCTGCTGTCCCAGGTCTGGGTCCCTGGGCGTACTTGTTTACCAGGCTCTTTGTAGTCAGCTGAATCTAGGGGACACAAACTCAACTTACTTGAGCAGACAAGCATACCAGTGACACCAGAAAATGAGCTAAGCTGAGTTTCTGAGAAAAGAAAAATTCGAAGACCCTACCATTGTCAAGCCATGCTGTTTACTATGTAAGAAAACCAGGAAATTCAGGTGAAAAGGTGAATGAAAAAAGGATATGTAGGCCTTTTACAATGAACACTTAGATTTTCTCTGACTTAAAGTGACCTCCCATAGCTGAATATGACAGATATTTCTAACAAACCCACCTCTAATCCTCTAGACAACATTGCATAAAATGAATTCTCCTCTCCTGTAAGGCAGTCAGAGGGAAGGGCTGGCCAAGGTTCAACCTCTACAGTCAGATATCCGCAGAGTGAATACCAAAATTCCTTTTATTCTTAAAATGTCTAAAGCAATTCCAGTGGTGGCCTAAACTTCACGCTTGAATTCTCATGTGGCTGAATGCCACTGAAACCAAATGCTCACAACATGGAATGTATACATGTGCACACATTCATTCAGCTGACTTGCTTTTTTTCCGATAAAAGGAGAACAATGTTGGAAAACTTTGTTTTGCTTTTTTTTTCTTTGGAGACAGGGTCTCACTCTGTCACCTAGGCTGCAATACTGTGGCATAATCACAGTTCACTGCAGCCTTGACCTCCTGGGCTTAGGTGATCCTTCCACCTTAGCCTCCCATGTAGCTGAGTCTATAAGTGAGCACCACCATCCCCAGCTAATTTTTAAATTTTTTGTAATTTTTATACAGATGTGGTTCCGCCACGTTGCCAGGCTAGTCTCAAACTCCTGGGATCAAGCGATCTGCCTGCCTGGGCCACCAGAAGTGCTGGGATTATAGGCATGAGCCACCATGCCCAGTGAAAAACTCCATTAAAAAGGTCTCTATATAATAGTTTTTTAAAAACAATCTTTGAAACAACTCAATTTGAAGTAGCTATAAAACAGGTCATCTTACCTTTGCACTGGATCTAATCTACCCATACTACTCTTTACCTTTGCAGTTTTGGGAATGAATGGGGAGGTTTTCTTATGTTATTTTGTTTTGTCTGAGAATGTTTTTTTCTTGAATGGTCATTAATGCCACCTCATACTCACAATGGGCTGCAACCTCCAACACTGCTGAAGCTCCCTCTGTCCCACCATTCGGCACCTTTCTCCTCCTACAGCAGGGATTTGTGGTATCGTCATTTAAGAGATACCACTAGTGAACATTTTGCTCCTAAAAGTTTCTGAATATCTCTGATGCATCTTTCTGTTCATTTTCTTACAAGAATCATTAAACCTCCATCTCTGCTAATCTGTGAAGATGGTGACTGCTGCTTGCACTCAGTCTTAAACATCTGAAAGAGGAAAATAAGCAAAATTTGTCTCTGCAGGGAGTTTTATCTCTGGCCACTGCCACGGGTCTGCTGACTGTGATTCTTGCATCACTGGGGTTTGATCAGATTTAACAAGTACCTGTGGCTAGGGCCAGTCTCCTGGAGGTGCAGCCTGTGCACTCCCACAGGGCTTTGTGTTCAGCTGGGCCTGCAACTTGGTTCAGTAGTCTGCTGTGCTGTCTTAAAATTCTTTATTTTTGAACAAGGGGCCCACCAGTTTTGCAGCTGGTCCTGCCTGTGGCTATCACAAATTCCTAGGCCAGGGCAACAAGCACTACTTTTGGATTCTGTGGTATCACAGAGCACCTATGTGCCAGGCAACACACTCAGCACCAGGGATGTGACTGAGCAGGATGATGGTCCATGACCTTGTAGAATATTGGCGCTGCCTATATTTATTATGCACCAGGGGTGTCATGAGCAATACCAAGGGACAGCTTTCTACTCTCTCATTGCCAAGGAACCTGGCTTCCCATTCACTGAGAAAACAGAAGGAACCACTCTCTCTACTCTCCTTGCCAGGCTCTCCCCACCCGTAAGTACTCTGTATGCAGTCTGCCTCCCCTCAGGTTATGATGGGTGGACCTTCTGCACTCCTAAGGCCAACCCCTCCTTTTGGCATGAGACTCCAGTGCCCTGTCACTGATTCCAGTCCACGTTCCCTTTACTCTAGATGACCTGCAGGTGCACACAAGCTAGATAGATTTCTTGCCTAAAAAGCATCTTCCACTTCCTCTAGATTCTGCCCTCTTTCTCTACTGCCTTACAGTGTACAGCAAAAGTCACTGAAAGAATTGAGAATCCCTGCTGCTTAAACTTCCTTTTATCCCATTTTCTCTTGAACCCACTTCCATCATGCTATTTTCTCTAATGTTCCTCTTTGTCAAGATCACCAACAACATCCACTCTGTCAAATCAAATAGTCAAGTCTCAATTTCCATATTTCTCCGCCTTTTGCCAGCGCCACACACAGTTGATCATGGCTTCCTTCTGCAACACTTGTGTTCCTTGGCCTCTGAAAGGCCCTTTTCTCAGTTCTCCTCCTGACTCCCTGGGTGCTCTTTCCCAATCTCCTTCTCTGGCTCTTCCTCTTTTCCCAGCTGGCTAACGTGGGAAGGCCCTGGGCTCAGTGCTTGTCTCCTCTTCTGTGTTTGCTCCTACAGTCCTGGTTAACTCATCCACACACACAGCTTTCAGTGGCTTCCAGATGTTGAAGACTCACAAGTTTAGGCCCTAACCTGTCTTGTAAACATTAGACTTACTTATCCAATGACTGAGTCACCACCTCCTGTTAGATTTCTAACAGACAGCTCAAACTTCACATGTGCTAAGCAGAAGCTCTGATCTCTTCAACACCACCTTGTTTTTTTTTTTTTTTTGCCTTGTTGCAACTTATTCTCTGTCCATGACTAGAGAAATTATTTACAGGTGTAAGAAATCATGCCATGCTTCTGCTTAAACACTGCTCATGTTATTCAAAATAAAATCCCAAATCCTTCTCATGCCCACAAGGCCTTCTACTACAGCTTCTCTTCCTCCCTGCCTTTACCCTCCCACTTTCCTTTCCCAGAGGCTCCAATGCCTTATGGGACTTCTTTGCTCTTGCTGAATCCAAAAAGCACAGCCCCACCTCCAGGCCTTGGCAACTACTGTTTCCTCTCCCCAGAATTCTTTCCCCAGATATTAAGGTGGCTCTCTCCTCCCTTCCTGAAGGCCTCTGCTCAAGTGTCACCCGATGGACAACTCTTCCGAAACAGTTTACCTGCCCTAACGCTATTCTCCTTAGGCAGCTGTTCATCCTTCCAGCCACTCTGCCAGATGCATTTTATATGTACTTATCATCTGTGCCTCCAATAGAATGTAAGTTCCCTGACGGCAGAGGCTTGATTTTTGCTCACTGCAGAATCCCCTATGTCTAGAACAGTGCCTGGAACATATCAGAGGCTCGTTAAACTTTTTTTTTTTTTCCACAACCTGGCATGTGGAGCATCTCTGGTTCACACAGCAAAATGCACATGATCATTGATAATCTCCAAGGGTCTGTTTAGCCTCTCTCTTGAGGGATGTGTCACAGGGAAATACTTATCAATGTCTTCATGTTCATTAGGGGACAGCATTTCTCTGACAGGAGAACTCAAACACACTTGGTTCACTATCCCATCCTCTGGTCTCAACTGATTGAAACAGTGCAAAGCCAGGAAGACATATCACAGCAAAAGAAACTTGAGGCTGGGGTCAGGGTTGAGAGATGGAAGAGTGGAGAGAACAGGGCTTCTTCTAGGTTTAGGATTATTTCTACCCAGATCTGTTTAGGGATGTATTACTGTCCCCAGTTAACAGATAAAAAGATTGAAGTTAATCAAAATAAAGGTCTGCCAGCTAGGCTGTACCAATATCAGGATCTGAACCCAGGCCTGTCTTCTCTAAAGCCTCCAACTCCACCTGCCTGCTCCCACCTCAGACGCCCTACAGACTTGACTGGCCTCAGAAACAGCATTGTTTCTCCAAGCCGTAAGTCTCACTTGTCAATGAGGAGGCCAGAGACAGGCTGTGCAGCCTCTGATGGGTACCTGCCTGGGGACCCTTGGCTGCCACCTTCTTCTGGAGGTTTGGGCCTAAAGGAGAGGGGCTGCCCACAACCAGAGCTTGGCTGCTTGGGTGATGGAACCCTCACTGACTCCAGTAAGGGGACCTTCTTTCCTTTCACTCTTTGGGAAAATAACCCACCTGCAGAGAAGCTGAATCTTGCACATTCTGGTACATCTGCATATCCTCTCTAACTTACAGGGCATAACACAGAAAATGGATTCATTCAAATTTCACCATAGTGGACAGAATAACCTACAAGTTAACACATTAGGGTTGCATACATTCCAGAGCAGCCTTGATAGCTTATAATTTATTCAGTTATCTGGACTTTTGCTGGACTTCAGTTTCCTCAACAGTAAAATGGGAACAGCACCATTGTCAAGATTGCATCAAATAATGCATGCTAAAGTGTTTTATACAAGTGTATTTGTGTTGTTGCTCTAAGTCAATAGTTCAAAATTACCCCTCTGGGCTGTTACCTTATTTGTAAAGATGATGATAAAGTGATATTCCAGTTCAAAAATGCTTTCATCCTTTAAAAAATTTAAATATAACTTAACCGAATTCTGATGGAAAGGATATCCTGTCATTGAGCCCATTTAAAGTGGTCTATTTCTCTAGCCTCAAATAAATATCCCTTCCCTATCCTCTGTCCCTCGCACTTTCACATCCTCCAATGCTGAGAATTTCACCTTCTTTGTTAATTTCTTCTTCAAACACTTATGTAAGGAATCTGTTGTTGCACTCTTCCTGAGGACTTTGTTTCTTCTAGCATGGCATTTTAAAAATGGAAATTTTATTAGGTTTGGCTGTACACATAGTTTTCTTTAGTGGCAAAATGCTCCTGAGGACAGTGAATGACCCTCTTGTCTTCTATATCTCCATAGAACCCAATGGTACTTTGAAAGTAAGAGATGCTCAATGGCTGGTAATGAAACGTTGACGAACATCATTAAAATCTCATTTCCATATGTCAGTAGGAGAAACTGCGTTTTCTACTTTGCCTTCAATTAGGGAACCAGGGGATGCAATTTAATAGCACAATTAAGAAATATATCTCAAGAGAAGTGTGCTTTCTTAGTAACCTTTATCAATATAAAAGCTGAATCAAGGCAAGTAATTAGATGAACAAGTGTAGGGAAACATATACTTTAAGAAAAACACTAAATGAGAAACTAGAAAGGAGAGACTCCAAGCAAATCCTGTAATTCTTAGAATGTTTGAAGGGAGAACATTTAAGAAGTGGTAGGCATGGGAAATAAAATAAATTGCAGAAGCTGAAAACAATATTCATGACAGAGAAAGTGTACTCCTTACATTGGGAGAGATTTTACCATGGGCAGCATGCTTTTCAAAAAATACATGAAATAGCTGAACTGAAACGAATAACAGGCCTGCCTATTCATTATACAAGTAGGTTTGGAACTTTGAGCAAAGAGAAGAAATGATAAAGAGGCATGTGCTCTTGGGAGACTACAGTTATATGAAAACATGAAGTGCATATTAACCCAAAAGGCTTTTTTTGTGCATATCAGGTTTTTGTGCAAATATTAACCAAAAAGTTTCCAAAACAGTTGTTGTTAACAAAGTAAGTGCTTCCTGAGCATGTCTGTTCTCTGGTTCTTATTGTTTTTGCAAGGTAATTTCTTCCTGAGCATGTCTGTTCTCTGGTTCTTATTCTTGTTGAATACAACCTTTTAATTCTTAATTTTAGTTTCTGAATAATTGATATCCCACTTTTCTAAAAGAAGGGTTTAAGATAACCCACCAAATATATACATAATAACTATACAGTCAACTTTTTAAAAAATGAATGAGTACCTTAGAAGAAGAATGTGGATCAGAAGGGGAAAATGGAGCCAGTGAGGAAATGGACCACACGGGTCTTCTTGCAGTCCATGCAGGGCAAAGGCAGGAACAGTTCTATGGCTCATGGTGTGCATGAGATGTGACAAACAACTTCTCCACAATAGTGGAGGTGTGCCCCATTCACCCAGGTATAAACCTGCACATCCTGCACATGTAACCCGGAACTTAAAATAAAAAATGTAGGTGTTCCCATTATAGAGATGGGATGGAAACACCTCACAGAACTGCTCACTGAGGAATGCTACGGAATGCCAGGAGCACACCCTCGTGGTAAATAAAACAGCAAGTGTCACAAGATTCTTTCTTCTAAGGCTGATTACTGCTGACTCTGTAACTCTGGAGTTCACTACTGCAGAGTGCAGAACCCTGGAATCAGGCATCTTGTTTAAGGGTAAAACTGAAAATATCTGGAGGCATGGAGCCATGACATATTGTTATGCCAGCTGACAATAACAAGTTTCTCCTTTGAGTTTTAAGTGGCAGTGAGGTAAGAGGGTATGCGAAGGTGTTATTGCTTGGTTGAGTGGGGGGAAACTCATAGGCTTTACTAAGTTAGCTGTGCTGAGAATAGAAATAGACATTTTCCTATGAAAATTACAGGCCCAATCAGGGAAGATTCCCACGTAGAAGGCCACAGTCCTGAAAGAAGGCCAATGATATTCCTCAAAAATCACCTGGGATCCACACAGATCTATGAAGTTATGGGTCATCAAACCTTCAAAGTTACGTGTGATAGTGTGACCATGATAATTTCATATTGGTAGTTTTTTTTTTTTTTTTTTTTTTTGAGACAGAGACTTACTCTCTCATGCAGGCTGGAGTGCAGTGGCACGATCTCAGTTCACTGCAACCTCTGCCTCCTGGGTTCAGGCAATTCCCCGCCTCAGACTCCCGAGTAGCTGGGATTACAGGTGCCTGCCACCACGCCTGGCTAATTTTTCTATTTTTAGTAGAGACAGGGTTTCATCATCTTGGCCAGGCTGGTCTTGGACTCCTGACTTCGTGATCCACCCTCTTCGGCCTCCCAAAGTGCTGGGATTACAGGCGTGAGACACCCCGCTTGGCCTAAATTTTTTTTTTAGATTTTGGCATAAAAGAAAAAAAAGGACCTCAGCAAAACCTTGAATAAATTACATTATATTAGTTTAGATTCTCAGTGACTATTACCTTAGCAGAATAAAAGATTTAATGTAAAGGAATTGTAATAATTTTGTTTTCAGTCATAGAAATCTCCCACAAAAAACTTTTGTAAAATAAACTAAAGGCAAGTAAACTTGTTGACTAGCCTTATAGGGATAACCAGTAGTCCGAGACCAATAAACACTAACTGAATTAATCTTAGAGAATTGCTTTGACTTCTCTACCTGTATTCCATAGCCATTATTCCCTGTTCACGCAGGCACTAATCGAGGTCTCTAGGTAAATTAATTCATTAGTCAAGGTCTAGTAACTCAATTAAGACAGCTTCATCACTCCTAAAATATGACCATTATCCACTTTCCAGTAATCTCTGGATAACCTGGTAGAAACCTCTAATTATTCTTCTTACACATTTCAACCACTGGTTTAAGCTCCCCACAGTCATTCTACATGAAAGAAACTGGTGAGCCACACTTTTGGGGCTTTAGTGTCTGAAACAACCACAATCCACAATGTACAACAGTAATGAACTTCAAGAGGGAAGAACACATCAGCTTCCTGAGGCCAGGGGCCTTGCCTTTCTTGTCACCCCCATATTCCCAGCACCAAGCACAGTGCCTGGCATGCAGCAAGCATTGATAAATATCTCTTGAATGCCCGAATGGAAGAAATGGACATTTGAGGGCCTAATATGTATCAGTCACTTTGCTAGCCACTTACATCATTTCATTCTCATAGTCATCCTATACACAAGAGTGGTATTATGCTCATTCCACAGAGAAATAATACACCAAGGAGCTAAGTGGCCTTCCCAAGTGAGTGACAGAGCCAGAATTCAAACCCAGGTTAGCCCAACTCCAAATCCCTAGCCACCACTCCAGTTTTTCCTAATTGTATTCAAAGGGAGGGTGCTGGTCAAGAGACATTCATAGACATTCTCAGATGGGGTGTTGGGGGAAGCACAGGTGGAAAGTGGTACCCAACCCCAGCCAGGTATGACTGGGAAACATTGGACATTACACTCAATTCTCAATGAGTACTGTCATATCAAAAATCAGAAAAGACTTAAAGTAGAGAAACTCCAATAACTTTAAATATGATAACTTGTATCCCTAACTGCTCCCACCTGGGAACTCATTACAGGATAAAAGGATATTCATCTCCATCTTTGGGAGACAGTTGTGCTACCCAGGGAAGTATGGGAAAGGCCACACTACACCCTTCTGTCTCCCAAGGCTGACACTCTAGTGTCCCATTCAGAGATGTCACCAATGGCAGGCTGTGCTGCTTAGGAAAAATTTAATCTTTCTGGATTCCTTATTTATATTCAGTAAGGTGAAGGTCTTCTGCAAAAGAATCTATACAGTCGATGCTAAACGAAAATTAAAAGCTTCCCTATTGCCCAGCTGCTTCCTGCTAAGGTTACGCAAGTGGATTTGTAGATATAAGAGAGTAGTCTATTTACAAATATGCTACGTTCTAAATATGTTTAAATCAATTGTTTGAAATTCAGAAGCTATTTTCTCACAGAAACGATGTCAGACATGATTTCCAAACCAATTCATGCTTACCTAATCAATCAATAATCCAGGTGAAATACTGCACAAATATAATGCAAAATAGCAGAGAATTATACCCTTAAATATCAGCAGTCACATAAAACTGAAAGAGTTAAAACTTATCTTAAATAATGATAATGAAGAAATGAAATTTAAATTAATCAAGAGGTCCCTGAAGTTTCTGAAGGAGTCAGATAAGTTTTAAAAGTGTTAGAAGGTGATGGTATTGGATTCAGATCCCCACCTTCACTTTAAAACGAATAGCTTCCCTTTTCCTTGATAGAATCGTCACCATTCCTACACCTAGTGTTCATCAACCATGAGCTGCCATTTGAGTTATTTAAAATTTTTTTTAAAAGATAAAGAAAAAAAGGAGGACAAGATGCAAGGAGGTCCCTGGAAGGAAGGGGAGGGAAATGGTAGAGATGTGGCAAGTTGTTCCCTAAGCAGGTCCATGACAGGTGACTATTTAAGTAGGATACAGGGGAAGCACGGAGTGAACTGATTCAGGAAGTGGAAAATGAGGGAGAATGGGAGCAATCAGCTGTTGGATTATCCAAGATATCCACAAACTGCTTTTATAATTCAGTGAATACTTATGACATAATAACCCAAAATATACTACATACCTCTTCCCTGTAATTTCAGACCTACATTATTTTATCAGCAAGTAGAGCTCAAACATTTAACACATAGTTAACTGAATGCCTCATAATATATGCTTTTGCTGAGTGCTGATTAAAGAAGATGTTTACTACGCAGCTACTACCTTTAGGACTCTCTGTTTACATTTTCATTTTTCTGCTCCTTTGAAACTTCAGACACAGTGGTTTCAAGCAGCAGCATGCTTTACTGATTAAAAACTCAAGTTTGAAGTCAAGCTTCCAGAGGTTTAATTTCAGTGTTGTCACTGACCTTTCCTTAGTTTTCCCATCTGTAAAATGAGGACAATGACAATACAACTCTATCTCATGGAGCTGGGTGGGAATTATCTAAGTTAATGAATGAACAGTGCTTAGAACAATACCTGGCACTAGTAAATGTTCAAAAAATATTAGCCACTGTTAAATCTGTATATATAACCCACAACAAAAATACTTACTGAAATTTTCTCTGTATATTGTCTAGTGAAAAAGTAAGGTGCAGAACAGCATGTATAGTACTCTATTATTTGTGAAGGACCAAAAAGCTAAACATACTTGAATGTGGAAAAAAAGAGAGGCGGGGGACAGTTGTTAAGTATATGTTTATATAAGCAAAGAATATGAAACCAAGGTGCCGAGTATAGAACATGGAGGGAGGTTTATTCTTGTCTGTAAACACATCTATGCCTTTATAATTTTGTCCCATGTTCATGTGTTATTATTCAGTAAAAAAATTTATCAAACAATACTTACTATCAACATAGAAATAACATTGGTAGCCCCATTAATCCATCAGTTCTACCTTTATTTAAAACTTAATCCAAAAGCCACTTACCAAACGATGAAATCGCAATTAAATTAGGTGAAGAGATGGCAAACACTCATAACTTTGTCCTCTTTACAACCATCTCCAATTAAAAAACTGAACCAGTAAATGCCGATGTCCTCCAACTTAAATACGAGAAATTATTACACTGATATGTGTTGGTCCCATATGACACTTAATATGTAACAGTTTTTCAAATAATGAATCAATTAGTTACAAAAGAAGATAATAAATGTTTGGGAGGGTTAATAAACTAATTTAATTAGCTCAATAATATATGCATTATTTTGATTAATATAAAAATCTTGTTATGTATAAATATAAGAAAGAATTACATATTTAAATCCAGTGTACTAAAACTGACTCTATAAGGCATCCTGACATATGGCTAAGTAATTGAAAAAATTAGGGAAACCAGTAACAAGGCACAAAAGGGCTAAGTGCTTAGAAGACTGAATTTTTCTTTTCTTGGAAATACAGTCCAAAATTCACAGGTAACAAAACTCATTTTCATAACGTTTCTCACAGTATAAAACAAAGAGTGAACTTTATTTCCATGAATTTTATAATCTTATTATACCACTATATATCCTCTGGGAAAAAAGAAAGAAAGAAAGAAAGAAAACAAATGCCATCAAGACAAACAAACCCAACAACCCAAAACAAACATCTGTTTTGTTTTCTCACATCTTAATAGCCTAGCTATTTCAGATACAAATATTTGTTTTGCCGACAAATGTTTCCAAAACATTAGTTAAAATTGTTTTGCTGAAATAGTTTATTTTTGAGCTGAACAAATTGCAAACTTTTCCAAAGTCCACAAGGCATCTGTGAAAATGAGCAAGTATGGCCTGCAGATTTTCCAAAACGTTCACTTAGTAAAATGGAAGCATCAAGACGCTTGCTATTGCAAACCTCAGGATCATTTCCACAATGAACAGACATAAGCATGTTAGCAAGTACAGACGAGACTCAAATATCCTGCATGACAGGGAAGATAGCCGGGAGTTTAGTTTTTTAACCTGTCACACTGAGTTCCTCTGAGGGCTCAGAGTTCTGCAACTTTGAACAAGAACATTCCCCTTTTTCAGGCGCTTTGCTCTACTTTCTTGTGCCTTGGCAGGGATCAAAGAAGCAGAGGGAACAAATGGTTTCCCATGCATATTGAATTCCCTCTTATACTGATTTTTCCTCTGTCACTTGAAATTCAATATCGGCAAGATTCCCGTCCAACACCTTAACCAGTAAATTGTCTGCATGTGATCAGCACACGTGAAGGTAGATTTCAACATCAAGTTGATGTAAGAAATTCAAATGAAAAAATCCTTTGAAAAACAAACTTTTCTACGGCATTCATACTAAATCTTATTCCTAAAAACTAATTATCTTTTATTTCACATTAATCTAAAATGTTTCGTTCACCATTCACTTTTATCTTTGTCCCTCACTGCTTTATATTTGTATTATTTTAAAAATACAATATTATAGCTAAATAGTGCTTTTTTAAGAATTTAGCCTCAACATTCTTGATTAACTTAATGATACCTAACACTTATTGAGCATTTAAGAGTGATGTGCCTCATTTTCCTTATCTGTAAAATGGAACAAATAGTACCTATCTCATGGTATATTGTAAGATTACATGTGGTAATGAATGTAGAGCTCTAAGCACAACAATTGTGTTCGACTGTATTTTATTATGTATTGTGATGATAGCTATCAAAATTATGAGATATTCTAAGAGATTTGGGATAAAAAATATGTTGTCAGGCCAAATTATTTAAATACAGCACAGTAATTGGATTATAGATGATTGTTTAAATTTTGATTATACACATGAATCATATAATGAAAAATATCATATGATAAAAATGGTTTAAGTGATCTTTTGATAAAAGTCAATTACAATTTTCTTCGTAATAATACTCAAAAAGTATTTCTATCACTCTTTTGAAAGAATATATTTAGTTAGATTAGTAGTAATATGACTTAAGCTTTTACGATCAGTACAAGATGATAACTTACTCTATACCTCAGTGGCTAGGGGATGATAAAATGCTAGTTTAGATATTAGCACAAAAGGAAAACACCTTCAAATTTATTTTTCCCTTCCTCTATTTTGATCATAGAAAAAAAATCATTGGCTTTGTAAAAGATGGGTTTTTAAAAATAAAAATGAGTGAAATCTGTAATTTATTATTTAAAGTAATCATGGATTTCATTGTGACACTGTCTTACAGTCTTTGATTGAACAAGGAAAACTAGTTGGTTCTGATCAAAATTTTATTTTATAGAGAGTGAAATTTGAATTTACCATGGAATACCCTTCTACTCATAAATTACACATATCTTCTAATAAGAGAAAGCCATTTAATCTGTAAGATGTTAATATCTGGGTAACTGTAACTAATTATATTTACTGTAAACTATGAAATTTCTAAGATTTTTCTCTCCAATAAAATGTTTATAAATATATACATCATTAAAAGGGAGGATTCCAGTGGTAATAAAAACAAAAATAAGTATTAAAATATTGTGAAGTAAATGAAAATGAAAAAGCAGAACCCATCGAATTCTGTGAAATGCCACAAAAACAGCGCTCAGGAGAAAATTAACAGCACTGAACACATATATTAGAAAAGAAAGATCTAAAAATCAATCATCTAAGCACCACTCTTAGGAAACTATAAAAAGAAAAGCAAGTTAACTCAAAAGCAATCAGAAAAAAATTATGAAATAATGAAAATCAGAGAAGTTAATAAAATTAAAAACAGGAAAACAACAGAGAAAATCAATGAAATTGGCTGTTTGAGAATATCAATAAAATTGATAAACCTCTAGGCAGGCTAACCAAGATAAACAGAGAATACACAAATTACTAATATCAGAAATGAAAGACAGCCATCATTAGCAATCCCATGAACATTAAAAGGATAATAAAGAAATGTTATGAACAATTCTATATCCACAAATTAGACAAAGTTAGATGAAATGGACCAATTCCTTGAAAGACAGTCTACCCAAACTCACAGAAGGAAAAATAGATAATATGAATAGGTCTGTACCTATTAAAGAAATTGAGCCAACAATTAATCTTTCAAAACAGAAAGCACTAGACCAGGATGGGTTCCCTGGTAAATTTCATCAAATACTTAAGAAAAAGAATGATTACAATTCTCTACAATCTGTTCCAGAAAACAGAAGCAGAGGGAACATTTTGTAATTCCATCAATGAGGCCAGCATTACCCTAATACTGAAATGAGATAAAGGCATTACAAGATATGAAAACTAGAAACTAGAATAATATTTCTCATGAACATAAATGCAAAGATCCTCAACAAAATATTAGCAAACTGAATCCAACAATGTATAAAAAGAATTATATGTCATGACCAAGTAGGATTAATCCAAGATATATAAGGCTGGTTCAACATTTGAAAATTAATGTAATCCATCACATCAATGAGCTAATGAAGAAAAACCATATGATCAAATCATCAGATGCATAAAAAGCATTTGACAAAGTCCAATACCCATTCATAATAAAAAAACTCAGTAATCTAGGAAAGGGGAGAGAGCTTCCTAAAGCTGACAAAGAACATCAAAAAACAACTTACAGCTAACATTATACTTCATGGCGAGAAACTAGATGTTTCCTTTCTAAGATAAGGAACAAAGCAAAGATGTCCCCTCTACCACTCCTGTTCGACATTGTACAAGTCCTTACTAATGCAATAAGAAAATAAAAGGTATACAAATTGGGAAGGAAGAAATATAACTGTCTTTTTTCACAAAAAACATGATTGTCTATGTAGAAAATATAAAAAAAAAAAATCAACAAATACCCACCCCCAAAACCAAACAACTCTTGAAACCAATGAAGAAGGTTGCAGGATATAACATAATAGATAAAAGTCAAATGCCTTCCTATATACCAGCAATGAGCAGTTGGAATTTGAAATTAAAAACACACCGGCCGGGCGCGGTGGCTCACGCCTGTAATCCCAGCACTTTGGGAGGCCGAGGCGGGTGGATCACGAGGTCAGGAGATCGAGACCATCCTGGCTAACACAGTGAAACCCCGTCTCTACTAAAAATACAAAAAATTAGCCGGGCGTGGTAGCGGGCGCCTGTAGTCCCAGCTACTCGGGAGGCTGAGGCAGGAGAATGGCGTGAACCCCGGGGGGCGGAGCCTGCAGTGAGCCGAGATAGCGCCACGCCCTCCAGCCTGGGCGACAAGGAGACTCCGTCTCAAAAAACAAACAAACAAAAAAAACACACCATTATTTCCATCAATACTAGAGAGGGAAAGAGAGAGAGAGAAAGAGGTGTAACTCTAAAAATTATATATAAGCTTTATGTGAGAAAAACTATAAAAGAAATCAAAGAAGATATAAATAAATGGAGAGATATTCCATGCATATGGATAGATTCAATATTGTCAAGACATCAGTTTGTCCCAATTTGATCTATAAATTCAACGTGATTCCAGCCAAAATCCCAGAAATTTACTTTGTGGATACTGACAAATTGATTCTAAAGATTATATGGAGAGATAAAAGACTCAGAATAGCCAACACAATGCTGAAGGAGAAGAAAAAAGTTGGAAGACAGACACTGTCTGACTTTAGGACTTACTATAAAGCTGTAGTAATCAAGACAGAGTGGTATTGGTGAAAAAATAGACAAATGGATCAATGGAACAGAAGAGAGAGCCCTGAAATAGCCCCTCTTAAATACAGTCAAGTGGTCTTTGACAAAGCAGCAAAGGCAACATAATGGAGAAAAGATAGTTTTTCAAAAATTAATCTGGAACCACTGCACATCCATATGCAAAAAAATGAATCTAGACCCTGACCTTACATCTTTCACAAAAATTAATTCAAAATGTGTCAGAGAACTAGATGTAAAATGCAAAATTATGAAACTTCTAGATAGTAACACAGGAGAAAATCTAGATGGCCTTGGTTTTGGCAATAGGTTTTTAGATACAGGAGCAAAGGCATGATCCATGAGGGAAAAACTGATAAACTGGAGTATTAAAATTAAAAACTTCTCTGCAAAAGACACTGCTAAGAGAAAAGAAAATCCATAGACTGGGAGAAAATATTGCAAAACACCTATCTGATAAAAGATGTGTATCAAAATAAACAAAGAACTCCTAAAACCCAACAATAAGAAAACAAACAACCTGTTTAAGAAGTGGGCAAAATATCTCTACAGACACCTCACCAAAGAAGACATACAGATGGCAAATAAGCATATGAAAAGGTGCTTCACATCATATGTCATTAGGAAACAAAACAACAAGATAGCACTACTTCTCAATTAGAATGTCCAAAATCTAAAACACTGACAACACCAAATTCTGGCAAGAATATGGAGCAACAGGAACTCTTATTCATTGCTGATGAGAATACAAAATGGTATAGCCACTTTGGAAGATGATTTGGAAGTTTCTTCTAAAGCTAAACGTAGTGCTGCCATATGATCCAGCAATCACACTCCTAGGTATTTACTCACAGGAGTTGAAAATTTATATCTATTAAAAAAACTGCACACAAATGTTTATAGAAACTTCATTCATAACTGCCAGAAACTCAGAGCAACCAAGATGTCCTTCAATTGGCGGTGAGGGGTGATTGGCATGGCTAGTTGAAGAGTAGGCATGAGTTTAAGACATGAGTTTAAAGACATGGCTAGTTGAAAAGTAGGCATGAGTTTAAGAGTAGGCATGAGTTTAAGGCATGGCTAGTTGAAGAGTAGGCATGAGTAGGCAATAAATAAATTAAAATCTCATTGACTAGAAAATATCTATATTTCTCAAGGTAGATTCTAATGTATCTGCAGATTATGTGAATTTTTTTAATTAAGATAGTGAAGAAAGAGCTAACAAATTCATTTTTAAAAGAATGAATGCAAAGGCACTGTTTTTAGTTTTTAAAATAGAGTAAAATTTTGGAAGCTTTCAGATTCAAGTTATATTATTTTTAACGTATTAAAATATCCATCCAAAGGGTAATAAAGCTTTGAATATTTCATTATGAACACTTTAAAATAATTTTTGAACTCAAAATTCATAAGGAATTACGTTTACAAGTAATACTGCACACCATCACAGACTTAAAAAGTAACTTTAAAAAGGCACAAAAAACCCACAAATGAGTCCTTACATGTTTGCCCTGAAAAACCCTTACAAAATTATCTTTATATGTCCATTGTGACACAACAATTCTAAGAACAATGCAGGAACAGAAATCATGAAGCATGAGATAAATATCACATATACCTAGATTTGTCCCTACTGCATAATATAATGAAATTGAAAGGCAGAAACCAGGTCATACATAAGATAAGAAAATGACTAGAGTCTAACTCTCCAGTATTATAAAATACTAACTTTAAACCCAATAGACTAAAAGTAAAAGAAAAAAAAAAAGACCCGAAATTATTCCAGCAAAAAGAGACATTCATTATTTTAACAATGTAAAAAATTCTACCTCAAAACAGAAATTGTTTTTAATAAGTCATTTCTAAATATTTAGTTTAATAAATTCTTCTGTTTTATGTACTTTACCATCAAAACTTCCTTTTCATCAAGAATAGTAAGTCTATTATTTTATATACGACTACTAAGAAAGACAAGTTAATGCCAAAAAACTTAGCCTGAATCTGCGGTCTTTTCACAAATTAAAGAATGAAAACAAAATACCCAGACTAGATCTTCCTTGAATTTTTAAAGAAAACCATTTCTTTTTCAATGTGGAAACTCAGTGAACTTTCCACTTCTAATTATGCAACACAAGAAAGGCTGATCCAGACATACTCGCTTTAGTTGGAAGAGGTATGTATAAGAAATCTGAAAAGTATTATTTTTTTCTCGGTTCAACTCATTCCTATTCTTTTCCCATAAGATAATGAAATTAAAATAAGTACCTAAAACACTAAGCACTTTTACTTTTACAATACAAGCTAAAATACATCATTCACTCTTAAAACCATGGACCGATTTTGAAATTAGAATTTTTCATTGTTTTCCATGTGGCCTGGCTTTATAGTCCACCATCCCCACTCTCTCACATAGCATCCCTTTTAGGAAAAATACTCACTTAGAACAATGTCTGGTTTCAGAGACAAACACTTATATCTGACCAAATGGCCTTTTCAAAAAAGCTCTAATCAACCTTAATTTAAGAAACACAATTAAGTCTTCAACAGTTTATTTACAATGTAGTATTCACAGCCAAAATATCAGAAATTAAATAATATTATTCGCTGTCTCCTCTTCTCTTTCTATGACTCTCTAGATCCTAAAAGAGGTTTGCTACATCTCATTCACATAATGATCTTCATTTCAAAACTCCTTTTAGTTTTCAGGAAGCTTGCATGACACAGGTGGTTCAAATGAAAAGGCAAGATCTCCCTAAAGTTGGGACAAGCCATTACCTTTCCTCATGATGCCTATATGAAGTTTATGTAAGTAGAGAAAGTTCTATAAGAACTCCTATAATAAATTCAATGCATTCTATAATAAAATTTGTCTTCAGTGTCATTATATAGATGTGAAATCTAATTAAAGGAAGAGAGAGATATGTATACTCAGTTCTATGAAAACTGTATGTACACATGTAAACTGAATGAGGAATCAGCTTAGTTTTTGGAAAATAAAGATACATGGAATACAATTATCAAAGACAAAAATATTTAAAGTTAAAATGTGCAGCAGAAATAATGAGCATTAGAAGTTAATTGAAAGACAAGAATGATGAAACTTTAGAATAAAGCAATGTCTGCATACTTATTTTTAAAAGGAAAAAAACGTGGAACATGAAAAATTTTGAAGACTTTTGGGGGAGAAATCACCCATTAATATTTAAAATATAATTCTATAGTCAAAAATTAAATTAGCATTTATTATACAGAACTTTTTTTCATGATTTAGGATAACCTAGAATGCATACTATGATTATAATATCAGAGAGGTAATTTTTTCAATGTTAAGACCATTTTAACCTGACTTGTAGCAATGGAGTGGGCTTTAGCTCTGGAAACAGGCAAGAGGAAGAAAACTTTGACTCTTTGAGGATAATAGCTTATTTTGTAATCCATGAAAGGTATGATTAACTCTTTAAAAAGTTAAGGCAAGGAGGTGAGAAGTATGTGAAAGTATAGGAAACGTTAAGTAAAGACCAATTCAGGAAATCAGGCAGACACCATTAAGAGTTCTAGAAAGAAAGAATCAATGAGGGGAAGAGATATCAAAGACATCATGTAGGAAGATTTCCACATGGAGAGGCTGGCATTTGAAAGAGACCAGCAAGGGAGTTGTGCAGAAGCATAACAAATGCCCAAACTCATGACACATTGTCATGAAATTCACAGCAGGCCACATGTGGGAAAGCAGAGGCTCACTTTTGATTGTTTTTCAAACTATCAGCAAGATATTACTTTGATGAAAAACACTAAATATTGAATAATGATAAATGCCAAATTCTAGGCATTGCCATTTTATGCTCTATATGTGGTGCCAATGAATTATAGTTATAGCTAAGTATTTATAATTATGCATCTCAAAAACTACACAGATCTTAAAAATTGAGTATATTTACAAATAAAATCTCTATTTCATGTGCTTTTGATGTTTATATACTTTATTTTAAAATTTCAAGCAAATAAAAAAATAAATAAAAATGAATGCCACAGTCATGCTGCTTGACTTATATTTAGTCCTTGCCAAAAGCTGCCAAAATTGTGCAACCACTGCATGAATATATGACTGTAGAAAAATGCATTGAAACCATTGAAAATATCACCTGCAGGACTAATAATATTCACATAATTACCTGCTGTGGGATCTGTAACTGCTTGGCTGGTGATGCCAGATGGCGGTTCTTGAAGCTGGTAAGTGGCATTGGTGGATGGTGTCGTTGGGCTGGTGTTGCTGCTGGTCATATAATGTGCTGGATACGGTGAGCTGTTATAATACTGTGCGTACTGACCCTGGCCAAAACTGGGATAAGACGGATAGTCCTACCAAATCAAACCACACAAGAATTGTCTGTCAAAATACTGCTGCTTATCTCTTACATATCAAAGTGTAACTGTAAGTATGTTTGGGTTTCTGAGCCTTTTCTGAATTCACACGGGGGCATACAAGTACACATTAACTAAAGAGCTCAGACTTGCAAACAAATTTTATGTAAGATTATACACATTCTTCATATTTTTGCTTTTCTATGATGCAATACTAGGTAAAATTAAACCAATCTGAAAACCAAACAACTCACCACAAAAGACTGCTAAAGTGAATTTTAAAAGAAAACTACTAAAAGCCTTAGGAAAGCTCTCACTTATAAACAGATCTTTCTTTACATAAGAAAATCATGTTGCATTTAAAGATATTTTTCAGAAGTTAAACTGGCTTTTTAAATTACCTGCTGTGAACTATTAAATCCAGAGGAATTTGTGAGTGAATTATTTCCTGTATATATTCCTGATGATGTTGTAAAACTGCTACCTAAAACAAAATGAAAAGAAATACGATTATACCAGGCTTGTGGAATAATGTGGGTACAGGAAAATAGCATTTAGAAAAGGCAGAATTGGTATTTGGTTTATCTTCGACACTAGAATCTGTTGTCATGTCTAAAATGTAGTTTTCTTAACATAGTTGATGATTTTATTTTTACTACAAAATTAAAAAACAAAGAGGTTTAAATTTCCAAGGATGTTAGTAACTTATATAGACTAATGACAAAATAATACATTTGTGTAAAAATATTAGACAATGAACTTTTCAATTTGCAAAACACACCAAGATTTTTCATGTCTTTATATTAAATTCACATAATGTAAAATGATGGGGTCAGATTAGATGATCTTTAAGGTTCTTGCTAGCTCAAAAACTATGATACTACTTCCAAGAACTTAAAATGCTTTCAGACTTGTATTATATGGTCATTAAAATGGCGTATGGAAAAAGCCATTTCATTTCACAGAAGAATGAATGGCAGCACCTGATAAATTTGACACAACAAAGATGAAAGAAGAATATGATTAATGTTTTATCTGTTACATATGCTGTCAAGATAATGTTCTGTCTGTTGAATGTCCACATTGTTAAACAATGAACAGTAGGCGCTGTGTAAGATACAACACCTGAGCAAAGCTGGGTTCCCTCTTTCACATGATTTACTATTTTGTTATTAAGCTATGCAAAACAATAATATGCTGCCATTGATAATCATATTGGCGAAAATTTTTTTAAGAAGGTAAGATCAGGGATTGGGAAATATATAAAAAACGGCATTCATACACTGCAAAATGGGAATTTACATAGGCACAATCTTTCTGTTTGGCTATTTGGCTTATGATTGAGAAATTTCGTATGCCATTTAACCCAGCAATTTTATTTCAGGCATTTACTCTAAGAAAAAAAATTATAGATTTATACAAAGAGATAGCAAAGATATTCTTCAGTGTTGCTTCTAATAAGAAAACCTAGGGAAGCAGCCCCAACTCCATAACAGGTACTATTCAGAAAATGGAATACTATGAAGCTGTTTAAACGGTATTACAATGATGTTTAATGGCATGAGAAAAATTTTCATATTATTTTGTGAAAGCAAAAACTAAAATAACAAAAAGTATTTTTGATGATCTCATTTAAAATATTTTTAAAGCATGACAAATTTTCAAAAAGCACAAAATTCTAAGAAATGCTGTCTCTGAAGGATTTGATATATGGTCACATAGCATTCATTAAGCCAATTTACATTTTTAAGTTTTCTACTCGGAACCTATGTTGCTTCTATAATTAGAAATAAAAGCCATTTTTTAAAAAGTTAGAGTTTTACGGCAAATGAGCAGTATAGGCCATAAATGTGTTGGCAGTTCAAGGAGGAATCTCTTCAATGTGAACTCACTATTCAGATGGCTCCAGGTATAAAATGTGGTAATATATGCCAATTATTTACTTGCTACTGAACATTTAAGTATTGGCTTAAGAGTCAGAAAACAGAGTTTCCAGTTCATCATTTATGAGCTATTTGGACTTTGGACAAGTCTCCCAGCCACTCTAAAACATAATTTCCTTATCTGCAAAAACTCTACTTTGCAGTGTTCCTAACAGATCAGATGAGGTAATGTTTTGGAAAGCATAATGGACACTCTACAATATCACATAAACATTAGGCACATTATGGTTTATGGCAGCAAGCACTTGTAAAATTCTCTATTTACGTATCTTTTCCCTCTTTTACTTTCCCGAATTAGATAAATATGACTTAATCTCTTTACATATCTAAAATTCTATTCCTATTTACTTATCAAGCATCTATGAACTTTAAAAGCTTGAGCCAAGAATTATTTTTATTAAGAAGGGAATCTATATCCTAAAATAGTGTTAAATTTAGTTATCACAGAGACTCTATTTGAGGTTTCTTCATTTGTATATTTCAGGAATATCAATTGTTTGAAGTTCCCAGAACACCTATCTCAGATAGGCAGAGAGCTCTCACAGTGCTAGTAGCCACCACAATTAGCCATCAATAGACAGGCTTCACATATTAATGTTCATTTGCATGTGGTAATTACATGCAAAGGAAACATATATTCAATGCCAGGCTCATGGTGACAATTACATGGGGCTAAAAGGATGACTAAGACATAGCCTCAGACCTCACAGGGCTTATCAGACTACCAGTTTTTGTTTTTTTTTTAAACATTGTCCCTTACAGGCATATGACTCATTCTTTACGTGCATATCAGTGAACAATTTATTATTGATATTATATATAAAGCAAACTTATACATGATGAACATTTAAAAATGCCTTGTAAAAGAAATTTTAAATTACTTTTGGATAAAGATGTGGATATCAATGCTTTTTTAAAAGAAACTTCAGCTATTATATGCATTTTAGAGGAAAAATTACCTTGGGTTATGATCCGTTACTTTCATTTAAACTATACATTTTTAGGTTACGACTTGCTATTTTCATTTAAATGACAGAGTTTTAAGCAATAAATACTGACCTCAATAATCCCTATCCACCAAGAAAATGAATAAGATATAGAAAATATATTTTTAAAATGGATGTTTTCATTCTATAAGTTATCCCCTGAAATGAAGTAGGAAAGACCATGGAAGCTATATTGGCACACACAGGCCACGAGGGTCTGACCAAGTAAATCACAGTTCAGTACTCCAAATGGCACCCAAGTGACTTTCCAGACTAAATGCTACTTCCAAGACTGTACATTAGCTGGAATTCAACATAAGTTATACTCATTTGCTGGCTGACTGCAGGCTGAGATTCCATTCCATTTAGTATGCCGAAACAGGAGTTTAATGGCACCCCAGTGGCTTTGGAGACTTAATGCAACTTCCAAAAGGATCTTACTTTAGGGAGAGGTGTACATACTAGAGAATCAGGCTCAGGCAATATTAATTTTTCACCACCAGAATCAAGTTCGCAGGGCCACTCCACCTGCCTTCACATAGGACTTAGGCAAACAGAGCTGCTAAACTCGGACCAGGCCACAGCAGGGGACTTCTGCAGCAGCCTCCTCTACTGGTTTCTTTACCCATCTTTGGGTACTGTCCAGCCCATTCTCTGCAAAGTCAGTAGACTCTCTAATGTGCATGACTGATCTTGTCACTCCCCTGCTAAAAAAAGTAACTTTTAATGGCTCCCTGTTGCCCTCAGGATAATATTCAAACTGCTTACTAGGGTTTATGTATTAGGCCTTAGCTGGTCTAAACCCAGTTTATCTTTTGAACTTCTTTGGTCTTTTCCCAGCAACTGTGACTCCAATGCACCCGGGCATACATTCCAGCCTAACCCTAGTAAACCAACATGCAGCAGGCTTTCTAATGTTACTCCTTACAGCTCCTACTTCCTCCTGTCAAATCCAGGTTAACTTTGATTGCACTTCACAATTCAGCAGAATTTGAAATCCGCTTTCTCAGAAAAGCCTCCCTGAATCCCCATTCTCTCCTCTTTCCCTCTAAACCTGGGTTGCTGAATCAATCCACCTATCATCTGTCCATCTATCTCCATGATATATGTGTGTGTTTATCAATCTCTGTGATGTACGTACATTTGATATACACACACACACACACACACACATCCATGACTTACTAATCAGTATTTTAAGCCAAGTACTAATTGACCTGTAAACTAACAAATACTAATTATATGTAAACTAGTCCTTCCCCTACAAAACAACTAAAAAAACTTCGACATTCCTATAAAAAATTGGATATTTACACCTAACCCATACAAATATCCCCAGAGTGCAAAATATAATAACAATACTAGAGGTGTACATACTAGAGAAGCAGGCTCAAGCAATATTAATTTTTCACGACCAGAATCAAGTTCGCAGGGCCGCTCCACCTGCCTTCACATAGGACTTAGGGTCTGACCAAGTAAATCACAATTCAGTACTCCAAATGGCACCCAAGTGACTTTCCAGACTAAATGCTACTTCCAAGACTGGAACATACAAATATCCCCAGAGTGCAAAATATAATAACAATAAAACAAAATACCCATTGAGTACTCTCTCTATGTTAGGAAGTAGGCTCGCCCGTACATGCTTCACCTATACTCCACAACAACTTGATACTACAGGGTGTATGATCATTCCCATTTTGCAGATAAGGAAACGGAGGGTCAGGTTACAGTAACACAGCTCCAAGGAATGAAGGTGAAACACAAACACAGATCTGTCTGGTTTTAAGGTCTATACAATGCTGTCTTGCCTCCTCTTGCTCGATTCTATATTGTATAATGGGAAGTTCTGATATACACTAAAGTTTTCCCAGGCATTATTTTATAAAACAATTATATTAAAATAATTTATATTTATATCTTGTAAATAATCTCAGGGATTATTTTATAATTATATTAAAAAGTGTTAGAAGCAAAATAGAAGTGACAAGAACAAATAATAATACTTAAACATTTTTGAGTGCTTACATTGAGCCAGCCCAAATAAAGCATTTTGCCTATTAGAACTCACCGATTCCTCACAACCACCCCAGGAGGTGGATGCTGTTACATCCCGTTTATAGACGAAGAAACTGCCAGAGGTAATAAGCAACTGTGGCAGAGCTGGGATTCAGTCCCAGGCACCTGGCTCCAGAACTGACGCTCTTAATCTCTATAGTAAATTGCATCTCAGAATGGCAAGGTTTTTGTCTGTGAGTTATTTCCCTTTTTTATGACCATTTCCAAAATATGCCTGACAAACTGCCTCAGAGTCATTAGGAAGTGCTTATTCTTCCTAGGCAAATACCTGGGCTTCCCTTTCAGACACAGAAATCAGTCTCACTGAGGCAGAAGGACTAGGGTGTGATCTGAAAATCCACATGTTTACCAAATACCTATAAGTGTCTGATTTTTAGTACCAATTCAGGAGGTGTTATAGCAATTGCTTCAAAAATATGTAACTAGTATAACCTTTCTTCTTATACACTAAGAAAGTAATCATTCTCTTCAAGCATTCAGAGCTGAAGCTTCTCAGAGCCTATCTGTGTGGGGTATTTCTGGTTCTTGAGCTGAGCTAAAGATCATCTGGAGTAAGGGGCTCCACTTTGATAGCTAATTCAATGGAGACTTCAGTGCCAACACTACCAGATGGATTTCACCGAAGTTTAGAACGCCACAAAGCAAAGGCAAAACAACAATGCTCATGCTCCCCAGAAAGCTTCAGTGTATGGGCTGCTAGACTCACTTGCAGGCTTAGCAAGAGAGGCACATTTGTGTAGAAGGCTGTCACACACCAGGCTTGAACCTGGATGCTAGAGAGAGACAGGATAAGACATGACCAGGATAAAACAGACCTCCTTCCCTTAACATCAATCCACTGAGAGTTTCTGTTGGATTTGCAAGGGTCTTCACTTACAACTTTTGGTCACAGAATTATTTGTAATGTTTGGAATTCTTTAATCAAAATAATATAGAAGTATTTTCTTTTCTAGAAACAAATGACTTTACATCAAAAGACACCTCCAGATAAATAAAATAGAGCCGCTACATCCTATAATGCAAGGTTTTACATCACATTATATCATGAAAATTCCTCAAAGTAGAAAGAATTCCCATTATAACCCATTATTTCTCAATCAATAAGTTTGGCAGAGATTGCTTCATGTGAAACTTCAATAATTCTCAATAGAGTTTGGGGTGGGAGTGGGGATACCTTCTTACTCATTGGTTAAAAGGAAAAGCTTACCTAGTTATATAACTATTGGCCAATATGGTGAAACTCTGTCTCTACTAAAAATACAAAAATTAGCCGGATGTGTAATCTCAGCTACTTGGGTGGCTGAGGCAGGAGAATCACTTGAACTTGGGAGGCTGAAGTTTCAGTGAGCCGAGATCATGCTATTGCGCTCCAGCTTGGGTGACAAGAGTGTAACTCTATCTCAAATAAATAAATAAATAAATAAATAAATAATTGTTAACAATCATAGTCATGGTTATTATTATTTTTTTTTTGACATGGAGGGGAGACACTCATTTCCACAACAGGAAACTGGAAAATTTTTCCCTTCACAACATCTCTTAAGATACAGCATTATTTGTCCTTCCACTGCTGTCTTTTAAAGTTGATTATTTTTATATTCTAAGTGGGAAGATACTATATCTCTAATCACACGCATACGCACACACACACAGCTTTTCAAGTTAGTTTCATTAACAGCATCTACTGGCATTCTTTATAGGTGCAACTCTAGAGGTTGTTGTGATGCAAAAGAAGTGGGCATCATGAACCTATCCCTCGAAGAAAGTTTGAAAATCCCACACACTCATGAAGATGACACAAAGAACATCACCTTGCATCACCCACCCAGGTGTCACAGCTCTCACTGTGTTACTCACTTGGGTGCCACAGCCCTGCTAAGGAGGTGCTCAGCAAAATGACATGAAGACACCTGGTTAGACTGGGAAGGAAAGCACATGCTTCCCCAAAAAGGGAAGAAGTGTACTCACTCCTGGCACAGGGTGAGAATAAACTATCCAAAGAAGATCAGAGAATAGAAAGTTTTGGGAAGTTGGGTGAGGAGTGTGACTGATCGTGGGTGATGGAAGTTTCTTGATCATTTAAGAAAAACAGCTCAGGAAAAGAAATGGCATCCTTTAATGGCAAAATGCAAGAATCTGAATGTCCAACAAATCATCATTAGTATACTGGGACCAGTGAAATGTTACGATTCTGAATTGCCGGGGGTGGGGGAAAAGCTAGAGAACCCTTACAAATGCAAGGATACAAATGTTTATCTGGGCCTGGAGATGCCACTCGGGGTTTGGGATGGGGGTGCTCAGGAGAATATTATAACCAGGCTGTTGCCTACAGCTCCCCATGCACAGCTCACCATGGTACTTTAGGATGTGATCACTGCTATATCGGAAACTCACCTTGCTCAGTCTTGCTCCTCTTAATGCTTCCCTCCCTCACTCCACATTTTCCATCCTTCAAGGCCTCACCCAAGTCTCATCTGTCCAATAAGCTTTTCCTTGACTGTTACTCTTTGTACTGAGTTTATCTTCTGGAAACCTGAGCTCCCTAATAATTGATAGCAGGTAATTGACCTCTCCATTAGACCAGTACTAAGCAAGTCTCCCTTAGTCTTGTTTTCATTCTGACCTAAGTTCCTTAAGCTCATTTTCTATATTTATCCTGTCTGCCTCACATAGAGATGGATAAACCATGTCTGACTCATGCCTTTGAAGGGCTTCATCTAGGCTGGAGTGGGAGCCAGAACTGTACTGTTGCTTGATAATTTCAATCCATGTGGTAAGTGACTAAAGGATTTAGTGAGAACACGATTGTCATAAAGTATTAGGTGTGGGGACAGGTGAGGACCTTTCCATAGATTTTTGTTGGTGGGGAGGGGGACAGTTTGGAAGAATGACTTTAAGGCCCACAAAAGATTTTAAGAGAGAAAAGAAGGTCTCTCAACTTTTTCCATCAATTTAAAAAAGTGAGTAGGGAAAGAAAAGATAAATAATAATTGAGCTTATTTCTCAGACTTTATCTGGAGAACTTTGATATTTAACAGATTTTATCTGAACACTTTGCTGGGATTTTTTTATTTTTTAGAGACAATGTCTCACTCTGTCACCCAGGCTAGAGTGCAGTGGCATGATCTTGGCTCACAGCAACCTCTGCCTCCCAGGTTCAAGCGACTCTCGTGCCTCAGCCTCTTGAGTAGCTGGGATTACAAGCGTGTCCGTCCCACCACACTCGGCTGACTGGCTTCTTTCAAACTACATGATGTATAAAGGATTATCTTAGAAATCAGATTATAATCACTATAGATTTAAATTATATAAAGAAAGTTAAATTCTGGACCTGTAAGCACCTTCTGAAAGGAGTTAAAATATTTTTGAATCTCCAGTAAATAATCCAGCAGACTTTAAATCAAATAAAATTTTAAGTTGATTAAGTATCCATGGATTTTTACCTCATAAAATCTCACCTATTTGAGCGATGAATACCACTGGACCCCAGACATGGTACAAGAACTTCGCATCCACATACCATCGGAGCATGCCGCTAGGATGTTAACCTTGTTAGTCCAGCTGTCAGGATCCTAACAGAACACTGACGCATGGTCCAGGTTCTGCCCTCCTAAGAAGGCTACTCACTCTCATAGCTCAGACATTGGCATATCACAGGTATATTAATGAAAACAAGTCTTGCTTGTGTAAGAAAAACTTCAAATTCAGAATGCAATAACATCCTATGGCTTTAGAGTACATTTATAGTTCAATCTTTCCACATCCATTTTCTGAGGTTATTTCCAACATCATCATGTGAGATGGCTGAGGCAGGGTCCTCGTCTTCATTCAAAAAGTAGAGGATGGATAAGGTGACCATTATCTCTGGTGCCAGGTTATGGTTTTCTAATCTGTCATGCCAAATCTACCTTTTAGATTTTCTGAATCGGTAATGTTGAAAGCAAATTGGTATTAAGTGGTATTAATTTTTGGCTACACAAAAATCATAGACACACTAAGGGCAGAAATAATCATACCTAAGACATTTAATAAATACATTTGGAATCAAAGGATCCCATTTTTAAAGGACTTCTTCATTGTAACTCCGTTTTAGGCTAGTAAATTTAAAAGTAAATTACATAAAGTGTCCCAGGGACAGTGCATCACAAAGATTTTGCTTTGCTTTCTTCTTATCAATGTTGGCTTCCTACAGAGAAAGAGTGGTGGCCTTGTCAACCATAACAAACAAGAAACAGTCTTGCTTGAAGATCCTATATGGGACATGCAGTTCTGTAAGTGCTAAGCAATTTTAGTTTTAAAACAAACCCATCCCTCAAAACTTCTCTTAATACATCTTCACTACCTCTTCGTAGTTAAGAACACAGCCTATGTCGATTTAAACATTACTTAAAATATTAAATCAAAGTTCTGTGTATGATTTAACCTGGATAATACTGCCCAGTTATAACTTCAAAAAGCTTTTTTTTTTTTTTAAGAAAAAAAAAAAAGGAGTAACAAGTAGGTCAAAGGTCTGCTTCACAGAGAACAAGGACTCACATTAAAAACCAGAATCCCAGCCAACATAAGAATGCTGGAACCTGCTGGGGCCTGTCTGTACTTGCCATGTTTTAGAGCATTTTCTAGCACTTACTGGGCAAGCAGGATGCTGTTTGTCCCTCGTGTATTTTCACAGAAGTCCATTTGCTTTCCATCTCTGGCCTCTTTGCCATGGGCTATGTCCATCATCAAGCACGATCTATGTGGCAGAAGTTAGTGCAGCTCCCTGGGGAAAAGCTTTCGAAGGCCAGATGGGCTATTTAAAACCAGGATTTTCCCCCTTCCTTAGAAGATAGATTTTAAATGACCAAGTTTTCCTTTTTGTCCCAGTAATAGTTTTTATTTCCAAAGAGAACTTTTAACACAGGTTATAAAGACTGCAAAGCCTTTACATTTACCTGTCTTGATATATTTCTATATATTTTAATTAAAAACAACTCATGAAGAAAACAATGTTGGTATGGGTCACTAATTATTGCTGTGCCTAGATGTCAAGAAATTTTTATCCAGTTTTTAACACCTGAAATATACAAGATGCCAAAAGAAGTGAAACAAAATATTACTTATACAATCAATTTAAGCAAAAAAAAAAAAAATCTAGAACATAAAATGCCAAGAACTAAAAAATAAATATGAGAAGAGTGGCAAAGCAATTAAGGGGCAATTCTGCACATCAGTGCAAGCTGCAATAGCTATTCTTCAATTTCATTTTACGTCAGAAAGTACAAATCTCAAATGCTTTATCACAGATTACTTTTTTAAGCTTAATGTATATTTTCCTAAAACCACTATCTTTTAAAGTAAAAATACCTTTTCTATAGATAATAAAAAAATTTTAAAGCATAACAGCATATTTAGTTAAGCAATTTTTAGGTTATAAATGACTAATAAACTTAAATGGTTCAGGCGTACATTTGAAAAGCTACAGAGAGGCAGATCAAAGGAAACAAGGGTGATGTTACTGGATCATTCCCACTTCATAATGAGGCAGGGATGCATGAGGTGTGATGGCCGCAGAGCTGTGCCTCTTCCACGTACCCTTTAACAAACCTCTGCCCTGATTTATTGTCTTTCCTTACTAGTTTGAACCCCAATCTCTTTAGCAGAACAAACAACATTATACACAAAGAGGGAGTGAGAATTTGTGTTATTTTCTTCTCTAAGTGAGAGCAATAAAACCTAAAGGAAAATAAACAAAGCAGGGTTTCCAGGGCCCTCTGAGTTTAGTACATGTACATCTGTGCAGCCCCTTCGATCTATCATGGCAGATCCTGACACCTTCCCTGGTGTGGGATGATGGGAATGTCCTATACCATTATTGATATTCTGGGACGATAAAACACTCAGAAAGGCATTCTATACCACCATCGTGATGATTCTGTGATGTCTCCAACCAGCTCTATCTACGAGTATTAACACAAGGAAAGATGGCATTAAACATACGATGACAATAAATTAGCTGAAATGTCTTATTTATGTTTTATATATATTTTTAACTTTTAAGTTCAGAGGTACATGTGCAGGTTTGTTATGTAAACTTGTGTCATGGAGGTTTGGTGTACAGATTATTTCATCACCCAGGTATTAAGCCTAGTACACATTAGTTATTTTTCCTGATCCTCTCTGTCTTCCCACCCTTCGTTCTCTGACAGGTCCCAGTGTGTGTTGTTCCCCTCTACATGTCCATATGTTCTCATTATTTAGCTCCCACTTATAGGTGAGAACATATGGTAGCTGGTTTTCTGTTCTTGTGTTAGTTTGCTAAGGATAATGGCCTCCAGCTCCATCCATGTTCCTGCAAAGGACATGATCTCATTCTTTTTGTATAGCTGCATAATATTCCATGGTGTATATGTACCACATTTTCTTTATCCAGTTTACCATTGATGGGCATTTAGGTTGATTCCATAACTTTGTCTTTGCTCTTCTAAATGGTGAATTAACTGAATTTTTATTATGCTACATTCCAAATTCATTTCCCCAAATGAAGAAAATCAGAGTTTTTTATGAACCTTAATTTCTAACATTCATTGTGACATAGACCTCTCCACTTCTAACAAACATTTGTATATTTTAGACATAATACTAGATACTGGAGATTAAAATATGACTAAAGATGTTCATTACCTTTAATAGTCTAGAATCACTAGAACTAAGCTATTATGGAAAGCTGGGTTTTCCACAGAGCTGAGGCTTAACCAGTTAAATAACAACTTAATTTTAATGGTTTTGTTTTGTAGGTGTGTGAAAATTGTTTGCACGTGAACTACAGACTGCCTTACCTCAGCCAAATTGCTAAACAAAATTTTATTTTCCTCATATGATTGGGCACCACCATTATAAAGATAGCTCATTGTTTTCTGTATTAGATGGAACCATAAATCTATATTATATGTGGAGTTAAATGGATAGCGACACCAGTGATAGGTACAGACCTTGCATTTTTAAAGGTTTGATTTCAAGTTAGTTGTTTCTTTTACATAAAAGGAGAATAAAGGTTATTTATGACACACTGGGGAGATATTCTGTGAAAGCAATCAGAGGCCGAAGCTGCTTCTGCTAAGCAGTTTTCTTACCTTTCATGCATGCGTGCACACACGCACAAACTCACACACAACACCCCGTTTCACTATTGTGGCCAGTGCCCTTTGATTGGTAAGCAGCAGTAAAAACATATTGTTTGCAGAACTGACCCAAGGGTCTCCAGGCACACTCTGTCCATCCACACCCACCCATTCAGCTAACTCATCTGCATCAGCTTTGTCAATGGTGTGTGAAGAAAAACCCCCTCAGACCATTCCAAAACTTCTTCCAGAAAAACCAAAGCTAACACTGCGGAACAGGAAAATGTCAAAAATGAATAAGCAAAGATTTCACCTCCTCAGGTTGAACTCTACAGTTGTTTATGAAGAAGAACACTTTGTCTTTCTCAGCTGAACTTAAGTTTCTAATCTTTTAGTGGTGCACAAAAGAAAAATTAAAGCATGAATAGAATTTTCCAGTGATCTTACAGCAAAGGTGAAAACAATCAGATTTCCCAATCACTGAGGTTTTATTTCATGGAATTTTAGTATTAGAGCATGCACGACGAAAATCTGATCCTTGTTTAGTTTAAAATGGCATGTGTCAGATTCACAGAAGCCTGCTTGGCAGGACAGAAGTGTTGAAAGTTGGAGCTGAAAGGGTGATTCCAGAAGGATCACTTGGAGCAAATGAGGGCACCAAGTAAGGCTGGCCCAGTTCACAAGGTTTGACAGTGGCAAAATGGCCGTAAATTGCCAAATCTGCTCTTAAAAGGCTGTGCAAGTGTCAAAGCACTGACAGTGCTCAGAAATGAGTTTTCTAAGAAGTTTTTTTTAGAGCTTCATGAATTGGTGTTTGACTAGTTATATAACTAAGTATGTAATGCAATGGTTTAGTTCTAACGATCAAGCCTGCCCTTCAGAAAAATTTAAAGACCAAGCAACAACATTTTGGCTTTTTGTAGTTTTCTTTAAAAGCCACTCCTGTGAGCTCTGTAATTTAGGTGTATGTACAACAACGAGGTCTGACAGTTCTAAGCCATTCTCCGTTTTGAGTAGCCATTCTTAACTGTTGATATCATACAAACTAAATTACTAATTTTATGCATTCTTTAGCATTTTCAGGTTCTTATTATTTATTTATTATTTAGTTAGTTTTTTGAAAACACAGTCTCACTCCATTGCCCAGGCGGGAGTGCAGTGGCACGATCTTGTCTCACTGAACCTCACGGTCCCAAGATTCTCCTACCTCAGCCTCCCAAGTAGCTGGGATTACAGGCACGTGACATTACACCTGGCTAATTTTTGTATTTTTAATAGAGACGGGGTTTTGCCATGTTGGCCAGGCTGGTCTCAAACTCCTGACCTTGGGTGATCTGCCCACCTCGGCCTCCCAAAGTGCTGGGATTACAGGCGTGAGCCATAGGTTCTTATCTTTTCAAAGTTACTGTTCAGAGTTATGTAAAGATTAAATAAGATGTCACAAGGGAAATAACTAGGTTAGTCCTTGGCATATAAAAAGTAAACAATAAATGTCAACTGTTATTTTATTTTGTTGTATGGGCACTAGAGTTTTCCATCTCTACATAGCACAGCTTATCACATTCCCATCTTCTTCCCTAATTTTCTGAACTAAACAATTTGATGCTTCAATGACTGGTGGAGACCTCTTTCTCCACCCATTCTTAGCACTCAGAGATGTGACTGCAGGGCCCATGACCAACAAGGACTTGGTTGATGACTGTCTCTCTCCCACCACCACTGCAAAGCTGAGTTTATTTTTTGCCAGCGGCTCTTCCTTGCTTCCCCACTCTCATTTTCCAACACCCCATTCACCACTGCTGCCATACAGCTTTTCCTCTCTCCTGATTTTTTTCTTCATGTTGTTTCTCCCCCGCTTTTTCGGTATCATGTACAAAAAGCTTGACCTTTGTTGATAGTAAGTTTCCTTCCATGCCAGCATATTAATTACATCTGGCTCCTTTTTTGCTATGCTTATTTGGTTATTGGTTTCTTAAAGTTCTCTTTCATGTCTAAAATATATTTTGTTATATATATTATTACACATATTAAAATTTTAATTACACTTTGTGTGTTGTGGGGGGAAGAGAAGGAGCATTTAGGTAATGCTACCTAATCTGGAACTATTCCAGAAAGCTGGACCATAATGATAATAATGAAAATAATAGTAATCACATCACCACTGCAATGAGAGCAGTAAAATTGACAACAATCATTTGAGTTCTTACTATGTACCACAGGTTGGTCAGAGTGATTTACAGACAATCTCAATGATATCTCACAACAGTATTGTGGGAGTAGATCTCATGCCCATATTCCAGATAAGGAAACACATGTGAAGGAGTCATTGCATGCTGAAGGCCCACAGAAAGCAAAGGTAGAACTGCTGACAGCCAATCTTACTCCAGAACCCATACTGCTAACCAGGAAGCCAGATTTCACTGTACCTTTACTCCAGTCTTTCTAAGTCTGATAGAACCAAAGAGCTGATCATCATAAGTTTTCTTTAAATTAATCAGCAAAACACTTAGAGGATGCATACATGTCACACTTCAGTTTTTGGGGCTACTAGAATATTTCCCCTGGGCTACTAGAATAGTTCTTCTATCATTGTAAAATTCTGATATTAAATTTGAACAGGTAAATCTCTGAATAACTAGTCATCATACCTTATATTTTTAAAGTTGAAAAGATTTCCCGGAAATAAAGCTAGGCAAAAATATCCCCCATATTGCCAAAATATATTCTCATCCAGGATTCAAATACATTTTAATAGCTATAAGATGAAATTGATAAAAGCAAATAATCACTGTTATTCATTAAGGATTAAAAGAACTGAGGGAATTTTGAAAATAATTTTAGACATTGTAGAAATTGCTATATTAAAAAACATGTATTAAAAAGACACTCAAAGGTCAACAGACTCCCGCAACTAGGTGCACAAAATCATTGAATAATGAGAAGCAGTATACATACTGCATTTAATATTTAAGAACTACGTATTAATCACAATTAAGTACCCAAATCTGGCCATATACATTCTGTAGCAAATTATATAGCATTATCCATCATCATTTTGGCAAGTTAATTTTCAAATTAATAGTATATGATCATCTGGCTTAATATGTGGAAGTCATATTACAGGTTGAATATCCCTTATCTGAAATGCTTGGGACCAGAAATGTTTTGGATTTTGAATTTTTTTCAAATTTTGGAATATTTGCATTATATACTGGTTGAGCATTCCTAACCCAAAAATCTGAAATCCAGAATGCTCCTATAAGCATTTTCTTTGAGAATCACGTGAGTGCTCAAAAAGTTTTAAATTTTGAATCATTTTGGATTTCAGATTTTTGGATTAGGAATACTCAACCTGTATATCCAATAGTCTAAAACTGAGTAAATTATCATTATAAAGATAGTCATGTGAAATAATGCCTCAGTCATGGGAAATGGGTCCTAATGTCCCACAGAAAGGCCATTCAACTAAGGGATGAATAAAAACACACAAAAAGTTTTAATGCAATATCCAGTAAGCCCAGATGATAATAAATCTATGGCTAGAAAAGCAGTGCCTAATTTGGTGCTATACATGTCCTTATTTCTTTTAAATGATAATTTTATTTTCTTCCAAATTCATTTCCTTTTCTACTCATTCATTTCCCCTTTTTTATGCACTATACTGTAATGGCTGGTTTGTCTTTTTCTGAATTGTTCCTGCTGCATAAGTTTTGATCTGGGAGAAGAGCAAGATGAAAGTAACTCTCAAGCACAATATTTCTCAAACTATCTGAGGTCCAGGATTGGTTTTTTCCTCCAATCCTTCACAGACTGACAACTGAGCAAAATACAAAGTAATGTACTTCTAAAAGAAAAAAAATTTTCTAAAAAAAGAGACAGTATAAGTCTCATTTTAAAAAATTATTATTTGATTCAATAAACATAAAATTTATTATTGACTGACTATGAAAGTTTCTAGATGCTAACTCTCAGTTTCTGTACTTAGCTTTAGCTTTTGGTGGACGGGTAATGGCAAGGCTGTGGATGGGCGCAGGCCCAGAACCATACAATTCTGTAGCTCTGCTCTGGGCAGGGCACTTCACTTGCCTCTTTCCCACTTTTAGGATCCACTTCTCCTCAAGGAGACCTGGATACCACGGGCACCCTGCTAGACCCTGGGACCCCTCCAGCACTCTTTATTTTCCTGATGTCTCCCGGAGGAATCTGCAATTGCATAATTTAGTTGGTTGCTTGTCTACTGTCTCTCTCTTTGGCAAGAATGAAAGCTCTATGAGCAAACAGACCTTGTCTGCCTTATGATCCATTTTATTACTAGAGCCTAGGACTGTTAAATTCATTAATAAAGTCTTTCCATCACTTTTTGTTCTTTATATTCCTTTACTCAATTGATATTCAGCATGTGCAGAACAGTTCTTTTCCAAGGCTGCATAAAAGTTTTGGAATGAGGCACATAAATAATATCCTTCTACCAATAAATGCTATCTGTTATAAAATAGTTTTTATTTTATAATCACTGAATATGTCAAAACTTTACAGTTCAGGCCTTTTGAATCAAATGCAAAATCAAATATGAAAAGGTTAATGATCTTGTCCACTAAAATTGTAGTTTGCCATACAGGAAAATAGACTCTTAAAAATGATAAATAAAAAAAAATCATTCTTAAGGAAACATATTAATAAGACATTTAAAAAGGCTAAGATCTTTAATGTGAAAAATAATAAGATAAAGATGACAACCACTGAAGAGAAGAAAAAACGTTTTATGTTTTTTCTAAATGTGTGTAAAAACAAAATCTTGTACCTACCAAAATGACACTTTTTTCAAAGAAAGGTATCAAATGTGTATACTTTAACACACAGCCCTTCCTTGTGTAAATATATAGGAAATCCTTAAAGGAGCATAAAACAATTTACTTAGAAATTCTATACTTAAACTTATTCAAAGGAAATAATTAAAGGTGTGTAGATAAGATATGCATAGCATTGCTCTAAATGTCAAATAGTAGGGAACTAGGTAAATAAGATATATCTATTTAGGGAATTAGTCAAGTAAGATATACCTATTTAGCTAATTCCATGTAGCCATCAAAAGGATACCATAGAACAGAACTTATTGATGTGAAAAGATGATTAAAATGTACTTGTTACTAAAAACAGCAGGCTGCAATACTGTATTAAATAATGAGCCCATGCTGTATATCTAGACAAACATATATCATAATGATAATAATAAATGTATGAGACTTATATTTTTGCTTCTCTGTATTTTCTAATTTGTCTGTGATAAACAAATATTATTAATGTAATGAAGAATAAGCTAAAATATACAAAAACAATAACAACTATAAAAAGAACCCCTTCAATCAAAAAGAGATCATCAGGGATTTAATTCAACTATGGATTGGCACTATTAGGAGGCCAAATATGATTCGTTGAACTGAACTGTAGTAAAGACAAGATATTAGGAAAATGTTTAAATTATGTGAGAACTATTCTCAAGCACTTTAAAGATCTATTTGCAAGATAACAATGTGCTAACTTTAAGTAATGTCTATGTATTCTTGAGACCAGCTTTGACAATGACAGCTGTCATTCCATTTGACTTGTACTTACATTATGTTTTGTCTATATTTTCAAAAACAGAACCCAGGGACTGATTCTTACAAGCATTTTCTTAAAGATTCACTGGGTGTCTGTAAATCTGATCAAGCTGTTCTTTGGGAGATCATTATTCAACACTTATCACATACTTTATTTCTACAGCTATGACTGTCACTCCCCAAGCTTCACTTCATAATGAAAATAAAGAATACAGCCCTTTTGGAAAAGTTGGATGGTAATACCAAGTGCGTAAGTTTTTAGTACATGCCATATCACAACCTCCTACGTGGCTGACTTTTGACTTTTTCATTTCTTTTATAACTGACAGAAGACACAAAGGCAAAAATGTCAACTTCACAAAAAATCTTAGTGCTTTTTGGAAAGAATGTTATAGATCATCCAGTCTAACCCCCTGATGTTATAAATATGGAAATTTAGGCCTAGAAAATAGGTAAGTGATGAATCAAACTAGAAGCAGGTGTCCTGCCTCTAAGCCCAATCCAGTTGCCATCATCATTTACTATTTACATGGAACATCAGGTTCTACTTTAGAAGTTAACTATCAACCTACAGGGTTAAGGAAAATAGCAATGTGTATATACAGACCTTGCATCTGGTAGCTGTATGGTGCCTGTCCAGGTTGAGGGGTACTGAAGCTTGTGCCATAGCTGAGAAATCCTGTCTGTCCAGGTGACTGAGACTGTGACAATCCACCTTCAGTCTTGATGCCTGCCCACAATGCACCTAAATCAGTTAGTGATAGCTTATCTATCTGTCCATTTTCAAAAGCTGGTAAATATACAAAAACATACACTTCCACAACCGTTTAACTACAAATGCTTCCCCAATCTTATCTCAAAAATAAAGGGTATACATGCATTCAGTGAAATACCATAAAGTACAACTTCAGTTTTTTAAATCCAGGATTACAGATTTGAATGTCTATTCACATTATTCTCTCTTGTTTTATTGCACTTCAAGACATATCCCTTCTATAAAATGTAACTCCAGTGATATATTTTCATACTTAATTTTGTTGTTTTAATTATGTAAGAGTTGAAGATCATCTCCTTCACAGTAAAGAAATAGCCATAATTAAATTTTAGCTAAATGTTCCCAAAGTTGCTATATTGACTAGTGTTAAAAATAAAATCCTTTTTTATATTAAAAATATTAATTAGATCCTATACCATCACAGTATTTTTCCCTCCTTTACTCTTTCTACTACAAAGCTGATTTCAGTACCAACTCATTTTGAAGTCCAAAGAAGCAATACTGGGCACAGAACTAAACAACATGGTGGAAAGGCTTTTCCTGAATATCTAGGTCCTATCAGAAAATAAGCACAAAGGAAGCAGAACACTAATGAGCTGAATCTTATAAAACAGCAGTGATTTATAAACAAGTGAGGTTGACCAGCAGTTTCCTTTTGTCCCTGTTAGTGTGAAATATTTGACTATAATTGTTTTCGATGTAGTCTAAAGTACCTTTGTTTTTATCATATGATAATATAAAAATGATGTATCTGTGGCCCCCAAATACTTCCCCAAACACCAGGCTAACATCGTAATTTTGGGACTTGGATTTGGCAGCACTGAGGTATGGGGCTCAGCTCTGTCTTTAATTAATTACAATTAAAGACAGTCATACATGTTAACAACTCTCCTTCATTCTCACAGAGGGAGGGAAGAAAAATTTCTGCCGAGGGAATTCACATTTTTTAATAATTTTGCTTCGTACTTAAGATAAATGATATCTTTAGGATCTAGAATACACAGTAGTCTTACTGTTTATTTCCATTTTAGGGGAATCTCATCAGCAGAGTACAGCTAGGTAATTGTTTTAAGGCAGTGGGAGAATCTGACTCTTGGCTGAGAGTGCCTACTTTAATTCCTGCAGTATCTCTAAATAACTTCATAATGACCTTAACATTTAAGTCTTAACACAACCTTAACATTTTAAAAATGTGATTTTCCCTGTAAAGGTGATCCCAAACCAATGAATAACCCACACATAGAAATGGTCCCTGGAAATACACCTGCCCCAGACAGGTGGCATGATGGCTTTAGAAAATCCCTTTCTTTCCATGTTGTCACCCCTAGGGATTTTCCACCTCTTGCTGCATTTGAGACTATACTGATCTGCTTCCAGCCTTCACCTATACCAATAAAATACCAATAATTCATGTATTTTTTTTTTTTTTGAGACGGAGTCTCGCTCTGTCACCCAGGCTCGAGTGCAGTGGCGCAATCTCAGCTCACTGCAAGCTCCACCTCCCAGGTTCATGCCATTCTCCTGCCTCAGCCTCCCAAGTAGCTGGGACTACAGGCACCCGCCACCACGCCTGGCTAATTTTTTGTATTTTTAGTAGAGACGGCGTTTCACCGTGTTAGCCAGGATGGTCTAGATCTCCTGACCTCATGATCCGCCCGCCTCAGCCTCCCAAAGTGCTGGGATTACAGGTGTGAGCCACTGCGCCTGGCCTAAGTCATGTATTTTTATTCTGTTTCTAGCCTATTGGTTCCAGATGGGGATCTTTGTGATAAGAACATGTAAGGAAAGGCAGAAAGAGGTAGAAAGCACCCATAGCCACACCTATCTCTGTGACTTCTACCTACAAGGTGGCAAACTCATTTCACTGGCAGACTCCAAGCAGATCCAGCAAAAAAACAGAATGAATTTGTGTTTCCCCACTGATCTATCATTCTCATGATAAAAAGATACACCAACCTTTTCTTACAGGGTCTAAATAAAAAGTCAAGAGTACAAGTCCTTGGAGAAAGTTTTGTAAGACCATCTGAGCCTTGACTATCAGCAGTTAAAACCCAAGCTATGTGCTCTTCCTTCATGAATGAGCAAAGGGGAGAAGGATGCCATATTTTTCAATGCACTGGCCCCCAAAATAGAACTTTTGGATCAGAAGTACGCAGGGCATCTCCTTCTACTCAAGTTCCCAAAAGAGAAGATGGGGGTTATTAGGAAAATGCTAAGAACTGAAAATTATTCCCTGGGAATTTATAACCATGGAAAACTCTGGAATCAAAGCCCTTCACACTGAGCCTCGCTCTCTCCCCCTCCCTTATCCCCATCTATCCCATTAAAATCCCCATCCTCACTCTGCTAGTTCTTATTCTATTCCCAGATCTTTTGCTCATCTCACACTCTTTGAACAGCTATTTCAGACAAGGACATTCATTAATGGTTTAGAACTGGAGGAACCCCTAACCCAGAGCTCAGAAATTGGCAAAGGGAGATGTCCAGGTCCCACCAAGACTGAATGGGGAGGAGAAGGAAGAAGAAAGATGTGTGGCTGGTAGCCAGGGCAGTGATGGGAATGGCACCTTCCAATGGCAGCACTGGTAGGCTGACAGTACTTTAGAACTGTGTGGACTGGAAAATACATTTATACTTCAAATAACCATCTCACAAATAAATTTTGAGAACGTAAATCAAAGACTGCCTTGACTTCTATTATAGAATGGGAGCTGATCCTTTTTCTTCTTGTAGTCCAAGAATAGTTTGAAAGTAAATTCCAGCTAAATTTAATCCATAGCTAATATTATTATGAGAAACTGTGAATAAAAGTTATGGAAAAGAGAGATAGTTTTAAAAATTCCATTTTAGGGCTGTCTCTAAAGTCTACTTTAAAAATACCTATCTAGAAAACATTGGTTCTGATGGTTTTAAAATAAAACTATAAATGCTGAAGTCGTACATAATTTAGATTATTTGTATATATTTTATAAGAAATTCATATACAGTTGATTTTGTTTGAGATAGAATTAAAAGGAATAAAGTAATTTACCTTCTAATTATTAATGAAATACTTAAAGAAGAGCATTAATTCTTTTTATATACCACAGAAAAGAATACTACAAAACAGTATCAAGCAGAAGCACAATTAGAATACTGGTCACAAAAAATTCTGTACTTGTTGCACAGAATTACTTATTCTATCAATCCTTTCCTCCAAGTGTCCATGTACTATTCCTTGATCACTAGTTTTTATTCTTTTCTTAATAAAATGCCAATAATTCAAGTGTTTCTATTCAGTTCAATCTACTTAGAATTGCAATGACAATTTAATGGAAGAAAAGGTATTTTGAAATTCTGAAATTTTTTTAATTAAGCTTTGGGATTTTGTTGGATTTATTTTTAATTTACAGGTATTGACCCATAAAAAGTGAGTTAAATTACACCAAGATAAAGATAATCTCCAGGTGGGAAGGAACAAATGTCCATGTGAGCCTTAAATGTTTCCCGATTTGCCTCTTCAAAGTACACTCCAGGCAGTGATATATAGATCACTTTTCCTAATGGTTGATAATGCTGAAATTTGAGACTATTACCACCCTCGAGTTTAAAGCAAGAGTTTGTTGAATTCTACTTGTACGTTCCTAATCACAGCTAGGCATCTGATAAATAGGAAATGAATCTGTACCCCAAAAGACTTCATTCACAGACGTTTTATCACAAATATGCACAAAAATATTTTGGATTCCAGAGCCCAGTGCTCAAATGGCAAATTCAGGGTTGAGATGTAAATCGAGAAAAATGAGAGCAAGAAGGCATACGAACCACATAATCTTTTCGCTACCTCTGACCTCAAGATAAGGAGCTACCAGTTCTTATAATGCTCTTTAGAAACAATCATACTAAGAATTTAGACACAGAAGGTGACAACACGTTCTAAATTGGCCAAAGATTGGGTCTTTAAGTACCACTCAAACATGTTAATACACGCATGCCCATGCGATAACGCCACCACTACAGTTGCAGGTTACTCACCATATGAGGAAATGCCGTACGGCTGTCCTGGCTGTGGGTACGTGGCATAGGCTGTAGCTTGTTGCATTCCTGTGGTAAACTGTGTTTGCCCATATGCAGCCATAGTTTGTGAGGAAGGGGTAGGGAGAATATGTGGGTATGGTCTGCTATTTGTCAGAAATGACAGAAAATAGAAAGCCCATGCATTAGATGGAAACATGCAAACCGATTAACAACCACATCACAAATTCCAGCTAAATATTGTATCTTAAAGTAAAACTTTCACACAGAATTGACAAAGCACTGAAATACTTCAGTGTCTCCACTACATGATGCTCAAAATAAATTTGTATCAATATGTTTACATCTCTATGAAATGCACTTTCATTTAAATTAAGATGGAACATGTGGGCACAGACATGACTTTAAATAAATAAAAGTCTACTCAGAGAAGTTATTTATTGATTAAGAGAAAATACATCTTACTTGGAAGGGTAAATCTGTGGTGGAGAGAACTGGTGAGTTGGTCGTGGGCTGAAACTACTGCTCCCAATTGCTGGAAAACAAAAACAAAACAAAATAATGCACAATAATCCAAGCAAAACACAAAATATATAGAAAGCACTGACATATTTTCAACTATAGGTTGGCCATATGAAATTTCAGATATTTGGTCTTTGTGACCTGCGGAGATGGAAATTTCATATGGTTCCACCTAACAGAAAGTTAAACTATAAAGAGGAATGAATAGAAACTGATTAAGGGCTCTAGTTTTAAATGAACTCTTAGAAAACGTCATCACAATCTTCGCAAATACCTGCTGGCATGCTGTGAGTTTTTACAGTGGCAATACTTAAAGAGTACAAGGAGTCCTGGCTACTGTTTGGAAAGCTGTGCTGAAAGGGGAGGTATGAAGCTGAATTGCAGGATTGGGTGAGAATGTGAAAGGTCAGCTGGCCTATTGTTTGTGCTCAGCAAGAACACACAAACCTGAGGCTGTATTACCAAGAAACATGGTCTAATCTTCTCTCGGGTGAGAAGAAACAGGATAGATCCTCATTTGCCTGCATTGATTTAGCAATGGTTTTTAGTAAAAATGCGTTCCTATAACTATCTTAAATTTCTCAAGTTGCAAGCTAAGCCTGTTTTTTCCTGTGCTGATCTGGGTCTTCCTTTGCCTTTTAGTTATATGTGATCAACTTCAATGTTCAACTAAAAAAAGGTTTGCCTTTATTTTTTAAAGAGGTATTTAAGCATTCAAGCAGAACTTTACTTCTTAATCACGTTTACTTGATTAAATAATGCACTGAAGTCCAAGCAAATGTTCTTGTGCTCTAATTTTGAACTGAAGAAGCAAAAACCTATGTTAACAAAGTCCTGAAAATGGCAGTTTCAGCTTCTTTCATTGTAAACACAGTGAATCTACATATATATAAATCTACATATATGTGTGTATATATACATACATATATATCTACACATATTTACGTTTATGGGTATACATGTACATATTTTTTTCCTCCAATTCTCTAATCTCTATCGGGCTAAGATGCATATTCCTTGGGGGCAATTATTATAAGATGTAATGTTTATTTTATTCTTCTACCAATAATTACTATCTTCGGAGGCTCTATTATTTATTAATTCTATTCTACACTAAAATCCTTTTAGGAGGTTCCATGTACTCAAAGTTTCATATAGTTTTCCCATTGTCACACTGGTACATTAATGTTTCTCAAATTTAATTTTCTAGCTTGTGTTTGGGATGACAATGGTAGAATTGGACTAGAGTCTTCAAATCTATGAGTAATCTTTTCCTTGTAAAACAAACAAGGCCTGTCCAGGAACAGTAGATCTAGATTAGTACCACTCTTGCAAGCTCCCAGACTTCAAACATCTGGCTGGCCGCTTGGCAGAGACAGCATCTGTACTGAAGAGATGGCAAGCCGGCCCAGCTGGTATACCCCATCATCTGGCACATACTGAGCCACTACTCTGTTCCAGGTGCTGTGCTAGATGCTGCACGTGCGAAGGTGCAAAGACTAGATCTGTCTGATACACATGGGAAGGGTGACACATAAAGAACTGTGGGATGGTCAGTTAAAGACTGCAGTTTATAGAAGAGAGGGATTAGTGAGAGAACACTTGGACTATGAGCACTACCACTTGCCCAGGTCATCTGCAACTAAAACCTCTTCTGCTCCTCTAAGACAGAAAACAGGCCAAGGGTAACATGGACTTACCCAGCAGAATTATTGGAGAAGTAATCTCTTCCTGGGACAATTGGAGTTCAAAATAATTGGTTAAAAACCAAACAACAAAAAAATGCAATGCTACTTGCTGACAGAAGCCACAGAAACCCCATTTATTCTTTCCTAGCTCTATGTCTATGTTTTTTGAATTGTGGGTCATGGCTCATGAAAAGTTCATAAACTCAATAGGTTGTACCCAACAATTTTTTTCTTTTTTCTTTCTTTTTAACAAACAACAGAATAAAAGATATCAGGGTTATGGGTTACTACACAGAGTACAGGAAGTCCCATAAGGCTTTGATTTAGAGGATATGCACAGTATGTGTGTATATACATATGATGAAAGACTTAGGAGGCTGCAGAACGTGGGAATTAAGCCTAGGTTCTGGAATCAGAATTGAATTTCAGCTCAGATTCAAATCCCACTTCTTCTATGTGGGCTTAGTCAAGTTATTCCCTCTATGTCTCCATATGTTCTCCTATAAAATGATGGCAGTAATACTACCTACACCTCATAGGATTGTCATGAAGACTGAGATAATTTTCCCAGATTCCCACTAACTTTTACCCCACACTTGTCTTTTCCTTCTGTGTTTTCAACTCTACTCAGTGGACTGCATCACCATCTGTCCCACAAAATACTTCAAGGTTGGATTTTCTGTTTCCATTTTACATATAAGGAACTAAGGGCTGATAGAAGTAAAGTAACGTATCTAAGCAAATTGAACCCAGGTCTGCCTAACTTTTCCCACCAAAGCATACTGTCTTCCGACCCCCTGCGTGGAAATTAGAACTTCACAGCCATCTTGTTTTCCCCTCTATTTCATGACTCAGGTGGCTCCCCGACCCCCAATCCAGAATTGCCTGTTGGTCTGTCCTGCATACTCCATCCATACTCTCAGGATCCCTGTCCTGGTTTAGGTCCCAATAATGATGTCTCACCTGGACTACTGCAACAGTTACAGAGCCACTGTCCCTTTGTCCCACTCAGAGATGGCCACCTGTGCCTTCTGACTCTCAATACTGTCAACACCATGTTCTTTCTTAAATGGAAACTTCTTCATATCCATTCTCTAGCTCACAATCATTCGACAGTGCACATTATCCCTAGGATAAATTCCAAATTCCTTGGCACAGAATACAAAGAGATTCAAGCTTCAACTCCCTCCTGGGTAGGTTATCTAGGCTCCCAGACTTCAGAACTGCCCATCCATGGCATGTACTTTTATGTCTGATTTGGTTGTTGTTCACACTAGACTCATTTTCCTTGTAAAGCTCTTCTTTCCTCTGCCTGACAAACATTCCACCACAGAGACTAAGTCATCATTTTCCCTTTAGGATAACGTCTTCCTTCTCTGTACTTTCTTGGAACATTGCAATCCTTGGCAATGTAGCACCCCCAACATTGCATTATAACTAGCGTATGTAGTGTATAGATGGTTACATTCCTCTGCTAACTATGGGCTTCTGGGGCCAGGGTCTTCTTATTATCCTATTTCCTCAGCACCTGACAGGGCCTGGTATGTGGTAGAGGGAATCAACACACACTATTTGTTTAAAAAGAATGTGAGAATTAGGTCATAAGCAAAGTAGATGTTTCAAACCACAATAACGTGAAGAATGGTTCAATTATTTTAAGTTTTTTTAATAAACATACATAATAAACCTAACTTAGTTCTGTGGCAATATAGATTGGAGTAAGTAGTATACCTTATGAAATAAATGTGAAGAACCCACAATGCTGTCTTATAACTACTCACCTAGTTAGGTGTGCTTAAAATTACTGAATGTGTCAAAGGCCATATAAGAAGTCATATCTTTTGGGCTTTCTTTAAATCCAAACCTCTGTATGGCTCGCACAATCTCTGTGTGGCCTGTAGTCAAAAATCTACCATCTTATACCTGAAGTACCTTTTCTGTAATGGCATGAAACACTTTAAACTTTCTAAACAGTAACCCAGGAATTCAGATTAATTTTAATTTCACAGGACCAAAATCATCTAAAACAAAGGGAATGACCCCAGATCATCTATCAAGGTAAATTAAATGGTCCTTTTACCCTTAGAACACTCCAAATTACATATGCCACAGAGCCTTGGGAACATACGGACAACCAATATCTCTTCATCTGTTTCAATTATTCCATTCTCTGTCCAACATAGAAAGAATCTCCTCCAATCTTTTTGTAGGAAGGGAGAGGAGAATCAAAAATGAATAATAATTACAATCTTGGGACCACTGGGAAGAGCAAAAGAACTCTCGAAATTGGCAGGTCCTCAGCTCATTCCTCCCCCAGGCTCCTTCATGTCAACACCATTCAGCCAATCAGGTCAAAAGCCTAGAAGTAAGTTTTGACTCTTCTCTTTCCCTCAAACCCCACCTACCCTTTTATCATAAGTCCAGTCTGTTTTCCCAACAAAATATACCCCAAACCTTACAACTTCTCACTTCTCATTTATCACTCTGTTCCAGTCACCAATGTTGTGGCAAACAGAAGAAGCACCTCCTGATTCTTCTGCTGCAGGGGATGAAGCTGAACAAGGGCCTAGCTGTTAAGCTCTGCAATCCATCCATGCCATGCAGGGCGGGGGTGAGGGGACACTTTCAAAGGGCTTAACCCGACCAGTGACAATGCACCAGGGATACTAAGGCAGGCCTGTTCCTGGGAGAGCTGGGGCTCCTCTGATGGCCTTGCTGAAATGTCCTGAGACTGCACTCCCACCTAACTTAACCTCCCTTCCTTCCCTCTCTCCTTTCCCTTAACAAAATCCTGGCACAGTTAATCCTGCCTTGGTGGCTCTTCTAGGAAGATGTGAACTAACACAGTCATCTTTCTTCTGAGCCAGGAAAACGTTGGTCTCCCTGTTTCCATGTCACCATTCACCCCATAAAGCACCTTCCATGCATCAAACAGTGACCTCTCAAAAACATAAATTAAGTCATGCCACAAACCCCCTGACCCTCAACCCCAAGCCCTCCATTATCCTATCACATTTCATTGAACCCAAACTTATTGCTGCCCTTCACCAACATCTCTGCTCAGATGCCCTGTCCTCTAAAAGAGACTCCCATTCATTCCTTTACTAAATTCTTTGATCAGCTTTTGTTTTCTTCTTAGCAGTTTTAGTTGTCTATTTACATACACCAGCACTTAACACTTACCCATGTATTATCCGTCTCTCCCAAAGAATGAAAGCTCCATGAGGGCAGAGACCCTGTCTACCACTTCACTGCTATATTCCCACTGCCTAGAACATTGCTTGGCATATAGCAGGTGCTCAATAAATAATTGTTGAATGAACGAATCAGACCTAGAAGGGTATACCTTTTATGAACAATTAAAAAGAGAAACCATATTTGTTACACAATATTTTTTCTCCTCCAGAAGCATTCCTGCTTCTATTTTCAATTTTCAAATATCACCAGACATCAACTAGCAGTTTACTTAACAACTTAACAAATTTAGGCTTTGTAGAAATGGCAGAGGCAGTAAAGATATTAAGAACACTTTGTTTGCAATCCCTCTTGTTCTTAAAATTTAAATCATTAAAGTATTGTTTTTCATTGATAAAGAGTAAATGGGCCTCACTTTACGATATTTGGAAACCATGATAAACAATGCTGCAATTTTCAACTCAGCCACATGCCTTGGAAAACCAGCCTCCCCTTTCTTCCTTTCTTTCACTCTCCCCACGCCAAGATCCCTGAGGGCTTCCCTGGAAGAGTGAGAGTGAGTCACTATGTCCTCAAGGCTTGCAGGTGCTAGGGCTCCTTGAAAGACAGGTGGAGATAGCAATCACCAACATCAGAGTGGCTCCATTTCTTCTTTATCCTCACTGTCTATTTTGTTAAGACACTAATAATAGTTAGGGCGGGAATCTTTAAGTTCTTTTTTTTTTTTTTTTTTTTTGAGACAGAGTCTCACCCTGTCGCCCTGGCTAGAGTGCAATGGTGCATCTCAGCTCACTGCAACCTCCGCCTCCTGGGTTCAAGCGATTCTCCTGCCTCAGCCTCCTGAATAGCTGGGATTACAGGTGCCCGCCACCATGCCCGGCTAATTTTTTGTATTTTTAGTAGAGACAGGGTTTCACCATGTTAGCCAGGATGGTCTTGACCTCCTGTCCTGGTGATCTCTCTACCTTGGCCTCCCAAAGTACTGGGATTACACGTGTGAGCCACTGCACCCAGCCAAGTTCATGTGAATTTTTAAGCCATTGTGGAGAAGAAAGTAGGAGTGGTGGCCACAGAGCTAAAGGACAGCTTGGAGTTAAGGGCTTAGAAACTTCTTTCTTTTACAAACCGTAAGCCCTGTTCATAGCCATTCCAGTATGTTGATTTTTGTCTCTTTCATCACTTATAAAAGAGAGAGAAAAGAAAATGTAAAACAAGAGAATACCGATTCCGGGGTGCTCTGTGCTTCCTATGCCTTCACCCAGCCCCCTCAGCTCTCCTGATTCTTTCCGCTGTATTCAACATGGAGAATCAAACTATGGAAAACAAGATCCTTTACAGCTTCAGCCTCTCCACCACCTACCCCTTCACCTTCAGCTAAGCCCTTCTCCAAGGCCCTCGCTTCTCCTGTGTATCTTTTTCAAGTTGAGGCTGCTTGCTCTTTCAGATTCCAGATGTCACAAAGACCTGAAAACATATTTTCATTGTTGCTTCTTCCAAACCATTGGTTTTCTACTCTCCCATAAAAATCTTTCTTTCTCTGGGGTTGATGACAGATCTTCAACACTTCCATGAATGACCCACATCCTGGACACTGCCTACATTTATCAAAAACTTTAGGATTTGGTGATGTCTCCCCAACATCACCCTGGGTTATACATCCACTGCTTTTCTCAGTCTGTCTAGGCCTCAACCCTGGCCTTCCACTTCAGTCATCAAGCTCAAGACCACATCCTGGCCCCTTTTCCCCACTCCATGGTCTCAAGCCACAATCACATTGATCAATTCATTAATTTCCTTAGCAAACATTTACTGAGCATCTCCTGTATGCTTGATGCCATGAAGACCATCAGGACTGCAACTGAATAATACAAACAGAATCTCTGTTCTCATAGGGCTACAGTTTAGCAGGAAGACAGAGACCGAGGATTAATCCCATAAGTAGTGATGAAGGGTGCGGAACTAACTACAGAGGCATGTGGTGAAGGCCTCACTGAGTTTAAGTAAGGAATATCATTTCTGTCTAGAATTTTCATTCCTTTGTTCTCATTTCATGTGTTCTCCAACCTCATCAAGAGATGAAGAACCCCTGACATCCCTATCTTTTCTCACGGTATTAGCCCCTACCTTCTTCTTTCTACCCGTCTTGAATACATGAAAAATTATTTTAAACCATTCCTTTACTGATACTCTCAATTTTCTTAATTTCATATTCTCTCATGCTCTATCTGGCAAACCCTTGACCCTGGATCAAGCCCAGCATCTTTTCACATGGTCTGCTAAGCCCTTGTAGAGAAAAATCACTCTACCATACAGGCCCATCTTCATTAGCTCCAGCCTTGTTCAACCTTCAGCTCTACTGTCCATCCTATTCTCTGTTTCTAGGCAGCCTCAGACTTCCCCAGCATCCACTACATCAATTTCAGTCTTCTCCAACTCTTCAAGCTCACATGCCTATCACTACTCTTATTTTGAGTCACTTCGGAGGAAAAAGTAGAAGCCATCATTCGTTCATTCATGTTTTCTTTAATTCAAATATGTGGCACATATTAGGCAAATATGTGAGTGCCTAATATGTGGCAGGTACTGTTGTAGGTGTCAGGGATATAGAAGTGAACCAAACAAGACAGAATCCCTGCCAACACAAGCTTATGTTTTGGTGGGGTGAGAGTCCAAAACTAAACATAATACACAAGAAAATGACAGCATTTGCAAAAGGCTCATAATTATTGGCAGGAAAGAGTGGGGAGTAACCTGATCCGGTAGAACAGAAGTAGAACAGCAGAGCTGCACCGAGTCAAGTGGTCAGGGTGGGCCTCGATGAGGTGAGATTTGAACACAGACGAAGTTAGGGAGAGTAAGGCAGGTGTACAGGGAAAGGACTGCCAGCAAAAAACACACTGTGTGGGGAGCATGTCTACCACATGGGAGGAAGAACAGTAAGCAAGGCGGGCAGGCAACAAGGTCAGACAGTCTCTGAGGCAGATGATGATAGGGCTTGTGGGCTTTTTAAGGATTTGGCTTTTACCCGTAGAGCCGAATGGGAGCCTTTGGAGGGTCTGAACTGAAGAATCGGATAGGAACTCCCTCAACATACTGCCACCTCATCCACTTCAAATTCATCTGCACCACTTCATATTGCATCTTCCCCAATGTTTCAGTGGAAAAGTTATTCCTTTTCTAGCCTGATCCGCTTCTGTTTTGGATTTGTGCTATTGCTGTCCCATCAGGGGCTTTCCTCTATCAATTATCCCCCTACTTACCCATACCTCTAACCTCTGCCTCTGTTGAGTTTGTGTCAGCTGTATGAAACCACCCTGACCTCCTAAATGCCATCCCTCTCTCTAACGAATTTCCTTTCCTTCCCTTCTTTTTAGCACTATGTACTTGAAAGACATTTTTCTTTTCCTCATCTTCACTCCCCCACATTATTCATGAATCATTCATTCATTCAATAAACTTTAGGAGCACATACTATCTGCTAAGAGCTATGCTGGAGACACAGAAGTTGGTCATGTGGTCCAGCAGGGACAAGGATAAAGTTCATCCATCTACTGAAACTGCCACAGGCTAATCCATTGATGCTTGTAATTTTTTAATTTTCAATTTTGACATAATTTGAAACTTGCAGAAAAGTTGCAAGAACAGCACAAAAACTTCCCAGATAGCCTTCATCCAAATTCTCCAACATGTTATTAGCTTTATCCTTGATTTCTTGTGTGTGTGTGTGTGTGTGTGTGTATGCATACGCATATGTACCTCACATTCTGTTGGAGTTTTGTGTATGATGTCTTTTTACTTATAAATATTTCTGGCCGGGTGCAGTGGCTCACACCTGTAATCCCAGCACTTTGGGAGGCCGAGGCGAGTGGATTACTAGGTCAAGAGATTGAGATCATCCTGGCCAACATGGTGAAACCCCATCTCTACTAAAACTTCAAAAATTAGCTGGGCATGGTGGCACGTGCCTGTAGTCCCAGCTACTCGAGAGGCTCAAGTAGGAGAATCACTTGAACCCAGGAGGCAGAGGTTGCAGTGAGCCGAGATCACACTACAGCACTCCAGCCTGGGCAACAGAGTGAGACTCTGTCTCTAAATAAATAAATAAATACACACACACACACACACACACACACACACACACACACACATATATATACATATATATATTTCTATGTGTATTTCTTAAAAACAAAGAATTCTTTTACCACAGTACAGTTATCAAAATCAGGAAAAACAGTGATAGTGATGCAATACTATTTTCCACAGATATTTTCAAAAAGATTATCTCTTTGTAGCACATGATTTTTAACTTGGACTTTAAAAGTATTACTTTTTAAAAGTATAAATGTTTTATATATATATATACACATATATATAATGTAAAAATTTTGAAAATAAGACAAAAGCAGAAGGAATAATATTCAAATTATATTCCACCATCTAGAGAGAATCACTGTTAATTTTTAGACCCATATACACAGGCCCATATATGTACATACAGATGCCTTTTTAAGAAAGCAAAACTGTGATTATACTGAAAATATGACTCTTTCATAACTTGCTTTTTCTCTTAATATAGTTAACATTTTCTCAAGACACGTTTTAAAAATAATTCTCAAGAGCTGTGTACAGATCCACATTATTGACAGTGCTTCCTTAAAATTCTTCCCTGTGTTTGCTTCCAGTTCAACACTATTGCTTTTTTGTTTTTGTTTTGTTTTTGTTTTGAGACAGAGTCTCACTCTGCTGCCCAGGCTGAAGTGCAGTGGTGCAATCATAGCTCACTGCAACCTTGAACTCCTGGGCTCAAGTGATCTTCCAGTCTCAGCCTCCTTAGTAGCTGGGACCACAGGCGCATGCCACCACGCCCAGCTAATTTTTTAAAAATTATTTTTTGTAGAGACAGGTCTCCCTGTGTTGTCCAGGCTGGCCTCCAACTCCTGGGCTCAAATGATTCTCCTGCCTCTGCATCCCAAAGTGCTAGGATTACACGTGTGAACCACCATGCCTGGCCAAAACTTGCTTTATCCCGAATTACCTGTTTTCATTTGATCCTCTGCCCATGTCATATATATTAGCTTTCCGTGAGTTCTGTCTTCAACTTTGTTTACCCCACTAGCTTTAACTCCCTGTATACCTTCAAATTTCCCATGCCAAATCTCCTCTGAGCTCCAAACCCTAATATACTTGGCATCTGCAGGTAGATGCTGCCTCACAGTCAACATGCCCAAAACTGAGGTTCCTGTCTTCCTTTGTCAACCGTGCTCCTCTTGCATTTCCTGGCTCTTAACTTCTTTCTCTGCCTCACTTACCCCTATACCCATTGGTCACTGCCCACTATAAATTCTACTTCGTAAATGAAATGCACCAAATCCATCACCTTCCCATACCCATTGCCAGCGCTTTATTTCAGGTCTTCAATATTTCTTGCTCAAATTAATACAAAAAAATCTCTCCCTGATTTCTCCACTTCAGCTCACCTGCCCCTAATTCATCCTGCCATGGTGGCCATAATTCTGTCCTATGAATATGACCATGCGACCCCTTTCCTTTGATGCCTCCCATTGCACACAGGAGAAAACACAAATTCCATGAAGCTCACACAAGCCTCTTTAGACTCTGGCCCCTGCCTCCCTCTGCAACATGCCCTTGCTCTCATACTGTACACACACCAGGAACCCTGAACCATTAACAGTTCCCCAAAGATCCACGCCCTCTGTGCTGCTGTCTCCTTTCATGGAGTGTCCATTTGTCCAGCATCTCTCTCTCAGTGCTTCTTTCCTACTCATTTTTTAAGACTGAGCATCCACTCCAAGACACCTTCCCTGATCACCCCACCCCAACCTGGTCTCCACTAGGTCCCTTCGTGGGTGTTCTTTGGGCTCTCTGGGCTTCCCTCTGCATCATCAAACTGTACTGTGATGGTCTGTTCATTTGTTCATCCCACTAAGCCCTGGATCAGGACCATTTTCATACACCTATGAAGTCAGCATGGCACCAACCACATTGCCAAGCAAAAGTCAAATTCTAATAAATGTTTTAGGAAAGAACAAATGGATATTACACCCTTTGTTAATTTTTATCACTTTCACCTGGTATCATTAGTATCGAAGTTGTGTGTTTGCATTTCATTTTGTATTTATAATTTCTTTTTGTTGTGGTATGTATTAAATAAATGATCCAGAGAGCTTGAGTAAATCAATCACAACTTTATGGAATTATAGCATTTCCAATAGAGAGGTGCTAAAATTATAGCAGGCAATATTAAAAAAAAGTCAAAATTCTAAGAATTACCTCTGATATAAATAATTTTTAAATGAAATATTCCAAACTGGGCTGGGTGACTTGGCAAACATATAATCACATTCTCACAACCACCTTATGATCACAGTCACTTTCTTGTCAGTAATTTCATTATGACACTTGTGAAACTTGGATATTCTGTTTATTGGAGGCAGGTTTTATTAATGTGAAGGAGATTAAAAACTAACTGAAGAACTTAATGCTGCTTTACAGAGTCTATTTAATTTAGATCTATAGTTGATATGACAGTTACTTAGCAAGATGACTTGGCGAGTCTGCTTAGAAGCGTAAAACACCAAATTTTGCCTAACCAAATTTGAAGACCTGGAAAAATAATACATCTAAGAGAGAACGGGGGAGGAGTCACCAGCACAGTAAATATAATTAGTAGAAGAAAGGAGAAGAACAACACCCTTTTTATACCCCATTTATTGGATAGCAACATTTCAGCAACCACTTCTTCACAATGAATAAAAACAGAATTGGTAATATGTGACTCTGAGCAAAGCTATTTTATATGTATATATACATAAGTACGTATATACCCACATATATACACATATACATGTATACATATACATACACAGGGACATTACATGAATAAACTAGAAAAAATGCTTGGTGTTGATGTGAAAATCTAATATTTATTCCTTACCTGAACCTGAGAAATTGTTTAAAGACCCGTCGGCTGTCGTTGAAGCTGTTTCACTGCTGCTCATTGGCTCTGTTTTAACTACAAAAATAAACAACATACATCGATATTGAATTAATAGTTATTTGTAAAGACATGGAAGAGAAGATATAACATTCAGAGTAATGACAAGAAAATCATTTCAAAAAACATTTTCCCTAACTGAACATATATCATAAGCATAAATAGACTCCTTTTAAAAAAATTCACATATTAAGTTCTTTCCCCTTAGGAAACAATCTATTGTCACAAGTTACCCTTTAAAAGCAGCACTGTAAAAGTAATTAAATTCATCATTGTTTTACATATTTACTGAATTACTTATTGATAAATTATCTCTCAAAATCTACATGATGTGATATAAAATCATTTCCTGGGGTTGTGGAAAAAATCTGTTATTTGGTCAGAGTCAAAAGGATAGAACAGAAAGATGTGGGGAAGCAGGAAGTAAGTGGGTGTCGACACCAGCAGGTCTTCCTGATGCTCAAGGGCAAGGTCTCCCCCACCACACACACACACACCTTCTGGGTTCTCCAGCATGGCTAAAAAACCAAGGGCTTGATTTAATGCACCATCATTACCACCCAGCCATATCTGACTGCCAATTCACCAATATTTTATGTATGCTTCGTACCAAAAACATAACTGAATGTAAATGAAGCAGAAACAAAGTTTTCTATTTCAAAACAGTATTGATAGCAGACAGTTTGTGAAATACATACATGATATTTGGTCAAGTCCCTTTGTGCTGTGAGATAACTTTTAGATTTATGCTACAGATTCTCTAAAGCAATCCACTCCCCTGATATGGTGACAGTGTTATTGTTCCCCTACCAAAGAGGCAAGCCAACAACTTCAGCACATCTGCCTTTGTTCTCTCTAGTTTTACATTTTTTTAAAAGAAGAAGTAGCATCGTTGTTTTCCTTAGAAACTACTGGTGAAGTGCCATCATCAGAATTTGCCTACCCTGCTTTGTGGAAGGTATTCATTTCTTAGTAACAGATTTTCAGAAAGAATGCAGTAATATTTTAAGGGATACCTAAAAATCATTAACATGCTTCCTAAAACAAAGGCTCCCATGAGAGAATATTTGGGGAGGCCTCTCTTATAAAGCAAATACATTTTGAAGCGGGAAAAGATGATGGAGAAAATGCAGCTTTTCCTCCTCTCAACATCACCAATCTGTTATAAACACCAGGGAAAAGGCACATTCACATAACTCCTGGATCTTCAAATATTCTCCTAATGCATAATGAGTAGTTTAAAAATAAGCATTATAAATAGATGCATCGGATAGTCACTTTTTAAAAAAATAATTTTTCAGATGGCTTCTAAACAAGCTTTGGAAAACAACAATCGTGAGACTAATGGAAATCACTCTGCTGGATTGTTTTAATGTAGACCAAACAATGGTGTAACTGAAGTTGTAACTGAAGTTTTCACTTTTCTGCCAGTTGTTTTGGGTTTAGAAGTCTTTGTTGATGCTAAAAATTCTGACATAAGCCTGTATTTCCCTTCCCTCTCCATGACACCAGACAACCTAATGATTTTGCTTTTCATCACCATTACACTGCCATCGTTTCAGGAAAGGCAGTATTTCATTGCTAGCACACAGTTTCTAAGTTTCTTACTTAGCTGTCCACATCATACCTTACCTCCTTAAAAACACACACACACACACACAAAACCTAATATAATGCCCCATACACATAAAGCAATCGTTCTATTTCACTCTCTGCCAGACAGATCACCACTAAGATTCTGAACTCAGAATCAAATACAACATACTAAGCAAAAGATTAGAATTAGGTGCCATGGAAACAGGTCCTGTAAAGTGCCTACTATGTGTCAGTTATTTATAGACATTATAATTCATCCTTTTAAACAACTCTACAAATAGTTCTCAGAATAGACAAACTCCCTAGTCAGTATTGTCTTCTTGTTTCCCATGCACACATTAAAACCAAAGGGGTTAGGAAGTCACCCAAAGACTCACAGTAAGGGGCAGAAATAAGATTTAACTTGGGATGTTTTTGACTCCAAGGCCCATGACTAAAGCTTGAAGAAATAGTAATAAGTGGGACTTTCCAATAGTACAAGCTACTCCACAACAAGGCTGCTGGGGCACAGTGCCACACACTGGGGATAGAGTGGAAAGCGAAGTCCCTGCTCTCCTACGGTCTTAGGGCTCCTAGCCTAGTGAACTTGCTGGAAATTCTCACATAGAAGTTTCATGCCCAACTGTCAGGAAAAGATGTGAAGAAAAAAATTGTTCCACTGCGTGAGATGTCAATCAAGGTTACTTCCAAGTCTTTGTCAAATCTAAGGGCTATGATTCAACAGATTCTATAGATGCAACTACTTTGTGAATGCTTGACTACACCAAAACCACTCCTGTTTCTGTACCCCTAAAATTGACACCAGCTATTCTCCATATGATTAGCTTAATCGAATGTAGCCTTCACTCCCAAGAGGCACATTCAATTATACTTGAAATCCATTAAAACTAGGCAAAAAGGTTAGAAAGGAAAGGAAGAGGATACTTTTCTTTTAGGCCCCAATAACACTGCTTTTCACCATTGTTCAAACATACCCATCTATACACTAAGGAATAAAGACTCCCTTTTCCCAATGAACCCAGTTTTTTAAAAGGCTCACTGTTGAAGAGAAGAGGATGTACATAAAATAACCACCAGGATATTCATGATTTTATCAGGTACTGTAATTGAATACTTTGATCACCAGGGACCTGATGCTAAAGACTGGTGATTTATTGTAATGTAAAATAGTTTCTGAATGAAAGCCAAAGAAACAGAGACTACTTCTGGCTTTATTGTAGCCAAACATACATCCACCAGAGAGTTAAAAAGATGAGAATGATCTCTGGCCACCAAAATTTTATCCATCCCATTCCCACTAGCACCACCACATTTATAAATATGCTGTAGATGATGTAATACGGCATCTCTCCAACGCTTTGAATTTAAAAACATACACTGAGTTTTCTTGGTCTTAGAGGTTTAAGGTACTGTAACATCTGAGAACAACTATCCCATCTAAGCCACCCATCTAAAAAGGAAAAACTATGAATGATCTGTTCCCCTTTAAATAACTAGGATTAGTTTATCTCCACCATACTCTTCATTATATGACTCCAGTCTATTAGAAAATAGCAACTTTTGTTCTCTTTTGCCCCCACACGAGTCTCTTTTTCTACCATTCTAAGTTTCCAATCTTCCTTCTGATCCTTAAAAATATATTCATCCTTTAAAAATATTCAAAAATTCCCTTTTATCCCTTAAATCTCCCTGTTCCTCCAACTCCTTCACTTGGCCATGCACTCCAGGCCTGAGCAATGCTGGGCAACTTGCTACTCTCTAGATATGAAATGATCTTCCCTCCACCAATGCCTTTGAGTTTTGGTCTTGAAGTCAGAGAATCCAGTTACCTACTATAAGACTTTCTAAAAGTGATTTAATCTCCTTGATCTTAATTATCTCCATATACAAATGTTTTAAAATTATATCTGTATTACAGGAATAAGAATTCATAAAAATGTACATAAAGTACCTGATATAAAGTAGGAGCTAAAACTATATTCATCATCATCATTAAAAGTAGCAGTAGCAATATTCTCTGTTGGGCTGAATGCCTTCCTCCTTTCTCCTGTGGAGTAATACCAGGAACAATATAGAACAGTTAAAAGCACCAGCTTTGGAACTATCAGTTGAATTTCAATCTAGCTTTGCATCTAACAGCATGAATCTGGAAGTTAGCCAACTTCTGTATGCCTCGGCTTCCTCATCTGTAAGTGTGGGTGAATACTCAGGTGAGAATAAAAAAAGATAAATGCTTCTAAATCATTCCACACTGTGCTAGGTCCAGGGCCCATGCTTTTATAGTCACTCTATCACTATAGTGTCTCTTTACGACAAATCAAAGTCTTTCTTAAGATATAGATAACTGGGTCCAAATGTATCATGAACTTCACATTAAAGTTAAGCTTCCCCTTTAAAAGAAAGTTAGAAGAATCCGAAGTAAAGGGATGTATCCAAGATCAGCCATGAGGCCACACTTCAAGAGAGCCAAAATTAAATCAAGGTAACTTGGAAATAACTCAAGAAGGCAGGACCAAATTGTGATTATATGAAGAAAACTTATGTTTTGATCATTAAAAGGCAGTGTATATTTTCTGAAGAAACAGGCTAATAGAAGGAGAATGGTTTACATGGCAATTGTGATCAATAATTCCAGGAGAAAATGTGGCCATCTTTTTCTGACATTTTTTAGGGGAGGCTGGCCCATAAAAATGAGAAAACCATCTTCCTTCGTCATAAATTTCAGTGTGGATCTATCTATCAGACCATTGGAGCTCGGTGACATTAGCTATCAAGATCATGCCACTAACCCATCATACCATGATTCCATGCTTATCAAGCAACTTCTGGTTATACCTTGAAGGTTCCAGTCGTACAGAAGACTTCTACATCTGCAGAAGATGTCAGACCATTCAGAAGAAACAAATATTTCGTCCATTTGATTAGTTATATTTTTCACCATAAAATAAGTGGGCTGTTTTAATAAAGCAAGTTCACCCACAAAGGACAGTACTGCCTGCTGGACTAGGAGCCAGCCTGTGTGTTACAAATAATTCACGCTGCAACGCGCAGGGAAGGCAGCAGCCTTGGTGAGCTGCAGGCCCTCCCCAGCAGCACCTAAGCTCATCTCACAACTTTTCTCAAACTGTTACAGTAAGCACAGCTTGTCTTTGCTTGGCACAAACTCAATCTTCCTTTTAGTTTTGTTTCCTACTATATTATGCAGGGACTTCAAAAACTCAGTTTACCATCCCTCTCCCACTCTTTATGAGTCCTTCATCTCTTCTACTTCAACAAGACTTACCTTCATTCCATATTGGTTATTAAAATGTTCAGCTGCACCCATGCCTGGAATTGCATTACCTCCTTGAAATATCACCTTTGACCTCATTCATTCACTTAGTTGCTATTACCCCTCATCAGAACAAGCCATCTTTCCAAATCCCTATCTATTCTCCGACTCCTGCTTCACAGCCTCCCTTGCCTAGCCTGAAACCCAGAGCCAGCCACGTCTAGCTCCCATCCTAGGATGCTGTGTGGTCTCATTTCTCCTAGCATCTCTTTTTGCCAAATTTTAATCTCAGGATGGGCAATCTCTCATTGTTCACTGTTCTGCTGCTGTTCCAGATGGATGAGTATAGCAGAACAGGTGCCATACATGCTGGCCAAGTCCACTTCATTGTATTCTGTCTTTATTCTTTTGAGTCACCCTGTTGCTTGCCAGACCCCCTTTTCCACCTCTTGACAACTGTCTGAAACTGTTTCCACTGAGTTTTTTCCACGTTCCTTACGCTCCCGAGACATACCTCATCCCTCACCATCTTTGGCCCTTCCACACCAACTATTTCCCTTCCACACCAACTATTTTCTAAAGAATGTTGATGCTGCATTAAATCCTTCATCTTCCTGCAACATTTCCCAGTTTTCCATGGATTAATTTCAATGAAAGTTTCCTTTCCTTGAGCAGGGTTTAACCTATTTTACCAAGAAGACTTTCCCAATTGCCCAGTTCAAACTCTTCTTAATCCTAACTTTCCTCCATGGTATAGAATGAGCCTCATTCCTTGATACTTCTTTTTATCATTGTTCAATATAACATAGCAATAGTTCTCTTCTCCCCCATGTATTGCTTTTTCTCCAGGTTTTCTTCCTTTGACTACTCTGTGGTTCTAAAATTTCATCTCCTTCTTGTCTGCATTTTCTCTCACAATCATTTCTGTCCTGGCCACACTCTATAATTTCCACCACTCTAATATTTTACAAGTGTCTTCTTTCTAATTTCACAGCCACTATCCTAATTACCTTCTGCCTCTTCTCTTATGAAAGTTAGCAAATTGGACTTTCAGCCTCTACTCTCCCTGCTTTGGAAACAAATATTTATATTTTCATAATTTAGATGTGCGTGAGTCGCTCCTGGCTGTAGGGTCTTCAGCAGGTTCTTCACTGTCTTCTGAATTAAGTTCCCAATCTCTAATCATGTATTTAAGGTCCCCCCATACTCTGACACAGAATTTTTCTTATTTTCTTTGCTTTACTTTTCATTTCATTTCTTTCATACACTTTTTATTTGCATGACAAATAGTAATTTGCAAGAATACAAGAGTACTGAAAAAATACACAATCTCATCTAGTTGTCCCAACTTTCCTGTGTGGCACTATTATCCCCATTTATAGATAAAGAACCATATATCCATAAGTTGGACATCATTTAAACCAACTGGCATCCTAAGATGTTTAATGCTTCCTCAAGTCTACAGCTTTGTAGTACCCTTCCCTCTGACATTGAATATTCTACAAATTTTACACGTGACTAAATCCCACAGTTTCTTCAAGGTTCAACTAAAATCCCACCTGTTTCCTTAAGTCTTCTGTGATCTAGTACTCAGGGGTGGTTTCTTATTCCTTGAACTATGTCTGTGTTTGTGACTCCTTTAGAATATATGTTCTCTTCTACCTCATTTTATATTGGAAAGTCTTATGCATTTCAATATATAATAAACTGCTTCATGACCTAAAATGATCCTCTAAGACCAAAAAAACTCAGCTACATTTTTTTTTAATTTACATGATTGTATCTCTACAGGACTTAGCCCAACGTTTGGCTTGCGTTGAAATTCAATATTTATTGAGGGAATGGATAAAGATAAACTGACTTAAAAGACAGGTTACAACTGACTTCATACTACTAGACACATTGCACAGGACAATTCAAAACACTGTTTATGCTAAAAACAAGATGACAGTTTATTCCCTCCAAATCATCACTCAGTCTACTGATATGCAGGCTTTGCAAAGTGTCTCATTTACAGGACATGTGTCAGTTATGTTATTTTGAAAAGTGTACTATTTGGAGAAGACACATTAGCATAAACTATCAATTACTGAAATTTTTGTATGTTTAGAGAGGATCCCGCCCGAATCAGTAAAAAGAAAGGTAAATAAATTACCATGAATTTGTAATAATTCATGGGACATGACCCACAAAAGTAAATGTTGGGTATTGCTGCAAATAAGCCTTAAAAGGACCCTTTATAAAGCAACACAATTATGCTGTAGAGGATCACAAAAGCACAACCATGTAACGTTATGTTACGGGTTGGATTCAATGACAGTATCACTCACAGATTTCATGAGTCTCTTTCTCAAACCATGAGGCAGAAATAGAAATGTGTTTTTAGAAACTGTGTCAAATGATTTAAAAAGGGGCAGCAAGGGAGATGTGAAGAGAATAAAATTGTTGCATAAAGTACGAAAGTGGAAAAAAGCAACATTGCTAAATTTATATATTTGACATCTCACTCTAAATGCATGATTGACTCAATATTACAAGTACCCATTTGATTATTTCTGCTTCACCTAAAAGTGCATATATCCATGAACTCAATGTGTTTTCTTTAGTTAATTCCCATTTAGAAAACAAGACATTCCTTTATGTTTGGATTGGCTATATAGCATATGATCATTATCTCTCCAAAAAGTAAAGTTAAGGTCATCTTCTTTATCTTAAAGGAGGGCAGGAAAAAACATTAGCTCTTCAATGGTACACCTGGTACAATCTTATGAAAACCAAATAAACACATCCAGACTAAACTTGAATTTAAGAGTATACATGGCCAAAAAGAAACATTAGTCTATTTCAAAACCTGCTATTCATGGAAAGTACAGCATATATCAATAGCAGCATGTGCAATTACTTATGGGTTGGTCTAGACTAATTTAAATTTTTTGTAAAAGAAATAATATATGGTAAATCACGACTGCTCCTTTGTAATGTCTTTTACAACTCCATGTTCCTTTTTGTTTTGCAACTCATTCTTCCACACTAGCTCAGTTTCCTAACATATGCAATCTGAGAAGATTACATGAGCCTCCATACTAATGCTCATCTCTCCCCCAATCCAATCTATCCTTGCAACTGCTGCCAGACTAACACCTAAAACACTTCCACCATATCAGCCCCTTGCTCAAAATATTCAGTGGCTTCTCTACCGACTCCAGGATGAAGTCCAAATTCCTTAGCTTACTATTCAGGGTCCTCCACAGTTTGGCTCCAACTGATCCTTCCAACCTTATCTACTATCAATTCCTTCTTCAGCTAAACTGGTCTCCTCACAGTCTCCCAAACTATCCTACCTTTGTTTGTATTGTTTCTTCATTTAGAATGCATTCCATCTCTTCTCCACCTATTCAAATTCTACCCATTTCCCAATACTCAGCTCAGATTCCATCTCCTCCTTGAAGCTGGGCCAGACCTTAGCAAGCTGAAGAGCTCTTTCTTCTGTACTCTGAGAGCACTTTTGTTCAGATCTGTGGCTTCTAACCTTCTTGAGAATGAAGCCCTCTAACACCAAAACATTTCAGAACCCAAAGTGTATGACAAAAACCTACTATGAATTTGTAGATAAAAAATGTGTATTTTAATAAACATAACAGAATGTCCATATGTGAAAGAGTTAAATATATATGTGGCCTGTTAATTTCCTCACCCTACAGACAAACCTTTTGAATTTGCGGACCTTTGGTACTTGCTCTCCAACTACTGAGGAAGTGTAAGCCACAGACTGAAAATCCTAGTCTCCATAATTTATTTGGTATATTACCTTTTAGTTTTTGCTAAATGTTTAAAAAGTCTTATCTGCCTTAACCAGCCTGTGAGCTCCTTAAGACAGGTGTCATAGTCATCACAAAATAGAGAGATAAATATCTAAATTAAATATTTTGTTTGAAAATCACAGAATTGCAATTCAGAACATATACACAGAGCAGGATGGTCTTCAGTATGTCCTAAGAACAAAGAGAAGGAGGTTTTATTAGAAAATGTTACATTTTGTTTTGAAAAGCTCATTGGCACTAGAGAAGCTTTGGGAGGCTGCCAACCTCTGACTGGTGACTGGTGGCAGTAGGTAAAATTAGTCATGGAGTCATGGCAGGTTGTCTCACTAGTTACTAGGTAAACTGGTTTGAAGGTTACAGCAGGCCATTTCAGCAGCTGGGCTTGAAGAAAATTCAGTTTTTGGAGCTGGTGCTATATTCCCCAAGTGCTTTCTCCCCCTTCTCCTTCAACTGATTTAGTTGGTGCTATGGTTTGAGTATGTATTCCCTCCAAAACAAATTTTGAAACTTAATCCCCGATGTGTCAGTATTGAAAGATGGGAACTTTAAAAGGTAATTGGATCACAAGCGCTCCACCCTCACGAATGTATTAATCCATTCATGGACTAATGGGTTCATGGATTAATGGTTTATCAGGAGAGGGAAACTGGCGGCTTTATGAGAAGAGGAAGAGGAACCTGAACTAGCATGTTAACATGCTCCATGGCCTCCCCATGTGACACTCTGTGCCACCTTGGAACTCTATAGAGAGTCCCCACTAGCAAGAAGATCCTCACCAGATACAGGCCCTTGACCTTGGACTTAGCCTTCATAACTGTAAGAAATAAATTCCTTTTCTTTATAAATTATCTTGTTTCAAGTATTCTGTCATAAGCAACAGAAAATAAACTAGTACAGTTGGATATAACTAAAATGACCCAATTGGCATAAATCAACTTTCACACAAGGGCAGTACCATATACCTCTTCATATTTCTTCTAGAATCTGGCAGAGTTTATTTGTATACAGTAAAAACTAAATAAATATTAGATTCCTTTTTTCTCCAATATTATGCTATAAAATTTATCATACAGACAGGAAAGTTGGAAGAATTACACAGTGAACACCTATAAACCTATCATCTGGACTCTACAATTAGCATGTTACTATATTTGCTTTTCTGTGTCTATCCTTCAAAAAACCATCTTATTTTTAATATATTTTAAAGTAAGTTGCAGATATAATACACTTCCCCTAAACACTTCAGCATTCATATCATTAACTAGAGTTCATATTTATTTTTGACTTTTTATAAAGTAAAATTTTTATATAATTAAATGTACAAATCTTAAATGTGCCATTCGATGACTTTCAACAGATACATATTATATTCAGAAAACAAAGTGAGATTGAAATATTTTTAGCTTATTATAATAATGGAAGCATGGCACAACAGTATGAAAAGATTGTACCAATAAAAAAAATGCAGACAGCAATACAACGTTCTCAATTTATGACACAGGCAATATTAAAGTAGACTTTTAGAATGGAAGAGTAATAATTTTAACTGTAGTTTATATTTATTGAGGACCTACTATATGCCATACATTTTGCTAAGCACTTTACAAGCAGTACATTGTTTGCTCCTCATGGCAACTTTATGAGATATTTATTATTATTGTGTAATTCATAGATGAGGAAACTGCAGCTTCAAATGCTAAATACATAGTCCATGATCACACAGTTTCACGTTTCTTTAATTGCCATATCTTTTGTAAATCAGCCAAAAAGCCCAGTGTTTTATGAATATGGTTTTATCATCCTTAATCATTCCTTTGATATAGATCTGGACAATCAGTGAATGGCACGGCAATAAGAAGGTTTAAGAATACCAGGGCACTGAATAAAAGTATATCAGTGTATGTTGCAAATTAGCGGGTGGTAAAATAAACTAGTGCATGAAGATTGGAAGCAGATGAGCTGGCTCAGACTCACAACCTCAATCATATCAATGTGGGAAAATGGCTTACTTGCCTAAAAGGCAATCAATCTACTAAATGTACATCTCAGATCATATGTTTTTCTCATCCTTCACCAACTCACAGGAGCACCCAGACATAAACCCTAACCACATTGAGTATTAATGGAAATAGTAATTACTAAGTACCTCAAGTACTCCAAATACCTGCAAAGGCTGTGCTTGATATGCAGGATCCCAAAGGAGGAGAATATATCTTTTCCTCACCTGGAGACATTACAGTAGCCAGTCCCAGAAGATATGTTTCTTTTTAAAAATATAACATTATTTAATAATAGCTGCTATGTTTTGAGCATGTAGTAGATACCAGTAAGTGCACTTAATATTTTGGATAGACTGTCATAGCACCTGTGATGAAGGGGCAATGCCATTCTACAGCAAAGAAGGCAGAGGCTCAGAAATAACAGATAATAATAGCCAGTGGACATTGAGCATTTTCGAGGAGTCAGACTCTGTTCTAAGCACTTTACCAACTCATCTAACAGTTGTAGCAACACTACAGGCATGTAGTATTATCATCTTCATTTTACAGACCAGGAAGCAGAGGCATAGAGCAGTTAAGTAAGTATTCATCATCATACTTGGTAACTAGTAAGTGGCAGAGCTTCAAACAGAGGCAGGCAGGCTTCAGGACTCTTGGCTCCCTGCTCTGTTCTCAAAATGCATATGTTAGTTGCTGTGAATAAACAGCAGAATTGTGATTGTGTTTTTTTTAGTTTAGGTAAGTCCGACTACAAAACTGCTCTCACAAGCATGCAATTCTTCCTATATTTCTAATATTACTCATTTTCCACATCACTGTCTTTAAGGCAAGTATCAGATTTGTTCAGAAAAAGATAATAATATGTAAATAAGCGCATGATTTCAGATAAAATGCCTTCATTTCTTCTCACCTGGGGTCCCTTCTTAGTGCCCACTACCCCTTGAATACAGTTTCAAAATACTCCCTAAGTGCATTTCTAAAACACAAACCCAATCATATCACTTTCCAACTTACAAGCCTTCAGCTTCCACAGCTCCTGTACAGTTGAATCTAAATTCTTGAACTTCATATCTGGAGCCCTTCATCATCATCTTTGGTGTCTAAACCCCATCTCTGTGCATGCTCCTCATCTTACACATACACACAAACACACACACACACGTGCACACGTGCGCGCACACACACACACACTCACTCTTCTGCCATTCGGAATGTCTTCGTCACAGCTATAAAGCTCAAGCTCTCTCTTTCTTCCTGGCATGGCACTCAATATTCTCCTACCTCTTCTTCAGGACTCAGGTTAAGCATCACCAGCATGCGTCCCCACAATCCACAATCACTTCAGTCATGATTAGATGTCCTCCTCCTCTGTAGAATATAGTCCTTATCTTAAAGTATGGTGGTAAATCACATTTAATAGTGAACTTCTCTTTGGCCAGAATGGAGTTTGGTATATTTCTAGATAGAATCACTTAATAAACAGCTCTCAAATTAGCAATGTAATTGTGGATATACAGTATAGATATACTACATGTATACACACATACACACACACACATACACACTTTTATTTTTTTACTGCAGTGAATATATATATATATATATATATATCTATATATATCCTTCTCCCTGCAGTTTTCCCCACCTTCAAAATGTTTACTTCCAATTATTCCTTTACCATCTTACCATCTACACACTAACCCTAAGTGTACTAACTTCCTTATCCTTATATCATTCAGTTGTTTCTTGGACTATGTGGAAGTTGCTTTATCACTATTAATATACTAACAGTTGAAGTTTCTATTTATGAAGCAGTTATTTACTATGGGTCAAAAGCAAGTCAGTCACTATAGATCAAATTCAAAACAGGCAACAATGTTGACTGTGGATGTTTTGTGGATGGACAGCCCATAGCAACTATATGAACTGTCTGAAATGATCAATTTCAAAAATTTGAAAAACAGGCTCTAGATACTTATTGAATCTGTTAATGCATTGTAAACTTAATGAATGCTCTTATAATCATTCATGTATATTATATACTTAGTAACATGAGGCATTTATTTAACAATTTTTTTTATTTGGCTTTATTGCCAATCCTCCCATTAGATGCTAAGGACACTAGAGTGAACACTTGTGTCCCTGCTTCGAGAAACTTAGAAACTCTTCTAGGTGAAACACACATATAAATGAATGTTGTATATCTTTCATCTTGGCCACAATCTTAGATAAGGTAACATAAACACTTCTTAGGGAAGATAAACTATTTCAGCAAGAACTCAGCTTTTTGGCTAGTGACCTAAGCACTGCTACTGGGGAGTCCATGTTTTAAAGTGTAAAGAATGTGGCTTTGAAATCAGCCTGAAAGGCCTTTGTATCTCTTCTGCAACACAGTAACACATTGTATTCACAGACTGGTCACTTAAACCCTCTAAAATGAGGTGCCTAAAAGTTACCCTAAAGATTGTTTTATTTATTTATTTATTTATTTATTTTGAGATAGAGTCTCACTCTGTTGCCCAGGCTGGAGTGCAGTGGCACGAATGTGGCTCACTGCAAGCTCTGCCTCCCGGGTTCACACCATTCTCCTGCCTCAGCCTCCTGAGTAGCTGGAACTACAGGCACACACTGCCTCGCCTGGATAATTTTTTGTATTTTTAGTAGAGACGGGGTTTCACCTTGTTATCCAGGATAGTCTCGATCTCCTGACCTTGTGCTCTGCCCGCCTCAGCCTCCCAAAGTGCCTAAAGATTGTTTTGAGGATAAATGTATGTAGAGGGCATATGATGTACTCAAAAACTTAGTCAATGCAGTTCATATTCTTTATTTTGACAAAAAGGATTCTTTCCACTTAAAATCCCCTTATTAGTAATAAATACAATGATGAAATGGGTAAGCATCATAGATTTTGACTCATGTTACAATGTTAAGAAAAAAGTTCCCAATTTGTATTATGAGGAGTACATAAACATACCTCTTTGGAATGTGTTTGGTAGAGTCTGTCTACCATTTTTTGGTGTAATGGGATACTGGAGGCATGCAAAAAAAAAAAAAAAAAAAAAACCCCAAATCTGTAAAACTAGCAAATTACCATGAACATAATCATAATAAGCTCTCACTTATAAATTGTGGGTCCTAAACGTTAACATAAACCCTTGATAAGCTTATGAAGACTTGCTTTCTCTCTACTATAGTATAGGCAATATTTGACAGTCACTGACATATGACAGATAATTTTTTCCTACCCAAACCAAAAATGGAAAATTTGTAACATGTATGTATTTTTTTTCTATTATATTGTACGCTTAGAGTGAAAGAGAGGAGAATGAATTACTCTTGACCCTTACTCCAAGTTAGCAAGGTGAGAAGAAATGTAACAGACCCCACTTTATTTATATACTGCTCACACCAAGGCATCCTTGGATATCATAAGAAATCAGGAATTACTTAAAAGCAGGGAATCTATGACCAAAGGCATATGAATTTGACTAAATACTACCATTCACTAAGGTTCACATATCTCCCAGGAGGGAACCAGAGGTTTCTCTCAGAAAATTGGATGTTCTCAGAGAGATATATTTCTGCTCATACCAAAGTTCTGGCCCAACCAGCGGAGAGATGCCACAGAACTGTGATTCTCTGCACTATTAGCAATTGGAAGTAGGGAAAAGCTGTCTACATCTAGACCTTAGTTATCAGCAAGCCTAGCTCTAGAAACCCTGAGCCTAGTTGCAGGCAATCAGCACTGGGGTTCCTATTCTTATTATGAAAGATACAGTTAGCTGCAGGTGAGAGGCTAGAGCCTATCTGCCACCCTACAAGGCTCACACGGGCCACCCCTCTATTCCTCTAACTTTACCTCTTTTACTCCCAGCCATTCTCTCTCCTCCAGCCACACTGGACTCCTTGCTGATCCTAGAACATCCCAGGCACGTTCTCGACTCTCAGATTTGGTCATTACTATTCCAATGGAGCCCCCAACAAATGCCAACAGTGTTGCTTGGCTGGTATAATTTAGTTCTTAAAGTCAAGAAAAGTGTGACTAAATTTATCACCTACTTAGAAATATTTTGTGAGGTAGAAAACATTTACTCTGAGCAGCAGCAAAACTGCAACCAGTTTTTAAATTTCACAGTAACACCGCCCCAATCCAAATGTGCATATAATAACCATTATAATGAAAAGCAGAGATGATTTCCCATCTCCATTTGATCTCAGAGAGGCTTAACAATCAGACAGCTGATGAAATTATAATTAAGTCTAAGGATTTGAAAACAATCCCCTAAAGTTAACCTAATGATGCAATACAATGTGCACCTGGACCACAGGAAGGACTCTCACACACTCACGCACACCAGAACTTCAAGACCGGACTATAACCACCCTGAGGAGTCATCCTTATAATGAAGTCCTTGTCATCAAAGCCTCTGCCACTGGTTCTTGCACAGCGCTGCTGTTTGCTAGGGAATGGCATCATTCAGCCATGAAGGCACCAATGTGGCAATGAAAGCACCAATGTTTAGTAAAAGGTATTAGAAAAGCCATCTGCAGATGATGCAAATCACATATTCTCTCCAGAGAAAAATATGGTGATTTAAAAATCCAGGCTCTGGACTCAGAACTTAATTCAAGTACCCACTCAGATGCCACTGGTACTAATTACAAGCCATGTGCCTTTAAACTTCATGTTTAACTAAGTCTTGGATTTTTTTTGTGCATAAAATGGGAATCACACTGTAGAAGTGACTTATTTACATACGGTATAGCAGTTAATACTGAGCACTTATAAGTTCCAATTATGCTGCAAATTCTATGTTACGTCCTCACAGAAAGTCTGATGTAAGTCCCCATTTTACAGATGAGAAAACAGCCACCCAGAAGCTGACTTGTCTGAGTTCACACAGCCAGCAAATAGTGAAGCTGGAATTCAAGCCCAGACTCTTAGCTATGTTGTTGACAATGTTTTAAATTTTTTTTTCTAAAGATTAATAAAGCAAAACATAGAGAATGGTCATCACAGTGACTAATAATAGGTTATTCATAAGTATTAGCCAGCATTATTATAATTTATTAGCAACAGACATGTGAAAATTATTCCCATATATACAACATAGGAAAATATTAAATCCTAACAAATTATTTGTTCATTCTTTTATGGCTTTTGTTTAAGGACAATTTATAAGAGGCCAATTCTGTGGTTACAGACAAACTAAAAATGTCATTTAGAAACTCCTTTATTCACAATGTCCCTTAATCTTCCAGAAACTAAATCCTGTGCAGAATGTAAACAATAATAAAGTTATATTACCATGTTTCTATTGACAACAGAATATTTAACCACAAATATATAAACATAGCCTATAAAATACAGCCTCAAACCATAATTTTATACACATTTGCTCCAGTTTAGATATTTCTTGTAAATCAGGTTTCTTAAAAATAATCTAGTTGGATAGCACTATATTTTACAAAATTAAAATTACACCAAGAAAAACAAATCCAGATAATTTACTAGTGTTCTAAGCTTTGTAAAAATGATAAAAACAGCTTAAGATAGATTCTGATAATTTATAAAACTGAATCTATCATCCTAAAATATGTAATACACAGTAAATTTTAAATGCAGAAAATTTAGCTGCCTAATTCAAGATAGTATCTGTTCCCACCTTGGAAATCTGATATACCAATTCAAAATTACTATTTGAATTACCATCAGAATTCCTGAAACCCTATGTGCAGTGAAGATTCCAATTGCATCTGGTTTTACATCACCTAAAGACAAATCTATCAGTTTCAAGACAAGTTTAAGCTTCTTCTTGAGTTTGAGTCTAAGCTTACAATAGAGAAAACTCAAAATTAGAGCTCTGATTTTTGCTTGCTCACACTTTTTTGGCCTTCCTCACTCCTTACTCCAAGACAACCAAAAATAAACACTCAAACCAGCAATATATGAACTGACCAATCTTAAGCTCCCATGGACTTAAGACAACCAGCGAAAACAAAGATGGAAAGAATCACTGCTTTGCAAACAAGGCCTTAATTACATACGTAAATAAAAATCCTTTTAGGGCCACAGCCCTGAATCCTTCGAAAGAACCTTTCCCAACTACTTCTCATGCTTAACACAAATATCAACACAAAGCCTTTGCCACGCAGAGGCTTGCACAGATTCCCAAACATTACAAATCCTCTCAGATTTGATGATCATCTAATAGAAGTATCACCAAGAAGCCTATTTCTTAAAAGCTATGCTTTAACAATAAAATACGTGGAATAGAATTTCTATTCCATCTTGGCCTCCAATTGCATCTGGTTTTACGTCACCTAAAGACAAATCTATGTGTTTCAAGACAAGTTTTTCAGACTAACTGTCCAAAGGAAGAGGGAAAACAGTTGAAAGACGGGCCATGATTGGTGTTTTCATAAGCATCCATTAGTGTCTTCCAGGTCAAGCTTGAGTTGTTTAATAGTAACAAAAATATGCATTAATTCATTTGGAAACATATCACTTCTTACAGTGCTTTCCTCATTGCAAGTCAAGCATTCATTTATGCTACTATTTTCTATTTTTACCTCTTTATATTTTTATATTGCAAAGATGTATAAACTGGGTGAAACCAATCAACAGTTAACTTCAACAGTAACAATTCACAGAGGGGTTGGAAGGATGTATAAAAATGTGAATAGTTGAAAGTTTTGAAATATGAAACATTCAAACAACTATTATAACTGAAGAACATTTCATGTAGGAAATAAAAAAGCACAGTACTTGAGGCTGTAGCTCAGTGTCTTTCTGTCTTTATCCCTTAGATGAACCATGAAAATAGGCACTAGCCTGTGAGTACAGAACCTACAAACATTGAGTCTTAGGATAATCTGGCAGCAGACTTAAGAAGAAACTTAATATTCTCTGCCTCTCCATTCCATTCCCTTCTTGTTTGTTCTTCAGATGAAGTTATGGTTTTTGATACAGGAGATTTTCTTGTTTTCTTAGCCTGATTATAGGAACAAGTGGTGGCAGGAAATAAAAAATAACTCTGAGTGAAAAAAGACAACCTATATAAATGCAGGCAAAGCCAACAACTGTGTAAACTAAATGGAAGTTCTGTCGACCTAATTAATTTCTATTGGGCTGAGATGATTTTCAATTGGGCTGCGGAGAAGTCACTTAAATATAAATCATGGCATATGTAGCTGAAAATGTTCATTGTAGAGTTAGGGGAGGTGATTGACATTTTAAAGACTCTTAAATTGTAATGAATTTCTTGATTTCATTCCTTTAATTCATCGGTAAACACTGCTGTTTTCAAACTAAATAAGATTTCAAAGAAGAAATAGGAAAATCTATAATGACTACACGCCAGAGAAGTTTGTCAGACATTAATGAATTCACTAATTTTAAGCTTAACTCCTCTAGTGGTGACAGAGAGGAATGAAATAGATATATTATGAGACATATAAGTAGCATGATAAACTGATTCACACACTTAATAAAAACCTAGAACTTTCCAATATTGTTTGTATCTAAACGGACATGTAACACCGATCGTGAGGGAAGTTTGGGTCCACATTTTCAAACTGAGTACTAAAATAAAACAATATCTCAGGAGACTGAGAAACTTCATTTATTCTCATTTATATTGATACCTTCTAACTTCACTTGCTAACCACCACCATGCTTGTAAAGTACATTAATGAAGATTGCCTGAAACAGGGTGAGATGAGTAATTGTGTATTCGTCTGAAATCAAGTCTAAAAAATTCATTTCCAAGACATAAAACAATTAAGTTTAAGATAAAGAACAAATTCTATGTATTTTCCAGTTTGGTTGAGGAGATCACATAATTACCTAAAATGTTTTAATAGTTTCAACTTATTTTAATTATGCAAAAATCCAACAAAGTGCAGTATTCCTAAATATGAATGTGATATCAAGCTATAAAAAGTAAATATTCAGAAATATATTATTACTCCACATGTGCTTAGAAAACAAACCACACATTACTCACACAAAGCCATCTAAGGGGGAACCCTAAACACACACTCTGTTTCAGTACTGCATGGTTCTTATTTTGTAGGAGACAACTTGCCAATAAAATGTTGAGAAAATGAAAACTTCTTAGTCCTACTCATTTCTTCATATACAAAAAAATTAACTACCAGTATTTCATAATTGCTCTTCCATATATGTACTCGTATATTCTATTGAGCAAAATATTTTAACATACTTAGTCTTCCTTATTTTTAAGTTAATTTGAATGACTGTCTTATCTGGACTTCACAATGATGGAAATGCCTGTTAAAGGTCACCTACGGGCCTTCTGCAGCTCCTGTCAGTGGCTGCCCTCACGCTGACTCCTGCATGAGGCCTGCCGGCGCAGGGACCTGCGGCAGTCTGGGTGACTATATCCACACCCAGTCTGTACTCTGCAGTAGGCATGCTTTACCTGAAGTCAAAGCCCAAAAGGAGAGGAAATAGGACTGCTTGCTTTAATTTTATTTGCTCTATAAAATCCACTTACACACTAGAACTACTTTCCTATAAATAATTTAAGTTTCTCTCTGATTGCCTATCAAAATGGGAAGAAAAAAGTTTCAGAGGAAAAGGCACCTCATTCAGAGATTAATTTTCTGCTACATCCGCAAAATTTCAATTTTTGATAGTACCCATTTTCATAAACACTTGAAATGAATGTATTTATGCTAAAAGAAAAATGCAGAATATTTACACATTAAAAGAATCACTGTTGGAATAAAAATCAAAGCATCTCATATCAGAAACAACTGATTTTATATCTTTCCTATTATTAAAAATTACATAACATTGTAAGTTTCAAAAGCCTTCACTAATACATATTGGAATATCACACCAAAAAACACAATAATTTTACAGCATTTAGCTTTGTTTATTTTTTTAAAAAATTGTGTAATGAAAGATCACCATAGTGACTGGGAAATGATGGTTAAGAGTTTTGTATATGGATGGAATTCTAACATGGATAATTTATTGAACTTCTAGTGAAAGGTATGCTCTGAGTCATCAAGGTCCTAAGGCTTAGTAACGAATAAATAAGCAAAATATTAATCTATGAAGAAATAATTTTTCAATAGACTAGAGTAGAAATAAATATAATGCAATATGTAACATATCTTTCCATATGTTGAAGTTCTAAAAATATGCATAGTACCTAAATGACTGTATAACAGGTAGCAAAAATACATATAACCTTATATGTTTAATCTTAAGTATACGTGGATCAAAGTAGGTATTTCGACTTATATAAAATTTATATAAATATTCATATGTATTAATTACACAGAAATAATTGTAATTGTTCTACATTTAAAGTATACTAATCTTTAAGTAAATAAATAGTGTGTATATCACCTAAATGCTGTGTATATTTCATAAACAATACTTTTTAAAAATTATTTATATTTTCATAGCCAAAGCCTTAAGAACACTAGGCACACAAATTATTTCATTGATATTTACAAACAATCCAGTCCAACGTCTACATTTAAACAAATTCGGCTATATTTAACAACAAAAGGGAAAATAAAGGAAATAATTCCAAGTTTTCACTGGTCACACAACAAAACAACACAAATTGATACTGCAGTGTGTACATGATCAATAAGAAGATAAAACACACTCAAAGGTTAAAAATGTTATGCACACAAATATGTATAATATACATGTGTATATATGTATATGCATTTGGTGAAACGAAACCAATCTACGCAATGTTACAATAACTGGAAACATGAAGCTCCTAACAATGAGTACTGATTGGTAAGTCACATTATTACCTAAAGGGGAAATATAAGAGTAGTTTTATGATTTTGACAACTGAAATCATAACCACCTAATAACAAAGCATATACTGATGAAGAAACAAGGTGCAAAGTAAATAGTGAGAAGGCAGACACTCACCTTCGGTGCCATTGGGAGTCATGGAATTACTATTTATATGAGAGTTACCGAGTTTGGGGCCACTGGGGGATTCACTACTACCACTCAGACGGCTATGCGGGCTGGTTAGATCCTGCATTTCCATAGACCTAAAGACAAGAAGCCTTCCATTTGACAGATGTACCAAATTCATAACACCACCATTTAATGCGCTAATGACTTGACACCTTTGAAACACACTTGCACAAAAGTCCCATTGTATCTATTTCTTAGACTCAAAATAATTCATCTCACATTTTGACTTCAGGTATCCCTTCATCATATGCACTATCAAAAGATGTCACTTGCTTTACCTATACAGCCAGTCACATGAAGCTTTTAAAATTTCATTTTTCTCTTACACAGTTCATCAAGTCACAAGGTCTAATGTGAGACAATGACATCTATTATAATTTTCAAAGAAAAAATACAGTCATCGTTGTCTTTTTATATTAAAAAGGACCAAAGGCATTACTTTTCTAAAAGAAAAGGCAACTATGTAAAGAAGTAAAATGGAAATAGATCACTCTTCTGTGGAATCTGTTTCATCTAATAAATTAGCACTAGGTACTCCCTTATAATTTACCACCCAGTTGTAATTTAATGGGTCTCCAAACCAAATAAAACACTTGAAACCTATAGTCTAGTGACAGGGAATGAGATAGTCCTGATGCATGTGTTTACTCTGGCAAACTACTTAATTGTTCCTCTGTTTCCCTTGAAACAAATGCAGCATTAAAACATTATGATGTCGGCTCACTTGTTTGCTTTGTGGATTACATACAGTGTGCCCAGTTGAAAAAGGATAAGGCCAACATACAGTGGGTCCCTGCAAGCATTAGCACTCGGAATACCTCAGCTGTCACTTACTCTGGGAAATAACAACAATTCTACTTTAGTGCTATAATTTTGCAATTTTACCATATAAAACCAGTTAAATGCCCTCTGAAAGTTCTTAGACTCTGCAGTTACTTATTCCATAAAAGGTACAAAAGCCACTACTCATGTTCACAATTTCAGAACTATACATTTATATTTAATACCCTATTAGTGAAGAGAGAATTTATTTAAAGTCACTAAAAACACACTTAGATTCCATTATTTTCTTACAGCCAATTTCTTAAAAGTTTAGGGCCCATTTACTTTATTTTAAACTTTGTATGTTTTTCTAAGAAAAAAGATGGGAGGAGGTTTAATGTTTACATATATAAAGTTAATACTATTTGCTCCTCACCCTATCAGGTCAATAAAAGCTACAGTCATTTTAATTTAGAGGTCGCACTTACATTGACTATGGGTATCAGTTTTTAAAACAGCTTAACATGAACCATTTTACTTCTAAAGTGAGCTTTGACTTCCCCAAATATTCTGAATTCAAACTAGAAATGGTCTAAAATCCAATTTTTCTCTCCTGATTCTCATTACACATTCACAGTTTTCCTAACACTAGAAACTATAGCCCATAATTATTTTCAAACCGAGGCTCCTATTCCCTTTCTACATACTTAAAATGTTTTACAAGCACACACACACAAACTGTTAAGTAATTTCCAACAGAGGCTGTTACTATTAATAGAAATAATTAAGAAACACTAGACAAAAATAGATATGGGTCACAGAAAGGTAATCTCCAAAAATGTCAAATATCAACAATATCCTTACCTGCAACTTGAGGAAACAGCAACATCTGAACTGGCTTGAGATGTTTGCACCTGTGATCAGGGGTAAAAAAATTAGAAGATGTTGTTACTCTGCTTCAGTGTCAGCTCTTAATTATACAGAGCACATGGCTGAGAACGACAATGCTCTCTTTTAACCAAAAGAGAAAAAGGAGGATACTGCAGCAGTGAAAGGCATATTGTCTTTAAGTTGAGGTCTCAACTGTTGTTTCCTCCTGCAGGTCTATCCTCCTCCTCCCCTTGTCAGGGGGGGAAGGCAGCCAAATGACGTGATAGTGATTCATCACTGGCCTATGACAGCTGCAAATGGGATTACCCCTCCCCCAATCAACATGCAAAGCAGCCTTGCCCAGGCAGCTTGGAAAAGGTGCTTGGAAAAAAATAGCGAATGACAAAATGATCGTGTTTAACAGCAATAGTTCAAGCAGTAATCCTCCAGCATCCTCAGAAGATCTTTCATCTTCTGTTATCACCAGCTGAAATAGAGCTCCCGCCCACCCCTTTGACTCCTGACAGTTTCTTATCCTTATCATAATGGTTTTCTCCTACATTTACTATTTGTCATTTAACATTCACTAAAACAGCTTCTGGGCAACTTCCTGACAATGCTGGACTAACTATATAAGGCAAAGGCAAGTTTTCATACCCAAAGTCACTCCACTGAACAATGTGCTCATTTACCCTCGCCAATTTAAAATTCAATGGGTTCTTATCAGTTCTGCCTGGTAAACCAGAAAATGTAGTTAGCTTTTTTGGTGGATTTTCCATCTTTTAAACCGAGGAAGAAAATGGAAAGTTTAATAATCAATTCACCATCCTAGTCAGCCTACATTTCAGTCTCTCTTGTTTCTAGATGAATCTGTACTTCAGGACTTCACTGAACAACTTAACTAATGTGCAGGCTTTGACAGTCACTGCCCTTCTTCCAGAAGCAGCTCAAACTGCCAGCAGGTGATAAAGCTCAGGTGAGGCCAGGCTGCTGGCTTGTAAGCTCAGGCTAACGCCTCAGTAGGAGAGCATTCTGCAAAACGTTTAAAATGGCTCAGAATTCCAAATCTTTGATGTGCATTTTCATTCAACCTGAACTGACATCAATTAGGGTTACAGAACAAAGATGAGAACTAAAGCATCTCGAATGGCATTACAGTTATCCAACCAAACGTCTTCTGTTAAGTCCTGTTATTTTTAAATTATGATTTATGAAATAAGAAATACTACCTTTCTAGCAAGAATAAAGCATCATTAAAGTCCAACTGTCTTGGTATAATGTTACGTAAAATTTCTAGGTATGTTTCTACAATACGTGCAGGATGAAAAACAATTTTTAAAAGACGCTTGAGTATAAGATAAAAATTAAATTTCAATGCCTACAGATGTGTCATTCCGTGATAACAACCTTCTGCGATTTTTGTTAAAAATTAATGTTCTCACACAAGTTTAAGTGGTTTCCTTTAGAAAGTCCAGCAATATACCTCAAGGATAAATTTCCTTTTTCTTTTTTTTTTTTCTCCACTTTTATACACCTGGAATAAATTATAGGTGAGAACTAACTTAGTTTTAAGAACTCTCCTGGCTTAATTATGTGAAAGAGTATTTAAAGCATTCTTTCTGTTAAATGTTAAAATACATTTCCATTTTAACATTAGCTGGAAAGTACAATGTTGGAAATATAATTTTAGTTTCAGTATACACTTTGAAAGTTTGGTTAGATTTATATTTGTACTTTAACCAATCATATTTAAATTTCAAAGTCAAACTGTTGTTAATAAAGAAAAAGTGAACTTCAAAACAAGAATTAGTCTACCACATTTCAGTGAAAACATGCATTTTCACGACAACACATTTCTTTTATGCTGGTTCAACTAGACTCTACTGTATTTTCATACTCTACAACTTTTGAAAGTCCATATGCATGATCTACATTTCATTAAGTATACTTCAGATATACTCTTTTGTGTCTCAGGGATTATTTAAACCATGTGTTGTGTGTTACTGTATTTAAAAATGACTCTTTAATCAAAATAACTTTAAAACAACTAATCCTCACTTAGGCTGGTCAGCTGAATCCACATCGTGGTCCAGGAAAAATAAATCTACTCTCAAGAATGCGAATGCAGACAACAATTAGACACAGATGTGAGCAAAATTAGTTACAGTTTACAAAATGCTACACTTCACATGCTTTTAGTTTTTTATGTGTAGTACAAGATTACAGTGCAGAAGGAAACATAGTCTTATAATGACTTATCTAAAAAGAACACCTATTTCTGATTGCTGTTGATTTCCTCTCATGTTTGATAATATCTCTGGAAGTTTCTGTCTTGTAAAGGTCTAAAACCATAATGTGTTTTGAAAATAATTAATTAGGGATATTTCCATTCAAAAGAGAAAAATATTATTTTTTATTGTTTCTAGAAAAGTGATGTGAGGCATTCAGTAAGTTCACATTTTCTGCTTTACACCCATAAACTTAGCATGTTTCTTGTCTTCTCCTAATCTGGTATTTTTAATTTAAATACTTCTATGAGTGCAAAAATATTTCCCATAACATAACAAATGGTCATCTTATATTACAATCAAGTCATTTCACTTTAATGCTTTTTAAAACTCATTGTATAGAATACCCATAGTAGCATATTGACAGAGTTGTGAAAATACAAATAGCAACAAGCAGAACTTCTTAGAATTCAAATTCAAGAATCCTAAACTAGTAACTTTGACTTCTGATTAGTTAATGAGGTCTTTTAAGTTTGCCTTTTTTCTAATTAAATTTATAATTCTTCACAGATGTAACTTTTGTTGATATTCAATTTGTCTCTCTCATTTTGTTAAACCTCACATAGTACTTCGCCAATCCATTGAATAGCCACATTAAATCTGTTAATACCATGCTCTTCAACCCCAGAAATTATTTCCAGAAGGCAAACTTGCTTTGAGAGATCATCAAACAAGACTTAAGGTACACATTTTATCACATTTTCCCTACCACAGAGCTCAGGATGCAGAGCAAAATTCATGACTTTTGCACTGTTTATTATACTTTGCTAAATTACAAATCAAAAGCATCTGACAGAAGATCATGCATGAAGCCAAAAAGTTAATAATGTTCTGTGAAAAGTAAACTGTAAATGGAAAGGGATTCTAAATCTCAGCAGCACAGAGCAAATAAAATGTAGGTACTTGTCTAAATTACGGGTTTTCCATAGGCTTTTTTTGCTTGCTAGAAGCAATTTTTATAAAATGACTATAATTTAAAACTTTTTTTTCAAACTGAAAAGAAATTTTCAAAGTGAAAGTACTGAGCTTATCTAAATAAATAGAGTTGGCAGGCAAGCTAGTTTTGTCCAACCACAGATCAACCTGAGTACTCCCAAATTTGAAAGACAATGGCAATTTTCTCATCAGAATGTATTTTATGTAAAAAAAATTTTCCTTAGCCATAAATCTGTGTTTTAGGGTATATTCTTGCTAAAATTTCTCCTCAATCGATATCTCCAACTATGGCATCATTGTTGTAATGAAAACTTAAATTTTAAAAATAAAAACCTAAACCTAAAATTGAAATGAAGTTCTAGGGAGACGTCAATGTTTTTTAAATGTTAACACTATATTTCCTTCTTTATCAAAGACTCCATAAAATAAATGCTTTAATACTACTGCTGATTATTTTCAAGTAGTATAGTACATTACTTTTTGCAATGCGTCGTTTAAAGAAAATGACAAAATAGAGTCCGCATGAAAACAAAAATAAGTATTTAAACCACATGGATGCTACCAATAGCTTTAAAGGATTGTTTTCAATATCAATTTACTTAAAATGTTGAATGAAATACTTTTGATATTTGATAAACAAGTGGTTTTATTCTTGCTGCAAGTGTTTTTCTTCTTTACAATGTATTCTTAATACGATTTTCACAAATGGAAATTTTCTTTTGAGAAAATCATTTATCATGTCTATGAAACTCACACAGCAGTGGACTTCCATTTGGCCCTCTAAAACTGAACAGTGGCTCAATTAGGCCTCTATGTCTGTCACCGCAAAGAATGTTCAAAGATTGAAAATCCATGGCTGCTTGCTCACTTACTGAACACTTTGGGCCTTGGGAGAACTCAAGCATGCAGAAAGTCAAATATCAAATATTTGATAATGCAAAAGCATGACTGTACATGTGTGCATGTCCTCAGACCCCAGACTGTGGGGGAAAAGACTCATGCAAGCATAAAATAAAACCTACTTTGAAAGACACATTATAAAAACAATCCCAAACCTATAAAACTACACTATGTGCTTACTATCGACCTTTTGTACCCCTTGCCATTTTAAGAAATAAAACAAAAACGTTTGCCTAAATTCAATGACAGCTCTGAATTTATTGAATTCTTGCAAATGCTATGCTCTAATGTGTTCAAAACCTCCTCCCAATAAATATAAACCCATGAGTCATTAACAATTCATATACTGATTTTGAATGGCAAATATTTTAAATGGTAATTCAAAAGTTTACAGATCTTGTTTTAAACTTCAAGGTCCACTCAAGCCTTACAAAGTGTCAATAAGAGAAAAATATATTAATTGGGTAAATGTTTGTTATATCACCTTCTGAAGATAAGTTTGTTTAATATAACGTTTGGGAAATTTATTAAAGCAAAAATATTTTCTTCCTTAAAAAGTGCTATCAATTTAATGTTGTTATCTGTTGTCCTTTCAAATGTTAAATGCTTCATTTTTTTCATATCAAAGTGTGTAAAAGTTACTTATGTATTGCAATGAACATATATGTACCGCTTTATTCAATACCACACAAATATATTTGAGATTTGTGCAGCAATTCAGAAAAGAGATATGAAGTCATCTCCCTGCAAGAATATGGTCCTGCATTACATTTATCTAGAGCATAACAAAAGTAATTGTTAACAATTAATTTGTAATTATTTCTTAATGATCCTGATCGCTCATAATTTGGAGGTTGGGAATTCTACTTCTAGGATGAAACCCTGTGGCTCATAAAGTACTAGGTACAAAGTGTCATAATTTTCCCCATGCCATAATGTTTTTCTTTGAAAACAAATCAAAACAATAATAAAAGCGCTCCTGTTAGCTTGGGCTTTGCCCACAGGACAGCTGTTGTCAGTCACTACAATTTTTCAAACAGTCAGCTTGTACTTACAGCGCTTACATCTGCTGCATCCACCAGTTTAATGTGTTCCTTCGAATTTTCTGGGTTAGCAAACCTCCATTCCTGACATAGTTTTGCTCCTGGATGGGTACGCGCGGGGGCTCTCAGGCGCTCTGGTGCAGCCGCGGCGCTTCTGGGAGTGGAGCGCCTCTGCAGGGGAAAGCTCGGCGCAGGGGGCAGGCGCCTGGCCGCTGCCGCAGGCTCGGGCTGCCGAGCGACTGAGCGAAAACGTGTTCCCCAGGAAGAAACCCGCCACAGTGGACGGCAACAGGAAGGCTTAAAGTCGGAAGTGGCACTGGAGAGTTTCTACCTCGCCCCAAACTCGGAGCCATCAGCTCCCACCGTTCTGTTTGGTAACAGCTTTGCGCCCAGCGCTCCTTCCCCACCAAACAGCAGCGGCAGATAGCATCTGAGAACCCTAGACAAAGAAACAGCAGAATCTCATCCCTCGATTTGTTTGCGCAGCCTTGTAGGTCTGCCCATGGAGCCTCGGGGCTTTCTTTTTTTTTTTTTTTTTTTTTTTTTGGTTTTTGCAACGCAAACCACAGCTATTCTCTTGTCCTAACCTTATTGGTTTAAATGCAACAATTGAAAGGAGCACTGCTCTGTCTGACTCAACCTTGCTGTTTAAAAAAAAAAAAATTATGTAAATGAACGCGCCCCACGCTATCTGAATAAACAGCTGTGTGAGAATAACTTCTCTGAGACGTGGTCAACACACACGCGTCCTCTTGCAACAGTAGTTACCAATTAAGATCTTTGGGGAGTAGTTACACGTTATCTTTTACACTTTTCCTAAACTTTTTTCAGGCCCTGAAACTTAGGGAATCCACTACTTTTCATAATTTATTTCCTAACTAACGTACCTACTACTGAAACAGGTCTGGGGGAAATAAAAAACTAGAATGGCCATTTCCCTTTAAGTAGAAAATGAAAAAGCAAACGTGCAAGCTTTTATCAGTTTAATAATGAAAGCCTGAAGGATGAATCCGAAATGATTTCTAGAATGGCAAATCTTCTGTGAACAATTCCTTGGCTATGAACCAGATAATGTTTCAGTGTTAATATTTTTAAATGGTTTTTGGAAAAGATTCATGTTATCTAGAACTCTTTCTTTACAGCTTATTCTTTTAAAAAAAAATTCTTACTGACCTCGGAATCTATGCATGACAGTCTATAACACTCACCTAAAGAGCTGAGCTTCAGTTAAGATATGTTTTATACAGATACATGACTTTGGTGATAAGACTTAACCATTATGTTGATTTCAAATATTCAAAGAAGGCATCGTTTATGTGACTAATGATTGTATCTCAATTTGCCAGACCTGTGCCAACATTCAAATACAAATGTTTATTTTGATACTAGTCACTCGTTGTAACCAATTTTGTGCTCTAAAATAAAATCTTTAAGCCCATCGGATTTTTCTTAAAACTGTTTTGTCATCACCCATAGAATACTATTCTGCTGATTAGGTCTTTTATTTAAGGAAAAAAAAAGCGTCCTCATTTTTTAGGCGCTTGATAGATGTGAAAAAAATTTTAAAAATCACAATAACTTTTTGCATGACTTTATAATACATTTCCAGATCGTCAACTAATAAAACACATAGACACAATCATAACTTTATATTGCTAATATGTAAATGAAAGCACCATTCCGATGCAAACAAAAAATAAAAAGCTGCTAATGACCAAAATTTATTACAGACTTCCCCCCAACCACCGAAAGTATGCCAATCTGAATTCCTCAGAAAAGAACACTTTGTCAAACATAAACGACAGTTTAAACTGCAAACTCACCTAGGATTTCATTTTGTATAGTACCAGCAAGGAATCATGGGCTAGTCATCTACCATATTTGGGAAGCCAGGTCAAAACACAGTTGATTGCTATTGGATCTGTTCATATATGCAGCAGAAATAGAATTATGTTACCACCTACTGCACTTTCTCAGACCAGAAGTATCAGTTATTCAATATACTAAAGTATATATGCAGAAAATAAAATACAGCTTGTAATGGAGATTTCTAGCATTGTCAGATAAAATGTAATGTTGTGGTAATTCAATCTGATATCAAACAGTAAATACTTTTGCAACCACATTTATTTCTAAGCTCTATAAAATCTAAAATTTGAGATGTTGGAGAATTAAACAATGCTTGAAATTTTACATTTAGCTATTGTATTCATGCTTCCAATTGTTTAACAATTATTTTAGACATAAGAGAGTAAGAAATTATTTTTCTAATCCATGAAAGATTATATTGACAAATCCAGAATATATGAACTATATAAAATCAAAACAGTGGGAATATTATGTAAAGTATGTCACATTTATATACAAGTTACTTGCCCACATTATAGTTAAATGTATCATATTACATATTTTATGTTGAAATTTAATTTTTATTTATATAACCAAATGAAATATTAAATAAATGATGCATATAATTATGAAGAAAATTAGTAAAATCATGATGAATGTAATGTGACCACTAATTGATATGGTATAGCTCATGCTTCATAATTATGTAACAAAGAGCTTAGTCACTGACTAAAAGTAATATCCATGTGCATATTTACTACTTTTAAAGAGTTTCATTTTCCTGAAGCAAAATTAGATGGATTAAAAACAATCACGTTTACCCATAAATTGTGTATGGTTACTACTTTTGAATATCCAATATGTAATAATTACTATTGCATACAATTTAAACCAAAAGTAAGTTACCCTATGATAAAGAGCCACATTTAAGCTATTAACAACACCTAGTTTATAGTGTATTTATTGATAGCCTCTTATTTCTAAATCTTCACCAACTATAACTATAGTATGTAACGTAACCATATACTTTAAGGACTAAATTGTTCCCTAAATACAGTCATACATATAACTACAAAATTTAGGGAAATTTGTTGAACATTGCTACTAGTAAAAGGTGATAGAAGAAATCATTGCTATTTCATATTTGCCATGTAAATCTCAATACATAAATGTATGGAAAGGAATTTTAAAATTTTCCAATATGCTTTTTCCTCAATAAAAAATACATAATTTTATCTGGAAAGGGAAAATACTTGAAATATTCAACTGATATGAAATGTTTGAAAACCCTCAAGGAGACAGTTGATCTTTCATATGCTGTATCACCAAACAGGTTTTATGTGACAGAGCCAGCTGTTGCCTAGATACCTGCCTGGTTATATGAAGGAAGTCTTCAATTTTGGTAGAAGAGTTTAGTGTTTTAGGTTAAGGGCATGATCAAAAAAAAAGCAAATGTCATATATATATATATATATATATATATATATATATATATATATATATACATATACACACACACACACGGTATTTACATTACATTTGTAATATTCAATACATATTACAAATGTCATGTATATATATGTGAGAGAGAGAGACAAGGACAGATACAAGAAACTCATTACAACAATCTAAAAGGTAACTTGGGCTTTTCTAAAACTTCATGAGTTAACAGTTGATTAATCAAATTAAGTATAACAAATAAACACGAGAAAACAAAGGATAAAATACAGGTGTCCCTTTCCCTTTTAATTCCAATAATGAAAATAAAATTATTTTACAGTTGTGAAGTTGTCAATAAATGATGCACTTTGAAGTTATTTTTCTTCTATTTGTGTTTACTTTGAAATAACGTTAGAAGCATGCATGCTATTACCTGGTCCAAAAGTTTACTAATCTCTTTGTTTCTATGCTTCTTATGAGATGATTATTTTTCAAAAATAACAGTATAGTAAGTTGCAAAATATAATCAGCACTTAAAGACTAATGCATTTTCTTAAAAAAGCGAAATCCCACTCATTATTTCTTCCACATGATTAAAATCAATATGTGGAAGTATTCAACATTTTGTAATTTAAACTGTTCAAAGTAGAATGGCAAATAGAGTATTCCAAAATACTATACTTCCAGTCTTCCTGGTTTCACATAAATTTATTTTTCTTATGGTCCATGCCATGGCACTACCTCCCTGGCTTCTTTATGGAGCCTTTGGAACCGTGTCTGGATGGCTGACACTATGATCCTTGTTGGCATTCTGAATGGTCACTTCCATGACCTGCTCTTTCCCCACCAGCATGAGACCTACAATGAGGGTCCTGCTCCCAGGAGCCTTCTGCTGAAATGCAACCAAGTAAAACATCCTCTATTTATTTTAAGAATGATATTATATCTGCCAAACTGAATGTCTACCAATATTTTGTGAAATGTTTTCCATTCAAACTCCAACATGATTAGCTTTTAACAGTAAAGCTAAGGAGGTAATTAACTATTAGCTGTACCATGGAAAATTATTTTAATACATATTACAGTCTTTATATCAACACAATATGAAAATAGAACCTATTTCCTGACTTCCTAAAGAGCACGTTGATTATTATATATTAATAATAACATTTATTTATGTAGGGTGTGAAACTTGTTATCCTATGTAGTAATGGCTGCCTATCAGATTTTTTTTTAAATTATTATTCTTAATAGAAACTTTAAGCAGCACTTCTTGAAACTAATAGTGATAGCAAGGGCAGTGGCAGATTTTTAAGAAAGGGGGATGAGATAATGCAGGTGCTTAAAAAAATGATAAAACAGATTTCCTATTTTAAAATCAACTGATTTTCCAAAATGGCAAACCATTACTTTTTCTTCCTCCTGCCAAAAAGTATATAAATAATTGGTCCTGGAAGCATATGTTTAATCTCAGCGATAAGTTATTTTGCTTTCTCGCGCTGTGAAATGGGTTTCTGTTGACATGAAGCAACCTAGAAAACCCAGGTTGTTTCTTCGCCAAGATTTTTCCCTCTAAGCCATGGGCAAAACCAATCTTGTCAGCACCTCCCAAAACATGTAAGAGGATCTGGAAATTTGCTTTGTGTTTTTCAGGTTTCATGACAGCTGAGTTCACAGTTTTTAAATTCTTCGGAAACAATGAATAGCTCATGGAGGAAAGAAGGGAATTAGCATTTATGAAGTGCTTACTACATGCCAGGCACTGTGCTAGGCATTTTATATTTTTATGAATCCTGATTTTTTTAAATATGAGTGATTTTTTCCCTCACTATTGGTTCTGGAACCTGCCTCATTTTTCTAGCACCATCAAAGTCACTTCTAAACAGTAGATGGAGCAATGGGACATTAATGTCTCCTCATTGTATCATCATTTTGACGCAAGGTGATAGCCCATAAAGTTAATAAAAATCCAGAAAAGTGTGTGATATTTGAAATGATACATATTGATATATAGCAAAATAATATATTCAATATGGAAGAGAAAAAATCACTATATAGTAGCTGATTATTTCTGAAAACATATTGCAAGTTACTTTAAGGATGCAAAAATAAAAGTACATTAAATGGTCAATAGAGAAAAAATCCTTGAACTTGAAGTGGTCAAATCAGGAGATGTGGGTTTTTTCTCCTTACATATTCAAAAAGGTTAATTATTTTCCTAGAGATTATAAATATTCCCAACTTATTATTTATATTAAAAAGGAAAAGCAAAGAGTCTGAGTTTACAATAAGCAATTATATGCATGTCTTGTTTCATAGTTATATCAATTTCTTACATTTTACCTTTCTTAATTTCAGTTACCCAGTATGATATGCTTTAGTTTTAATAGTTATTATATCATAAACACTTGATTTATTCACTGAGGAAATAATTATATTAAAAGTGCACTTCACATTTCCTGATGCATTTGGATGTATGGTTTAAGTATTCAGAATCAAGAAGCTCTATTATTACTACAAAGGAATTGCCAGAGACTGGGGAAAGGGAACCCCCAAACCTAATAACCTATAGAATTTTTTTCTTCCTTCAAGCAGTATTAATTTTTTCTTCCTCCAGTCTCCCAAATCGGAAAAAAAAAAAAAAAAAGAGTAACCTCTAAAGCTGTTTTAGACAGAAGGTCAGAATTCAAAGGATCAGTAACTTAATCCACAGTGCACTGCAATCGCATTGCTATTGGAAAAACAACCAGAAGCACCATTATTCTAGAAGTTTTTATTAAGCAATGTCAATAGGTATACAACCTGGAGGTTTCTCTCTACTGTAAGGTTTATCTAGATTCATGCTTGCAAGCGATCAAATTGCCTTGGGTCCTTGGATTTTACTTTAGTATACTATGGTGTGAGGGTTAAAAAGTAGACTTTATGTGACATACTAAGGAAAACAATAGCTTCAGTTTGTTCAAATACTTAAAACAGAATTCCTTTCTGCAACCCAAATGTAAGTACAATTAAACATTTTGTGGTCTTTAGATACTCCTAATTAAGAGGAATGCTTGTTTTAGATGGTTTAATATTTGGGGTATTATACTGAATGTTGAAATGTGTGATTCATGTTCTTTCAAAAGATATAAACCTGAAAAGTATCCTCTGCCTCTTTCAGGGATTCTGTTTTAATAGTATCAATGATCTGGTTTACCTGAAATACAGAGTAAAGCAAAGCCAAAGATCTGGGATTTTTGAGTTAGTATGTTTTAAATGTGGAAGATTCTTAAAAACAACACCCTGGTTGATAGAGAGTTACAGGCTGGTGGCTTGTTTTTTTAATCAATACAAGGAGAAACAAATAGTTTACCAAGAGGTCAGAGCGCCCGTAGAGGAGCCCTCTGCTGCACGATTATCATTGACAACCCCTGCTGAAAGATCCGCAAAGCCCCCATTAGCTTTGGCCTCTCGGGATTGCTGTTCACTTTCCTTCCTGTCTTTCCCTGAGAGGAGGATCTTCCCTGCTTGTAGAGAGTGGATGCAGGGGAGTGGGTAAGCAGAAGGTGAAGGAGGGACAGGACAAAAACAAAAGCAAAAAAAAAGAAAGAATTTGTTATTCAAAACAATGATCCAAAAACCTGCCTAAGAATCCCAGCCTTTTTAAAAGAATGACAGCCTATGACTTAAAAATTCTAAAGGAAAAAGACAATGATTTTAGATATGCAGACTTTATGCATTTTAAATTTGCAGTATCGTCACAGTATACCTCTTTTGGGAGAAAATTGTATTTGATAAACCTAAAAATGGACACAAATACGGATGACCTAACTCACCACAAATAAATGTATTCATGATTAATTATTGAAGACTATCAAACAGGAGGGACCACACCTTTAACCTCTGTATTTAGAATTTTCCAAAATTATGCCTATTATCAACCCACGAATGACTTATACGTGAAAAGGAAAAAAAATTAGACATTTCACATTAAGATCTTCTTAAGGCCGGGCGCGGTGGCTCACCCCTGTAATCCCAGCACTTTGGGAGGTCGAGGCAGGTGGATCACAAGGTCAGGAGTTCGAGACCAGCCTGACCAACATTGTGAAACTCTGTCTCTACTAAAAATACAAAAAAAAAAAAAAAAAAAAAATAGCTGGACGTGGTGGCATGCACCTGTAATCCCAGCTACTCAGGAGGCTGAGGCAGGAGAATTGCTTCAACCTGGGAGGCGGAGGTTGCAGTGAGCCCAGATCACATCACTGCTCTCCAGCCTGGGCAACAGAGCGAGACTCCGTCTCAAAAAAAAAAAAAAAAAAAAACTTCTTAAAGCAGTATATGGCAACACTGATTTCCTATTTCATTTTTGTATATTCTTGGATTTCATGTCTATCATTATTCAAGGTTGAAATGCTATTCTTTTCCTTAAGTGTGTAGAATTATTAACATCTCTCTATAGGCAAGGGTACTACTCACCAGATTAAAACAAATGCACCAGAGATTCAAGTGAATTCTAATTCTGGTTTCAACACGGGCTTTCTCTATGTCTTCTGTTGTCACAGTACTTATTCTCTCAATTTATAATTTATAACTAGCTAGCTATAAAATGGATGCAGTGGTACACACCTTACCAAATTGGTATGTGGATGAAAATGTTTACTGCTATGGTAAAGCTCCCATGGAGAAAAAAATAGCAACAGAAAAGTTAATTTCAAATCAATTTAATTAAATGAGTGTGGAATGAGTGCTCAAACAGGGCATAGTTTCCAGGGTTTAGCACATAGGAGGTGCTTGGTGAATGTTATTAAATTAATTAATACATGCACACAAGGCTACTTGAGGGAACATGGCCCTGGTTTGTGAAAGAAAAATGATTTCCTTGAATTTCCTTTGCTTTCATTTTCTTTTTTCTTACAGATTGTTATATTTTCCTTCCATTGAAAACTTTAAAGCTGGACTGGCTAGGGCATTATCATTATAGGAACATTAATTTTATTTTATGTACAAAAATATTTAAAATAATTTATGGGACAAAATTGAGTCCTTAAAAACTGTGCTAGGAATTTGCCATCCTGACAACAGGGAACAACCAAACTCCAAGGAAATTAAAGAATTAGAACAATTCAGTTTTAGGTTAAAAAAAAAGCCACCATATACCACATTCTAGCTATGTCATATTCTTCCCTAAGTATACTGTTATCTTAATACTGGTTCATATTTCCCTTTTAAATTCCTAACCAAAATAAACAGAAAAATTAATTTAAAAATTTAAAACAGTACTCAATAGGATGAAAGTATATTTAAAGAAACCCTACACGTCCTGCCTTTCAGAAATAGTTCATTGTAGGTGTGTCCACAACACCATCATTTTCAAATTTTGCACCTTTTAGGTGGTTCAGAAATCTAACCAACAAAAGTTAGTTAGCTGGTCTATCGGCCAGTAATCAGTCACTCAACAAATATTTATCATGTATCTAGTATGTGCCAGGTACTATGGGCATAGATGAAAAAGTAAACAAGGCAGACAGAATTCCCACACTTAAGGAAATTATGTGTCCATAGAAGTGTAAATAAATGAAAAGGTGGCTGACTGAACACATGCATTTATTTTTGCTTTCTCTAGAAATCCCCTAGAGCACCAGTAAAGGGATTTTTTTAAGGCACAAATCCCCAAGAATGAAGAAAAGCAGGTAATAGGAAAACAGCAACACATTTTAATTAATTACTTAGTTAATTTAGAGGCAGGGTCTCACTCTGTCACCTAGGCTGGGATGCAGTGATGCAATCATGGCTCCCTGCATCCTTGACTTGGCAGGCTCAACCAATCCTCCTGCCTCAGCTTCTGAGTAGCTGAGACTACAGGCACTTACCACCATGCCTAGCTATTTTTTTTTTTTATTTTACGTACAGACGAGGTCTCACTCTGTTGCCCAGGCAAGTCTCAAACTCCTGAGCTCAAGCGATGCTCCCACCTTGGCCTCCCAAAGTGCTGGGATTATAGGCATGAGCCACTACACCCAGCCTTAACAAATTTTAAAAGTGGGGGAAAAAGTCTAAACCATGCAGACCATTAGTAACTCACTTAGCAGATATGAGAAAGCTGAATCCTAAGTTGGCAGTAAGGAAAGCTGAAAAGCAATCAAAGTTACACCACCCAACTCCTCCCATCCCCAACATTTTAGCAATTGATGATACTAGGTACTTCTGCAAGTGGAAGTAGAAGTAAGGCTACCATAGGAGGATTGGGTACAAGTCAGTATAAGATGCAGTAAGACCCTTTTCTCCACTCTACATAGTCAGTAAAATAAGTAGACTATGGATTGTAGGAGAAGCCCTGGGGTGTGCTGAAGAAGCATGCACCATTTTGATAACAGGCAGATTATAAAACACTCACGCTAAATGCTGGGATAACTGCCCCTGCTCTCTTCCTCCATAACTTTTCCTCATTAGGGTTCCCAGAACACTGTTAGCCAGTGATCATCCAGGAAGGAGCCTACATTGATTTCACTAAGTATTCAGACCAGCCCCAAAGGAAAGATCTAAATCACTTATACCTGGGGACCTCCTAAGGCGAGAACTCAATCTGATCACTCTAAAGTAAAAATCAAGGGCAACAAGTCATTTAACTAAAGTAAAAACCATGGGCAACAAGTCATTAACAAAGTTAATGCCCTACTGTTAAATATAAGCCAACAATTAAGAATTATGAAGAGTCTGAGGAAAGCTTCTCGAGAAATGTAGAAACCAAATGAAAAGCAAAGCAACTTGCAGGAAACAGAGATCAAACAAAAGCAAATGCCAGGAAAACAAAAATAAACTCCCATTAATATGAACAGAGAAATAAGAGAAGATACTGAAGCCATGAAACAAGATAAGAAAACAATAATTATTTTTTTCTTTTAAAGGAACATCTAACAACAAAAAGGAGCCCTTGGAAATAAAAAGTAAGATCACAGGAAAATAAAACTCAATACGGGTTGAAAAATAAAACTGTTGAAATCTCCAAGAGAAGAGAGCAAGAAGAGATGGAAAATAGAGAAGTATAGAAAATATAAGAAAATGAGAAGTTATAGTTCTGGTTTTCCAACACCCAGATAACTAGAGTTTCAGCAAGAGAGGAAGGACAATAAAGCCTAAAATTTAGACCAATAATTCTAAGATATTTCCTAGGGCATGAGTTTTCGGATTGAAAGAGCTCAATGATTACCCAACAAAAAGAGTAAAAACAACTCACATCAATGGATATTATTCGGAAATTTCAGAATACGAAAAAGATGGCCCCTACAAACTTCTAGAGAGAAAAAACAGCCCACATACAAAGCCTAGGTCATGACTTCAGACTTCTCAATTAGAACATGTATTTCTAGAAAGTAGTAAAGCAATGGCCTCAAATTCCTAGATGACAAATAATTCCTAGCCTAGAATTTTATAACCTACTATACTTTGTAAGTAGGAAAATTAAATATTTAAATTAAATTTAAAACATTTTCAGACAAGTAAATTATCAAAAAGTTAACTTCCCAATCAGGTTAATTTCCCAATCCTTTCTCAGGTAGCTAACAGAGGGTGTGTTCCATTAAATTTAGGAAGCAAACCTCCTTTACAAACTAGACAATCCAAATAGGAGAAAGATGAATATAATTTCTGGTTCTTATGGAAAAGGAAATTCTAGAATGATAGCTATACCCTAGGCATGACAGTCCAGATTGGAGAAGGTCAGAAGGCTCCAGGAACACTTTCATGAAGATGAGGGAATTGATACAATAACAGATACATCTGAATATATGCAAAGGAGAGGTAAACAAATAGGGGAGAGCACAGAATTGAATTATTAAAAGGAATCATCAACTTAATTCAACAATACATCAAAAACATTATACACCATGACCAAGTGGGGGTTATCTCTAGGATTCAAGGTTGGTTTAACATTCCAAATCAATCAATATGATACACCACATTAACAGAATGACATTTCAAAAGCACTGATCACCTCAACAGGTGCAAGAATGACATTTAACAAAGTTCAACATTCTTTCATGGTAAAAACTCTCAATGAAATAGGTGTAGAAGGAAATTTCCTTGACATAATAAAGGCCATTTATAAAAGGTCTACAGCTAACATCATAATCGATGAAGGAAACCTAAAGGCTTTTCCTCTAAGATCTGGTACAAAGCAAGGATCCCCATTCTCACCATACCACCTCTGTTCAAAATAGTACTTGAAGTATTCACAAGAGCAGTCAGAGAAGAAAGAGAAATAGAGGGTATCAAACTTGGAAAGGAAAAAGTAAAAAGTATTTCTGTTTGCTGGTGATATGATGCTATATGTAGAAAACCCCTTAAAGGTTCCACAAAAAATGTTAGAACTAATCAATTAATTCAGTAAAGTGGTAAGATACAAAATCAACATGTAAATATCAGCTGCATTTTTATGCTAATAATAATCTATTTGAAAAAGAAATCAAGAAAGCAATTTCATTTACAATAGCATCAAAAAGAATGAAATGCTTAGAAACAAATTTAACTAAGGAAGTAAAAGATCCGTACATTGAAAATTATATGAAACATTGATGAAAGAAATTAAGAAGACACAAATAAATGAAAAGGTATCTTGTGTTTGTGGATTGGAGGAATTAACATTGTTAAAATGTCAGTACTACTCAAAGCAACCTACAGATTCAATGTGATTCCTGTCAAAATTGTAATGGCATTTTCTCCAGAAATAGTAAAAAACAATTCTAAAATTTATATAGAACCATAAAAGTCTCCAAATAGCCAAAACAATTTTGAGAAAGAAAATCAAAGTTGGAGGCATCACACGTCCTGATTTCAAACTGTATTACAAAGTTATAATAATCAAAAGAGCATGGTACTGGCCTGAAAACAGACACATACACCAATGGAACAGGATAAAGAGTCCAGAAATAAACCCAAGCATATGTGGTCAAATAATTTTCAACAAGACCACCAATAAGACCAATAAGGAAAGGATAGTCTCTTCAATAAATGGTGCTGGGAAAGCTGGATATCCATATGCAAAAGAACAAAACTGAACTCTTATCTTAGACCAGACACAAAAGCAACTCCAAATGGATTAAAGATCTAAATGTAAGACTTGATACCATACAACTCTTAGAAGAAAACAGGGGAAAAACTCCTTGACTTTGGTCTTGGTGATGATTTTTTTGGAACGGACAAAAAAGGCAAAGGCAATAAAAGCAAAAATAAACAAGTGGGACTACATTAAACTAAAGGCTCCGCACAGCAGATAAAACAATCAATAAAATGAAAAGGCAGCCTATGGATTGGGAGAAAATATTTACAAACCATATATCTGATAATTGGTTAATATCCAAAATATAAGGAGTTCACATAACTCAATAGGAAAATAACAAAGAACCCAATCAAATAATGGGCAGAGGACCTAAATAGACATTTTTCTAAAACAGACATACAAATGGCCAACATGTATATAAAAAGATAATCAACATCACTAATCATCGGGGAAATGCAAATCAAAACCACCATGAGATATCACCTTACACCTGTTAGGACGTCCGTTACCAAAAAGTCAGGAAATAAGAAGTGTCGATGAACGTGTGGAGAAAAGGAAACCTTTGCAGGCCATTGATGAGAATGTAATTGGTACAGCTATTATGGAAAACAGTGTGAAAGTTCCTCAGAAAATTAAAAATAGGACTGCCATACAAATAGAATTGTCGTATGACTTAGCAATCCCTTTGCTGGGTATACAACCAAATAAAATGAAATGAAATTACCACCTTGTAGAGATATCTGCACTCCCATGTTCATTGCAGCTTTATTCACAATAGCCAAGCCATAGAAACAACTTCAGTGTCCACTGACAGATAATGAATAAAGAAACTGTGGTATATATACACAATGGAATATAATTCAGCCTTAAAAAAAGTAATCCTGTTATTTTCAACAACTTTGAGGAAATTATACTAAGTGAAATAAGCCAGACACAGAAAGATAACTACTGCATGATCTTATTTATATATGGAATATTTTCTTTAAAAGTCAAATACATAGAAAGAGTATAATGTGGTTACCAGGGGCAAGGGAGGGGAGGAAACAGGGAGATGTAGGTGAAAAGTGTAGGTGAAAGCTTGTAATTCTATAGGATGAACAAGTCTAGACATCTAGTGTATAACTTGAATACTAAAGTTAATTATACCGCATTGTATACTGAAAATTTGCAGAGTACATTTTAGATACTCTACTACAAAACAAACAAAAAGTAACTACAGAAGATGATGAATAGGTTAATTTGTTTGACTACAGCAATAATTTCACTATATATGTGCATATCAAAATATCATATTGTACATCTTAAATATATATATATAATTTTTTAAAATGGGAATACTACCTCATGCTAGAAGAGCTTACATATAGGTGGAGTAATATAAATGCCAAACATTGATCCAACAAAAATCAGGATCAACAAAAAATCAACAAAAATCCTGGAAGAATGGCAGGACTGGCAGTATTTGTGTGTGAATGTGTTGGGGGTGGGAGTGAGATGAAAGAAACAAATCCTCAAGGAAACAATTCCATGGTGACAAGTCAACAAATAACATCTAAAACATGAAAGATCAATAAAGAACAGCATAACAAAAATTCAGCTGAAAAGTGAGGAGCGTTTTTCTCTGGGTAGGGGAAAGCAAGATGAGAGGAAGACAGGAGTCTCCCCTCTACATAACTTTTTTTTCTTTTTGAGACAGAGTTTTGTTCTTGTCGTCCAGGCTGGACTATAGTGGCGTGATCTCGGCTCACTGCAACTTCTGCCTCCTGGGTTCAAGCGATTCTCCTGGCTCAGCCTCCCAAGTACCAGGGGTTACAGACGCCTGCCACCATGCCCAGATAATTTTTGTATTTTTAGTAGAGACAGGGTTTCACCATCTTGGCCAGGCTGGTCTCGAACTCCTGACCTCAGGTGATCCACCTGCCTCTGCCTCCCATCGTGCTGGGATTACAGGTGTGAGCCACCACACCTGGACAACAATTTTTATAGAACTGAGTTTTAAATTATGCACATATAATTTTGATTAAAATGAAAATATAAAAGTAGACAGTTTTCTGCTCCTATGTATGGTGCATGTGTATAAATTATTGACAAATAGTTAAAAATCAAATGCAGGTAAAATTTGGCAGACAGGGCTGTGTACGAAGCAGTGAGTGCTATTATAGTTAGCCAAAGAGGGCCCCTTGAAGGGGGTGTCATTTGAGTTAAGACGTAAACAATGAAAAGGTAATATACTTGTAAAAACTGGGGTGAGGAGGGAGTGGTCTACACAAAAGGAACAGCAAGTTCAAAGGGAGAAAGCTTAGCAAGTAGGAGGGAAGAAAGAAATGCGGATAAAAGTGAACAAGAAAGAAAGAACAGGGCCAGGGCTGGGTGTAGGGCATGGGACATTGCTGGCCAGATAAAGAGTGGGATTTTATTCTGGTTGTAATGAGATGTTACTAAAGGTGGCTTTTGTTTGTTTGCTTTCTTTAGTTTTTGAGCACAAAAGTGACATGATCTGATTTATGTGTAAGGAAGGCCGCTGTGTGGAGGATGAACTATAGGAGAGCAAAATAGAGGCAGGAAGGCAAATTAGAGGGTTATTGTAGTAGTCCAGGTGAAAGGAGTGTAATCTGACCAGGGTTTTCTCTGGGCAACTGATGATATGTGGTCAGATTTAGGGTATATTTGGAATTAGAGTCAATAGGAGTTGTAAATTGAATGTGGGTTTCAGGCAAAGAAAGAAACTAAGGATGACTGCAGTCTCTCCGCGTAAACAAGAAACACCAGTGATTTGACTGTCATCTCCATTCTTCTTTCTGCTTTCTTGCTCATACAAGAACATGACATAAATCCAAAAAGCCGGAACAATCAAAATCTGAACATTAACTGCAAGTTAACTAGTTTTCATCACTATCTTGTCAAACTAGCCGAAGCTCCCGCTGCCCTGCCCAGGCTCCCTCCGCAGAAGCCTCCGTTCTGTCATTTCCGTATGCTATGCTCACTCTTGTCTCTGTGTATATGCTCACATGTCTCCGTACTCACCAGCCTGATATAAACATCCTTATCTCTCTTGTCTACTTAATCAACCTCTTACCCATCACTGTCTTCTGTCTTATTATGGTAGATTGTTACTTTGGTGACCCCCAATGAACCATACCTCCTCAAATTCTGGGTTTGGCAAATAAGACATTAACAAGGAGGAAGCAAGCAGATACTAAATGGTGCATGCATACTGGAGGTTTTCTTCCAGGAACAGACATTTTAGATCCAGGCACCATGAAAGAAGCCCAAGCTATCTATGTGGTGGAAGAGAAGTCGCAGCCTACCAGCCATCCCACCAAGGTACCAGATATGAAAGTGAAGCCATATTGGACATTCTAGCCCCAGCCACCATTTGACAGAAATTGGGAGAGACCCCAAGCAATACCAGCAGAAGGGCCATCCATCTGGGCTCAGCCAATCCACAGAATCATGAACAAATAAAATGGTGGGGTGTAATGTAGCGGTACCTAATAAAAATATCCATCATTACATTGAAGTCACTCTTGCAAATGATTCCAATCGCAAGGATATTATCAAAACCAATGGACACATTTCTGCCTTTATCTTAATTGTCTTAATTACAGCATTTTTATTGTGATAAAATGTATATAACATAAAATTTACCATTTTACACATTTTTAAGCATGCAGCTCTGTGTCATGAAATACACTCACATTGTTGTGCATCACCATCATTCATCCACATAATTTTTTCATCTTCTCAAACTTAAACTTTGTACCCATTAAATACTACCTCCCAATTTCTGCCTCTACCCAGCCCCTGGTAACTACCATTCTACTTTCTGTCTTTGTGAATTTGACTTTGCTAGGTACCTCACATCAATGGAATCATGTTATAAGTGTAGCATTGTAGTATCATCTTAACTGTTTCATCTGACATTGCTGTACATTCCCTCTTTGAAATGTTCTCCCTGTAAGGTCTTGTCACAAAACCACCTTTTGCCTCATTTTTTTATTCTTCCATCTTGGTCTCTTTTTAGGGTTGTTCTTGACCTACTGACTCAGCTTCCTCTGAAACACCAGGCTCTCTCCAACATCTTCTCCCATGTGATCTCATTCCCATACATGCTTCAATAACCACAGAGATGCAAGTGGTAACCAAAGCCCCATCTCTAATATAACAAAGCTAAATTTTAAAATTTGAACTATACCCTGATGTATTTTCTTTTCTCAGCAATTATGATCCATCCCCCCTCCCACCCCCAGTCTTCCTGCCATTAAGATTAGGCTTGCAGGGAGGCTAAGGAAGATATTAATAGAAGATATGATGTAAGGGAAGACCCTTTAAGATAAGAAGGGGAAGAGAAGTACCTTCTAGTTGTAGGCACTGATTGCTAGAAATGGAAACTCATGCACTGTTTAAGGCGGGGTAGGCTTAAGAAGTGGTAACCATAAGAATGGTGACCAAGCCTAAATCATGAATTCAGGTTTGAACCTCTTTAGAATGTAGAATATATAAACCAAAATTAAACTGTCAGTAATAAAAAACCAGTAATCTTGCCTAGTATGAGGTGATATTTTCTTGGGATCTGATCAGATTGTGATAACCCCAGGAATATACAGTAACAAGGTTTTAAAAAATAAGGAAGTATATATGGGTTATACTTCACAATAACATGTAAGATGTAAAGAAATGAAGACACCAGAAAACTTTATTATTTATAATTTAAGGTTTGAAGATATGTGAGGTAATATATTTTATAATCATTGGATTGCCTTGTATATTCTTGGTCAACCTTTTAGGATATTCGAAACCTTTACTACATCCTAAAGTCATAGACATAATCACAATTTCAAATGGCTAAAAAAATTTGGTTAAGTGATGCTAATGTTTAAAGAAGACTCAATCCATTAAACTTATGTGTTAAATAAAATACTTAAAGAAGTGAATGAAATTTTTATTTTGTAAAAAATAACCAGATGTAGAAGTAAAATAAATTCTGTAAATTGACTTTTAGCTTCGGAATGAACATGTGTTTATCAAAGCACAAGTGAATGGGGGAATTCCTTTCTATACGTAAAAGGCCTCCTCAAGCATGAAAATCTCACCTACTACAGTAGAGAGAAGAATGCCTAGGTCTTCAGTGGGTACATGAAAGTGCAGAGAAACCTGACAAACTAAGTGGAGGCTCTATGTGAGGATGAGGAGGCCACAAATGGATCACTCGAGCCTCGAGGCTACCGTGCAGACCAAGGACCTGAACAGTAGGGTCCACTATGATGCTGGACAAGACCATAGAGGACCAGCCACACCTGTACATACTCCTACCCAGGTTTCATAGTGATTTAGCTGGATGAATACATCTCTACAGGGGCCACAGAGAACACCCAGCACAGCACAGGCACTAAGGCCAGGATGATACACTCATGAGCCCCTGGGGACTTCAATTACCCCAGGGAGAGGGATGAGCAAAGGTACACTGGAGAAGTCAGAACCATCAGGACTGAAATCCTGAAAGGACCACCTGTGTGCCTGAAGAGATTATATTTCTTGAAATAGGCATATTTGAGGGGTTTTGTTGTTGTTAGTTTTTGTTTTGCTACAGTGTGCCTGGAAGCAAGAAGAAATAGGATGTGAAAAATAAAGTTACCCTCATTTCACACCTGAATTGTACATGAATTGTGATAGCAATATTTTAACAGACAACTTCTTCTGTGCCCAAAACTCAATCTGCCCTCAACACTGTACCCACACTACCAGACCGTCTTTATAAATGTCAAGCTCATCATATCTCTCACTTTAAACTCCTTCATAGATTTTAGGTGAAGTTCAAAATCCTCAATTTATCCAGTGTACAGAGCACCCTTGGCATAAGCAACTCCATCTTAGAAAAATTCCTTCTCACATTTCAAAAAGCATCATGCTAACAGGAGCCAGATGTTGGCCTAATCAATAGAGACTGCTCCCAACCAGATAGGGATGTATCAGTCCTCACTCTATAAAAAGAGCAGGATTTCATCATCTTGAGATGGCTGTCTTGACACACACTGTCCTGCTGTCACTCAGGATCAGCACCCGGCACCTGCCGCTGAAGGTTCTGCCCAAATCACAGACTCTTCTTGCACGATGTTGACATCCCTCAGGATCAGTCCAGTATATTCTCCTTGCCCACTTCTCTCTCCTTGGATTGGTTCAATAGCCTCTTTTTTCTGTCCCCTTTCCTCTTGATGTTAAATGTCACTTTTTTGTGGAACATGTGATCTATAACATTTATGTATTAACTAAATATACTATTATGCATGGTTTGCAATATTGACTGACTTGTGGATTGGCTTGAACCTATGTGCCCACGGCTCTTGCTACCAGGTGAATGGGCAGTACTGAGGAGAATTGCCTCCTTGGGAACTCCACGTAGCTCATAGTTTTTATGACTGAAATAGCATCAATAGAAGTCTGATGTTGTGGGAAAACACAAATGTTCATGGACCTGGGTATGTCTGACTTTCCACCACGCATGCCATCTAGCATAAGCCCCCTTCTCCAGCCTGCAGCCCTGCCCCTGCGGCATGTCTATGCTTTCTTCTTCTAGTCATTCTGAGATGCTAGTAGTTCCTCAAACCTGATCTCCTCATTCATGCATTTGTGCTGCTCCCTGGCCTGGAATGTCCAGCCCCTACTGTCTTTCAAAGTTTAACTTAGCATTACCCTAGTAATCTCATAATCTCATCCCTGTTAGTGTAGCCAACTAGCTGTCCCATAGGCACTTCAAATGCAATCTATACCAAAGTAAACTTACATTCTTGTTCCTATAACCTGCTTCCTTATTTATCTATTTCACTGGGGGCACAACCAGTAATTCAAGCTGGAAACATACAGATTTTCTTTTCCTGTTTCTTCTCCACATCCAAATCCAAACCCAAGTCCAGCTGATGCCCCCTTTACCTCTCCTGTCCTCAACCTCTGAGGGCCTTGCCCACCTTGTGTTGCTGGCTCAGACTCCTCCCAGCAGGTCCCACTGCCACCAGTGTTCTCAATCCACACTGCAGCCTGCAGGTGGACTGCCATTCTGGCCATTTCACTGCAGGTCTTAAAACCCTTCAACAGTTCACAAGACCCCATTATCAAAGAAAATCAAAGATATCAAAGATTATCAAAGCTCGAATCCATAAAGCAGCTGGCCAGGCCCTCCACAGTCTAGATCTGGTCCCCTTTTTCACTCTGGCCTGGGGTCACACGTGGCCCTAAACTGCCAGTGGCACCAGGCCTGTGCTTCTCAAGCACCTTTACTTATGTTGTCCCTGCCATGTGTAACATCCTCGAGATATTTAGTTAGACACAAAATTAAAAAAGAAAATTAGGGCCATGGTAATACTTTCAGACAAATTTCGATGGGAACAAATGTGGAAGGAAAGAAGCTTCTTCTGCCCTGTCAGTCTCTGCATTAACCTCTCCCTCATTCACCCCCATCTATAAGCTGCTCTATGCCAAAAGGAGATGAAACGCCGGTGGAAGAAAAAGGAAAGAGGAGAATATAACCAGGGGTCAGGCTGAAGCCTCAGGCAAGGTACATGCAAACAATGGCCTAGGACAGACCAAATCCTGAAGATTTTGGCTTTTTGAAAGACAGGAAAAAACTGAAATGCATTTTTATCAGAGCTGGAAAAAAATATGTATTACACTCATCCTTACAGTATGAGCCAAAAAGTAAATAGCTCTACAGTTGTGAGTACCAATCATGCAGACACACGGAAGTGTGCCTAAAATTGCTTTGAAGAATCTTCCCCTCTTTCTTGTCCTCTTAGAGGGACTGCAAAGAAATGTCTACATCCCCCTCCCACCCCTACACACACTCAACTCCCTATCATACACAATCTGGTGTGCAGACACCCTTCAGTGTATCATTTGGGGATTTATTGGTATTTTAGTTAACAGGTTGATTCTAAGCCTTTACAACAATTAAAAAAAGCACTTTGTATACACACATGGGCACAGATCCAGAGTAATGTCTGTAATGCCTGAGGCACTTAAAAATTTGTTTTACATCAGGCTAAGCATGTTATGAATCTGCATTTTCATTATACATCACAACCATCCTTATTTTTACTAATGACATAAAAGATGAGAAGAAACAGAATGCTTATATTAAGGCTACCATCTGATCTTACATTTGTTAGAATAAAACTAGACATTTTAGTAGAACCGCAGATGAATTACATAATATTTATAAAGGGATCTTATAATAAAAATGAAGAAATTAAAACCAGATGAAAGTAGATAAAAGCTTTATTTTCATAATTAAAATTATGTTATACTGAATTGAAGTAGTACTTATAGTGGTAACAAATTACTATGTAGAATATTGAATTACTTTGCATTACAAATTGCTAAAATATACACCAATTTGTGACACAGAAAATATCTCAAAATTCGCTACTTTAACAGATATATGTACAATAAAAAGAGCAAATATCCTAATTATTCCAATGTCTAAAGGAATACAAAAGGTAAAGTATGAACATCACAGGCATATTAAATTTAATTTTATATTCACTTCACATATATTTCAGCACACAGTATTAGTTCATACTACAAGAATTTTTTAAAAATATTTTTAAAGTTGCAATTTGTCTCCTTAAAAGTATACATTAATAGGAAATAGATAAGTGATGTTATGGACAGGGCATTTTCTCATTGACTAGTAAAGGATATATACACTTATTTCTTAAATCATTGCACAAAGAAAACAAAATTATATTATGTATCTCTGTGAGTGCCTCATTACAGAATTCAATGATTTGGCAGTCTACACTTTCTAAATCTGTCAATCTCCTGCTTCAATCTGTGTGTTAAGTCATAGTATAACAGCTCACAGAAATCATATCGATTTCTAGGTCTCAAGAAGATTCTATAACGAATACATTTTGATTCTTAGTATTATAACAGTAGAAAATTGGCATCAGTCCACATTTTGGAAGAATGACATGACTAAATATATGTGGCATGTCAGACAGACATGAATACAAAATTGTGCTTTAAAAAATTCTAAGCCTACAATTTTTAAGAGTTTTATCTTTGGTTAAGCAACTTTTCTTCTGTGGAACAGTTACATTACTGTAATGTATCCTCAGTTACATTGTTTTCTAACAGCACCTATTTTTTTTTTGCATTACCAATTTATAAACTATGACCTCATTTATGAAAATACAAATTTACATGACATACCATTTTATTCCCAGCTAAACCAAAATTATAAACTCTGGCAATTCCAAATGTTGGCAAAGTTGGAGCAATGGGAATTCTTACACACTTCTGTTAGAGTGTAAAAAGGTATACTTTTGTTAAAAGTAAAGATACTAATATTTTTGCAGCCAGCAATTTCACTTCTAGATATATCCTCTAGAGAAACTCCTACACATGAGTGCAAAGGAAAATACACAAAACTATCCACCACAATACTGTTTCAAATGGTCAAAAAATTGTAATTAAAGGAGTTTTTTTAAAAATTAACAGCTTACATTTCCATTATCAACAGAGTCAATTTTAATATTGTGGTATATTTGCCATTCTATAGCATCAAAATGAATAAACTAAAGCTACATACATCAATATGAGAAATCTCTCTATATACAGATTTGAAGGAATAAAGCAAGTTTAAGGATGATACAGATAATAGGTTACTTTTTGCCTAAGTTTTAAAGCATGCAATAATATGTGTCACCTACAGATATAGATATGTAGTGAGAATATAAAGTCATAAGTGGGAATAATAAACACCAAATCTAGAACAGTAATCCTGTCTGGAGAAGTAAGGAGAGTAAGGAGAGTGAAAATGAAGAAGATGCACAATAGGATTTAACTTATTTAATGTTTTGTTCCTTGAAAAAAGAAAAGAAAAGATTTGGAGAATACAATACAAAAATGTTACATTTTACAATCTAGGTAGATGTATACATGGATTAATTATATTATTTCTAATTTTTATATTTTAAAACTATTTCAAATTTTAAAGAACAAAAATTTACAGTGAAGTAATATTCACCCTAATAAATGTTATTAGAACATTTGTTACTATCTTTACTTTTTTTTTTAAATTCATTGCATCTCAGAGAGAGCAACTACAATTTTAAGTGTCTTTCCATATTCATAATCTTCTCTAGATCTTTAAGAACTTGTCCAATTTCCTAACCTCACTAAGAGGTAAGTTTAGACCTCTGATGATACACTATCTGATAAGGTAATTGGTTGTTTTCATGTTGCTTACATTATCAGCCTTCATATATTTTAAATTGGTGTGTCTGTTTCCCATTTAAACATTTTTAAGAAGGTTATTTGAAGAGCTTAACCTCTCTGTGTACGTTTCTTCTTCTCAGAGCTTTGTGAGATCCACGGTAAGGTTGACTTACTCCCCCAGACTTCACTGGCTGTTCTCACTGAGACTTCTCATTCTTTAGGACTTATCTCAGATGGGGCCTGACCTGGGTTGCCTTCTCTGACCAGTGCAGGCCAGGCTGGGCCCTCCCCGAGAAGCCCTTTGTTTGTACAGTACCTTACAAATATCTGGATGGCAGAATATATCACCCTGTGCTGTTCTGGCAGATACTCCATCTCCTCGATGGGAATATGAGCTTCCTAAAGCAGCAACTATGTTCTGCTTTCACCTTCTCAAGATCTCAGAACAATCAAACATTTGCTTGATAAGTATTTGTTGAATGAACAAATGAATAAATGCAGTTGTTAGAAATAAATGCAGCATGAATCTTTTTCTACTAGTATTATTCTTTAGACAAGACTTTTGTGTCTTAGAAAGGCAAAAGGCAATTCAACACAGAATCCCTTTTTAGGAAAATCGTTACATTCACTGTAGATGAAATGCATCTTACTCTTGAATCCAAGTTTTTAGTATTAAGGGATATAGATTGTCGTGCTTTCTACTACTAGATTGTAGTGTTGATCATTAAGACTTTTCAAAAAGGGATGTTCACTGACGCAATAATTTATATGCAGGTACCAAACCATGGCAAGTAGACCCTTATAAATTTCAAATATTAAAATATAATCCAGGATTTTTTTTATTTTTTATTTTTTTGAGACAGCGTCTCACTCTGTCACCCAGGCTGGAGTGCAGTGGCGTAATCTTGGCTCACTGCAGCCTCAAACTCCTGGGCTCAAGCAGTTCTCCTATCTGAGCCTCCTGAGTAGAATCCCAAAAACTTTTATAACTTAGTAACTGAGGAATTAAGCAGATGGATTTCTAGATATAATGCTAGCACTTAATTTCCAATAAAAGAAAGTAAATTAAGAATTATTATGTAATTAAAATAAGGGACTAGAAACATATTCAGCAGCAGCCAAGCAGAGGGGGAGTGACCAAGTAGATGAGCCCAGTTCTCCATATGACAGAACACCCTCTAACCCTAAAAGAATAAATGATCACTCTCACCTGAGCCACCACGTAAAACAAAAATGGAAAGAAATGTAGGTACAAAAAAAGAGTTAAGAAAACAAGCAGAAAAATACAGTGCATTTTTATCTGTTACAACTATCTAAACTGTCTATTGACTATATAGCAACATCTGAAGTTTATATAATACTTTATTTATAAAGCACTTTCCCACAAGTATCTCACTAAGGGCCCACAACATTCCTTAGATTAGGAAGATCAGGTAATGTCCCTGTTCTACAGATGAAGAAATTGAGGCTCAGAGTGAGACTAAGGACAAAGAGATAGCATCAGAAGGAATACTTAAACCCAAACTTTAAAAACTTTTAACGCAATGTTTTTCCAGAATGTGAAACCCCACTTTAAAAATCCTTCTAAGTAAATATAGTTGTACTGGAATTTAGATAATTTTGAAACTCTCCAATAATTGAATAATATCTAGTTGGTGATACTTAGCATTTTACTTCTGATTGCATAAATATTCATAGGGAAACACCTAGGAGGAATGTTCAAAGCCATGAGTGGTGTGGTTCTCATTAGCACTAATAGAGATCAGGTGGATAAGCTCCCATTTAATGCTTTGAAAATCTGTCCCCGACTTTGCACCACTTAGGTAGCTGTAAAGTATACTCCTACTTGTTTTGGTTTTGTAGTAAAAATTATGCTTCACTGTATTACTTTCACGCCACTTAGGAAAATATTTCTGTTTTTCAGTAATGATAATTTTCTCTATTAGGTTAAATTATTCAGTCATACTTCTTTAGTTTCTTCAATTTTATCCTCTTCTGATTCTCTGATTGTCAAAACTCTAGGGACTCCACAAATCTCAGATCAGCACTGTCTCCAAGACCAGGGTCAACACTACAACGTGGCTGTCAAACTGCAGAGCCTTCAGGAGCCTGTATGTGAAAGATAGGGGAAGGGATAGGGCAAAATGCACTCATGAGGGAGTCGCTCAAGCTCTCAAAAGGGGTCATTTGCTGTTCCACCCAAGTTGGTTGTTGACTGTGGATTCATTGTTGCTGGCTCTTCCAAGGTTTTGAAAAAAGCCAGAAATTTATAGTTTTTCATAAGGAAGTTTAAATCTTTAAAGGCCACAATTACAAATAATTTTTTAAACACTGTATGGACCAACATTGTCTAGAGTGAACAGCACTTGTGGGCCATGAGTTGACAATAGCTAATTCAGTTTCCTATTCTAAAAAGCAGAATGGTTGACTCAGGTCATTAAGCTTCATACCATTCATTCAGATTTCAGCTGGGAAAATTGTTTTTCTCCATTGTGTATAATCCAATTGCTGGACAAATTTAGGAAAAAAACAGGATGATATAAACGTAATTAGAATATTAGAATCACAGAATGGGTACAGAGGAAGAAATTGCTTGCTCATGCCTATATAAGTGAATATTGATGAGAAGTCAAGGATGATGAATTTAATCTTATCTGCTTCTATTTCATGACAACCTGATGTAAGGATTCAAAAATAACTATAAATGGAAATTTTTATTCTCAATCAGACAACTTAGTATCATCTTGCTGACTGTAGCTTTGTGAAATGGTTCTTAACATGGAATTTATTGAGCAGATGGGGGATTAGCCATGTCAATAAACATTTTCTGGTTCCTCATGTGACAAGATTGTACCACACGCTGATAATACAGGTGAATGAGACATGTCCCCTACCCCTATAGAGCTCATGATCTATCAGGCAACTGGAATGTGTGATGCGATCGACTTCTGTAAAGATAGACTACTTTAGGGGAGTAGAGGAAAAGATTTTGGGAGCACAGAGTAGGGAAAGCATGACAGTCAGTGATGAATGACTACAGGTAAGGAAGAAACTGAATATTAAAGAATAGGAATCACTCAGGTAAGCTGGGAATGACAAGCAAAACAGCTTTTGGGATAGAAGATAGAAACAACATGATGTCTTTATCAATCTATATGCAGATGGGTGTTGACATTTAAGAGGAGAAGTAACATGGTCATCTGTTTCAGATAGACCATTCTAGTTGCAATGTGTAAATGACAGATTATATAGAGAGAAATGATAGGTAGAAACACCACTTAAGAGTGTAGCAGTGGTCCAGGTGAGAGAGACGGACTTAGACCAGAGAAAAGTGACATGCATCTTTGAGAGAAAACGGAGAGATCTGAAAAACATTTACAGTTAAATTATTGGAACAGAATGATTTATGTTATGGTAGAGCTCAGGAACAGCAATGCTGACGGCACCCACATTTCTAACTTCAGGTCACAGTGTGGACAGTGGTAGCATCCACAGAGATCAAGAACAGAGAAAAGTAGCAAATTTTAGAAAACATGCCACATACCTTTTAGATACTCTAAGTTTGAGGTACCCATGGGATATCTTGGTGGAGATTTTCAGCTATCCAAATCTTTGGGATAAAATGCAAGCTGGAGACATATTTTTGAAAATTATTAGAAATGCAGTGGAGACTAAAGCATGAGGGCAGTGGAGAACAATTAGGGTGAGTGTGTAATGAGCAGCACAGGGGCTGAACACAAAAACCCAAGCATTAGGAATCATCAGCAAAGTAGGAGAACTCATAGACTATGTGAAGAAGTCCAAGAAGAAGGGTCAAGAATAAGCTAGCATATGCCAGGAACTGTGCTAAGCCTGCACACATTGACTATAATCTCATAAGTTAATTATCATTATATTCTACCCATCTTCTAGTCAAGAAAACTGAGCTACCCTCAAAAAGAAAATACCTTGCCCAAGGTCACTATCAAGTTAAGATTCCTGTGATTCAGACCTAATCCTGCCACACTCCAAAGACTGATTAACTTTCACTTCATCCAGACACCAGTGATCCCCAAGGTCTTATAGCGAAGTGGTCAAATAAGTTAAGGGTTGAAAAGTGTCCATGGGATTTACAATATGAAGGCCACTGATAATTATGACCAGTAATTGTTATCTGGAATGAGTGAAGTGGAGTTAGCAAATGCATACAACTCTTGTAAAGAAGCTTGGGTACGACAATAGAAAAAAGAAAGCCAAGGAGCACACAGTGCTCCTAAACAGTGAGGGTGACCAGAGTTTTTCGGTTGTCTGTGAAGAACTTTACAAGGTGCTTATTATCATGATGGCTAATGTGTAATTTCACATGTAGAAAGGAAGAGATCCGAGGACCTTTCTGGAACTATGACTCTACTCATCATTTCCAGGTAGCTTCGATCTCAGCTGCCGGGGAGTAGAAACTAGAAAGAACAACCATATTATTCCATCTTCTAATTAATGCCACATTACACAAATAAAAACACAGAGCTCCTATGACACTCTGATGCTGAACCTCTATCACACAATTTTGATCGGGAATAGGAAGTGAGCAGGTCTTTCTTGGCTCAGCAGCTTGGGTCAGAGGAAGTACATTTTAATAAGCATAATAGTGATAGTCAGAATCAGCTTGAAAATGAATTGAATTAGACATATAAAGTCTTATGCTGACTGGTCCTGGTTATCAAACAGCACGCTGGCAACTTCACAGCATCCAGCTAGTTCCAGGAGACTCAGGAGGCCTGCCAGTTCCTACACACAAGTCCCTTGTAGACTAAAAGACATAGAACATTCCTCTTCTGGGCCCCTCTCACCCCTCCACACGAGAACGCCTGCCAATCTGCTTGCTCTCAGGACTTTACCAAGACAGTCAAGCAACAACAACAGAAAGAGAGAGACAGACACACACAGGCAGAGAGAGAGGGAGAAAGAAAAGAAACAACAAGGTTTCTGCCATAACCCCCAAACTCACTATTTTTTAATGGGGAAAAAAAATTCTGGCAGGGAATGCTCATGATATTTTCATTGTTTTTTTATTCCAACATGATTTATATTTAGTATACAGGGTTATTTGTTTATCTTTTTTAAAGTTTTTGAACATATTATAAATATTTGTTAAATGATATTTATTTATATTGCTAAATCCTGCTTTAGAAGAAAAACGTTAGCATATGTGTTCTCTTTTATTAATTAACAACAACAAACAGCTTCACAATATGCAGGTGAAATGAGACCTGAAATTCATTAGAAATATTCACTCATGAAATGTTTTAAATGTCCTGCATGTAACTATGAGAACTCAACAAGTTTCAAAACGTGAGTTGGCAAAGCAGATTCTTTATTACACATCAGCTTTTGTCAAAAAGGGTCAATTTAGAGCTTTTACTAGACTTGACTTTTGAAGTTAAGAATATCAACATCATGGAAAAAAATCTTTCTAACAAAAGATATTAACACCTGGAAAAAACTGATTCAAAAAAATCAAATGGTCCATGTACGACTGGTGACAGATACATGTTAAAAATCTTTTGAAGCTGAGTTTCGTACAAGATCATAACCTATTGGTCTCCAGTTACTAGCAGAGTTTTCTTGCTGTCCACCAGAAAGACCCCTTTACACTGTAATGCCAGTAGTTCAACTGGCAACTTCAAAGATCTGTAGGTTAATACTCAATACTTCCCAACCTATCCCTTTCCCTTTGTTCAGTTAATTGGGTATATATATATACATTTATATTTTTCTCCGTTTGATGCTTAACTGTTTGTACCACTATTGAATTTATCATTTATTGAATTTATCATTTAAATGCTGATTTTACCAGATGCTTTTTCTTTTGCATTTAGTAATACATGTATTTTTTCTCCTTTAAGATTTGGAGGTAATGACTTATATGTTGATAGATTTCCTTACGTTAAATCTTCCTTATATTCCTGAATATTCCTTATATTCCTTTAACGACAAAAATATTTTGGTTATGGTGTGTTCTTCTTTTAATATACTACTGGGTTTGATTTGCTAATCAAATTCTCTTAAAGCTTTGGAAATCTTGCATTCACATTTACAAGTGAAAAGTGAAATTGGATAATTCTTTTTTTTTTTTTTTTAGAGCCAGAGTCTCACTCTGTTGCCCAGGCTGGAGTGCAGTGGCACAATCAGAGCTCACTGAACTCCTGGCCTCAAGTGATCCTTCTGCCTCAGTCTCCTGAGTAACTGTGACTACAGGTATGTACCACCATGCCCAACTAATTTTTAAATTTTTTGTGGAGATGGGATCTTGCTATGCTGCTCAGGCTGGTTTTGAACTCCCAATCTCAAGCAATCCTCCCACCTGGGCCTCCCAAAGAGGTGAGTCAACATGCCTAGCAATTCATCCTTTTTAACATCTAGCTTTTGATATTTATGTGAAGCTGTTCCATAAAAATGAATAGGAAAACATTGCCATCTTTTTGTTTGAGCTGAAGTAATTTTAAAACTATAGGAATTATTCTTTCTCTGACTATAGAAGAACCTAGTCTGATTTCACTTATATTAATTTTTTTCTGCATCAATTTATTTTTTCTTTTCTTCTTAGACTCCAGTGTCATAAATGCTAGACCTATTGAAACTGTCCCATAGGTCCCTGAGACTCTCTTATTCAATCTCTTTTCTTACTATTTTTTAGATTGAATTCTATTAATCTATTTCAAGTTCACTCACTCTTTCCTTTGTCATCTCTATTCCATTATTGAGCTAAGACAGTGGAATTTTATTTAATATATTGTATTTTTCAATATAAAATTTACCTTTTTTTGTTTTTGTTTTTGTTTTTGAGACAGGGTCTCGCTCTGTCATCCAGGCTGGAGTGCAGTGGTGCGATCTCGGCTCACTGCAACCTCCACCTTCCGGGTTCAAGCAATTCTCATGCCTCAGCCACCCAAGTAACTAGGACTACAGGTGTGTGCCACCACACACAACTAATTTTTATTTTATTTTTATTTTTCGTAGAGACAGGGTTTTGCCATGTTGGCCAGGCTGGTTTTGAACTCCTGACCTCAAGTGATCTGCCCACCTCAGCCTCCCAAAGTGCTGGGATTACAGGCATGAGCTACTGTACCCAGCCAAAAATTTTCTTCTTTTGTTAATAGCTTCCGTTTCACTGTTGAGAACTCCCATCTTCCTGTTCATCTCAAGAGTGTTTATCTTTCTAGCAACTAGCATAGTTATAATAGCTTCTTTAAAATCTTTGTCTGATTGTTCCAAGATCTCTGTTATGTCAGGGTTTGTATCTATTGGTTGTCTTTTCACTTAAGAATTTGTCACCTTTTTTTATTCTTTGTATGGTGAGTAATTTTGGATTATATCTTAGATATTTTGATGATTATGTTGTAAAACTCTGGGTCCTATTAAAATCTTATGGAGAACGTTGATTTTTATTTTATTTTTAATTTTGTTTAGCAGGCAATGAATCTGGCTAATTTCAGACTACAAGTTCTATCTTACCTTCTTGGCATGGTAGTTCAATTGTCAGTTCAGATTTCAAAGCCTTTGCTATGCTGCTTTGGGACTTACCCAGGTGTGAACCATTCAGAGGTTAGTCTGGGACTTGGACAGTGGTTCATACTGTAGTACAATTCCCAAAGCCTTTGCCATGTTCTTTTTGTCTGTTCCTTGTATGTAGAGCTCAGTGGTGAGCCCAGGGTGTTTGCCATTCTGAATATAGCATTAGGAAGTCTCCTTCCCCAACTTTCTCCTTTCTAGAATCCCACTGCACCCAATCTTTAAGGGGTCCTTTGCAACTGTATTCTGGCTGAAAAATAGAGTTTCTCTCAGAACTGCAGCTGCAGCTCCTTGACTGGGGCCTGCCCTTGAGTCAAAGCAGAAAGATTAAAGAAGAGAAAGATGAAAAAATAATAGAGATTTCCCTCCATACTTTTCAAACCACAGGACTTTGCTTTCCCAATTCCTCTGTACAGAAAAACAGAATTTCTCTAAGTTTTAGTGGAGGGAACCTTCTGCTCCCACAGCTTCCCCAGTGGAGCTGTCCTCAGGGGAGGAAGGGACGGAAAAAGAAAAAAGGAAAACTCCTGAAGACTTTACCCCCGCACCCTTTGGCTTGCATTGGCTCTTTTTCTAGTTTCATGTCCAAAAAGATAAAGAATTTCTCCATTCTTGCTTCCTGGACTTCTGCAGCTACAGCGCTGTGACTAGAGACCACCTTCAGGTTAAAGCCATGACAGGAAAGAGGGGGAAAAAATGGGGCTTACTCCTATATAAGTTGCTTCATCAAGTTTTGCTCTTCCTCCCTAATCTTCCTGCTTATGATTACATTTCAGAATTCTAAATGGCTGCTTTTTGTATTTTGCTCAGAGGTCCCATTGTAATGAGGTGAGAGATAGGCTGTAGTGAGCTTACTCCATCTTGGCTGTCACTGGAAATTTTAGTGCCTTTAAAAAAGGTACTAAATGATAAATAATCATTCTCACCTGCTGTATAATTATTGGTCTTTTCAGGATTTCAGTTTCTTCTTGAGTAAATCTTTTTTGTTCATACTTGCCAGAAAAATCATTCATTTCTTCTAAAATTTCAAATGTATTGCCACAGACTTACCAAAAAAGAGGTTGTCTTAAGTCTATCTCTTTTTTTAAATCATAAGATAATATTTTTAGTGAAATTCAAATCATTTTTTACAATAAACAATATTTTCTATATGTGTTAGTTTACTCAATCTCCTCATTTTTCTATTTTATGTTTGTAATTTACCTAGGGCTCTCTAGCACATATATGTGTTTTATGTTTTCTTAATTAATAGCGGTGCACAATTGAACAGTTTAGTTGCTATTGAGTTAAAGAAAATTGGTTTCATAGAATACCTTTCTGCAATATTTGAACACATACAAAAATGCCTATCAAAAGCTAAGATATAAAACTATGTACCTCTATTTTCAATCTAAAGTCATTTTATACACTGGAAAGTAAGTACAAGTGCAATATTCACTGTAAAATATGCACTAAGCACTTTGTTGATATAAAATTTAATGAGTTCATAATTATGCAAACATTGTCATGGGGAGTGAAGGACATATAGATTCTATCTGTATTATTTCTTATAATTGCTTAAGTAATTTTCTTTTATTATTATTATTATTATTATACTTTAAGTTCTAGGGTACATGTGCACAACGTGCAGGTTTGTTACATATGTATACATGTGTCATGTTGGTGTGCTGCACCCGTTAACTCCTCATTTACATTAGGTATATCTCCTAATGCTATCCCTCCCCCCTCCAACCACTCCACGACAGTCCCCAGTGTGTGATGTTCCCCACCCTGTGTCCAAGTGTTCTCATTGTTCAATTCCCACCTATGAGTGAGAACATGTGGTGTTTGGTTTTCTGTCCTTGTGATAGTTTGCTCAGAATGATGGTTTCCAGCTTCATCCATGTCCCTACAAAGGACATGAACTCACCCATTTTTATGGCTGCATAGTATTCCATGGTGTATATGTGCCACATTTTCTTAATCCAGTCTATCACTGATGGACATTTGGGTTGGCTCCAAGTCTGCTATTGTGAATAGTGCCACAATAAACATACGTGTGCATGTGTCTTAATAGCAGCATGATTTATAATCCTTTGGGTATATGCCCAATAATGGGATGGCTGGGTCAAATGGTATTTCTAGTTCTAGATCCTTGAGGAATCATCACACTGTCTTCCACAATGGTTGAACCAGTTTACAGTCCCACCAACAGTGTAAAAGCATTCCTATTTCTCCACATCCTCTCCAGCATCTGTTTCCTGCATTTTTAATGATTGCCATTCTAACTGGTGTGAGATGGTATCTCATGGTGGTTTTTATTTGCATTTCTCTGATGGCCACTGATGATGAGCATTTTTTCAGTGTCTGTTGGCTGCATAAATGTCTTCTTTTGAGAAGTGTCTGTTCCTATCCTTCACTCACTTTTTGATGGGGTTGTTTGATTTTTTTCTTGTAAATTTGTTTAAGTTCTTTGTAGATTCTGGATATTAGCCCTTTGTCAGATGGGTAGATTGTAAAAATTTTCTCCCATTCTGTAGGTTGCCTATTCACTCTGATGGTAGTTTCTTTTGCTGTGCAGAAGCTCTTTAGTTTAAATAGATCCCTTTTGTCAACTTTCGTTTTTGTTGCCATTGCTTTTGGTGTTTTAGTCATGAAGCCCTTGCCCATGCCTATGTCCTGAATGGTATTGCCTCGGTTTTCTTCTAGGGTTGTTATGGCTTTAGGTCTAACATTTAAGTCTTTAATCCATCTTGAATTAATTTTTGTATAAGGTGTAAGGAAGGGATCCAGTTTCAGCTTTCTACATAGGGCTAGCCAGTTTTCCCAGCACCATTTATTAAATAGGGAATCATTTCCCTATTTCTTGTTTTTGTCAGGGTTGTGAAAGATAAGATGGTTGTAGATCTGTGGTATTATTTCCGGGGGATCTATTCTGTTCTATTGGTCTATATATCTGTTTTGGTACCAGTACCATGCTGGTTTGGTTACTGTAGCCTTGTAGTATAGTTTCAAGTCAGGTAGCTTGATGCCTCCAGTTTTGTTCTTTTGCTTTAGGATTGTCTTGGCAATGAGGGCTCTTTTTTGGATCCATATGAACTTTAAAGTAGTTTTTTCCAATTCTGTGAAGAAAGTCATTGGTAGCTTGATGGGGATGGCATTGAATCTATAAATTACCTTGGGCAGTATGGCCATTTTCACGATATTGATTCTTCCTATCCATGAGCGTGGAATGTTCTTCCATTTGTTTGTATCCTCTTTTATTTCGTTGAGCAGTGGTTTGTAGTTCTCCTTGAAGAGGTCCTTCACATCCCTTGTAAGGTGGATTCCTAGGTATTTTATTCTCTTTGAAGCTATTGTGAAATGGAGTTCACCCATGATTTGGTTCTCTGTTGTCTGTTATTGGTGTATAAGAATGCTTGTGATTTTTGCACATTGATTTTGTACCCTGAGACTTTGCCGAAGTTGCTTATCAGCTTAAGGAGATTTTGGGCTGAGATGATGGGGTTTTCTAAATATACAATCATGTTATTTGCAAACAGGGACAATTTGACTTCCTCTTTTCCTAATTGAATAACCTTTATTTCTTTCTCTTGCCTGATTGCCCTGGCCAGAACTTCCAACACTATGTTGAATAGGAGTGGTGAGAGAGGGCATCCCTGTCTTGTGCCAGTTTTCAAAGGGAATGCTTCCAGTTTTTGCCCATTCAGTATGATATTGGCTGTGGGTTTGTCATAGATAGCTCTTATTATTTTGAGATATGTCCCATCATTACCGAGTTTATTGAGAGTTTTTAGCATGAAGGGTTGTTGAATTTTGTCAAAGGCCTTTTCTGCATCTATTGAGATAATCATGTGGTTTTTGTCTTTGGTTCTGTTTATATGCTGGATTACATTTCTTGATTTGCATATGTTGAATCAGCCTTGCATCCCAGGGATGAAGCCCATTTGATCACGGTGGATAAGCTTTTTGATGTGCTGCAGGATTCGGCTTGCCAGTATTTTATTGAGGATTTTGCATCGATGTTCATCAGGGATATTGGTGTAAAATTCTCTTTTTTTGCTGTATCTCTGCCAGGGTTTGGTATCAGGATGATGTTGGCTTCATAAAAAGAATTAGGGAGTATTCCCTCTTTTTCTATTGATTGGAACAGTTTCAGAAGGAATGGTACCAGCTCCTGTTTGTACATGTGGTAGAATTCGGCTGTGAATCCATGTGATCCTGGACTTTTTTTGGTTGGTAGGCTATTAATTATTGCCTCAATTTAAGAACCTGTAATTGGTCTATTCAGGGATTCAACTTCTTCCTGGTTTAGTCTTGGGAGGGTGTATGTGTCGAGGAATTTATCCATTTCTTCTAGATTTTCTAGTTTATTTGCGTAGAGGTGCTTATAGTATTCTCTGATGGTAGTTTGTATTTCTGTGGGATCGGTGGTGATATCCCCTTTCTCATTTTTTATTGTGTCTATTTGATTCTTCTCTCTTTTCTTCTTTATTAGTCTTTCTAGCGGTCTATTAATTTTGTTGATCTTTTCAAAAAACCAGCTCCTGGATTCATTGATTTTTTGAAGGGATTTTTGTGTCTCTATTTCCTTCAGTTCTGCTCTGATCTTAGTTATTTCTTGTCTTCTGCTAGCTTTTGAATGTGTTTGCTCTTGCTTTTCTAGTTCTTTTAATTGTGATTTTAGGTTGTCAATTTTAGATCTTTCCTGCTTTCTCTTGTGGGCATTTAATGCTATAAATTTCCCTCTACACACTGCTTTAAATGTGTCCCAGAGATTCTGGTATGTTGTGTCTTTGTTCTCATTGGTTTCAAAGAACATCTTTATTTCTGCCTTCATTTCGTTATATAGCCAGTAGTCATTCAGGAGCAGTTGTTCAGTTTCCATGCAGTAGAGTGGTTTTGAGTGAGTTTCTTAATCCTGAGTTCTAGTTTGATTGCACTGTGGTCTGTGAGACAGTTTGTTATAATTTCTGTTCTTTCACATTTGCAGAGGGGTGCTTTACTTCCAACTATGTGGTCAATTTTGGAATAAGTGTGATGTGGTGCTAAGAATGTATATTCTGTTGACTTGGGGTGCAGAGTTCTGTAGATGTCTGCTAGGTCATCTTGGTGCAGAGCTGAGTTCAATTCCTGGATATCCTTGTTGACTTTCTGTGTCGTTGATCTGTCTAATGTTGACAGTGTGGTGTCAAAGTCTCCCATTATTATTGTGTGGGAGTCTAAATCTCTTTATAGGTCTCTAAGGACTTGCTTTATGAATCTGGGTGCTCCTGTATTGGATGCATATATATTTAGCATAGTTAGCTCTTCTTGTTGAATTGATCCCTTTACCATTAAACAATGGCCTTCTTTGTCTCTTTTGATCTTTGTTGATTTAAAATCTGTTTTATCAGAGACCAGGATTGCAACCCCTGCTTTTTTTTGTTTTCCATTTGCTTGGTAGATCTTTCTCCATCCCTTTATTTTGAGCCTATGTGTGTCTCTGCATGTGAGATGGGTTTCCTGAATACAGCACACTGATGGGTCTTCACTCTTTATCCAATTTGCCAGTCTGTGTCTTTTAATTGGAGCATTTAGCCTATTTACATTTAAGGTTAATATTGTTATGTGTGAACTTGATCCTGTCATTATGATGTTAGCTGGTTATTTTGCTCATTAGTTGATGCAGTTTCTTCCTAGCATCGATGGTCTTTACAATTTGGCATGTTTTTGCAGTGGCTGGTACTAGTTGTTCCTTTCCATGTTTAGTGCTTCCTTCAGGAGCTCTTGTAAGGCAGGCCTGGTGTTGACAAAATCTCTCAGCACTTATTTGTCTGTAAAAGATTTTATTTCTCCTTCACATATGAAGTTTAGTTTGGCTGGATATGAAATTCTGGGTTGAAAATTCTTTTCTTTAAGAATGTTGAATATTGGCCCCCACTCTCTTTTGGCTTATAGAGTTTCTGCTGAGAGATCCACTGTTAGTCTGATGGGCTTCCCTTTGTGAGTAACCCAACCTTTCTCTCTGGCTGCCCTTAACATTTTTTCCCTCATTTCAACTTTGGCAAATCTAACAATTGTGTGTCTTGGAGTGGCTCTTCTCGAGGAGTATCTCTGTGGTGTTCTCTGTATTTCCTGAATTTGAATGTTGGCCTGCCTTGCCACGTTGTGGAAGTTCTCCTGGATAACATCCTGCAGAGTGTTTTCCAACTTGGTTCCATTCTCCCCGTCACTTTCAGGTACACCAATCAGACATAGATTTGGTGTTTTCACATAGTTCCATATTTCTTGGAGGCTTTGTTCATTTCTTTTTAATCTTTTTTCTCTCAACTTCTCTTCTCACTTCATTTCATTCATTTGGTTTTCAATCACTGACACCCTGTCTTCCACTTGATCAAATCTTGTACTTATGCTTGTGCATGTGTCACGTAGTTCTTGTGCCATGGTTTTCAGCCCCATCAGGTCATTTAAGGACTTCTCTACACTGTTTATTCTAGTTAGCCATTCATCTAATCTTTTTCCAAGGTTTTTAGCTTCTTTGCAATGGGTTCAAACATCCTCCTTTAGCTCAGATAAGTTTGTTATTACTTATTGTCCGAAGCCTTCTTCTCTCAACTCGTCAAAGTCATTCTCTGTCCAGCTTTGTTCCATTGCTGGCCAGGACCTGCGTTCCTTTGGAGGAGAAAAGGCACTCTGATTTTTAGAATTTTCAGCTTTTCTGCTCTGGTTTCTTCCCACCTTTGTGGTTTTATCTACCTTTGGTCTTTGATGTTGGTGACGTACAGATGGGGTTTTGGTGTGGATGTCCTTTCTGTTTTAGTTTTCCTTCTAACAGTCAGGACCCTCAGCTGCAGGTCTGTTGGAGTTTACTGGAGGTCCACTCCAGACCCTCTTTGCCTCAGTATCACCAGTGGAGGCTGAAGAACAGCAAATATTGCAGAACAGCAAATGTTGCTGCCTGATCCTTCCTCTGGAAGCTTCGTCTCAGAGGGGCATCCAGCTGTATGAGCTGTCAGTCAGTCCCTACTGGGAGGTGTCTCCCATTTAGGCTACTTGGGGGTCAGGGACCCACTTGAGGAGGCAGTCTGTCTGTTCTCAGGTCTCAAACTCCGTGCTGGGAGAACCACTACTCTCTTCAAAGCTGTCAGACAGAGACATTTAAGTCTGCAGAGGTTTCTGCTGCCTTTTGTTCAGCTATGCCCTGCCCCAAGAGGTGGAGTCTACAGAGGTAGGCAGGCCTCCTTGAGTATGGTGGGCTCCACCCAGTTCGAGCTTCCTGGCCGCTTTGTTTACCTACTCAAGCCACAGCAATGGCAGATGCCCCTCCGACAGCCTTGCTGCTGCCTTGCAGTTCAATCTCAGACTGCTGTGTTAGCAGTAAGTGAGGCTCTGTGGGCGTGGGACCCTCCAAGCCATGTGCGGGATATAATCTCCTGGTGTGCCGTTTGCTAAGGCAGTTGGAAAACCGCAGTATTAGGGTGGGAGTGTCCTGATTTTCCCGGTACCGTCTGTCACGGCTTCCCTTTGCTAGGAAAGGGAATTCCCTGACCCCTTGTGCTTCCCGGGTGAAGCGATGCCCTGCCCTGCTCCATGGGCTGAACCCACTGTCTGACAAGCCCCAGTGAGATGAATCCAGTACCTCAGTTGGAAATGCGGAAATCACCCGTCTTCTGCATCACTCACGCAGGGAGCTGCAGACTGGGCTGTTCCTACTCGGCTATCTTGGAACCTCCTCCTGCTTATGTCTCAAGTCTGTCTCTTCTATACATGTGGTTATATCTCCTTATGTGACATATCTTTGTTTTAACTTTCCCTTTCACAAAATCAGGCACAGCCAAATCATGAATGAACTCACATTCACAATTGCTATAAGAAGAGTAAATACCTAGGAATACATCTAACAAAGGAAGTGAAGGACCTCTTCAAGGAGAACTACAAACCAGTGCTCAAGGAAATCAGAGAGGACACAAACAAATGGAATAACATTCCATGTTCATGGATAGAAAGAATCAATATTGTGAAAATGGCCATACCATACTGCTCAAAGTAATTTATCGATTCAATGCTATTCCCACTAAACTACCATTGAAATGCTTCACAGGATCAGAAAAAAACTACTTTAAAATTCATATGGAGCCACAAAAGAGCCTGTATAGCCAAGACAATCCTAAGCAAAAAGAACAAAGCTGGAGGCATCATGCTACCTGACTTCAAACTATACTACAAGGCTACAGTAACCAAAACAGAATGGCTCTGGTATAAAAATCGACACATGGACCAATGGAACAGAACAGAGATCTCAGAAATAAGACTGCACATCTACATGCATCTGTCTTCAACAAACCTGAGAAACAGCAATGGGGAAAGGATTCCCTATTCCAAAAAATGGTGCTGGGAGAACTGGCTAGCCACATGCAGAAAATTGAAACTGGACCCCTTCCTTACACCTTATACTAAAATTAACTCAAGATGAATTAAAGACTTAAGTGTAAAACCCAAAACTATAAAAACCCTAGATGAAAACCTAGGCAATACTATTCAGCACATAGGCGCAGGCAAAGATTTCATGATGAAAACATCAAAAGCAATTGCAACGAATGCAAAAATTGACAAATGAAATCTAATTGAACTAAAGAGCTTCTGCACAGCAAAAGAAATTATCATCAGAGTGAACAGACAGCCTATAGAATGGGAGAAAATGTTTGCAATCTACCAGTCTGACAAAGGTCTAATATCCAGAAGGTACAAGGAACTTTAAAAAATTTACAAGAAAAAAAAACATTAAAAAGTGGGCAAAGGACAGGAATAGACACTTCTCAAAAGCAAACATTTATGCAGCCAACAGACATGAAAAAAGCACAACATCACTGATCATTTAAGAAATGCAAATAAAAACCACAGTGAGATGCCATTTCGCATCAGTCAGAATGGCATTTATTAAAAAGTCAAGAAACAACAGTTGCTGGTGAGGCTGTGGAGCAATAGGAATGCTTTTACACTGTTGGTGGGAAGGTAAATTAGTTCAACCATTGTGGAAGACAGTGTGGCAATTCCTCAAAGACCTAGAACTAGAAATACCATTTGACCTATCAATCCTATTACTGGGTATATACCCAAAGGAATATAAATCATTCTATTATTAAGACATATGCATGCATATGTTCACTGCAGCACTATTTACAATGACAAAGGCATGAAATCAACCCAAATGCCCATCAATGATAGAATGGATAAAGGAAATGTGGTACGTATACACCATGGAATACTATGCAGCCATAAAAAGGAATGAGATCATGCCCTTTTCAGGGACATGGATGGAGTTGGAAGCCATTATCCTCGGCAAACTAACGCAGGAACAGAAAACCAAACACTGCATGTTCTCAATTATAAGTGTGAGCTGAACAATGAGAACACATGGACACAGGGAGGGGAACGAACACACTGGGGCTTCTCAGGAGGGTGGTGGGAGGGAGGCATCAGGATAAATAGCTAATGCATTCTGGGCTTCATACCTAGGTGACAGATTGATAGATGCAGCAAACCACCATGGCACACATTTACCTGTGTAACAAACCTGCATGTCCTGCACATGTATCCCAGAACTTAAAATAAATTTTTTAAAAATCAGACACAGCAAGAGTTTCTCTATTTTATTACCTTTCAACAAGAAGATTTCAATTTTATTCTTTCATTTTCTTTAACTTCGGTCTTTATTAATCACTATCATCCCAATATCTGCTGTTTACTTTGTTAGTTTCTCATTACTGCAAGTAAATAATTAATTTTCATTGTTTTCAGAATAAAATCACTTACAGCTTACCTTTTCCTCTGAAACATATTAGCATATGCATATTAGCATATTTCACAGGTTTTGCTATGAAGCGTTCTTATGGCATAGTGGTTAAGAGTAGAGGTTCTTTGAATTCCAACTATTGTCTCTTGGACAGTTTACTCAACCTCTCCATTGCCTCAGTTTCTTCATCAGTCAAATGGGAATAATAATAGTACAGAATTTCTAAGATTATCCTAAAGTTGGAGACCCTCTACGTAAAAGGGCTTAGAAGCTCCGCTTGGCATTGAGAAAGCTTTCGATAAATCCTTGTTGTTCTTGTTACCACTACTACTACCACCACTTTCTGAATCATTTTTACTAAGCCCCACTTAAATGAATTATAGTTTTTCTCTGTCTGCTTATGATTTTTTCCCTCAGCATCCATAAAGCCAGGCTATTAAAATCTCACAAGTAGAGACAAATGAGTGGATTAAGGATGCCAGTGATATCTCTGACCGTAAGAACTGTCCAGTCACTGCCCTTATTAAGCACTGGAAAACAGTCTCTGCTTCTAAATCTGTCTGGTACAAGTAAAGGTCTCTTCCCACCCTCAGGAACTTGAGTTATTCTGCCCACCATTGTAGGTCTAGGTCCTCTCCAAGGCTGTACATTTGATAGGATTGAGCCATTTGAGAACCAGATGCACCAAATGGGCAGGTTTCTACTTTCTGTGCTCCTGCAAGGAATCACAAGTTTGTGGTCTGCTTCCCCAGACCTCAGTTAGAGGCAGGTTTTTTTCCCCTCCACTTGCTTTCTCTCAGATTCAAAAAGACGAAGTCCAGGGTTTACTAGCAATCATAAGCTGAAAACGGGGCATGAGAGCTACCCTGGAAGAAATAAAAATTTCACTCCCAATAGCAACAAAAACAAGATACCTAAGAATACACTTAACATGAAAGGTATGGGGCTTTGTAAAGAAAACAATAAACTATTATTAAGTAGTATAGACCCAAACACATGAATAAAATGTTACATGCCCACAAAAGAAAAGGCTTAATATTCTAAAGTTATTTTTTAATTAAAATTTAACGTATACAATAATGTAATTCAAAGCAAAGTGTATTAAGTTTGGGGTTATGAGAGAACTGAGTAAAATTAGTTCTGAGTTTATATGAAATAAAATATGTCCAAGAATATCCTCCCAAATTTTGCATTGAAGAGTAGGGCAAGACTGGACTTCACAGATAATACAAGTTATTATAAGATTATGCTAATTAAAATGGTATGCTTTTGGCATAGGAATATATACAGAAATTAGCAGAATAACAAAGAAAGACAAAAATAAATCTAAATATATATGGATATTAATTCATGACAAAGGTGCCATTTCAATTCAGTAGAAAAAGTAGAACTTATTTAATAAATACTGTAAGCATAGCTGGCTGGGAAAATAATTAAAATTTGCATGCACACTATGCAGAGATCAATTCCAGATGAATTAACTTCAAGCATAAATGATAAAAAATATTAAAAAGAAAACTAGGATATCATTTGTGCAAGCTTTGAGTGGGTGAGATTTTCCCAGGCAAAATGGTAAACCCAAAAGCTACAAAGGAGAAGACAAATAGAATTGACTATATAGATATTTTAAACTGTTGTATGGCATAAGACAGCATAACTGAAGTCAAAGATGACAGACTGAGAAGATATTTGACAGAAACTGTGTTCACAATCGTAAGCAAATCTCCACACTTGATTAGAAAAAGGTGAGCAATCCAATACAAAATTGTTCAAAGAATATGATCAGACAATTGGCAGAAGAAGAAATCCAAATGGCCAATAAACATGAAAAGAAATGTATCATTACTATCAAACCTAAGAAATTGACACACATAAAAAGTGTTCAAGGGGCAGTGCTGAAGAACAGCAGAGTTGTGAAATGGAATTCACATAGGATGCTGGTGGAGGTGAAAAATGCCACAACATATTGGAAACATGAGTTGGCAGTATTTATTCAAACAAGCTTTTCAGTTTGCATATACAGGCTATGACCAAAACTCGGACTTGAGATTATATCCTATTGACATAAAAAAGGCGAGTATATAAGGACTTTCACTGCACCATTTTGGTTACTGCAAAAATGGGATCTACTTGATCATCTACCAGTAGATAATAAATTATATTTTAAATTACAGGTGTGAAAGAACTGCACTGCACTTCTTAAAAGAATCAGATACAGCCATATCTATGAACCCGAGGAGATGTCTACTTTCAAGCATAAAAACAAGCTGCAGAGTGATATGTACACCATGATACCATTTAAAAACAAAAACAAAGTCTTACAAATAATAGCTATGTTTGGAAAAGGAGGGAGAAAGCCATAAAAGTATACATCCCAAGCTGATAGCACTGGTTATTTCAAGAGGATGGGAATGGGAGGAGGTGGAGGGAAGGTTATTATCTTTCTTTACACATATTTGGATTGTTTCACTTCTTAAAGTACATACTTGTTTTTCGTGACTTCAGAAAACATTAAGGACATTTAAAAAATAATTGTGCCTTTTTGGAATTGATTGTTGTGGTCAGTTTGACTACAGCACAGTGATTGGAAATGGAACTACGAAGTCAGATTGAAAATGGCAACAGGGTCCAAATAATGAAGGACGAACATATTTCATCCCTACTTAGGAGTATTTTGTGTTTAAGAAAGGAAGTGATCTCATCAGAAATGCACATTTTAAAAAACAATACAATTTAGAGCAGGAGTAGGGCATTTTGGAGTTGTCCATATCATAGTCATTGAAAAGCCCCAGCAAGAGGGAGAGGAAGAAGAAAATACAAAAATAATGTTTTTCAAACTACTGGTTACAATGTATTAATGGGTCTTGGAATGACTTGAATGGCTTGCTACTAAGATTTTTGAAAAATGAAATAGAATATAAATATCAGTGGTCACCACACTTCATAAGAGTGTTAGTCCATGAATTTTTTAGCCATATAGATATTCACATATGCAAATATGGCAAATATATTTTTACTGAATTGTGATGAAAAATGTTTCCAAGTGTGGGTTGCAGTTTAAAATGTTTAAAAGCTAGAGGTAAAACTGACAGAACACATCATCTGATAGATTGTGAAGTACAGGAAGCGATAATCAAATGATGTTAAGATTCAGAAATATATAGGCCTGGGGCGGTGGCTCATGCCTGTAATCCCAGCACTTTGGGAGGCCAAGGCGGGTGGATCACGACGTCAGGAGATCGAGACCATCCTGCTTAACACGGTGAAACCCCGTCTCTACTAGTAATACAAAAAATTAGCCAGATGTGGTGGCGGGCGCCTGTAGTCCCAGTTACTCAGGAGGCTGAGGCAGGAGAACGGCGCGAACCCGGGAGGCGGAGCTTGCAGTGAGCCGAGATTGCGCCAGTGCACTCCAGCCTGGGCGACAGAGCGAGACTCCACCTCAAAAAAAAAAAAAAAAAAAAAAAAGATTCAGAAATATACAAAAGGAAGGGATAACACACTTCACCTTATTTTACATAGCCACAGCCACCTCTAGGACACCACCTCTTCAGTTAAAGTCTACTCTAGGATACCTGAATAAAATTAGGATTCAGGCCAATTTTTACAAATAAGAGTAGTACAAGGTGCCAATATGGTATCATATTACACGTTCCAGAAAGGTAAATGGCCGTAAATATGTCCCCTCTTCTAGCACCTGAAATTCTACAATTAGCTTATTTCCTTTTCTGAATCATTTCAGATTCAGCTAGTCCATTTCAGATCAGCTTTAAAAAACAAACAACAACAACAACAAACAAGAGATGCTATTTAGAACAATGATTGCTCAAGACCCTTCACTCATGCCCCTACTCTCCTCTCCTGTCCAACCTTTTTTCGGGATAATTAACTCTTAACCACAGAATGTGGGTCAATCAGAATTAAAGACTAGACCCCTTTCTCCTTTGAGCCACCTGCTGTTTCTGGGTTCAGGTGTCTGTGCAATTGTTATTACACTTCATTTCTTTGTTGCTTCAGTATGTAAGGCCCTTGATTATAGAGGAAGTTGTTTATTATCACTGTTATTTTAATTTATCTTGATTTCACCAGCATCTGCACTATGTCTGGTACACAAAAGGTACAAAATTAGAATGGGTGAATAAATGAATGCACGCTAAGCCACTCACTAAATTCTCTTTCCATCTTTTACAAGTCTTTGCTTGGTAAACATCCACCTTCCTTGGATATTAAGCTTCTATGATCTGGGTGCTTTTCCGTTGTTATTTGATGAGCATGTGCAACCTTTCCATATACCCCTTACAAAAACAAAAACAAAGAGCAAAACCTTCCTCAAATTTTAAACCTATTACTTTCCTTCTTATCACTGACAAACTTTCTGGAAAACTACTCACATTTTACTATCTTCCTTTTCTCAATTGCATTCGCCTCTCAAATCTTAATATATGGCATCCCCTGATCACAGCCACAATTTGCAGGAAATATAGATGACAGAGAAACAGACAGCATAGGGATATCATTAACAAAATCCAGACTGTGGCAAACTTTACAGGAGAAACAACTCAATTTCTTTAACAACCAGTGGCATATTCATATGTCCAAACTCAGCAAATTGTATCCACTACATATGTGCAGTTTTTTGTGTATCAGTTATACCTCAATAAAGCTGTAAAACAACAGCAACAACAATTAATTGCAATAAATGAAGATAAAAGAGAGAGATGTAGGTAAGCATAGATTTAAAAGATATTAAACAATTTCAATGCATAGACATTTTCATTCCCATCAACTTTTATAAAGCAATTTATGAATTCACAAAAAATGGTGGGAAATGACCATTACAGAAATGAGAATTAAGTAGATATTTGATGACATAAAGAAATTGTTGTTGAGGGAGGAGCCAAGATGGCCGAATAGGAACAGCTCCGGTCTACAGCTCCCAGCGTGAGCGACGCAGAAGACAGGTGATTTCTGCATTTCCATCTGAGGTACCGGGTTCATCTCACTAGGGAGTGCCAGACAGTGGGCGCAGGCCAGTGGGTGTGTGCACCGTGTGCGAGCCGAAGCAGGGTGAGGCATTGCCTCCCTTGGGAAGCACAAGGGGTCAGGGAGTTCCCTTTCCCAGTCAAAGAAAGGGGTGACGGATGCACCTGGAAAATCGGGTCACTCTCACCCGAATATTGCGCTTTTCAGACTGGCTTAAAAAACCGCTCACCAGGAGATTACATCCTGCAACTGGCTCGGAGGGTCCTACGCCCACGGAATCTCGCTGATTGCTAGCACAGCAGTCTGAGATCAAACTGCAAGGCGGCAGCGAGGCTGGGGGAGGGGCGCCCGCCATTGCCCAGGCTTGCTTAGGTAAACAAAGCAGCCGGGAAGCTCGAACTGGGTGGAGCCCACCACAGCTCAAGGAGGCCTGCCTGCCTCTGTAGGCTCCACCTCTGGGGGCAGGGCACAGACAAACAAAAAGACAGCAGTAACCTCTGCAGACTTAAATGTCCCTGTCTGACAGCTCTGAAGAGAGCAGTGGTTCTCCCAGCACGCAGCTGGAGATCTGAGAACGGGCAGACTGCCTCCTCAAGTGGGTCCCTGACCCCTGACCCCCGAGCAGCCTAACTGGGAGGCACCCCCCAGCAGGGGCACACTGACACCTCACACGGCAGGGTATTCCAACAGACCTGCAGCTGAGGGTCCTGTCTGTTAGAAGGAAAACTAACAAACAGAAAGGACATCCACACGGAAAACCCATCTGTACATCACCATCATCAAAGACCAAAAGTAGATAAAACCACAAAGATGGGGAAAAAACAGAACAGAAAAACTGGAAACTCTAAAACGCAGAGCGCCTCTCCTCCTCCAAAGGAACGCAGTTCCTCACCAGCAACGGAACAAAGCTGGATGGAGAATGACTTTGACGAGCTGAGAGAAGAAGGTTTCAGACGATCAAATTACTCTGAGCTACGGGAGGACATTCAAACCAAAGGCAAAGAAGTTGAAAACTTAAAAAAATTTAGAAGAATGTATAACTAGAATAACCAATACAGAGAAGTGCTTAAAGGAGCTGATGGAGCTGAAAACCAAGGCTCGAGAACTACGTGAAGAATGCAGAAGCCTCAGGAGCCGATGCGATCAACTGGAAGAAAGGGTATCAGCAATGGAAGATGAAATGAATGAAATGAAGCGAGAAGGGAAGTTTAGAGAAAAAAGAATAAAAAGAAATGAGCAAAGCCTCCAAGAAATATGGGACTATGTGAAAACACCAAATCTACATCTGATTGGTGTACCTGAAAGTGATGCGGAGAATGGAACCAAGTTGGAAAACACTCTGCAGGATATTATCCAGGAGAACTTCCCCAATCTAGCAAGGCAGGCCAACGTTCAGATTCAGGAAATACAGAGAACACCACAAAGATACTCCTTGAGAAGAGCAACTCCAAGACACGTAATTGTCAGATTCACCAAAGTTGAAATGAAGGAAAAAATGTTAAGGGCAGCCAGAGAGAAAGGTCGGGTTACCCTCAAAGGGAAGCCCATCAGACTAACAGCGGATCTCTCGGCAGAAACCCTACAAGCCAGAAGAGAGTGGGGGCCAATATTCAACATGCTTAAAGAAAAGAATTTTCAACACAGAATTTCATATCCAGCCAAACTAAGCTTCATAAGTGAAGGAGAAATAAAATACTTTACAGACAAGCAAATGCTGAGAGATTTTGTCACCACTAGGCCTGCCCTAAAAGAGCTCCTGAAGGAAGCGCTAAACATGGAAAGGAACAACTGGTACCAGCCGCTGCAAAATCATGCCAAAATGTAAAGGCCATCGAGACTAGGAAGAAACTGCATCAACTAACGAGCAAAAACACCAGCTAACATCATAATGACAGGATCAAATTCACACATAACAATATTAACTTTAAATGTAAATGGACTAAATTCTCCAATTAAAAGACACAGACTGGCAAGTTGGATAAAGAGTGAAGACCCATCAGTGTGCTGTATTCAGGAAACCCATCTCACGTGCAGAGACACACATAGGCTCAAAATAAAAGGATGGAGGAAGATCTACCAAGCAAATGGAAAACAAAAAAAGGCAGGGGTTGCAATCCTAGTCTCTGATAAAACAGACTTTAAACCAACAAAGATCAAAAGAGACAAAGAAGGCCATTACATAATGGTAAAGGGATCAATTCAACAAGAGGAGCTAACTATCCTAAATATATATGCACCCAATACAGGAGCACCCAGATTCATAAAGCAAGTCCTGAGTGACCTACAAAGAGACTTAGACTCCCACACATTAATAATGGGGGACTTTAACACCCCATTGTCAACATTAGACAGATCAACGAGCCAGAAAGTCAACAAGGATACCCAGGAATTGAACTCATCTCTGCACCAAGCGGACCTAATAGACATCTACAGAACTCTCCACCCCAAATCAACAGAATATACATTTTTTTCAGCACCACACCACACCTATTCCAAAATTGACCACATACTTGGAAGTAAAGCTCTCCTCAGCAAATGTAAAAGAACAGAAATTATAACAAAGTATCTCTCAGACCACAGTGCAATCAAACTAGAACTCAGGATTAAGAATCTCACTCAAAGCCGCTCAACTACATGGAAACTGAACAACCTGCTCCTGAATGACTACTGGGTACATAACGAAATGAAGGCAGAAATAAAGATGTTCTTCGAAACCAATGAGAACAAAGACACAACATACCAGAATCTCTGGGACGCATTCAAAGCAGTGTGTAGAGGGAAATTTATAGCACTAAATGCCCACAAGAGAAAGCAGGAAAGATCCAAAATTGACACCCTAACATCACAATTAAAAGAACTAGAAAAGCAAGAGCAAACACATTCAAAAGCTAGCAGAAGGCAAGAAATAACTAAAATCAGAGCAGAACTGAAGGAAATAGAGACACAAAAAACCCTTCAAAAAATTAATGAATCCAGGAGCTGGTTTTTTGAAAGGATCAACAAAATTGATAGACCGCTAGCAAGACTAATAAAGAAAAAAAGAGAGAAGAATCAAATAGACACAATAAAAAATGATAAAGGGGATATCACCACCGATCCCACAGAAATACAAACTACCATCAGAGAATACTACAAACACCTCTACGCAAATAAACTAGAAAATCTAGAAGAAATGGATACATTCCTCGACACATACACTCTCCCAAGACTAAACCAGGAAGAAGTTGAATCTCTGAATAGACCAATAACAGGAGCTGAAATTGTGGCAATAATCAATAGTTTACCAACCAAAAAGAGTCCAGGACCAGATGGATTCAGAGCCGAATTCTACCAGAGGTACAAGGAGGAACTGGTACCATTCCTTCTGAAACTATTCCAATCAATGGAAAAAGAGGGAATCCTCCCTAACTCATTTTATGAGGCCAGCATCATTCTGATACCAAAGCCAGGCAGAGACACAACCAAAAAAGAGAATTTTAGACCAATATCCTTGATGAACATTGATGCAAAAATCCTCAATAAAATACTGGCAAACCGAATCCAGCAGCACATCAAAAAGCTTATCCACCATGATCAAGTGGGCTTCATCCCTGGGTTCAATATAAGGCTGGTTCAATATACGCAAATCAATAAATGTAATCCAGCATATAAACAGAGCCAAAGACAAAAACCACATGATTATTTCAATAGATGCAGAAAAAGCCTTTGACAAAATTCAACAACCCTTCATGCTAAAAACTCTCAATAAATTAGGTATTGATGGGACGTATTTCAAAATAATAAGAGCTATCTATGACAAACCCACAGCCAATATCATACTGAATGGGCAAAAACTGGAAGCATTCCCTTTGAAAACTGGCACAAGACATGGATGCCCTCTCTCACCACTCCTATTCAACATAGTGTTGGAAGTTCTGGCCAGGGCAATCAGGCAGGAGAAGGAAATAAAGGGTATTCAATTAGGAAAAGAGGAAGTCAAATTGTCCCTGTTTGCAGACGACATGATTGTTTATCTAGAAAACCCCATCGTCTCAGCCCAAAATCTCCTTAAGCTGATAAGCAACTTCAGCAAAGTCTCAGGATACAAAATCAATGTACAAAACTCACAAGCATTCTTATACACCAACAACAGACAAACAGAGAGCCAAATCATGAGTGAACTCCCATTCACAATTGCTTCAAAGAGAATAAAATACCTAGGAATCCAACTTACAAGGGATGTGAAGGACCTCTTCAAGGAGAACTACAAACCACTGCTCAAGGAAATAAAAGAGGATAGAAACAAATGGAAGAACATTCCATGCTCATGGGGAGGAAGAATCAATATCGTGAAAATGGCCATACTGCCCAAGGTAATTTACAGATTCAATGCCATCCCCATCAAGCTACCAATGACTTTCTTCACAGAATTGGAAAAAACTACTTTAAAGTTCATATGGAACCAAAAAAGAGCCCGCATCGCCAAGTCAATCCTAAGCCAAAAGAACAAAGCTGGAGGCATCACACTACCTGACTTCAAACTATACTACAAGGCTACAGTAACCAAAACAGCATGGTACTGGTACCAAAACAGAGATATAGATCAATGGAACAGAACAGAGCCCTCAGAAATAACGCCGCATACCTACAACTATCTGATCTTTGACAAACCTGAGAAAAACAAGCAATGGGGAAAGGATTCCCTATTTAATAAATGGTGCTGGGAAAACTGGCTAGCCATATGTAGAAAGCTGAAACTGGATCCCTTCCTTACACCTTATACAAAAATCAATTCAAGATGGATTAAAGATTTAAACGTTAGACCTAAAACCATAAAAACCCTAGAAGAAAACCTAGGCATTACCATTCAGGACATAGGCGTGGGCAAGGACTTCATGTCCAAAACACCAAAAGCAATGGCAACAAAAGCCAAAATTGACAAATGGGATCTAATTAAACTAAAGAGCTTCTGCACAGCAAAAGAAACTACCATCAGAGTGAACAGGCAACCTACAAAATGGGAGAAAATTTTCACAACCTACTCATCTGACAAAGGGCTAATATCCAGAATCTACAATGAACTCAAACAAATTTGCAAGAAAAAAACAAACAACCCCATCAAAAAGTGGGCGAAGGACATGAACAGACACTTCTCAAAAGAAGACATTTATGCAGCCAAAATACATGAAAAAATGCTCATCATCACTGGCCATCAGAGAAATGCAAATCAAAACCACTATGAGATATCATCTCACACCAGTTAGAATGGCAATCATTAAAAAGTCAGGAAACAACAGGTGCTGGAGAGGATGTGGAGAAATAGGAACACTTTTACACTGTTGCTGGGACTGTAAACTAGTTCAACCATTGTGGAAGTCAGTGTGGCGATTCCTCAGGGATCTAGAACTAGAAATACCATTTGACCCAGCCATCCCATTACTGGGTATATACCCAAATGACTATAAATCATGCTTCTATAAAGACACATGCACACGTATGTTTATTGCAGCATTATTCACAATAGCAAAGACTTGGAATCAAGCCAAATGTCCAAAAACGATAGACTGCATTAAGAAAATGTGGCACATATACACCATGGAATACTATGCAGCCATAAAAAATGATGAGTTCATGTCCTTTGTAGGGACATGGATGAAATTGGAAACCATCATTCTCAGTAAACTATCACAAGAACAAAAAACCAAACACCGCATATTCTCACTCATAGGTGGGAATTGAACAATGAGATCACATGGACACAGGAAGGGGAATATCACACTCTGGGGACTGTGGTGGGGTGGGGGGAGGGGGGAGGGATAGCATTGGGAGATATACCTAATGCTAGATGACGAGTTAGTGGGTGCAGCGCACCAGCATGGCACATGTATACATATGTAACTAACCTGCACAATGTGCACATGTACCCTAAAACTTAAAGTATAATAAAAAAATATAAAATAAAATAAAATAAAAAATAAAATAAAATAAAATAAAAAAAAGAAATTGTTGTTCATTTATCTTAGATGCAATAATAGTATGATAACTGCATATGTTTAAGTGACCTTATCTTTTAGTGATACATACTGAGATGCTTATGGATAAAATAATATGATGTCTGAACTTTGCTCCAAAGTAATACGGGAGGAGTGGATGGAGACATGGCTGAAGCAAGGCAATGAGTTGAGATTATTATGAAATCTGCATAATGGATACATAGAAATTTAGTGTTACATTTTAAATACTCCATAATAGAGAGTTAAAAGAAAAAGAACTGGTGCTTTCCACATCCTACTTAAACTGCTCTGGGCATAGTCAGGAATGACCAACGTGGCCAACATCAAGGGCATCTTTTCGAGTCATCATCATGATCCCTGCCATACCTAGCACTGCTGCTTACTCCTTACCTCTTGACAGTCTCACATTTGATTTCAAGGTTCTCTTCTGATATTTCCATACCTCCACTGTCCTCATCACAAAGTATGGTGGGAATACCTTTTGGGGAGCTGTGCTAGGATAGGGAGTTCCAAGACTAAATTAGAGTGGGTAAGAGGTACTTGTGTGAAGCGGCAGAGTCAGGCTGAGAAAGCAGAATCACTGTCCAAAGCCAATGTCATAGGTAAAAGTGCCATAGTTTAACTGTATGGAGTGAGAGGAGGGTGGATATGAAAACACATTATTATAAGGATGATATTGTGGAAGTTCAGAAGCAGAATAAAATCAAAGATGACCAAAAGTCCAGAAAGATTATCTTTAAAATGTCAAAAAAGTGCTTCATTCTTAAGAGTCTCTAAGCATCCATATGGTGGTGGTGATGACAGCCTCAGGTGCCACCTGCACAGCAGCCTGCCTCCCTAACAGAAACTTCTCAGTCTCCTGCATTAGCAACTCCAATTGCCCTCTCAATATTCAGCAAGGATTTGAGTGCCTTCCATATGCTCAGTATATTATCCTAGTTCTGCTTCTCATTTTACTTTATACCAATTGTTTTTAGCCTTTTTTAAATCAGAAACTCTTATGGGAATCCAATGAAAGGCATGGATCATTTCCCCAGGATAAAATGCCCATAAACACCTACACACAAAATTTGGCATGCCATCTATTTTATTGCATTGGAAATTTACTTCAAATATGCAGACTTAAAACAACCTTCTCTATGTCACAAATTATATAAATAGCCATTTTCTGATTATAAACAAAGGAAAAATGCAAACTGTATATGCAAAATAAGGTATCCCAATTGTGTTCAAAAGTAAATCTCAATGCTGTTGTGTTTCGTTTTGCTTTGTTTTCGCTTGACAGCAGTGCTGTAATTGTGGTGATGTTTGTGATTAGGTATGTTTCTGTCCTCTTTGGTTATGCAATTCTGAATTTTCATTTAGTTAATAACTAGAGCTAAATGTCTTACTTCTAAAGGTATGCAGCAAGAAAGGAATCATTTTGCTTTGTTCTCTCTGTTAGATGAAGATCACAAGCTGTCACAAGTGTCACAAGCTGGGTTTCCTAGAAGGTAGAATCTAAGACAATTAGCACATAGGAAGTTTGTTAGAGAATGCTGTTGGGATTAACACTGTGTAAGGGTAGGAAAGAAAGTAGAATTGAGCAGACAAAGAGGTTAATGGCAAGGCAACCTCCAGGAAGCTTCAGCTGCCCCAGAGGGAAGGCCCTACATAGTTATCCTGAGTAGGAGCTACAGGCCAGGCCATCAGGCACCCATATCAATCAATAGTTGGATTCTGGCTGTCCCAGAAAGGGTGTGACCTCAGATGAGGCTGTGCTTTTCAGCCAAGGCAATTCCTAAGGAGAGCTGACAGCTGAGAAGCCCCTTACAGCAGCTCTCCCAGTGGCTCTCCAAGCAGCTGGAGGAATACGTGTTTCATTCCTGAAGGGAGATCTGGGTAGCACATGACAGTATCCACTACAGGAGGTTTCTCTCAAAAAACACCAGAATTATCTGAGTCTCTTCAAAGTGAATTCTTGTCCCATCATTTCCGGTGTACCCAAGTCTGTACTGTCATCTTTGACAAGGTTTACGGCCTTTCTACTTTTGACTGCAGAGAAAGAGCTAGAGGTTTATCACCCTTCTCTCCAGCCTATAGATATCTGTCTCAGCACTAAAACTTTTACATTAAAACCTACCTGCAATCCCTTCTCTGAGAGATGAAAGTGGGCCAAAACAGTTTTCTTAGCCTGTTTTAAAATAGTTCCATCAGATTCTTGAATCAAAATATTTACCTCAAACATATGTCAAATTTTTCCACAAAGTAAGCCAAGTCACATGGGAACTCTATGTGGTCAAATATTCTGAAGGTAGATTTCCTTTTTACTCAGAGAAAGGGACATATGCATCTGATAGTTAGGTGCCTTAAAGCCTTGGTCTCTGGAAAACCTGAGAACTTCTTTCTAAAGTACAGAAAATCTTTATGTGATTCTTCCATTTATGGACTAAGCCTCTGGAAAAGACAGTGATTGAAATCTTTGGTTCTAATTGAGTTTATGGCTTTCAAGTCAGGATGATTATTTGGAAGTAAATGCCACTAAAATTACAAAGTCTGACATATTTTGGAGCATTGCAGATGCTTCAAAACTTGTAAAACAGAAATTCTTCTCCAATGGCCTCAGCATCACATAACAGTAGAAAACCAGAGGCATTGGTTGCTCTGATTGACATCAGCAGTGGTGTACCGGCAATATAAAGGAAACTGAGGAAATATCAGTGCTTCTTTATTAGGTGAGATTCTTTGCAAAGACACCTTTCTTCCTCCTCTTCTTTGACTATTTCCAGAGAACTTAAAGTTCTCATTAATTTTGGTTCTCACCAATTCTTTGTTTGGATATGAGAAACTAATCTTATTATAACAACAAAGCTAATAATTATTGAAGATCTTCTGTAGGCCAACTATAATTCTAAGTGCTTTACTTGTATTATCTCAATTTTCACAATAACCCCATGGAGTAAGCACTACTCTTACTGCCATGTTACAGGTTCCCACTTTTAGGGATGAGCAAAATGATACAACGTGAGCTTACAGAAGTACCCTAAACACAGAGAGCTAGTAAGGGTGAGGCCAAGATTCAACAAGCTGCTCTGCTTCAGTCTGTCCTCTTAGCTACACTACATGGTAATTCAAGTAGCTTTGAGGGACAAATGTTAGTCTGGGAATCATCCCAACATATTTACATGGAGCCTTCCTCTTATCAAAGTTCTACCTGGCCTGGTGTGCATTCAGGGTGACACACATAAGCTATAGCTTTAGCTTCATTGGCTTCACACTCTATAGACACGACTTGGCCCCAAAGAGGCATCACGGCTCCTGTGTTGCATGTTCAGCAATGAAGGTAGAACAAAAGATAGCTGAAATCTTCATTGACATTTATTAATTACAGCCAGATCCAGCATAAACAAAGACAAATTTCTATAAGCATAAATAGCAGGATGTTTTTATTTAATCCCTGTAGAGAGGAAACTATTCTTGATATTACAACGTGGGGATAAGGACAAGGACGCAGTGCTTAAGTATGTCCATTTTACACCTGTTTGGAGGATGTGCTCACTCTTCTTTGTCCCCTGCCACCCTGGATCCATTCTCTGCTCTTCCCCTGCTTCCCTGTGCCGCAGGAGGCTGATCTCTACAGACTCTCTCTCCCCAGGCTTCCAGGCTGACAGGCTACATTTGGATTCAACCAGTAGAAAGCTCCAGGCGGATGGTCAGAGGGCAAGAGGAGTGAGCACTAGGGGCATTTTTTCCCTGCTCCCTCCTGCTTTCTGCCTTGCTTCTGGCAGGGCTATCCCTCCAGGAATGCAGCTCCTCCTCAGCAGTCCTTGCTCTGTGACAGCAGTACTATTGGGACATCCCAGTGTTGCCAGTCTCTTGATGCCTCTCTATTCCTTACTGGTTTCTTAGCCCTGCCTATGTCTGTGTAAACAGTCCTTTATTCAATGCGTTGCAGTTGTGCCATCTGGGTGGAATTCTATCTCCTGCTGGGATTCTAACTGATCCAGAGTACAAAAGTACAATACTGCTCTAATAAAAATATTTGAGATGCAAAATGGAAAAACAGAATTTTAAAAATAAGAGGAAAAAAATGAAAGATAGCAGTCATTTGGGAGGCCTAATTTATAAACCCCTGAAAGGCCACATTTACTAGGTTAAAGGCCCTGCTCTGTGCAATCTTCCTAGGTGATCCTCATCCATTCCCATGACTTCAAATATTATCTATAATCTTGCCCTCCAAGTGTAGCCCTTGGACTGGCAGCCTCAGCATCATCTCAGAGTTGTTAGAAATATAGACTCTCAGGGCCACCCCAGATGTACTGAATCACATTTGTATTGTAAAATTCCTATTTATTCATAGCCACATAAAAATTTGAAAAACACTAGCTAGAAATATGATGACCCTGTGATGGTTAATATTGAGTGTCACCTTGATTGAATTGAAGATGCAAAGTATTGTTTCTGGGTGTGTCAGTGAGGGTGTTGCCAAAGGAGATTAACATTTGAGTCAATGGACTGGGAAAGGCAGACCCACCCTCAATCTGGGTGGACACCATCTAATCAGCTGCCACCACTTCCAGAATAAAAGCAGGCAGAACAACGTGAAAAGACTAGACTGGCTTAGCTTCCAAGCCTACATCTTTCTCCTGTGCTGGATGCTTCTTGCCCTTGAATATCGGACTCCAGATTCTTCAGCTTTGGGACTCGGACTGGCTTCCTTGATCCTCAGCTTGCAGATGGCCTATTGTGGGACCTCACCTTGTGATCATGTGAGTCAGTACTCCTTAATAAATTCCCCTTTATATATACATCTATCCTATTAGTTCTGTCCCTCTGGAGAGCTCTGACAAATACAACCCCTAATTTTATATCGTTAGCCCAGTAGTCCACAACAGTAGGGGGCAATTTTGCCCCTCATGGGACATTTATCAATGGTTGTAGATATTTCTGATTGTATGAAAGGTAAAGTATTCACAAGTTCTAGAAATTAGAACATGGACAAGTTTAGAAAGCCATTTTTTGCCTACTAAAAGTTTTTTTTAAAATTTCTGAGCATTCCATTATATCGATGTATCAAAATTTATTTAGACAATTGCTAGTTGATGGACATTTGAGTTGTTTGCAGTTTGTAGTGATTATGAATAAAGCTCCTATTTACATTATAAAAAACACAGAAAAACACAGAAATTTCTGGTTGTTACAACTAGGAAGTGCTACTGGCATCTAATGGGTAGACACAAGGGTTCCTGCTGAACACTGAACCAGACAGCCCTCTATAACAAAGAATGATCCGGCCAACATGTCAGCAATGCTGAGGTTGAGAAACCCTGCTTCAGGCCTGCCTCCCAAGCCCTTGACCCATGTTTTTGACAGTCCAAAATATAACTCTATCTTGATATCTAGAGATAACTCAAATTCCACTCTTCCTTAAATCACCATCATAATTCCCAAACCTAAATCAGCCTCTAAGTCCCTTTTCTTTCCTAAGTTAGAAAACTGGAAATCATCCTGAATGCCTCTGTCCATTTCACCAAATTGCTCATAAAATCCTGTCACTTTCACCTCCTTTGTACCCTTCTCTGAGCTGCCTTAGGGCATACCCTCTCATTCTTGCCTCATCTACTAAGTAGCCTTTTAGTGGATTCTGGGTCACCTGGGTCTCATCCCTTTAGTCCACTCCTCACACTGAGTCCTGAGTCACCATCCTAAGGATAAATGTGATCCTCCCACTTTCCAACTTAAAGATTCATTCTAGTTCCCCAACACTTGGTGCCGAAGTTGTAAAATTGTATCCCCTGGATATGATGGTATGATTAATTTGGTTCGCACGGTGTTTTTAAAATTGAGAGATTTAGCATAAAATTTCACTTTTCTAGCTACTCTTAAAAAATGAGAAGATGTATCATCCCTGAGCTCAGAGTCCCACATAAATTGATTCTGCTATTCTCTCTCCATGGGTCATAAGCTTTTCAGTCTGCCCCAGTGTCACTTGTACCTGAACCCATTTTCTGACTTGAGCCCACATGCACTTTGGCATACAGAATAATATCTAAAAGGCTTAAATTTGACTTAGAATGCTAGTAACACAAACTGGTCTTAATTTACCTTTCCACCTCATCCTCTACACCCTTCCACACACACACACAACAGCTATCTAAAAAATACACTTTTATGAATATTCAAATATACACATTATCTCAGAAAGTTGAGTAAGTTATTTATTTTCATTTATTCAACAAATATTCATTGAACACCATATTATATGCTAGGCATTGTTCTAGGTGTTGGGGATCTTCTGGCAGGAGAGGCAGAAATAAAATCTGTCCCAGATGACGATGAGTGCTGTGAAGAAGGAAGTGGGGATGAGGGATGAAGGGCAACAATGGGAGGGAGGGAGGTGCTCTTCTACACAGAGCACTCAGAGGAGGACTCTCTGATAAGATGACATTTGGATGGGGACCTAAAGGAAGTAAGAAAGTAGGCTACAGAGATATCTGGGGGAGAGCACCTGAGAAGGCCTTAAGGTTAGAATACGCTTAAAGCACCTGAAAATCTGCAAGGCAGTTATTGTTGCTGGAGCAACTTAACCAAAGGAGGTTGAGATGAGAAGTAAGGCCAGAGTATCAGTTAGAGAATCAGAATATGCAGAGCCTTCTGGCCCATCATGGCACTCTGCAGAGTAAAATAAAGAAATATTGGAGGGTTTGAGCAGAGGCATGGCATAATGATTCTTTTCAAAAGAATCACCATTGCTACTGTGCAGAAAACAAACTTTAAAATGGCAAGAATGGAAGCAAGGGAACCAAATAAGGAACTAGTACAACAGTCCATCATATCATCACATACATCTTAGCCATATCATATATACATATTATAGCTTTCAAGTCATATGCTTCCTACCATCTTGACTTAAAGCAGCACAAAGCATACCAGAAGAATAATTAATTATATATTCACAAGACCTTATAGGACAGCCTATGCCATGAATTGACATTTATCATCATAACATTCACTAAAACTCCATTGTCAAAAAGCATTTCCCCTTTGAGACACTCAATTTTCTTTTCATAAAGACTGTCAAAATTATGTCTCAGATCTTCAGTTGTTGGTGGGGAATTGGGATGGAAAGTGACAGTTGAAAGAAACCAGATTAGCTATGGGTTCAAAATTGTTGAAACTGGAAGATGGTTACCTAAGGGTTCATTACACTATTCTTTCTATTTTTTATTATTTTGAAATTTTCCATAAAGTTTTTTAAATTAGCATTTAGATATTACTAATATTAACATTTTAATATAGGATTGTTTTAAATACACACTTTACTAGTTCTATAATTATTCCTATATTTAAATTCTAAGCTATATTTTATGTATTTGATAAATGAATAATAATAGAAAAATCCTCAAAGATGAACTACAAACTATATTAAGATTTTTAAAAACTGGAAGTCTAGAACATTAGAATATTTTACATTAATTATCTTGTCTGTTTTTCAGACATAGTAATTTTAATCCTTATTATAGTAGCTTTTAAGAGGGCTAAATACTTCTTCCCATTAAGGCTTGCTAGATATAGTATCTGAAATTTGCTTAATAAATTGCACCTTCCTTGAAAAGAAAAGGTGATGGACTGAAAAATGTTTAGCTCAACCATGCATAATTGATAGGCTCCCTAGTGCAAATAAGTGTCTAATAAATAATTAAATTTAATCTCATTATAAGAGTTTTCATAATGGGATAATTTAATTAAATGAAAGCCAAAAGGGTTTCTAAGGGTTGAAAGATGCTAATGTTGCTATATTTGGCTAATGGTCTGGGGATACTATACTGAAGAAAGTAATTCACATGGGTGCATGCATTATTTAATGAATCCCTCTGAGATGGAAGAAAGGACAGATCAATGATAACTTGTCATTTTATCATTGCTTACAAAGCACATTTAAACAACCTAGGATATGTTAAAGGTGGAAAACATGGAAAAAAATTTCACAATTCTTTTAAAAGACAAAGTAACTACATCCATAATATTACACAGGAAGCTTTTTTTAAAAAAATTAAAATACACATTTTTCTATGTACCACTATGTCTACTTTTTATCTATTACTAAAATGAACATAAATAAAATCTCATAAGCTGCTGTAGAGTCAGGTCAGATCTGGCGCTAAGTGAAAGTAATAATGGATACAGCATGTATATCTGATACTAAAAAATTGATAGCTGAGTCATGAGGGACCCATTAACAAGCTTTTTGAGTGAGCAGAGTTTTGTGCTTCAAGTCTCCAGAAGCACTTAGCCAGACTAGAATAGTAAAATTGTAGTCTAAGTAGTTATCTCAGTTACAGGTGATCAGTTATGAATTAATATGAATGGTGAAAGGCATCACTCTTCTATATTATTTTTAAAAGCATCATTTTGTGAGAGGCAAAGGTAACAAACACCACAAAATTTGACCCAGGTTGTCAAGGCAGGTTTGTGGGTTTTTTCCTACCATTAACATGGCAATTAAAAACACTTAGACTAGGCATACTCTTGATTTTTTAAAAAAGTTAAACATAACTTTTCATGTGGTGGTCATGTCCAAATTTTGCATTTAAAACATCACAGAACTAACACATTGGCCTCAGAGTGCCAGGTCTATATTTGGGACAAATACTACAATCCTCTGAAACCTGAGTCATGGGGCTCTCTGAGCCTAGGAAAAACCTTGTTTACAGGGAAACTCCTTGTTTTCATCAGGGATAAAAAGATGGATGAGCAATGGATCATTACTTCAATTCCAGGGGTGATCAATCAATTGTTTCAGGTTGGTGCTGTTGCAAGGAATCCCCCTGAAACTTAGATGAATGTTTCTCTTGGATGGGAACTCAGCACAGACTTAGAGAACTATGGAGATGAAAGGACACTGGACACTTCCTAGTCCCACTACTTCCTTTTACAATGAGGAAACTGAAGGCCAAGAAAAGTGATTCGCTCAAGGCCATCCAACTGTTTAATGAAAGAACCAAACTGAAAATCTAGATTTTTCTAAGTGCCAGTCTAGGAATTTTCTTCTACTATGCCAAGTTGCCAAGAGGAATTTTTTAATGATGGTGACATAATAGGATTTTTCAAAACTTACATCTGTCACTACATGCTCAAGTGTGTGTGTCTGGTGGGGTAGGGCAACTTGTGGATACGAAAGTCCTAAAGGTTGTGGAAAAAAATGATGCAGCCCTTTGAACAGCTGTTTGGTGGTGGCAGCAGTCAACCATAGGTTACATAAATACAGTGGATTGGCTTTGTCCAGCTCTTGAGTTGGCCTCCTCCAAACTTCTTCCCTGCTCTCTAACCTTCAATTAAGACATATGGGATGTCAAAAAGGTACCTGAAACTGAACTAATGTGCTCTAAGCAGCTGCTGCCACTGCACCTGCAAAATGAACAATGTAGTGTGTTGTCCATGTGTATACATGTGTGCAAAGGGAGGGGGACAGGTTGACATGGGGCCAAGAGAATCCTAAGATTTGAAAAGTATCGGCGTCAGTATTCAAGGTATGTTGGGTAGTAGTTAGACAAATGATTACCTGTAACTATCAATTTTTAAAGAAGATGCATTTTTCTACAGTGGTCTAATATCTCCTTTCAGGTATTTTTTAATCAGAATATTTGGTTTCACTTAACGTAAAGATGATAATTCTGAATCTGGAACTCTCTTTTGTAATAAACATTGATTCTTCTGATACCTCTGAAAAAAATGATCACTTTACTTTTATGGGGAAGCCTCCCAGATATATTTTGTCTTGTTTTGTTATACAGAGAAGTCAGTAAAATCTGGTGAGCTTTTCTGGGATAAAGCAGATGACATTTAAGGCAACTTTCCTAATCCTTCCTCCTTTTGGAGACATTAGGGGTTTTACTCTCTAGAGCTGCTGTCTCTCCAACAACTATTACATTGGTTACTGATCTTTGGTAACAGGAATGGGAACATGCAGGTGGCAAAATACTTGCTTCTGTTGTTTCTCAGGCATAGAAAGTGCAATGCCCTCGGCAGACTCATTCCGAATGTGTTCATAATTAGGGTATTGTCTCTGTCTGTGGTCTGTATATTCTTAGGGAAAGGCACTTATCTACAGATACCTACTGTATTAGTCCATTCTCATGCTGCTAATAAAGACATACCCAAGACTGGGTAATTTATAAAGGAAAGAGGTTTAACTGACTCACAGTTCAGCATGGCTGGGGAGGCCTCAGGAAATTTGCAATTATGGCAGAAGGGGAAACAAACGCATCCTTCTTCACATGATGGCAGGAAGGAAAAGAATGAGTTGAAGGGGAAAAGCCCCTTATAAAACCATCAGATCTCATGAGAACCCCATCACTATCAGGAGAACAGCATGAGGGTAACCGCCCCCATGACTAAATTACCCCCCACGGGATCCCTCCCACAACACATGGGGATTATGGGATCAACAATTCATGATGAGATTTGGGTGAGGACACAGCCAAACCATATCACCTGCCTTTATTAGGAACAATGCTACAGGGCAAAAATGATTATTCTCGTTTTACACATGAAAATTTTAAACTTGGAAACCTGCAGAAACTAATCAATGATCACAAAAATAAGAACCTAAATCAGAACCTAAATCCTGTTTTTTTTTCCTTAAAGTATGTGGCTTTTTCCCTCCACCAAAAGATGTTATAAAGTACTAATGTTCACAAAGGCATTATGTTTTCAAATTGTTGTTATTGGGTATGGGGGTGTCTTTGCTATCATTCCAAAAGTTTAGAAGAGCTCTTACAGGGCAAAACTAAGTTGATAAAAACATTCTCAAAGATTGAATGTAAATCTCAAAGATTGAATGGAAACAGCATACTGTTTTAAACATCTGAAATATTTTTCCCCAACAACAACGGTACACATAGGAATGACACTCATTTCAATGTCCCTCATTACAATGTAGCTTTGAGGATTGTTCTTGAAATATTTTTATCTTTATATTTTCTGATCCATCACGTTCTAATGGAGTATTATTTGTTTTTATTCTTCAAACTGGCAAGAAAAATCCATAGTCAAATTGTTTTTATTTATTCAGGATACTCAAATAATCATAATAATTTTCAATAAGAATATAGTTATTTCATTGTCTTTCTTGCTTAATAACCCCATTTTCTTCATATTGTGATTGTATCTCTACATAAAGGATTAGTCATCCACGACCGATAAGGGTAAGGAGAGGAACAAATGTTCTTTAATTAATTTCATTTAATGTGTTTCAAATATACAATACCACTATTTAAAATTAATGAATTTACTTTGAACTTTTTCTCATGTACCCACATTTTTTTCTTAAAATAGTTAACAGCAAACTACAGAAGACTCTTGATTCAAAAGGCATACATTCCAAAATATACCTATTCTGTAAAAGGTTTGCCAGAAAATGTATAGGCAAGACCTGAAGACAACTGAGTAGAATACAGGTCTTGGATAGATGGTTAGGATCACTCCAGCTAGTAAATTGTTTTTACTTGTTCCCCTGTCATTTGTTAATGCTTCTATTTATTTTGTAACCTTAGGTAAATGTTAAACAACAACTTCAAATATCTAGAAAAATGGCCAGCCAAAATCTCTTTTCTATAGAAGTAGCAAGCTTCTTTCTTTAAAATATAAGACAAAATGTTGGATGAAATTACCTAAAAAATATTCACCGTCTGTCACAGGTGCTTCCCAAGCTGCAACACCACCTATACCAGGCACAAGCATTTTTCAATAACAGAATATTGCCAAGGGAATATATTTATCTGGCATACATTCCAAATGAAATATAAGCAATCAAATTTCCTAAAATTGTTACAGTCAGATCCACAATCTCTAGTTAATGTATTTAATCCTAAAACATCTGAGTCAAAATTCAATGATTCAAATGGTAATGAGAGTGTATAAAGTATGTAAGAAAATAGGCATGACCATTGGTTTCAAAATTAAAGTTCTAATACTGAGGTTTAAATATCCCAAAATGCTTTGCTTAAGAAAATCTTGAGGTTTTACATTTGTGAATATACATGGTATATGATAATTTCTATGAAGGCATAATTTCTCCCAAATCCAGGACTCACCTTAATGAAATATGAAGCCCACTCACATGAAAAAACTGCATTAGAGACAGAACTCTTCTGACTGGGAACAGTAATTTCAGTAAGATGGCAAAACTGGTGAATGTCACCTTATCTGCCCAGCTGGAGAAGCCTGTTTCCAGTCTGGACATATTTTTTGGCCTCTGCACTATGGGATCAATGCTATTTCCCCTTGAACTTTCTGCTTGCTAAGGTTTTTCACTTTTGTGACATTCCAGGTCTCTGTTCTCATCCTGGCCTGCTGGATGGTTTCCTATAGTCTACTGGGTTACATGTGACTTCCTTCCTGCGGCTCTACGGGCTAAGAGCAGTAACATCAGGCTCCTAGTAAGAATAGTCACCAGATCTCTTCAAGAAAAGCCAGTAGAATTCCAGAAAGAAAAATGAGAGCTTCCTGACTTATGTTCCACATTGTTTCTAAGAAAATGCACATTTTAGGCCGGGCGCGGTGGCTCACGCCTGTAATCCCAGCACTTTGGGAGGCCGAGACGGGCGGATCACGAGGTCAGGAGATCGAGACTATCCTGGCTAACACGGTGAAACCCTGTCTCCACTAAAAATACAAAAAAAAAAAAAAAAAAAAAAAAATCAATGAGCCGGGCGTGGTGGCAGGCACCTGTAGTCCCAGCTATTCGGGAGGCTGAGGCAGGAGAATGGTGTGAACCCGGGAGGCAGAGCTTGCAGGGAGCTGAGATCATGCCACTGCACTCCACTCCAGCCTGGGTGACAGAGGGAGACTCCGTCTCAAAGAAAAAAAAAAGAAAATGCACACTTTAAAAACTTGCTTCTTAAAGAGGGAGAGGTTGAGAAAGCAAATAGTAAACTTTTGAACAGCAAAATATAATTTTTAAAGATAATGTATGCTAATGATTTTTACAGATCCAAAAATGATGTTCCCCTTATTTTTTTAACCAAGCCTATGAAATTTTCACATTAGTTTTAATTATTACCTGTTCTGAAATATGATTAAACATCCCTTCCACAACACACACACAATGGGAAAAGTACCTTCTGCACACAACCATAAGGGGGGAAATTTCCCTTATCTAAGGAGCTTAGTATCAATAAGCAACTGATTCCTTTCCAGATTTGGATATTCTTGGATCAGAAAAAGGCACCTTTAAAAAGTGAGTTCTCCCTTGAATCCTTAGTGTGTGTGTGTGTGTAGGTGAATGTATTTGTTTGCTTTGGCATCACTGGTATCATTGGAATCATGTCCCAGTATTCTACCCATAAACAAGCATGCTTGCTGGAACAGCCTGAAAGAGGGGCAGTATTCCAGGGAACCAATGGACAAGCCAGCACTGAGAGGAGCCACTGCCAACAATGGGGAAAGAAAGCAAACGTGAAATTCTAAGACCAATGCATCTCCACTCCGGATGTCAGAGGTCTGGGATGGCAGAAAAGGTGAAAAGGTCCAGATTAAAGCTATATAGACCTCATGAGGCTGATAGAACCTTGTATTTATTTTTTCTGGGAGGTTAGTTTAGCTAAGCAAGGAATGAAATATAATATCATCCATTCTGGCTGATATTTCAATAGTGTTGACTAATAAGAATATGCATTTATAAGTTAATCAAATACTTTAGTATGGCCTAAACTAATTGTTGTAGGTCATTTCTTTAATCACAGGATGAAAAACACAGCTCTTAATAACATGATTTTTTAACTTTTCAAATAACTTTTCACTGAAATCTGGGTCCATTCTCACATGGAGACATTAACAAGCAAAGTAGAATTATCGTTTCCATGTGAAGTACCCTGGAATTGTAAGAGCCAAACAAGGAAAGGGAACCACAACAGGATGGCAGGATATCAGATATACAAGACATATTTGATGTACAAGATCTACCAATTGCCAAAGATTCTTGCCAAGGAAGTATCACTGGAGTTTGGATGAGAGAAAGACTTGGGAGATCAGGGAGAGTGCAGTATGCAGGTAACTACCAACGCAGGGAAGAGAGGGGCCTGCTTCCCCTCTGGCCAGTTCCTGGCCTAACCGGAGGGCTGTTCTTGGGAGCATTCGTGGTTTGCCTTGCCCTTGGAGAGGGAATAGCTGATGTCTTCATGGGGTTTCTGGCCCTTTTTAGACCCTCTCCTTAATATTTAAATCACCAGGTTTGCAAAATAGAGATCTAGTTTACTCAAAAACTATTATAATATCAAAGATTGATGACTTACAATTTTGCTTTATAAATTAGAAATATAAATTCCCAAATCTAACCTCCTTTAATGTTACAGTGGTTGAACTCTTTGTTATTAGTTGCTTTGCTCTGAAATAAAGAGTTGCTTTTAAGAAAAATGGCTTTTTATGTATGACTAAAGTTTTCTTACTTAAAACACAGAATTTATGCATTAACCCTAAAGATTCCTAAAGAAGATGAGAAATAAAAAGCAGGAAGAAGACTCAGAATGAGAAATTTGAAGCCATGACCCAAAATTTGCATAAGATAGATTGTACAGTAGTATAAATCATGGTAACAACTTGTGAGATATAGGTGATTTCTAACAGAGTATGAAGCTGGTCTGCTTTGAAGCACTGTCTTGCGGTTTTCCTCTTCCGTGTGACTGATCTAAACTTAGCAATGATTTTGGGGCTACAATTTTTGTTCTCTTGAAACATCGCAATTTTTCATGTTTTTCCCTTCTCTTTTTGGATATTGATGTTGGTTGGCCTTGCTGTTGCTTCGGATGGGAGTTTACACGAGGCAAGCCCTGCTTAGCTGCATCAGCTTGTGGAGCCTTCCTCCCTATGTTTGGTTAGCTTATTATATCGACTCCCCTGCTGCTTAATGACCTGGTTGTAGTTTTGTTTTATGGGTTTTCCTTTTAAATGATAACAATTAAAAACAAGAGAGAATAAATGTCCCAGGCATCAAACCAAAATATATGCAGAAATAAAGAGAGATGGAACACTTAAGGAAAGTCCATTCAGAGTAGCAGACCATAGTCTGAATTATTAGTATTTCTACCATTGCCTCATTGAAGGCTGCTGAATAAATTACCTACTTCTCTCACCTCATTGTGGGCTAAGATCATGTCACCTTTTATGCCTTATATAACGCCTAGTGAGGTCACTGACTTAAAAATCAATAATGTGTTAATAAACAGAATGCCAGTTAGTTCAACATATATGCTGAAAAACAAAAAACAGGGAAGGCTAGTGCATCTCAAAAATTATTAGAGATGGAGCAGTAGGCCAAGTAGGTGGCTCATGCCTGTAATCCCAGCACTTGGGGAGGCTGAAGTGGGAGGATTGCTTGAGTCTAGGAGTTCAAGACTATCTTGGGCAATATAGCAAAAACCCTATTTCTACAAAAAATAAAAAATTAGCCTGGTGTGGTGGAAGGGTTGCTTGAGCCTGGGAGGTCGAGGCTGCAGTGAGCAGTGATGGCACCATTACACTAAGCCTGGGGGACAGAGAGAGACCTTGTCTCAAAAAAAAAAAAAAGAGATGAATCAGTAATATAATTAATATTTTCATATGGGTGAGTCTGGAACGAGGCATATGGGTGAGTCTGCATTGGCTCCTGACCATGTTTCCATTGAATGGTTAAGTTGCCATAAGAAGCAATTTTTTGGCTTATAGGAGAAAGTATTACTGATTGATGGACTGGAATAGATTGCCCAGAGAGTGCTTTGGTTAACGTTATTTTGTTCGGGGGAGAAGTTATGAAGAAGTATGGATAAGCATGTTTTTTGGGGGAGGAGAGCATTAGTAAAAAGTATTTAATGTAACATCAGTTGATGCTTTAAAACAATGCTACCAACCTATGTTGTTGTGTGGCAATGATGCATTTTGTAAAAACCTAATAAAATGTCAGAATAAGATTTATGCAACTATTACAAAACTAAAACAATCTCATGAGTTTAAAATGTATCCAACTTCCATTATACCAAAAAATTGTAATGCAAAATACATGAATAAGATCAATCTTCAAGGCTGAAACTTTCAAATGCCTCCCTTTTAACAAAATGCATAAAAAACTAGGGGAAATACTCTGTACAGAGCACCATGAAATATACAAACTTTCCTAGAACAAGATCCTGCTATAGCCAATTCTACCCCACTGGCTGTCTAGTTACCTCAATCTGAATAAGAAACGCTGTTAAATTTAACAAGGAACATCTGTTTTTCATTTGAGGTGCATTCAAGTGTTCATTAAAGTGTCCTAACTGCTCTTTTCTTTTTCTATTTCACAATGGCTTTCCTTTTAATACTATTGCAAGTTCAGCATGTGACTTAAAAAAACCTCAGAGTCATTGTGGCATTTCCTTTGAAAAATGCCAGGAGAAACAAGAGAGAAAGCTGAAATCTCTAAGTTTAATAACATTTTATTATTATTCACCTTTTCCATATTCCTAGGGGTGTTTATTTTCAACAATTATTCAAGTAGGCTTCATTGAACCTGAATACCCCAGAGGCCTTCACTCCTGTCTGCAGAGAGGCCCAGGAAAACAGATCTTGAAAGTGAGTTATTGGTATAAGACCCCTTGATGGAAGTATTTGGTCACCTTCTATAGGAGGAAAAATCAGTTCAAAATAATTTAAATGCAATGCCTCATATTGCCAAATTCATTAGAATATATAATTTATCCTGAGTCTTCGTTTTCCAAACATGACCTTTGTTTTCTTAAAAGCATCAAAATTAGCAAATGAATTTGGATACTTACTTCATTGAAGGAGTAGAAAATATTTTACAGATTTATAGTGCAGACCTATCAGATTTTAACTAATAAATTGCATCTAAATGTAACAAAAATCACTTTCATTTTAATAAATGATAAAAGATGTCTAATCACTCAAGCACACAATTAAGTTGATTTCAAAAAATATATTTTTAAGAATGTTGCTAAATACACCTCTAAAATAAAAATCCTTGTATTTTAGATAATTTAGGTCAAATTATAATAATATACTACATTGGTAGGCACCTTGATAATAAGAGAAATATAGAAGTATCTTGTGGCTGAAAAAGCAGCACAGAAATCAATTCCAGTATGAAACAGATTTTTGTCAAAAATCACTTACCTAATATGATGAATTGTTCAAATGTTACAGATAGAAAAACAAAGGCTTACTCAGAGTAGGTGCTCAATAAATATTAGGTCCTCAAAAAATATGTATTAAATAGAGAGACAGAGGTTATGAGCCCAGAATCTGTCATTCTATTTCATATAAAAGGGACTTGTGTATTTCCAGATAGCATTTCTGATTTCCTACCTGATTTTGAATAAAGAGGACAGGTAGCACTATGATTATATTATTCCTGTTGATATAAAAGATGAACTATAAATACAGCATTGTTAAGCCTTGTCAAATGAAGTTCTTTGATAATTTGAACAAAAACTACCTGTAGCTTAACTTTGGCATTATGAATACAGTCAAGTCCTCTGTGAAAATTAGTTATGAAAGTAGAATCTTAGGAATAAGTCTATATATAAACTTACTTTAAAATGCAAGTAAATTAGTGCTAGTAAAAATAACTTACAAACACCTATCAAGCAAGGCTTTGTTAGTATAGCCAGAGCCACTGTATAAATTTGAAAGATATTTTATTTAAAATGTATTAGCCCTATAGTAAAAACTTTAATTCACAGGTTTCATCTTCTATGAAAAGTCCAGTAATAGCTTGCCTTTATTAAAGACTTATGTGCCAACCACTCTGCTAAATCCTTTATGTGTAATATCTCATTTGATCTTTCCCATAACCACAAAGAAGATATCATTAAGAAAAAAATAACCATTTTTATCTTCATGTTACAGTTGCAGAAGACTTATGTTCAGAGGAGGTAAATACACTACCCAGAGTCACACACAGACAGTCAGTGGCAGAGCTGACATTTGAGTTTACAATCTGTTCGCTATACTTGAGTACAAAGATTATCCTGAGAATCCAGCAGGACAATAGAGTAAATTAGGAAAAGGAATCCTGGGAACCAACATGAGAATCTTGAAAAAGAGGTGAGCTAAGAGTAAGTTGGAAGTCATGAATTGATCATCTTCAGGACAGTGCCCTGCATCATCACTTCTGGTCTGGGATATGAACATCCAGTTGAGTCATGTCTAGAAATAACCTGTGGTAAATAATTGATTCCTTTATGGGAGGCTGGAGCCAGCCCATCTGGGATGCTGGCCAAGGGGCTGTTATCCCTGAAACCAATGGGGGTGGGTGCTGTAAAGGTTCCCCAAGTAGCCAGAAATGAAGAAGCCAGAGGGTAAGAATGAAGTTGCTTTATGGTGCAAAGTCAAAAGCTACCTAAGTCACTTTAAGACCAAAGCCAAAAGGTGATGTGGGAGAAGATAAGGGGCAACTGAAACACAGGTAGTTGGAAATAAATTGGAAGACTCTAGAAAGGAGAAAAAAAAAAAAAACACTACAGGGCCTAAGAACATGGAACAAGACAGCTTGGCTTTAATTAAGTGGATAAGTCCTTTGTAGAGTCAAGGTAGACACCCAAAACTTTCTAGGATATAAGAGGGATTTTTTAGTCTATGTTTGACGGCTATAGATGTCCTAGACCGTAATGTCTTAAATAAACCTCTCCCTGGTATTAACTCAGCTACTACACAAGAAATCTATTACCTATTTTTTGAGTATAATCATGTTCTCAGTCCTCTGTTAAGTGCAAAGAGAAAGAGAAAGGAAATAAGATATAATCCTTGATTCCCACATTTATATCTGGTTAGGGGAGAAGAGTAATCTCTCTGTCTCCCTTCCTGTAAGTATATTCAGTGAGCATCTCTCTCACATGACCTATGGAAAAATCACATCAACTCACTCTGTTTTTTAAAATGTTTCTTGAATACAATACTTTCTTTTGCTTTCCTTTTGCCACCGCTCCAGTCTGGGCCCACAAGCCTGGACTAGAAATTCCTAATGTCACTCTTCTGTGGATGACTAACTCTGTGAAATACTTAGAGGCATTACTCTGCCTAGTCCCTGATACCCTCCCTCTTCAAAAAAAGAAAAACAAAAGAACAAGTCCCAGGATTAGACATGTATAGGAAACAGAATTGCTAGGGTCTTTAAAATATGCTAACTGACATTGTGCCTTCTCCAAGAAGACACTACCCACCAGTATTTTCCAAATTTCTTTAACCATTCCTCCCTTCTTTTTGAGGAAAGTCTTCTTTTAAGGAAACTCAAGATAAGACTTAGGGAAGTATTAGTCTGTGTTACTGAAAGAGACTCCACAGGGCATCCTCTTTACACAATCCCCCCCATCCTCTAAAGTCACTCTATACATTGGTATCACATTGTTTTTCCAAAGGTATTACTTTGCATATTTCATCCACCTAATCATAACCTTCACAGGCTCCCCTATGATTACTTTATGAAGCCTAAATTTGGCAATCTGTCAAGATGGGACCCTTCCATTTGGATAGCCTGATCTACTCATGCATCCTAGGCTATCCCAGGGTCCACATTTCTGCTATTTATATTGCATGGAATACAATTCTGACTACTCCACTAGTCTCAGTTACACAAGATTTTCAAGATTTTCCTTAGCTATCACTGGAATGTCTCTTAGTTGCTTCCTTCTCTGAACTTCTTTTTATACTTGTTTTGTGAACTATACATATTTTGCTGTCCTAAATAGATAACAAGCCTCTTATGGTTAAGAAGCATGTTTCTGTTCTGTTTTGCTTATTTGTATGCATAGAACCTAGAGCAATGCTCTACACAAGGATGTAAAGGGTCACAATAAACAATTGCATTTTAGAATCTAAGCTTTGTTTGCCTAACCTCTGCCTAACAATATCAAATGCAGTTTGCTTTCAGAGCTGGCTTTTAAAAAGAAACGGTATATGACTACTATATATCCTTTCTTCAAGAATGCTATATTAAATAGGACAGTGTGGCTTTCTTTAAGAGTGCTATATTAGTTAGCCAGGACAGCTTAAACAACAGAAATGTGTTTCTCACAGTTCTGAAGGCTTCAAAAGTCCAAGATCAAGGCATCTTTGGTTTCTTCTGGAGCCTCTCTCCTTGGCTTACAGATGGTCGCCTTCCCCATGTCCTCACATTGTCTTTCCTTTGTGCTTGGGCATGATTGTGTCCTAATCTTCTCTTTTTATGAGAACACAGTTATATTGGATCAGGACTTACCCACATGACCTAATTTTACCTTAAATGTCTCTTTAAAGAATCTCTTTTCAAATACAGTTGTATTCTGAAGTACTGGGGAGGGGAGGACTTCAATATATCAATTTTGGGGGAATACAATGCAGCCCTAACAGATGCCTTTGAGTAAATTATTCAAATGAGTGGAACCAGCAAGACTGATGGACTAAACAAAGACCAAAAGAAGACAATGAGACATTGTACAAACCACCATGGTACTATTCCAAGTTTCCATTTTAAGTTGCTGTAGATGCTTTTTAACTTATATTATTCTTTACTCTGGAATATTGACTGGTACCTGGTAATAAAGCTTTTAAAACTAGAAGTGCATACCTTCTCTGTTTCAGGAAGCATGTGAAACAAAGGTTTAAAGAGACACAGGCTACTACTAGGATGCCTCAGCCATGTGGTCAAATACCAAACTGCCCACACTCAGGAACCCTACACAGATGACACACACCTTTAGTTTCAACTACTATAGCTTCTGGAAGTATGAAAGGTATATATTTACAATTTTTTCCTTACAACTTAACATTTTCACAGATCCCTGGTCTCTAGAAAATAACAGTGTTTTGCACATAGGAAAAGGTAAGGAGAAAGATTTGAAAAGAAAAAAGAACATAAACATTCCAGGACTTTCTAGCTTCTTTTAGGATGTCAGAATATTTCAGTATCCGGAATTTACTAAAGATAATCATATACTCTCATATAACATGAATGATTTTAAATTAAACAGACATAAATTCTGCTCTCACAGAGCTTACGTTCAGAAGAAATGAGGAAAATATCCAGTCCATCATATGACAATCAGCACAATAGACCATAGTTTCCCGGGAGAGCTTAGTGAGCTGCAATTTAAATAGTGGCTCAGGCAAATTAAGTCTTATCAAGGAAGTACTAAGTTAGCAAAGACCAGAAACAGGCAACGTAACAATCCATGGGGATTTCAGGGAGAAAGAACATTGTAAGTGCAGGAGTGGCAATTGTAAAGGTCCTGAGTACGGGTGTGACTGGTGGTCTGAGAACAGCAGAGAGGCCAACCTGTCTGAATCAGGGTTGGAGAGGAGCCAAGAGGAGGAGGTGACTGCTGAGGTCGCAGGGGCCAGATCATTCAGCATCCTGAAGGCCACTGGCTGTTACTCTGAGTGACAAGTGAGAAGCCACGGAGGATTCTCAACAGAGGAGTGACAAGATCTGATTTGTATTTCAGTGGAAACACTTCTGGCTGTAGACATTCAGCTAACGCAGATGGAGCAGGCAGTTAAGAGGCTACTTCAGTAGCTCAATTGAAGAAAGATAGTGGCTTGCACCAGAGTTGCAGCGGTGGAGTTCCAGAGAATGGCCAATTCATGATGTGTTTTGTGGGTAGACCCAACTCATTTTGCTAATGGATTGGATGTGAGGTGTGAAAGGAGAAGCAGAATTAAAGATAACTCTAAGATTCTGTTTGCCTAATCATCTGAAGGATGAAGTTATTACTAAAGGTATATTTAAATATTTACATGCTGGTTACCTACCCTCGATGAGACTAATAACTTTCTAGACATTATTGTAGTTGCAAGTTGAAATGTTGAGAAATGACATGTTTCAGTATCCAGCATACAATTTCACACATATAGGGACACCAATGTTTCCTTCATAAATGCAATGGTGAAATATTCTTAATTGATAGAATAAAGTATCTCAGTTTTCTGTAAACCTGTCACTCAAAGGACATTCTTTACACATTACCTCAGTGATAAAAGGATTGTTGAAGAAGGAAAGCTTTATACAATTAGATAAGCTATGGCATCAATTTAACTCCAAAAACCTATTGACATTGGTTTGCTTGGTAAAAAACAAGAAAAATAACAGACTTCTTGTAAAAAGAAAAATTAGAGGTTACATAGAAGATAGAAGTCTCCCAAGGAAACAAGGTCCTTCAAAAGTATGGCTGAAATACTTCACCAGGAACGTCATACATTTTAACTGTAAAGTTGTTCAGCTTCTACCTAACCACACAGGCAAATGTGAATTGTTTATTGATAGTTAGGGATAAATAAATTGATAGTTAGGGATAGATGATTCAAAAGGTTTTTATTGAATCTGAATAATAAAACAAAATAAAAGATCTAAGTGTAATTTTTAGAAAAAGTGTGTGTTCAATTGAAAGCTAAAATGCCTCCCTACTTACGGGAGGGAATACAAGTTTTCATACAGCAATTTTACCAAGCCAAGCACCATTTATGTAAAATAAATCTGTGTACACTCACAGACATATATATGTGCATACACACATATACTATGCATACATATGTACACACACACACACATATTGCACACACCTACATGGTTTCCTTTTATAGACTCAAAAAAATATGCAGTTCTGAAAATGGGCAAATGCATCTTTTAAGTAAGTAAGTCCATTTGTCCAGATTTATGCTTTCTATCTATCCAACTCCTATCCATCATTCAAGGTTCTGGGAAACCTTCTTAGATTTCTCCAGCTCACAGTGGTTCTTCTCTGGACTCACTCCATTTATTATGATTACACTCACATGATCCATAATGACAGCTGCCCCGTGGAATCTCTTACATTGCAATACTAAACTTATAATCTGCTTTTATTGTTTGTCATGATGATGTTTAACCTTTGCTACCAAAGTGAACTGTGAGCTTCTTGAGGGCAGAGCTAACATATAGTGATACAGGGGTATCATAATGTTTTATTGGATAAATAAATTGATTCATATATAAATATATTTATTTTTCCTTTTAATTTTTAAAATTATCTACTGAAATATAAACTAAATGAAAGTGAGCTCTAAAATAAAGGTTTGTCTTCGGGATAAAAATGTATATGGAAATGATCTTACCACTTAATTAAGAATTCTGGGTTGGGGGGAAGAGGAGCTATTAAGATAAAGCAGAAGGCTGTTTATAGACTTTTTTCTACTTTTCCTTAACCATGTCTATGGTATTTCCCATGCTGCTTAAATCTCAAACATACAGAACTCTATATAAGCATAATTTAAAAGAATATATTTAGTGTTACCCTATAAAGGGGATCTACACAATTTCACGGAGAGGCTCTCTAGCCTCTATCAACTCCCAAGAAAATGTCCTGATTCAGAGCCTTCTCTTGGCAATATTCAAACCACTTCAGTGTTGGATGGATTCAGATATACTAAGAGTCTGATAAGGATAGTGGTCTACAGTGCCAATTTTGGTAATGTTTCTCCACTCCATTGTTATGAGGTTCCATTAAACTTGAACATGATGAATTTTAAAGGATTTAAATATACAAATGTATTTCTCCTTTATCACCAATATCATTTTAATTTTGGTCCTTTAAATATTTTGCTACATATTGTCAAGAATACTGACATTCAGTGATGCATTTTAAAATTGTAGCACATGAACCTATAGAGCTACAGGAATCTTTTTGAAGAAGAATGGAAAGGCCTCAATATTCCAAAGTCTGAACAATAGAACCTAAGCATCTTAAATGATATGACATAATGTACATAAAAGTCACCTATAAACTATAAAACTCTATTAAAATGCCAAATCAGATAGCATATCCCATTGACTACACAATGCAAGATTCACTTTCCATTTATGTGTATTTACAGTAAGTAAAACTAAAAAAGAATTGTTTCAAATAACCCATTCCAAGGAACATACCCGAAGAGAGAATCATTATTTACTTGTCTGATGTATATATGGTATACTTATACCATGCCATTGCCTTTCCGCAACAGTACCATTTAGTACAAACAGAGAAATAATTTGTTTAGCTGTATAATCAGGAGAGGCTGCACACAATAAAAGAAAGCATTCTGGTTTTTAAATGAATAAAAATTGATTGTGTCCCTATAAAAACTAAATTGGCAGAGTGTTAACTGCATTTCACATAAACATCTGCAGCGGACTGCGCCTCTCCGCTGTGCTGTAATGCAATATAGGACACTTAGGAATAAATGCATCCTCCAGATGAGTTCAGAGAGATTTTCTAAAAGCGCCTGATGAGATTGTAAAAATCGGATTAGTCAGAACTGCTAATGACACTTAAAACAAAGAGAAATCTTTAAACAAAATTATTTTGCACTTCTTCTCTCTTGATAAATTATATGCAAATCAGTGTTGATTGAAAAATGTTTGCCTGGAAGGTAAATTCACACTAATAAAGGAAAGGTCATCCTGCTTCAAGCACAGTATCTCTCATTAGGGGGACTTTAAAATGAATCATGTTATTTCCTTTTTGTAAACTATTTCAATAAACAGTATGATGATGTTAGAGACATTTATATTTCATCTTTACTGCATTCCTGGGTATTATAGTTCTAAGTAGGACATGCATGCTTTTATATTATTCTTAGTTCCAGGTGTGTGTGTATATCTACATATATATATATATATCTCCATCTTGTTTATATATATATATATATATATCTTTTATAGATATACATAGTTTGCCTACATATAATTATCTGTATAAAAGTATATGTGTATATTAAGCCACCAAATTTTTGATTTTTTGTCCATTAGTTTGAAGAAAAGCTGTTATTTAAGTCAGAATTTCTTTTATTTTTCAACAGTTTCGTTCTTGGCACAATTTTTAAAAAATTCATTCATGGCAGATTCAAGTAATTATTTTCATTATTTATCTTGTCTGCTGAAAAATCAATGTACTGTGTTAGAAAGAGCAGAGTTCAAATTCTAGCTTTTCCTGATGCCCTCTTTATAACCAGGAACCCAAAGATCAGCCTCTATGCCTCAGTTTTGTCCATCTCTAAAATGTGTCAGGTCACACATAGCTCTTAGGTTTTCTATGGGATTAAATAATGTCATATGCATTATTTGACATGTACACAGCTTAATATTATATAGGCATTTCATGTGGTATATTATTATTATTACTTTTTAAAAGAAATTTAACGTTAAGGTAAATCATGCTCTAAAATAGAGATGCTGAGCATATTTAGAAGACTGAAACAAATTAAACTATTCCAGTTTAACAAAAGCCCAACAAATTTTATTTGCAAGTTAGTGAAAAATGAAGTAAAATTATATATACACAACCTAGTCCACAGGGCTAGAAAATGAAAATTGAATGACTGTTGACAAACAGTACCAGATGATCTGAAGAGACTACATATTGAAAAAAAAATGACATAGGAGTTCTATACCATGAGACAAGCAGTTGGAAAAACAACTTTTGATAGATAATAAAGCCAAGAGGAATATGACATTCAATTTGAGAATCAAAGTATTAAAGAATGATTACTTGGGGATATTTAAAATTTGTGACACATTAAAAATATTTAGATCAGGGATCTGAAAGGATCTTGACAAAACATCTATTCTGAATGGGTCATGCATGAAGAGTTCCAGAAACCACTGAAAACTACTTTGGATACTCAAGGGTATCAAGAAGTGACCTCCCAAATCTCCATGGACTTATACGTCCTAGATGAATTCCTTACCATCTTGTTAATTCTCACCCAAAAACAATAAACAAAAATAGAACAAAATTGCCTTTAATTTATATTTTCTTTCCCAAGAATAACAAGAGAAATTTGCAATTACTCTGGTGTGCTAAGAATGGCCTTTGGAAGACAAGAAAACAAATACATTGAATACAGAATGATAACCAACTAACTTGATCACAATCAAATGGTCTTCAGTGAATTAATTAATGTATATAATATATTTATATATAATAAATAACCTAGATAAATAATGAAGTAAATAAATTCAAACACCTACTACCCTATACATAACATTGTGCTGGACACTGAAGAATGCCACAAGTTACAATTCTTGTCCCTAAGGATCATAAGATTTCGTAGAAGAATTACAGATACTTTAAATATTTAATAAGATTACACTGAGTGGCACAGGCAGAAACTGCTGTCAGGGTTGACCAGTGCAGACGAAATGATAGGTGATGCCTTCATGAAGCATGTGAGGGTTACAATGATGCCTGAAATGTGGAGAGTGTGAGCAGATGGAGAGAAAGGAAGGAGCGTCCAAGTGGAGGGCCCCGGAGAAGCCAGAGTAACTATGACACATACAAGAACACGACTGAGACAGGCAATGCCACAGTGAAAAGCTCCAGGCAGACAGAGAAGATCAGGAGAAAGATCTCTAGCTGCTGCTTAGATGGCAAGGTGGCAAACCTTACAGGTGCCAGATCTGTGTACGGAGGTTTGGAGAATGTCTTTGTGGATCTGACAGGTCACAGCAGTTCATAGATCTGGTATCTGGGAGAAAAATCCTGAGATAAGAATTGGCCAGAGCAGGCAGCAAGTGAAACTCAAGTAGTCAGGTTACACCAGAACTTGAGCAGCCAGGCTACCTACCATCAGGTAGCAAGGAGCAAACCAAGCAGGGACCCAAATATGAGGTCAGAGATTTTGATATGGGGGGCCCTATTCAGTCATTGAACCACCTAGGCCAGTAAAGGCCCAGATGATTCTGTAAAGCTGAATCTCAGAAAGGTTAAAACCTTTTTTCCTGCTTACAAGATGAAGTGGCACCAAAGCTGGGACTAGAACCCAAAATGCTTGACCACCTAGCCATAACTCTTACTCAGTACCATCTATCAAGTTCCCTGATCCATTGTAATTTGCTGCTTGACTCATTGAGTTTGTTTGGTTTCCAGTGAATGGGAAGGATTGTAATCAGGTAGTTCCCCAGTCACTATAAGTTGGAGGTGGGGGTAAAGGGGGTATGGAAAGAAACTTAGGAGTTGCAGTTCTAACCTGGGGTTTGACAGTTATGTACTAGTTGGGATGTTGTGCAACCAGCTGGTGTCCCAGGAAGCACCCTAAGAACTGTTAAATGTCTGAGCATGATTATGGGACCTGTACTTTAGGGTAGATTCATATTTTCTAATTCATTCAGTAAACACTCATTGGGCTCCTCCATAATTTCCGCCATTCATGGCATTATTTGGCTTACCATTCATTCTGGTGTTAGCGGCATGGAAATAGAGTTGTAAAGCTTAATGGTCTGGGTCAATCCTTCTCCTAATGATATTAACTCAGTTGCAAGACTGCTCAGTCATTCATTCCACAAACATTCACCAAGCACCTACAGGTACTAAAGGAAGTATGGTAAGTAGAGTTGTGCTTAATCAGCAGTCAGACTCTCAGCTCCTCTACTCAACTAGCTGTGGGACTTAGCTCTGATAATGAACACACACAGACTACAGGGTAATTATGAGCAATAAATGTGTTCAGACACTTAAAACACCTAGACTGCGGCCTGGCATATATTAAATGCTCAATAGGTGTTAGCTATTAACTAACACCTATTAACTAAAAATAATAATTATTTTTAAAGACTAGATAAGCCAAAGCAAAGATGGCTTCTAGAGGTAGAGATACTTGTGTGGGACTTTGACGTGCTAGTGGACGTTTTCTATTAAGGAGAAACAGAAGAAAGTCATCTGAGGCAAATGAAAATAGCCTATGAAAATAATGGAGGTGTGACGCAACACAATTCGGACTGCTCGCTCTGGCTGGAGTCAGAAGATTTGGACGCAGAAGCCAAATCACAAAAGGCCCTATGTGCTAAGCTAACGAGTTTGAGTTTTATATTTAAAGCTATGGACAGCCATTGGCCGGTTTTGTGATAGGGGCATGACATGAGCAGTTTTGTGCTTTAGAAAGATCATTCTGGCAGTAGTGATGGAAAAATCACTTGGAAGCTCTTTGAACGACATGGGCAGGGCTGGTCAAAATAAAGACAAGAGGTGCAATCAAGAGGACGTTAGGAGGAAGTCTTTATATGACTTAACTAATTAGACATGGGAAATGGGTGAGAGAGTACAGGATGACAAAGCTCTAAGACTTGGGCAGCTATGTCAGGATGGCCCATTTTTTGAGATGGGGAAGACCAAACATGCAAAACATTCAGGGATAGAAGTGCTGAGTTCAGGTTCAGAACTACTGGGATCTAAAATGTGGAATATCCAGTGGGTATAAGGTGTCCAGTGGGCATCTGGATATGAACTTGGAGCCCATACGTCAAGTTCCCATTGGAAATATCTACCTGTGTGTCATTAGAGATACAAATTTTTGAATTGTGGGGTTTTAACTTGCAGCTAACAATGGTAAAACAGACAGATAAAGTTGCCCAAGAAGAGAAAGACACTGAGAGAGTGACAGAAAGAAAGAAGAACTAAGTCGATGCAGTGAAAAATCTTATGAAGGTACCTAAAGGTAGAGAGAGAAAAGTAAGGATATCCCCCTATGGACACACATATGCTTAAGAAGAAATCCACCTAAATCTGTATGTGGGCCATTTTACAGAGCAAATTGTATTGATTATGAAAGTCAAACTTTTTCTGGCATTCATCAAAACCACTGATAAGCACAAAAATAGACCCAAGTATATGTGCACAAAGGAATGAAAAGAAACAAAGGCAATCCCAAGGTTTAGGGATTGAATGATTTGAGAAATTGTAACATAATAGTCATAAACAGGAGATTTCATAAGACATGAACACTGTATATATGCAAACAGAATGACTAATATAGATACACCTATGATCTGCTTTTGAGTCACTTACATAAATAAGACAATTAAAACCACCCCAGTTGACCAGCATGATGGCTGAAGCCTGTAATCCCAGCTACTCAGGAGGCTGAGGTGGGAGAATTGCTTGAGTCCAGGAGTTTGAGGCTGCAGTGAGCTGTGAGCACACCACTGCACTCCAGCCTGAGTGACAGAGTGAAACTCCATCTCAAAAAATCACCAGACAAACAAACCAAAAAAACTCACCCCAACCCCAATCAGACTGGAAGTCTAATTTCTATCTGTCTCCCATAGAAATAAAACTGAAATACCAAATGAGCATTACCAAGACTAATGCTAGAATAGCCCTACTGAAGCTTTCAAGCAACATAGTATGGTATATAAAAATAAAGAATATTGGTTCATAAATTGGACATTTCTTGATTCAAAACCCAGTTTCTCTACTTGTTAACTATGGGATGATGGACAAGTAAATGCATTTGTTCATATCCCTGTTTTTAAATATTTAATGAGGTATAATAATATAGCTTTTATGGATTTAATATTTGTGGTTTTCTCAAAATTTGTACATTATAACTTTAATCTCCAGTGCAATGGTATTTAGAAGTGGGGTCTTTGGGAGATAATTAGATTACGTCATGAGGTCAGGGCCCTCATTATGGAATTAATTCGCTTATAAAAAAGAAAAAGAGACATGAGATATCTCTGTTTCTGAGAACACACACCTAGGAAAGGCCATGGGAGGATACAGTGAGAAGACAGCTATCTACAAGCACAGAAGCAGGTCCTCACCAGACACCAATCTGCCTGCACCTTGATCTTGAACTTGCCAGCTTCCGGAACTGTCAGAAATAAATTTCTGCTGCTTAAGCCACCTAGTTTATGGTATTTTGTTATAATAGTCTAAGAAGACTAAGATAATATCCCACTTATAAGTTGTGAATGAGGACAAAGTTAGATAAACTAATAGTTAATAGTTATTTAGTTCTTAGTATAAGTAAGGCAATGCACTAAACTCTTCACCCATAACATCTCTTTTAATTCTTCCAATAGCTCTCTGAGGACTGGACTGAACCATTAATCAATGGGTCCTGTGGGAAGTGGATCTTTTCTTTTCAAGACATTTGAATCTGGAGGCAAGTGAACTGCTTCTTAGAAAACAAGATTCCTAGATAATGGAATCTTATTTCTTGTTTGTATATGCTGTCATAACATTTATGCATGTGCCCTTCTCCAAGTTGAACTAGAAAGTATCTCAGCCTGTAACTCAGAAATCCATAAGCTGTAGGCAGTTTCTGATTCCGCTTCATCTCAGGATGACTATAATATAATGTGGGTCAATTAACAGACAGTTGTATTGATTCTGAAAGTCAAACTTTTTCTGGCATCCATCAAAACTTCTGAATTTGCAGATTCTCAATTTATGTTCTATTGAGCATGAACTTAGGTATTATGGCAGGTACTTTGCTATGGGTTTCATATGCATTAACTCAATTCGTCTTTATAATACCACTATGTGTTGATGTTACTACCATAACGATTTACAAACAAGCAAACTGAGATACTTGAGCTTACTTGACCAAAATCACAGAGTTAATACACACAGTGGGAACATGTGTCCCCTATTTATCATGTCCTGGTCAATACTGAAGTCATAACATTTTATCTCTGATATACTTTTCTTTATGTGTATTACAGGTCACTTTTTATTTTCCCATGATTTACACTCACAACAAAATGAGAACTATTACAGGACTCTATTACATACTCTCAACTAATGAGAATTAATACACCATACAGCAAACATTATCAACAAACTGGCTATCAACAAGACTATTTTAGAAGCACTACTTATAGCAGAATCTGCAACACACAGAGAAAAAACAACAGAAGAATGTCATGGCTAGGTATTAAAACACAAGTTCGAGAAAATGGTCCAGGACAGAAAGATAATGATGAATAACCCACTGCCTCTCCACCCCAATATCCCAATATTATGTGGAGTGGGATGATTGGTCAACAGTTCTACAATGTCTAGCTGGAAAAAAATCTATGGCAGAGACAGATTAGGATTTCAGAGATTTGAAGAAAATGGATTTTTTTGGCGGGGGGGATAGAGTCTTGCTCTGTTGCCCAGGCTGGAGCGCAGTGGCACAATCTTGGCTCACTGCAACCTCTGCCTCCCAGATTCAAGCAATTATTGTGCCTTAGCCACTTGGGTAAAGCACGTGCCATCACGCCTGGCTAATTTTTGTATTTTCAGTAGAGACAGGGTTTCGCTATGTTGGCCAGGATGGTCTTGAACCCCTGGCTTCGGGTGATCCACCCTCCTTGGCCTCCCAAAGTGCTGGGATTACAGGCAGAATTATTTTTAATACCTAATCTGCATCTACAAGAGGACAGTGCTATAATGACTATACACAGGCCTCTACAACACTGATTCAAAGAAAACTCACATTTCCAAGAGTAATTCTCTCACACCCACTCCCCATATTACATTGGCCTTGCATATTTAGTGTTTGCCCTGACATGCCACTGAATGATATTACTGTAAGCCCAGTTGGGTCCACCCTTAAAGCCTCCAACTTCTGAGACCCTTGGTAGAAGATATCTTAACATGTAATTTAAGTTTTGCCCTTATGCAAAACAGAATTTTAAATAACATTAGGAAAGCTAAAGTGTTAGTGAGCAAGCAGACAGCTTTCTAAAGCATTTCTACAAATACCAATGAACTTAACTATCTGTTTTCTCTAGAAAGGCCAGACACATAATAATTTGAGGTCAAAATCTTCTGTGATCTGGATTCCTGAATATGTGACACCACTGTTTCCTATAAAGATCTACCGACTGAGTGAATGGTTGGTTTGCCACAGCCATTTGTTCCTAAGAAGAAGTATAAATCATATTTGTGTTTATTTACCCACCTATGCACAGATAACCTCTATCCAATTAATTTACTGCAACTTAGGTGACCAGTGTACATAAAATGAGTTCTTCTCAAAGCCGGAAAACAAGACCCAATATTCCTTTCTAACAAAGCAAAAGTGGTTCATGACCAGGATAAGTCAGAATTGAATCTTAACATGAGTAAAAGTGGGCACTCACTCTTCTAAAGAAAGACATGTGGGGACACAGATATAGAAAAGACAGCAACAAGAAGATTCATTCTAGGGCTTTCAGAAAGCGGAACCACAAATGAAGTTATTGTTTGGCAGGAACAGAACACTAGACCATAGATTGAAAGGGGGCAGAGATGGTGACCTAGAAAGGTTTTAAGTGGATAGATTTTTGGCACTAAAAATGTAGCAGACAGTATTGAGGATTTAGTCAACTAAGTCAAATTAAGATGTAAGGACAGGAGATGCTGCCACTCAGGGCTCATCTTAGGTTGGAATGATTTGGTACCAGGATGAGAGGAGCACTAACTTGGTACGAGGTGACTGAGCATCCGTATGTACTTCTTGCATACAGCAGGTATCTGATATAACACCAAGCCTACACTGAGGGGTTAGAATTAGCCAGAATTTTATATCTGAACTTATAAACATATAAAGGGACCACACTCCTAACCACTGAAGTTGGATTTGAACTGTCTACACCATCGACCAGATTTCACTTCGTGGGAGGTAGTGATATTAAAACTATCTTTAGAAAAATATTCCTCAAGATGGCCATTACCAACCTATTTGTGGAAACTATGCAGTTTTAAATGAAATCCTAAAATGTAATATTTTTTTCCAACAGCTAGAGATGTTAATTCAAACCATGTGTGAAATTGGAGAGAAGTGGAACTCAAATCAGACCCTATCAAAAAACTCTCTGAGTTTTCACAAGATAATTTGCCCAATTTTTTTACATTGCCACTAGTAGAATACCTTTTGTATTGCTTTATGTTATGTTATTTTATTTTATTTTTTAGTGTGTATGTGTGCTTTGAGAAATTTTGAATCTGCTTCTAGAGTTTGGCTGAGTTCAGCTGTTAAAAATTTACCTTCGTCATCCATCCTCATTCTTTTTAAAACTCCCATTCCATATTACCTCTTTTACTACTATTACTATACTGAATGAGTTTTTCTAGCAAAGAGATTGGATTTTATACTTTCACTAGTGATTTAATAGAAGTTGAAATTGGTAGCTGAAATGGAGACTTTAGAGTAACAGATAATCAAAGACTATCTATCCAATAATTATTTTATTATTTTGAATAAAAACTATCGGTTAAGTAAAATGCAAAAGTAGACTTACCTTTAGTGTATCCTGAAGACAAAATAACATTTTTGTCTGGCTTGATACCTAGTGACAATAGGAATGTAAGCAATAGGAACTGATTTTTTAAAAGTAATGTTATTAATATTATTTAGGATCTCACTTTCTATATGTGTATTTCATATTGGGACTTTGATTTGTGTTGTCTTCACAAATCATTCCAAACTTTTTTGTTTTGTTTTGTTTTTTGAGACTGAGTCTCACTCTGTCGCCCAGGCTGGAGTGTGCAGTGGCACGATCTCGGCTCACTGCCAGCTCCGCCTCCCGGGTTCACACCATTCTCCTGCCTCAGCCTACTGAGTAGCTGGGACTACAGGCACCCACCACCACGCCCACCTCGGCCTCCCAAAGTGTTGGGATTACAGGTGTGAGCCACCACGCCTGGCTCATTCTAAACTTTTCATAAATTAACAAAGGTATGAGTTATACAGGACTTTGTCTTACATCGTAACCTCCTTTCTACTCTTATTTGGCTCACTTCTTCTCTAGAATAATAAACTAGGAGACTACAGTTGATTGAAACAAATAAGCCTGAACTATGCCAGTTTCAGACATAAGGACTTGGTAAATATATATATTTTTAAAACATTTGGCTTTATTTATGAAAAGCCTTCAGAACTGTATGAAACATTTAAATACATATTTTGCAATATTATTTATTGAACATTCACATGCCCTCAAGTTCAAATTATTTTTAAAACACCATTGATATGCTTTGGTTGTGTTCCCACCCAAATCTCATCTTGAATTATAATCTCCATAATCCCCAGGTGTTGAGGGCGGGTCCTGGTAGGAGGTAATTGTATCATGGGGGTGGTTTCCCCCATGATGTTCTCATGATAGTGAGTGAGTGCTCATGAGACCTGATGGTTTTATGAGTTTGACAGTTCCGCCTTCACACGCTCACTATCTCCTGCTGTGAAGAAGGTGACTGCTTCCCCTTCTGCCATGTAAGTTTCCTGAGGCCCCCCAAGCCATGCAGAACTGTGAGTCAATTAAATCTCCTCTGTTTAAAATTACCCAGTCCTGGGTAGTATCTTCATAGCAGTGCGAAAATGGACTATTACAACCATAATATCCGTTACCTCAAGAAATTCCACTATTGAAGCATATGATGATAAAAATTTTGCTTTGTATTTCTTGTTGAGTTGCAAATTTCAATAAGAAGACAAGTGAACAGCAATTCACACTTGGCATAAATGTTAAAAATCATCTTTTGAATTATTGCAACAGCTGTTATTTTCAGGATTGGTAGTTATTTCTGGTTGCACCTCTGCAACTCAGATCTGCCTAATGTCTTTGGCCATTAGGTTCAGAGTGAACCACTGCAGTTATGATTGATCTTAGCATTACTGTCTATTTGTCTGAGACTTTCAGAAGTTGAAAGCAATGCTAAAATATTTCACATTATAATTTACTAGGTCTTTATAAAATGCTCCTGCCCATATTACTTGTGGCTTATCTTAAAGTAGCAGCTTAGTTATCCTGCAATCTCAATTAACAGGCACTGAGCAACCACTATATGTCCAGCAAAACTAAAAAAATGCCAAGTAGCTCCTACATTGCTTTGAAGTTAGCGGAACTGTCATGCTCTGAAATCTCATTATTGATAATCTTTATATATATATATATATATATAAAATTAGTGATGGGCCCAACTTTTATGCTTCCTCCATCAAAAAAGACAATAACTCTCTTTATCTTTTATCACTCACCCCAGACCTTCCTCCTCTTTGGGGTCTTCAGCTTTCTCAACTTTTAATCAATCCAAATACATCTTGCCTTAGACTTCTACTAAATGGCTACCTATCACCATTCCTAATCTATTTTTTTTAAGTCTGAAATATAGGCATTGGTAAAGTCTGCAAAAGGCCAGAACTACCTCTTCAAAAGCCTTCTCCACGTATGCTCCAGGAATCTCAGATATCTAATCTTTTCATTAGTGCTACTTACTTCACAATGACTGACATTACCACACAGTAGAACAGCATTTATTCTCAACCATCCCTAGTTGTTTGCACCTCTAAACTTTTCAGATTGATGTTTTGTGCAGTTCATATTTATTTTAAAATTTCTATCTAATTATATTGATTTAAGTTTTGATAATTCATTGCCACTGAATGCTAATACAGGCATATTTCAGAAATAGTGAAAATTTGATTCCAGATCACAGCAATAAAAGTGAATATTGCAATAAAGCAAGTCACACAAAATTTTTTGTTTCCCAATGCATATAAAAGTTAACACTGTAGTCTATTAAGTTTGTAAAAGCATTATGTCTAATAATACAATGTACACACCTCAATTAAAAATACTTTATTTCTAAAAAGTGCAAATAACTATCTGATCATTCAGCAAGTCTTTTGGCTGTGAAGTCTTGCCCCAATGTTGATGGCTACTGACTGATCAGGATGGAGGTTGCTGAAGGTTGGGATGGCTGTGGCAATTCCTTAAAATAAGACAACAATAAAGTTTGCCATATCAATTGACTCTTCCTTTCCAAAAGATTTCTCTGTAGCATGGAATGCAAAGCTGTTTAAGAGCTTTTTTTTTTTTTTTTTCTCGCTCCGTTGCCCAGGCTGCAGTGCGGTGGCATGATCTTGGCTCACTGCAACCTACGCCTTCCAGGTTCAAACTATTCTCCGCCTCAGCCTCCCTAGCAGCTGGTACTACAGGCACATGCTACCATGCCTGGCTAATTTTTTGTATTTAAGAGCCTTTCATGCACAATAGGACTTCTCGCAAAATTAAAGACAATCTTCTCAAACCTGCCTCTGTTTTCTCAACTAGGCTGATGTAATATTCTAAATACTTTGCTGTCATTTCAATAATGTTCATGGCATCTTCAATAAGAGTGGATTCCCTCTCAAGAAACCACTTTCTTGGCTCATCCATAAGAAGCAACTCCTCATCTGTTCAAATTTTATCGTAAGATTGTAGCAACTCAGTCACATCTTGAGGATCCACTCTAATTCTATTTCTCTTCCTATTTCCACTACATTCGCAGTTACTTCCTCCCCTGAAGTCTTGAACTCCTCCAACTTACCCATGGAGGGCTGGAATCAGCTTTTCCCAAACTCCTGTTAATGTTTATATTTTGATCTCCTAGGGATCACAAATGTTCTTAATGGCATCTAGAACAGTGAATGCTGTCCAGATGGTTTTCAGTGTACTTTGCCTAGATGCATCAGAGGAATCATTATCTATGGCAGCTATAGCCTTGTGAAAAATAGTTTTTAAAAATTTTTCCAGGCTATTTAATCAAGTTACCTACAACGTTCACATTCCTGAGTATACTCTATTGAGGTGACATCATTTGTTTTGGAATTTTTCTACATTCCACTTAAAAAGTGTTTCCTTTCCTAAGAAACTGAACTTTTCTGTCAAATGCATATGATCAAATAGGAGAACTGGGTTCATAAAATGGATTCATTGCAAACTTTATGTGTAAATGCTAAACATCAGTAAAGTAGTTCTTTATTCTATCTTCTTGCCTTATGTCATGAAGCATAATAAAAAAATGTATGTGCCCTGGAGTTACGAATGCCGACAGAAAACACTTGTTGCACTTGTCCACAGTTTTCAAGTACGTGTTTTTCGACAGCCACATGTTATCTATGAGGTTGCAAACAGCATGAGCTATGGGTAATGACGGTTGTCTTTGGATTCTACTTTCCTAGCTGGGAAAAAACTCCATTTCAAAAACTGGATTATCATTGTGGCCACTAATTACCAAGTGGAAGCTTCCAGACATTGTCTTCAATATATGGCTCCTGCAGTGAGACAACATCGTAACAAAGTCAGTTCCCACAACCAAGACTCACACTTGGTGTATTCAGCCAATAACAAGACTTGAAAGTTGAAATTACTCCTTGATCCACGGGCTGCAGAATGGAAGCTGTGTTGGCAGGCATGAAAACAACAGTAATCTCCTTGTACATCTCCACCAGAGCTCTTGAGTGACTGGGAGCATTTCAATGAACAGTAATTTTTGTTTTAGAAAAAGGGAATCTTTTTTCCTGAGCAGTAGATCTCAACACTGGGCTTAAAATATTTAAAAAACCAAGCTATGGACAGATGTTTTATCATCTAGGCTTTATTGTTCCATTTATAGACAGCACAGGCAGTGCAGATTTAGCATCATCCTTGAGAGCCCTGAGATTTTCAGAATAGGAAATGAACAATGGATTCAACTTAAACTCACTGGCTGCATCAGCCCCTAACCAGAGAGTCAGCCTGACCTTTGAAGCTTTGAAACCAGGCATTGACTTCTCTTTAGCTGTGAAAGTCCTGGATGGCATCTTCTTCCACAGGAAGACTTTTGTTTATATTGAAACTCTGTTGTTTAGTGTAGGCATCTTCATCAATGATCTTAGCCAGATCTTCTGGAAACTTGCTGCAGAAGTTCTGGAAACTTACTGCATCTTCTGCTGAGTGCTTGCTTCATCCTACATTTTTATGTTAACCTCAGGAACCAATGTCTGTTAGCTTCAAACTTTTCTTCTACAGTTTCCTCACCTCTGCCAGTCTTCAGATAATTGAAGAGAGTTAGGGCCTTGTTCTAGAGTAGACTTTGGCTTAAGGGAATGTTGTAGCTAGTTTGATTTTCTACCCAGACCACTACAACTCTCTCCATATCAGCAATAGGCTCTTTTGTTTTCTTATCATTCATGGGTTCACTGAAGTAACACTTGTAATTTACTTCAAGGACTTTTCTTTTGAATTAACAACTTGGCTAACCATTTGGCACAAGAGGCCTACTTTTGGCCTGTCTTAGTTTTCAACATGCTTTCCTCATTAAGCTAAATCATTCCTAGCTTTTGACTAAAAGTGAAAGGCGTGTGGCTCTCCTTTCAGTTGAACACTTAGAGGCCATTGTAGGGTTATTAACAGACCTAATTTGACTATTGTTGTGTCTCAGGGAATAGGGAGGCCTGAGGAAAGCAAGGAAGATGGGAGAGCGGGTGGTAAGTGGAGAAGTCAGAACACATACATTTATCAATTAAGTTCATCGTCTTATATGGGCATGGTTTGTGGTGCCCCAGAACCTTTACAATCAGAGATCAAAAATTACAGATTATCATAACAGATACAATAATTATGAGAATGACTGAAATATCAGAAGAATTAACAAAATGTCACACTGAAACACAAAGGGAGCATGTGCTGTTGGGAAAATGGCACCAATAGACTAGCTTGAGGCAGGCTTGCCACAAACCTTCTATTCATAAAAACTGTACTATCTGCAAAGCACAATAAAGCAGGTGCAATAAAATGAGGTATTCCTGTATATAAAAAGGGAACAAGAAAGATGCCCAAAGATTACCTTAACAGGATAGAGACTGCAATCTGTGGATACTGGAATTAGCCAAAATTATAACCATAAATGCATGGGCTAAAATGGAATTACATTTCTATAATGCTTTTAACTTCCGTAAAATGACTTCACAAGTAAGCAAAGATTATGAACTACTAAAAACATGCAAAAGAAGAAATGCAAACAGCTAGCAAACACGAATAAACATTCATTCACATTAATTATCAGAGAAATGCACACTACGATACTATTATCACCCATTAAATTGTGAAGGATTTAGATCATATTTTGAATGTTGTGAGGGTACAATGTAATTATACATATTTTTATTCAATGCTGATGGGAATATAAACTGGTAGATTGTCCTGGAAAATGATTTGGCACTATGTATGAAAAGGCTTTCAAAGGGCACATGATTTTGGACTTAGTAACCACACTTCTGGAATAATTCCTAATGTACACATGTTCATCATCACAGCAATAAGTATAGAAAAACAAATATGGAACAAACAAAATATATAAACAGAAGAATATTTTTTAAAAATTTTCTGTGAATGGATTAAATATTATACTGTCAATTAAAATTATATCTTCAGAAACTATTGGAGAAAATATCATACAGTAAATAAAGAATAAGAGCAGAATATGAAACTATCTATGATATGAGACAAATTTGTAAATTGTACATGTACACACACAATGCCAGAAAGAAATATATGAAATATATGAAATACCAATCTGGTTATAGGTTTATGGGGAATTATTTTTGTTTTTTCAAATTTTCTTATTTATTATCCTCATAATCAAGGTTCTTCTTTAAAACTATTTTTACATATCTTTACCTTTACCACAGAAGGTCATAATTATGTGGTTCCTCTTCTGAAAACCTATCAGTTGGTGAAATGAACATATCTTCATTAATTACCTTTTCTGATTTATGAAATTTTTAGTCTTCCAATATCAAGTCACAAGAGATCATTTCATCAAGACTTAGCATATGCAGGTGTGGTTCCAAGATGGCCAACTAGGAACAGCTCCAGTCTACAGCTCCCAGTGTGAGCGACGCAGAAGACGGGTGATTTCTGCATTTCCAACTGAGGTATCAGGTTCATCTCACTGGGGCTCATCGGACAGTGGGTGCAGGACTGTGGGTGCAGCCCACCGAGCTTGAGCCAAAGCAGGGTGAGGCATCGCCTCACCTGGGAAGTGCAAGGGGTCAGGGAATTCCCTTTCCTAGCCAAGGGAAGCTGTGACAGACGGCACCTGGAAAATCAGGTCACTCCCACCCTAATACTGCACTTCTCCAATGGCCTTAGCAAATGGCACACCAGGAGATTATATCCCACGCATGGCTTGGAGGGTCCCACACCCACAGAGCCTCACTCATTGCTAGCACAGCAGTCTGAGATCCAACTGCAAGGCAGCGGCAAGGCTGGGGAAGGGGCGCCCGCCATTGCTGAGGCTTGAGTAGGTAAACAAAGTGGCCAAGAAGCTTGAACTGGGTGGAGTCCACCACAGCTCAAGGAGGCCTGCCTGCCTCTGTAGACTCCACCTCTGGGGGCAGGGCATAGCTGGACAAAAGGCAGCAGAAACCTCTGCAGACTTAAATGTCCCTGTCTAATAGCTTTGAAGAGAGTAGTGGTTCTCCCAGCACGGAGTTTGAGATCTGAGAATGGACAGACTGCCTCCTCAAGTGGGTCTCTGACTCCCAAGTACCCTAACTGGGAGGCACCCCCCAGTAGGGGCAGACTGACACCTCACACGACTGGGTACCCCTCTGAGATGAAGCTTCCAGAGGAACGATCAGGCAGCAACAGTTGATGTTCAGCAATATTCGCTGTTCTGCAGCCTCCGCTGCTGATACCCAGGCAAACAGGGTCTGGAGTGGACCTCCAGCAAACTCCAATAGACCTGCAGCTGAGGGTCCTAAATGTTAGAAGGAAAACTAACAAACAGAAAGGACATCCACACCAAAACCCAATTTGCACGTCACCATCATCAAAGACCAAAGGTAGATAAAACCACAAAGATCGGGAAAAAAACAGAGCAGAAAAGCTGAAAATTCTAAATTCAGAGTGCCTCTCCCCCTCCAAAGGAATGCAGCTCCTTGCCAGCAACGGAACAAAGCTGGATGGAGAATGACTTTGACAAGTTGAGAGAAGAAGGCTTCAGACAATCAAACTTCTCTGAGCTAAAGGAGGAAGTACAAACTCATCATAAAGAAGCTAAAAAACCTTGAAAAAAGATTAGGTGAATGGCTAACTAGAATAACCAGTGTAAAGAAGTCCTTAAATGGCCTGATGGAGCTGAAAACCATGGCACAAGAACTACGTGACGAATGCACAAGCTTCAGTAGATGATTCCATCAACTGGAAGAAAGGGTATCAGTGATTGAAGATCAAATGAATGAAATGAAGTGAGAAGAGAACTTTAGAGAAAAAGGAGTAAAAAGAAAAGAACAAAGCCTCCAATAAATATGAGACTATGTGAAAACACCAACTCTACGTCTAATTGGTGAGCCTGATAGTGACGGGGAGAATGGAACCAAGTTGGAAAACACTCTGCAGGATATTATCCAGGAGAACTTCCCCAGCCTAGCAAGGCAGGCCAACATTCAAATTCAGGAAATACAGAGAACGCCACAAAGATACTCCTTGAGAAGAGCAACTCCAATACACATAATTGTCAGATTCATCAAAGTTGAAATGAAGGAAAAAATGTTAAGGGCAGGCAGAAAGAAAGGTAGGATTACCCACGAAGGGAAGCCCATCAGACTAACAGCTGATCTCTTGGCAGAAACTCTACAAGCCAGAAGAGAATGGGGGCCAATATTCAACATTCTTAAACAAAAGAATTTTCAACCCAGAATTTCATATCCAGCCAAACTAAGCTTCATAAGTGAAGGAGAAATAAAATCCTTTATGGACAAGCAAATGCTGAGAGACTTTGTCACCACCAGACCTGCCCTACAAGCGCTCCTGAAGGAAACACTAAACATGGAAAGGAACAACAGGTACGAGCCACTGCAAAAATATGCCGAATTGTAAAGACCATCGATGCTAGGAAGAAGCTGCATCAACTAATGAGCAAAATAACCAGCTAACATCATAATGACAGGATCAAGTTCACACATAACAATATTACCCTTAAATGTAGATGGGCTAAATGCTCCAATTAAAAGACACAGACTGGCAAATTGGATAAAGAGTCGAGACCCATCAGTGTGCTGTATTCAGGAAACCCATCTCACATGCAGAGACACACATAGGCTCAAAATAAAGGGATGAAGGAAGATCTGCCAAGAACATGGAAAACAAAAAAAAGCAGGGGTTACAATCCTAGTCTCTGATAAAACAGACTTTAAACCAACAAAGATCAAAAGAGACAAAGAAGGCCATTACATAATGGTAATGGGATCAATTCAACAAGAAAAGCTAACTATGCTAAATATATATGCACTCAATACAGGAGCACCCAGATTCATAAAGCAAGCTGTTAGAGACCAATAAAGAGACTTAGTCTCCCACACAATAATAATGGGAGACTTTAGCACCCCACTGTCAACATTAGACAGATCAATGAGACAGAATGTTAACAAGGATATCCAGGAATTGAACTCAGTTCTGCACCAAGCGGACTTAATAGACATCTACAGAACTCTCCACCAAATCAACAGGTTATACATTCTTCTCAGCACCACATCACACTTATTCCAAAATTGACCACGAAGTTGGAAGTAAAGCACCCCTCTGCAAATGTAAAAGAACAGAAATTATAACAAACTGTCTCTCAGACCACAGTGCAATCAAACTAGAACTCAGGGTTAAGAAACTCACTAAAAACCGCTCAACTACATGGAAACAGAACAACCTGCTCCTGAATGACTACTGGGTACATACTGAAATGAAGGCAGAAATACAGATTTTCTTTGAAACCAATGAGAACAAAGACACAACATACCAGAATCTCTGGGACACATTCAAAGCAGTGTGTAGAGGGAAATTTACAGCACTAAATGCCCACAAAAGAAAGCAGGAGAGATCTAAAATTGACACTGTGACATCACAATTAAAAGAACTAGAGAAGCAAGAGCAAACACATTCAAAAGCTAGCAGAAGGCAAGAAATAACTAAGATCAGAGCAGAACTGAACGAGATAGAGACACAAAAAATCAGTGAATCCAGGAGCTGGTTTTTTGAAAAGATCAACAAAATTGACAGACTGCTAGCAAAACTAATAAAGAAGAAAAGAGAGAAGCATCAAAAAGACACAATAAAAACTGATAAAGGGGATATCACCACTGATCCACAGAAATACAAACTACCATAAGAGAATACTATAAATACCTCTACACAAATAAACTAGAAAATCTAGAAGAAATGGATAAATTCCTTGACACATACACCCCACAAGACTACACCAGGAAGAAGTTGAATCGCTGAATAGACCAATAAGAGGTTCTTAAATTGAGGCAATCATTAATAGCCTACCAACCAAAAAAAAAGTCCAGGACCAGACAGATTCACTGCCGAATTCTACCAGAGGTACAAGGAGGAGCTGGTACCATTCCTTCTGAAACTATTCCAATCAATAGGAAAAGAGGGAATCCTCCCTAACTCATTTTATGAGGCCAGCATTACCCTGATACCAAAGTCTGGCAGAGACACAACAAAAAAAGAGAATTTTAGACCAATACCCCTGATGAACATCAATGCAAAAATCCTCAATAAAATACTGGGGAACCGAATCCAGCAGCACATCAAAAGGCTTATCCACGATGATCAAGTGGGCTTCATCCCTGGGATGCAAGGCTGGTTCAATACACAGAAATCAATAAATATAATCCAGCATATAAACAGAATCAAAGACAAAAACCACATGATTATTCAACATATGCAGAAAAGGCCTTCGACAAAATTCAACAGCCTTCCTGCTAAAAACTCTCAATAAATTCAGTATTGATGGGATGGATCTCAAAATAATAAGAGCTATTTATGACAAACCCATAGCTGATGTCATACTGAATGGGCAAAAACTGGAAGCATTCCCTTTGAAAACTGGCACAAGACAGGGATGCCCTGTCTCACCACTCCTATTCAACATAGTGTTGGAAGTTCTGCCCAGGGCAATCAGGCAGGAGAAAGAAATGAAGGGTATTCAATTAGGAAAAGAGGAAGTCAAATTGTCCCTGTTTGCAGATGACATGATTGTATATGTAGAAAACCCCATTATCTCAGCCCAAAATCTCTTTAAGCTGATAAGCAACTTCAGCAAAGTCTCAGGATACAAAATCAATGTGCAAAAATCACAATCATTCTTATACACCAATAACAGACAAACAGAGAGCCAAATCATGAGTGAACTCCCATTCACAATTGCTTCAAAGAGAATCAAATACCTAGGAATCCAACTTACAAGGGATGTGAAGGACCTCTTCAAGGAGAACTACAAACCACTGCTCAACAAAATAAAAGAGGACACAAACAAATGGAAGAACATTCCATGCTCATGGATAGGAAGAATCAATATCGTGAAAATGGCCATACTGCCAAGGTAATTTATAGATTTAATGTCATCCCCATCAAGCTACCAATGACTTTCTTCACAGAATTGGAAAAAACTACCTTAAAGTTCATATGGAACCAAAAAAGAGTCCGCATTGCCAAGTCAATCCTAAGCCAAAAGAACAAAGCTGGAGGCATCAAGCTACCTGACTTCAAACTATACTACAAGGCTACAGTAACCAAAACAGCATGCTACTGGTACCAAAACAGAGATATAGATCAATGGAACAGAACAGAGCCCTCAGAAATAATATCACACCATCTACAACCATGTGATCTTTGACAAACCTGAAAAAAAAACAAGAAATGGGGAAAGGATTCCCTATTTAATAAATGGTGCTGGGAAAACTGGCTAGCCATATGTAGGAAGCTGAAACTGGATCCCTTCCTTATGTCTTATACAAAAATTAATTCAAGATGGATTAAAGACTTAAAGGTTTGACCTAAAACCATAAAAACCCTAGAAGAAAACCTAGGCAATACCATTCAGGACTTAGGCATGGGCAAGGACTTCATGTCTAAAACATGAAAAGCAATGGCAACAAAAGCCAAAATTGACAAATGGGATCTAATTAAACTAAAGAGCTTCTGCACAGCAAAAGAAACTACCATCAAAGTGAACAGGCAACCTACAGAATGGGAGAAAATTTTTGCAATCTACTCATCTGACAAAGGGCTAATATCCAGAATCTACAAAGAACTCAAACAAATTTACAAGAAAAAAACAAACAACCCCATCAAAAAGTGGGCAAAGGATATGAACAGACACTTCTCAAAAGAAGACCTTTAGGCAGCCAACAGACACATGAAAAAATGCTCATCATCATTGGCCATCAGAGAAATGCAAATCAAAACCACAATGACATACCATCTCACACCGTCTAGAATGGTGATCATTAAAAAGTCAGGAAACAACAGATGCTGGAGAGGATGTAGAGAAATAGGAACACTTTTACACTGTTGGTGGGAGGGTAAACTAGTTCAACCATTGTGGAAGACAGTGTGGCGATTCCTCAAGGATCTAGAACTAGAAATACCATTTGACCCAGCCATCTCATTACTGGGTATATACCCAAAGGATTATAAATCATGCTGCTATAAAGACACGTGCGCACGTATGTTTATTGTGGCACTTTTCACAACAGCAAAGACTTGGAACCAACCCAAATGTCCATCAATGACAGACTGGATTAAGAAAATGTGGCATATATACACCATGGAATACTATGCAGCCATAAAAAATGATGAGTTCATGTCTTTTATAGGGACATGGATGAAGCTGGAAACCATCATTCTTAGCAAACTATCACAAGGACAAAAAACCAAACACCGCATGTTCTCACTCATAGGTGGGAATTGAACAATGAGAACACTTGGACACAGGAAGGGGAACATCACACACAGGGGCCTGTAGCATTCGGAGATATACCTAATGTAAATGATGAGTTAATGGGTGCAGCACACCAACATGGCACATGTATACATATGTAACAAACCTGCACGTTATGCACATGTACCCTAGAACTTAAGGTATAATAAAAAAAAGAATTAGCATATGCATTAAGGCTACTTTATGTTAAGTTATGGACTTGAGTTTGACTCACCTTACATCTTAATTACAGGCTCCTATTCTGTTAAAGTTCAATTTTTGAGTCAGCATCTAAGTGTACACATACTGTAATTTTCAGGGTAGAGAGAGCGAATATCTTGTTCTGTTTGAATATCTTTATATTTTACTTTGAAAATACAAGAAAAACTAGAGGATATAAACAAAAAAACTTTTAAATATAGAAAATAGAATTTGACTTATATAAGTTGTATACAACCCTGGTTGTACATGGAGTCACCGAAGAACTTTAAGAAACTATTGACTTTAGGTTGAATTCCTAAAACTCTGACTTATATAGTCTGAGGTAAGACATGGATTGGGGAATTTTTGTTTTAAAGTTTCTAAGAATACCAGGTGTTAAGAATTACAGGGGTACTTCCTGAAACATTCATCATTCTTTATTTGGGTCACAATCCTCTGTGTGTATGTAGATTTTTTTTTTCTTTTCACCTACATATCCTTTTTATAATTTTAAGGACTTCTTAGAGTTCATTACCTCACATGGCCAGGGAATGCTTTTTTCATCACCAGCCATATTCTATTAACCACCAAGAACTGTTGAAAATACTACCGAAAAGCCTACTAGGTATTACATAGCTCCAAATACAGCTACTTATAATCTCTTTTATCAGCACAAAATGCATGAAGTTTTTGGTGATGGATTAGATATGGATGATGAAGAAGAAAGCAAGAAAGTGATGTTAAAAGGGACTCCAAGGTTGAGAGCTTAAGCAACTATATTGAAAGTGGAGCCACTCCTGAAGATAAAGAAGAGTGGGGTAGATCAGGCTTACAGGAAGAGCTCCTGAGTCCAATTTTGTACACGTTGAGTTTGAAGTGCTCTTATGACATCCAAATGGAAGATGTTAACGAGGCAATTGGATTCTGCATATACAGCTCAAAGGCAAGAAGAAAATGAATAGAGGGGTTCATCCAAGGGTAGGATTTTCCTGGATGGAAGAAAACACACAGAAATACATACTAAAGAGGGCAGGAGGGTTCTATGACATTGACAAGAGTTTATTACAGTGGCGGCTCATGGTCTTCTAAACTAGATAGGGAGGGAAGGGAGGTTGGGAAGGGACTGGTGTGTATAAAGAAACTGGAGAAACACATTGGCTCACAAGTTTCTACAAAGTTTTCAAGGCAAATTACTAAGATACTTTACACATTTCTCTGACATAACCTTGGACTTCTCCCCACATTCTGCTGTGCTCATTATGGCATGCCCCTTGGTGCCATCTTTATCCATTAAGTGAAATTTGCTGGAGGAATCTCAAAAATCTTGTAGAAGTTGACGGTGGCCAAACTTTTATTTGCGGTTCTCACTTCCATAACTTTAATTTTTGTTTCAATTCCTGCAAAGCCTGTACCTAACTGAATTCTTTTCTCCTCGCTTCATGGGTATACTGGATTTCAAAACACCTCCAGCTGTTTTGTCTTTAAGTTTTGGTGTAATGGGCTATTTAACCTTCCAAACTGGCTGTACTGACCTTCATTCTCTTCATAAACATCAACCTCTGAATGATCCATGAAAGTGCCTTGCTTCTCTTGTCTCCATGTTAACCAAGGTCTACATAAGCTTCTTACTTATACTTTTATTTCTGCTATTTATTTTAAATGAATTTTTCTTAGCATTATTTGCTACTTTTTCAAATGTAAAATATTCTCTTTTCTGAGAGCTTTTTTCTCCTTTTTTATTGTTTTCACCATGTTTATGTTAAATCTTATACTGTTCATCATACTCTGAGAGTAAAAATTAGTTATGTGTTTTTTATTTGTCTTTCCAACACTGCTCTTAATATATTATATATTCCTGGACTCAAATCCTCATTTCTTCAATTATTATTTTTTCTTAGTATGCAAAGATAACTGTCAATTTGCATACCCACTATCTGTTCTTTTTTAGTAAATAAATTAATATTTCAATTAAGCTCATTTTCCAATTTTGTAGTATATTCTAGATTATCAGCATATGAATTCAGAAAAATATCTCTCCTAAGAATTTTCAAAATTGATTTAAGTAATTTTCATCACATATTCCTTTGTTACCTCTGTCATCTACTCGTCAAGTCACACTAAGAGAAGTTCCTTAAACTCTTCATTGAAAAAGCATTTGAACATTTTTTGCGCCCCCAGCATTTGTGATACAGAAGACATTGTTCACATTCTCCAGGTGTTCAATCTAAGATGAAGAGATCTATGTAAACAAGTAATTATAATAATTTGTGATAAAGTTCTGAAATAGCAGTGTGCTCAAATCACCAAATGTGATTCTCAGCACTGGTATCCTGAGAAGCTTGAAAAGAAAAATTTCAACATCCATGGCCTGCCACAGACCAAGCAACTTACACTTCTAGGGAAGTGACCTGAGCATCGGTTTTAAAAGTTTCCAGATGATTCGAATGTGCAGCCTGGATTGTGTTCCTTTCTAGGGGAAAGATACTATAAAGGAGAAGAGAGCACTTATCTTTGTCTGGAGTGGGGAGAATATGAAGGCAAGCTTCTTACAAGGGCCAGTAACAAAAAGTTAGAGCCCATCAGGCTTAGAAGGGCCAGGAGGAGGCACTTCAGACAGGTGGAGAAACTAATTCAACCCAAAGCAAGAAATAACCTAATGAGTAGGTTGTCATGGCTGGGAAGTGGTGGGAAGGAGCAGGGAAGGAAACCACAATGCGAAGACAGGACTTAACCAGGCTCTGAAGTGTTTCAAAAAGTGCACATATTGTCTTATGCAAATGGAAAACCATTGTGGATTCTTCTTCCCTAACGAAAAGTTTCCCAAACACTGCTGCCATAGGACTGTCCCAGAAGAAACTGTTTCTGTAGATATGGGAGAGACTTAGACAGCTCGACTTTAGCAAGCACCCCAGGCAATTCTGGTGATCCTGGAAGTTTGGGAAACACTAATTTAAATAATACAGTCTCTAGAGAATGGGGAAGTAGCTGTAGCGCCTTTGAAGTCTTTGGCTAGAAATCAAAGAACTTGAAAGTTTATATTTTCTGTTAATTACATTGTCTGGTGAAAGCTAGATTTTAGGAAGAACAAACAGCATATGCAAATAAAACAATTGGTTATAAGTATAATGTTGACCAGCACTGTCCAATAGAAATATAATGTGAGTGTATAATCTTGAGGTTTTTATGTAATTTCATGTAATTTTGTTGCAGGATCCTTGAGGTGTTGCTTTTCTGGCCAGAAACCTTTGTGGCCAGTGATTCCTTTGCCCAAGAGGCACCCAAATTTTGCTTAGGCTGCTGGGCTTGCTCTGCCAACTTGGTCTGGTAGGCTGCACCCGGCTCATGCTACTGGCAAGGGGGAGTCATGCATGGAGCGGCAAGGGGTGTGTTAGTGAGCGTGGCGTCTGAACATTGCACAGTCAAACATGCCAGCTGCCATGGTGGGGCAGGCAGCTCCAGGTGCCAGCACTGGTGCTGGCTCTCTGTGAGGCTGTGGCTGGACCAGGCACACCACAAGCAGCTTCCACGGCTAGCAACGGGGTATGTGGTAGCACCCAGAAGCTTGGATATGCCAGGAACCACAGGACCCCAAAGAGGGAATCACAGCCCTGGCTTGAGGAGCTCCCAGGTCTGGGCTCCCTGGAGGGCCACAGCTCTTCTCTCCTTCTCTTTGCCAGCAATGTGGCAAGGAAGGGGCATGTTTCAGCCCTGTTTGTGTTACAACTCTTTTAGCCTCACCATTTGGAGGGTCTCAAATTCTTGTCCTGAGACCAAGAAGAATGAGGTACGCAGACAAGTGGAGGGTGAGCAAGATGAAGAGGATAGAATAGCTCAGAGGAGATCCTGAGGGGGTAGCTCTATTACACAGCCAGGGTGTCCCTCAGGGGGAAGCTCCATTCCCTAGCCAGGGTGTCCTATCAAGTGTTCAGCTCCTAGCAGAGAGAGTAGCTCCTCTCTGCAGACAGGTCATCCCAACAAGTGTTCAGGTCGCAGCAGCCAGGGTAGTTCCTCTCTGCAGCTGGTTGTCCCATCTTCTGTCCAGCTCTGGCTGAGCCTGGGGCCTCAGAGGGGAGGAAGTGCATGCTGCTTGGTTCATGGGTGACCATGGCTGGGCCCAGAAAAGGCACCACAAGTTCCCACTCCAGTCCTCAGGACTGGAAGCCTAGCCCTCAGCCTTCAGGCCCTCCCTGGCCTGAAGGTGGGGCCTCAATGGGGACCCACCGCTTCTGCTCAGGAGCCTGTCTGCCTCCTGCCACCGTCCATGGTGCCCAGGCTGCTGGAGTCAAGGGGTACCTGCAGGCCAGTATTTGAGCTGTCCTCAGCACCCAGTTGGTTTTCCCCACCAGGCTTATCAGTGCCCAATGTCAGGAAGGAGCCAAGGTGGCAGGGGACTGGCGTGCCAGTGCTGCTCCAAGTGTGCACACACCCAGCCGGGCTCAGCTCCAACCCCTCTCCGAGATCGGAGTGGGTGCCAGGAAGAGGGAGAGGCTAGGCAGTGGGAGCAGACAACCACCCCTGAGCCTGCAGGGGAATGGGAGCCTTCCCAGGCCCTCAAGTGTACAGAGGTGCAAAGATGCCCAGGTTCAGTGCCTTGGAGGGCAGGACTCTCACCCGCTCTGTGGAGTGTGCAGGTGGCCCCAGCAGCTCAGCCCAGCCCTAGTGACCCCCAGGGTGGCAGGCTCCGGGGGATTCCTGCTTGTCCCTGGCTCCCACTGGCTCCTGGAGTGCAGTACCACCCCAGGCCCAGCTCTGCCTTCTCCCTGTGCCCTCCAGGCAGCAGTGGTGGGTGAGAGTGGCAACAGGGGGCCAGGGTCTGGAGCGGTAGAGGGTCCAGGCCTAGGGGCAGGTCCTGCCCAGGCATGTGAAAGTGGGGGTGGTGCAGTCAGCTGCCTCAGGGACATGGGGCACAGAGGACCAGCGTCTGCCATTGCTGCTCCCATAGCCACTCCTGGCACCATTGGCTGCACCTCCCCACTGCAGCCAGCGTGATGGCAGCAGCTGCTGTGGATATCCCCGCCACTGCCATCAATTTGAAATTTTTCTAGTAGCCATGTTTTAAAAAGTAACAAAGATGTCAAATTAATTTTAGTAATATATTTTATTGAATCCAAAATACCCCAAATACTACCATTTCAACATATAATTAATATCAAAATTATTAATGAGATATTGTAGACTCTTTTGTGTTTGCAATAGTCTTCAAAATCTGGTGTGTACAGAACATCTCAATTTGGGACTAACCACATTTCACGTGTTCAATAGCCACATGTGGCTAGTGGCTAGCTACTGTATTAGATGGCACAGAGTTAGACTAAAGGTACATGGTTTTCTCATCCACAGTTTCAGAAGCCAAAGTGATGTTCTGTGGTAGTGAATCTCACAAGTACAGAGAGAAATGTGTTCCCCTCCAGAATTACCAATGTGTCTATAGACAATAGAATGGACTGCCTTGTAAACCTGAGTTCATTTTCACTGGACTGCTCCAAACTGTAACTAGACAACCACCCCAGTGAAATGCTGAAGAAAGCTTCATGTATCATGACACAAAAAGCTGGATGAGAAGATCTCTAAGGTTAATTCCAGTCTAATTTTCTATGTCTGATACTGACATTTGAAATCACACATTATGCTTAGGTTATTTCTTAAGAAATACATGCTTTCTCTCTCTCTCTCTCTCTCTCTCTCTCTCTCTCTCTCTCTCTCTCTCTCTCTCTCTCCCTCCCTCCCCCCTCCCACACACACACTCACAGAGTACACATATACACATATATTTACATATACATGTTAGGGTACATCATTTACTTAACTGCAATACATTCTCTAGTTTCCCATTCCTACCGGTCTGCCACAGTTGTCACAGAACCGTTTCAAACATTCCCTTGGACCGTTGCTGAATTCCTGAAGACAACACAGTCTTTAATTGACTTTCCTTTCCTGTTGTCCTCATCCCTAAATGTTTTCCCTCTTTTTGGAGCTTTCTCGCCTTCACATTTTCTTTAGTGTAAAAAACATTCCTCTGTAGAGTTAAAGCTAAAGGAGAGTAAGGACTATGTAAACTGGGATTCAAATTCATCAAATGTGCCTTTTTGGATCATTTCCACTACATTATAATAACAGAACCCACTAAACAGATTTTCCTTAGGTAGTTATTCATGTAACTTTCTACTACCACATCTAAATAATCTTCCTCCAGGTAGTACTCACCCTATTACCCTCCTCAGGCGCTGCTCTCCCCGAGGACTGCATGCTTCCACATCTTCTATTCTCCCTCCTCTTCAAGGGGCCCCTTCCCAAACTTCTCCTATAGCCATTTGCCTCTAAGTGACAAGTTTCACACCAATCTTTGTATCTCAAAAAACTCACTGACTTTTTAGCTACGGATGCCACATTAATGCTTTTCCTCCATGTTCTTACTTGCCTTTAATGACAAATGTGCATTGCAGCTTATGTCTTTCACCTTCTTGCCTTGAAGTACCTTTCTAAGCTGCAAGTCCATTTAAATAGTCTTCATCAGAAACAGCCATCTTCATCGTTTTCCCCATCTGTGCCACTTACACAGGTAAAGGGCACTACTGAGCCAAACTCAACAGGCAATGCAACGGGCCTAGTTGGCCCAATAGATATAGACAGAAAATATTTAGAATACATTGTAATGTTGGCATAATTATGGAATCTTGGTAATAGGTATTAACTACACTACATTAACAATTCTTTATCATCAAAATTTTGTTTAGGGACAATTGCAATACAACTTATTAATATAATTTGAGATTTCTAATCCTCAACTTATTATAAAATGAAGATAGCATAAAATATAAATTATAACCTACATTAATCATTCTTTTAAATTCAATAATAATATGCATTCTACACATACTATTTATCTAAAATTACAAGCCTTGCATTTAAATTTACTTTCAGACTCACTTCCTATTGGTGATCTTGCAAAGGACATGTAGGACATTGCCTATTACATTTCTGAACATTACTGCCTATTTTCAAAACCAAGATTACAACTTCCCCCTGAGTAACATATGATCATTTTTTACTCAGCTTCCACAAATACTAATACGTCTTATTGTAAAATGTATATGTGGAACTCATATAAAGCTTCAAAGAAACTTGAAATGATAAAGCAGAACAATTTCATTTATTTTTCAAATTTTGACAGATGTCTAAATTTAACATCTTTTCACTAAATGATACTTTATTACTGCCCACTTTCTTCAGAAAGGATTGAGGACAAATGTTAAATGATGTTACTCTTAAGACTCTATGTTTATTGCCTCTATACAATTAAATTTAGAATGCAACTGCTGTTGATAATATTAAGGTAAACAAATAGAGCAGAAACCATCTTATACAACGCAAACAAGATTTGTAACTGGCCACGCCATCAAAGAAATTGGTTAAAAGGAAGAAGAGGCCGGGTGTGGTAGCTCACACCTATAATCCCAGCACTTTAGGGGGCTGAGGCAGGAAAATCACTCAAGGCCAGGAGTTCCAGACTAGCCTGGCCAACATGGTGAAACTCCATCTCTACTAAAAATATAAAAATTAGCCGGGTATGGTGGTGCACGTCTGTAATCCCAGCTACTCAGGAGGCTGAGGCAGAAGAATCTCTTGAACCTGGGAGGCAGAGGTTGCAGTGAGCCAAGATTGAGCCATACACTCCAGCCTGGGCAACAGAGCAAGACTCCATTTCAAAAAAATAAATAAACAAATAAAATGATAATATAAAATGCACAAGTAATACTCAGAATATTTAGTTTATCTTTAAAATACATAAATTTATATTCACGATTACTATGGTTTGAATGTGTCCCCTCCAAAATTCGTGTTGAAATTTAATTTCTATTGTGGTAGTATTAAGAAGTGGGGTATTTGTGAAAAGTTTTTTGAAATCAGAAAAGGCAAGGCAAAATTATTCACAAAGTTAAAAATAACTATATTATTTATTCATCCATCTATTCAAATTATTAGTTACCTATAGTTTCCAAGGTGATGGAAAGACACAATTTCTACAAAACAAAACAAATGGTCACTTTCATATTTCACAGAATAAATGAAAAGATTGTCCATCAAAACATTCTGCCCTAGATGGGCAACTGAAATATTTTGCTCTGGAAAGATACACCTTTGTGCAGGAAAATAATTTTGTTGTTTTATTAAAAGGTTTGAGAATAGAGCTGCAATACTTCTAAAATGATGGGGAGATTAGTACTGAAAAACCTCATAACAGCTTTGATGGCCTCAGAAATATGACTAAATATAACCACAGAAATATTCAAGCAACAATTTCTGGGCAACATGGTATTTATGTCAGAGCATATAAGGAAGAATAAAAGATTTTTGCATATACGAGTAAGCACAAAACATTCAAAAAGCAATGTTTATTCAGTAGAACTCTGTTCTTCTGAAAAGTTTTTTTGAAAAGCTTTTTTTGAAATCAGAAAAGGCAAGGCAAAATTATTCACAGTAGTAGTAGAAGAGAATAGCACTTAAAATTTACAGTTAACATGAGTGATATGAAGTATTGTGCATGCATATAGTATGAGTTGACTCAATTACATTTAAACCCAAAGTCTTTAAAACGAGAATAAGAATAACATGCAGTGACTGTAAAATATCAATAAGCATGTACATAGTTTTATGTGAGCAGGTGTAGAGATATAATCGTTAATCAATATTCAGGACAGCTACACACACTATAAATTTATGACCACAGATTTATACCTCTCGACAAAATGTTTCCCAATGGAGCACCTTAAAAGTGGTTTTCTAAATTAAATATGTTGTTGTTTTCTCATTGAAAAGGAATAAAAATAATAGAGCAAGAAGATTTTTATATATGTTTACAAGAAGAAACTTTGGAGAAAAAGAGAACTCCTGAAAGTTAGGATCTAGGAAACACAGACTCACATTACTGTTCAGAAGTCTCTGTCTCTTCTTCTTACCACTGGGGTTTGGATAAGAGTCATCTAACATGTAAATTTTAAAGTGACTTTTTGTTTAAACTTTTATGTTTCCTCACAATGAGATTACTATATGTACCTTATAATATTTATTTCCATCATCAGATGAAACACCAGTTGGGAATAAAAAGGTACACAGCCATATTCTAAACCATTTCAGGCTTTTAGGTTAATAAGTAAAATTAAGAATTTATTTTATTGTGGTATGTTGGAGCTGAGTTCTTCTCCTGAATGTAATAGCTAAACATGAGAAAGAGAATTATACCTATGTTAAAATATATATATACATTATTTTAAAAAATAGATAGAATTTAAAACCATATGTTTTTAAACATACATTTTTAAAATGTGAAAAATTAATGTGCTTTTCAGGGTCCAACATTTTAAAATATCCCTTTTTTGTAAGACAGTGTCTAATGGATCGGGCATTGGAGTCATCTTAGCAGTTTGCCAACTAGGGCATTGTTGCAGAGTATTAAATGTCTTATAAGTCAATATCCTTCTTTTGTGGTGTATTTTCTTCTAAGAAGGAACAATAACAAAAAATTACTAGTACCTGGGAAAAAGAGAAGTTGTTGTTGTGTTTTGCTTAACATGTTAAACAAGTTATGAGCTATTTCCTGTTTCCAAGTTTGGCACCTTTGGAATCAAATGATTTTTCATGTCTCTAGGGTACTATTTAAAACTCACTATTTTGTAATTAATTTTGAGAGTTTCTTAATAAATGGTTCTAAGTGCCTAAGGGCTTCTTCCCATTAGAGTCATTGACTGGGGTTGAAAGCATATCAAAATACATCATATCTGAAGTGGTCATTGGTTGGTATGGATACTGGCAGAAATGATACATGATTATGCATGAGATACATGCACAATTATCTGAAAAATTAATAGGCTGATAATAATGATTTTCATACATTAGAACATCTACAGATTGAGTTTCATTAAATTTTCTGTAATACTTCACCACATTCAGTTAAGTCTTGAATAATTTGAATTTTCCTTTTCTTGGTTAGATGATTTACTAAGTCTCGGTTCACAGATATCACATTGAATTGAACACTAGCAGGAAAGGTGTCTGTAATCCTGACTTGGATAAAGTTTGAGCTGCTCAAGGGCAAAGTCTTGATGGTATAACTGATCCAAGGGCACTGCAGAACTGAGCTAGACTACTATGTAGGTCTCCACATTTAAGTACTAAGACCACATTTATCTCTATTTTCAAAGAAACACAGGGACATTCTTTGATAAGCTATTTTTATACATTTGGATCCATGAGATTTATTATTAGAAAGGCACCTTAGAGATATAACTTGCCCAAGTTCATCCCATTAGGCAAAGAATAACCCCATCAATAGCAGAGATGTTTTTAAAATTCTGGTCTCTGGTCTTCCCACTCACTACTCTCTCTCATCTGGTATGGTTTAGCTCCTATCTTTTGACTTCACATTTCTAGGCACACCAGCTTTGCAATTACAGGCCTGTGGAAATCATGTTGCAATTTTTTTATAAATGAGCTGAGGGTTGGAGTCCAACGGAAGTGTTATAATATAACCCAAAGTTACATCACTCTAAATAGAATTTCCAGCAGGTAACTGGTTAGAACTTGTCTAACGATTGTTTTCCAAAAACATTACAAACATGCATTTGTGGATATACACAGTGCCACTGAATTGTATACTCTAAAATGATTAAAATAGTAAATGTTACATATATTTTACCACAATAAAAGATATTTGTAATGCCCATAAACATTTCTTAATGATGTATTGTTGTTAGTGCTGTTTTCCCTGCCTATTCTTCCCTCAAAGTGTGTAAGTCCAATACATTCAATGCCCAGTAATTCCGGGTTCACCATGACAACTTTCCCTACTGCCCCAGCCTTTGAGATAACGTGCTCCTCTGAGCTCCTACAGCATTGAGTCCATTTAACATTGCAAATTTAGTACTTATCAAATTTTTACATTTATTTTTATAAATTTTATCACTTGAATAAATTTTAAACCAAGGGGAGGCATTACGTCTTATTTTTCTCCAAATATTCATAAACTTTCAAATTATTTGTCTTAAAGTTACCAAAGGCTACATAAATGTTTCTTGCTGTTGGCATGTTTTCTAGCAGTAAGGTTTAACTAATTCAATTGTGACAATTATGAGCTTGGAACTTAGTATCTGACTGGGTCAAATGTTCATTCATTTATTCTTTTATTAATTCAATCTAATTATAACATATAGTATGTTTTAGGCACCCTAGTACATGTTAAATACAGACATAAGTAAAAAAAAAATCTGTCCTCAAGTTGCTCAAATCTTAGGAGGAAAGAAGAACTATAAACAAATAGTTATATTTTAATGTGGTAAGTACTGGGTGTGTTTTATTCAGTTGGAGAAATGTCAGTGACTTCTTAAAATTGTGGGATCTAGAGTCAAAGGTGTATGCAAGCCCTCCTACGACTTACCTAACTATGTGATTTGGAGATATACAACTTCTTTATACTTCAGCTTCCTCCCTTGTAAAATGGGTGTGAAAATAGTGCCTATCTCACAGCATTGTTGTGAGGATCAAATGAAATAATGCATGTGTCCTGCTTACCACCACTTAGCACATTGTAAATACCCAATTAGTTCCTTCTATTGCCTTAGAAGATGACACTGAACCAAAACCACACTCTGTTTTCTGAGATGTAAAATCAGTTGTATGTGTGCATGTAAATATATATGTACTATGCAGTCAACTGTTTTTACATTATCTTTTAGCACATTTGGACTTAGGTGAATGCCCATTAGGTGCATCCCAGACTCACAGAGATTTCTCTTTCTCTTGGAATAGCCAGATATGCAAATATGGGCCTCACGTGTCTATCATATCAGTGCCTTTGACTTTCCTCTTGGCCATAACTGACTGGTCTAAGGGTAGATACATGATCTTGGCTGGATCAATCAGATTCTTTCTCTTGATCATTTGATCATCAAAATGAAGACTCAAGAAATGGGAGGTCACTAGATCTGAGATATCCTAATGGCAAAACTCTAAAGTGAGGGTCCCTGAATTGCCCCAGCTGTTCCCCTTCTGGAGGTTCAGTTGTTCACCAAGGCCTTTGATTCTATGAGCTATAACAGCATCCATTCAATAAACCATCTCTTAAATTTGCCAGAGTCAGTAGCTGTTACTTACAAGAAACAAACAAAAAAATGTAACTAACACTGGGAAAGTGTTCTCCCTTTGCTAGTGTTCTCTAGCAAGACTGGCCAGATGGTTTCTCTTTCCACCAAAACCTATGAGAGTCTTCCTGAAGATGGCCTAATCAGTAGATCTATGCAATTGCTTTCCAGTAGGATTTTAAAGAATAAAGGGAAAATTGCATATTTTGTTTCAAATGATTTGCTTTCTACTCTGGCTTTTACTTTAACCTCTGAGGCTTAGGGCAAGTCTGTATTTATTTACCTCTCTATCCCTGTCATTTCTCCATTGGTCAGTAGAAACAATGAGGTTTCTCTGATCTAACCCATAACTCACATATGAATTTCACAAGAAAAAGGGAACCAGCTCTGAATTTGCTACAAGAACCTGAGTTTCTTTTTCTATTAGGTTGGTGCAAAAGTAGTCGAGCTTTTTGCCATTAAAAGTAATGGTAAAAACCGCAATTGCTTTTGCACCAACCTAATAGAAGGTGAGGTGCTTGAAGTATCTAGTCTGTAGGGGTCCTTCCATAACTAATGTGACAATTGATTCTGTCACATTGATCAAAATAACACAGATAAAAGAAACATTAATCTGATATAGAAAAGATCAATCATGTAGGAAATACAAAGATACTTCATGTTTTTCCTAAACACTCAAGGATTAAGGGGGAAAACATCACCGTAATGATATAACAGACTTAACACTGTGTGGCTAAAAGATGTATGTAGCATTAAAAATAAAAACAGAACCGTAGTACTACATGATGAAAAAAATGTCAGATTTACCTTTAATTTCTGGTGAGAGCTGCTGCTGTGGTTGCTCCAAATGTCGTAACATATTGAACAGCAGTGCCAATGGGCTTTAAAAAAAAAAGGAAAAAGGGGAGAAAAACCTTACCCAGCAGACATTTATGTTTATTTTCCCACATCTTTAAAAAATTTATTGCTTTTACTTAACTCATCTTGAGACATTAGTAGTTCTTAAACAATGTGTGGTACAAAATGTTATATTTGGTGGTCCTGTTTCAAGCCCCAGAGAACAACAATCCCCATAATAAAACTGATATTTCACAAGCCTCACAGGACTCAATTAGAAGAGAGTCTGAATTGCCTCTTACTCTGGGGAAAGGGTCAGAATTCAGATCATCTAGATAATATGAACACAAATAGAAAACAATTGTTATACAATTGGGTTACAAAATTAATGCAGGAATGATAGATGTCTGTAATCCTTATTAAAATATGAAGAGTTTGTTATAAATTCTATACAAAGAAAACTGCAACATAAGATGATTGTTATATATTGATATATACACACATAATTTTAATATATGGACTGTATACATGTGTATAAGGATTGCATAAGCATTTATGTGCATATAGATGTACATATATGTGTTCATATCTATACCTATATATAGGACATCTATATGTAGATGATCAGCTAAATTAAACCTGGGAAAATAACTGTTTTCTCATAAATAAAACACAAAAGTGATCTCGTACTCAATTTATAGACTACTTTTGTCCTGGTTATATTTTTACTCCAAATAATGTTAATAAATTTTAAAATTGTTTCAAATTATTTGATTATGAGCACATTCCTCACAGCATGGAGCTTCTACCTTCCCAAAGTATAAAAGTGATTTTCCCCTGATATTGGGGTTGGCTAGATGTCAGGGAAGGATGGGAGAAGAGGATGTTATCATATAATACAAATTAAGTTTCTGGAGTCATGGCATACTTGCGGTTATCAAACATCCAACTTTAATTTTGATTTCAAATCCTGCAAACCCCTTTTATAGCCCATCTTTGTCTCCCTTATAAACTAGCCATTTAAACTGAAAAACACAAAATCACTGTTTGTATGCTTCTTGTAAGGCTTGTCAGTCTCTTCCAAATACACATCTAGTCATGCGAAAGGTGCCATTGCCATTCCCTAGGAACCAAGAATCTTGTCTGAATCAGGAGAACTCATAAAAGCAAAGATCATTTGGACCTTAATATATGTTCTGTATTCAACCATAAAAACATTTACTCTATTTTGCAACTGCGTTTCTCTCTTTTGTGAAACTGTTCTGTATGCCTGTGCTAAGCTAGTGTTTACAGCTTGGTTTCTTTTTTCACTTTAAAACAAGGCATTCAGCCAACTTTAAACACTGCCTACTTCTAGCCAATTGTCCTTTTCTCTCTGTCAACATTTTTGTTAAAGGAAAAGCACATGACTAAATGTGATGTTTCTAACATATTTAAAAAGCAATTCTATTGAAATGATGGTGATGTCCAACAGATAATCACCATATATCATTTCCTTGAATGGTGCCCCAAGAATTCTAAATTTCCTTGCTGTTTTGGGTTGTTTTAACCTTGTATGCAGTTTTGAATTAAAAATAGGTCAAGGCATAACCATGTATTCATTAATTATTACAGATAAAAACTATTAAATAGTAAAAAGCAGCCATTATTATTATGCTGGAAACTGAGTACTTCACAGTGTACAATCTCACAACAATCTATTCTTCGTAATATTATTATTTTTCTTCACAATAAGGAAATTGAAGCACGGAAAGACTAAGTATCTTGCATAGGGTAACTGCCAGCCATTGAATAACATCATCACTGACGTACAACTCAGGCTGCCTGACCAAGCCGCACATTTAACCAGTATACCATGCAAGTATGTATTGAATACATGCATTTTAGATGTAGCTTTGAAGATATATATATATATATATATATATATCTGTCAGTGAGTATATGCATATATATTTATATTTATGTTTATTTATATTGCCACCTTACTGTCTAGACAGACAAAGACTAAAAACACTGTATAATTGGGGTGGGAGAAGAGTATATAATTGTTAAACAAATAGTATAAAGCAATGGTTTGCAAATATTTTTCCAGTAAGACATATATTCAAAACACACTCTCAATGTGTTATGACTTAGATAAAAATGAGTCCAAATAATGTCCAACTCTAGCATGGTAGCTTTAAATCCATCCTGTTCTTTCCCACTTGTAAGAACATAAAAGAGGGCAAATACAATATAATATTACAATGTAAATTGATTCATTTATGTATCAAACACCAAAAAGCAATGGCAACAAAAGCCAAAATTGACAAATGGGATCTAATTAAACTAAAAAGCTTCTGCACAGCAAAAGAAATTATCATCAGAATGAACAGGCAACCTACAGAATGGGAGAAAATTTTTGCAATCCATCCATCTGACAAAGGGCTAATATCCAGAATCTACAAAGAACTTAAACAAATTTACAAAAAAAAAAAAAAACCCATCAAAAAGTGGGCAAAGGATATGAACAGACACTTCTCAAAAGAAGTCATTTATGTGGCCAAAAAACATATGAAAAAAAGCTCATCATCACTGGTCATTAGAGAAATGCAAATCAAAACCACAATGAGATACCATCTCATGCCAGTTAGAATGGTGATCATTAAAAAGTCAGGAAACAACAGATGCTGGAGAGGATGTGGAGAAATGGGAACACTTTTACACTGTTGGTGGGAGTGTAAATTAGTTCAACCATTGTGGAAGACAGTGTGGCGATTCCTCAAGGATCTAGCACCAGAAATATCAATTGACCCATCAATCCCATTACTGGGCATATACCCAAAGGATTATAAATCATCATACTGTAAAGACACATGCACACGTATGTTTATTGCAGCACTGTTCACAATAGCAAAGACTTGGAACCAACCCAGATGCCCATCAATGATAGACTGGATAAAGAAAATGTGGCACATATACACCATGGAATACTATGCAGCCATAAAAAGGATGAGTTCATGGCCTTTGCAGGGACTTGGATGAAGCTGGAAACCATCATTCTCAGCAAACTAAAACAGGAACAGAAAACAAAACACTGCATCTTCTCACTCATAAGTGAGAGCTGAACAATGAGAACAGATGGACACAGGGAGGGGAACATCACATACCGGGGCCTGTTATTGGGGGGTGCATAGAAGAGGAATAGCATTAGGAGAAATACCTAATGTAGATGACGGGTTGATGGGTGCAGCAAACCACCATGGCACATGTATACCTATGTAACAAACCTGCACGTTCTGCACATGTATCCCAGAACTTAAAGTAAAATTAAAAAAAAAAAAAAAAGAAGATGAAGAAGAAAGAAAAAGGGAGAAGGAAGAAGAAGAAGAAGCAGAAGCAGCAGCTCTGATTCCAATGGACTTTCCCTAGTGGCTATCAGCATAGTACTACCTTCCAGATGAGCACACAACCCTGAAGAGATCTAGAGGTGAGGACTGAATGGAACATAAAACCAAGAGAAATAGCAGAGGGCTATACATTTTAAGCCACTCTGCTCAGCAACTGTGCCATAAAGACTACTCAGCCATCCCACAACAGCATGTTGTTTTGCAAAAGCTTCTACCTAGAGAACTATATTATCAAGATCACAACTATCACAGAATACACACTCTCAACCCTACAAATTGCTTTTAATTCTACTCACAATCTTACTAAGCTATTTGTTAAATAATGACATCATATAAAATTGTGAAAATTATAATCTACTATACTCTAGAATATATAAAATAATTTTTATAGCCAAAGAAATGGCAAGGGTTTTTATTTCTCTCTCCCATGTCAAAGATATATAAAGATTATTTATAATTAAAAGGAAAAAGAAAATCAAATGTACATGTTTAGCAACAGGGGACTGGTAAAATAAATTATTATCCATTTTGTACAATGGAACACTCTGCAATGACTATAAAGAATGGAGTAGAGGCCAGGAGCGGTGGCTCATGCCTGTAATCCCAGCACTTTGGGAGGCCTAGGTGGGTGGATCGCCTAAGGTCAGGAGTTCGAGACCAGCCTGACCAACATGGTGAAACCCCATCTCTACTAAAAATACAAAAATTAGCTGGACATGGTGGCATGTGCCTGTAATCTCAGCTACTTGGGAGGCTGAGGCAGGAGAATCGCTTGAATCTGGGATGCAGAGGTTTCAGTGAGCCGAGATCATACATTGCACTCCAGCCTGGGCAATAAGAGCGAAACTCCATCTCAAAAAATAAATAAATAGAAAAGAATGGAGTAGATATTCATGTGTTAACATGGAACTAGCAAGATAGCCCATTTAATTTAAAAATCAAGGTATATAATAGTGTGTGTAGCTAGGGTCAAACAGGGATAGATAAATATACGTGCATGAAAATGTTCCGAAGAGGTAAATAAATAATTGAAAGGTTATGTCTGGGATGTGGGACTGCAGGTCTAGAGCAAAAGAAAGATTTGCTTTTTAACGACCTTTTGTCCAGAATGAATATTTTTAAACTATGTGATATGTTCTTTTCATGATAAAAACAATAAAGGAAAACTAGGTTTGGTCTCAAATTTTAACTAGGCAAATTCTGCCTGTCTTTTTATAGGCAAAAATATAAAGTAAAAATAGAAAAATCTAGGCAGTAAATCATAGTGAACATACCTTTATTATATTATTATTTCCTTTTCATTGTCCCAAAGTCTAATTCTGTGGACTCAAAATAGGCAAAACAGAATGACTGAAACACACGATAGACCAAGGAAAAAATTTTGGTTCCTTCCCCAAATTCTTTTCATGGCCATTAGATTCCTCTTTTCCAGTTTGCAACATTGGAATCTAACATCGAATTAGAGATTGCTGATTTTGTATAAAGAAAAATCCTTGCTGGCTATAATTTTCGTTTGTTTATTTTATTACTCAGTCAATCCTGAAATGGAACCTCAAATTATTATCCATTTGTTATTGATATAACTAAAAACAAATTTCAAACTAATAATTCTTGAAGACATTTTTAGTTATCACTAAATACACTCCTTAAGCGTCCCAAGAGTCATTGAATATTTTGAAATTGCATTTCCTAATTTAAAGCTGGAAGAAAGAATAACTGCATCAAATTATCTTCGTCTTTCCAACTATTTACCTGAAACTCTTATTTGAAACCTCATGTTGAATGAACTAGCATGGGCTTAGCTAATCCTACAAACAACTTTCTGTTCTTCTCTTCCTACATATACCCCCCAATCCTTCATATACCTTTTAACCATGTGATATTCTCCAAGTCTCAGAAATTAAAATAATCTATGGTCTCAATGAGTACCGGGCTTATATAAAATTTTACAAAATTCAATTCTTCTGGAATAGACAGGACAAAAATTCTAAAGCACTTTTTCCTCTAAATCACCACCTTCCTGTGGCCCAGATAAATTCTAATTAAGAGTCAACAATATTCAAATCTCTAGCTACATTAATCCATTAAAAATCAGCATCATAGATGTATTTATTTCTCAAAAGTGCTTGAACAATACACTTAATGTACTTTGTGCATTATCTGAAAATAAAATCAAGAAAACAATTTCATTTAAAAAATTACTGATAAGGAACAAAATACCCAGGAGTAAATTCAACCAAGGAAGGTCAAGACTTGTATAATGAAAAATATAAAACACTGTTGCAAAAAATTAAAGAAGAGCTAAATACATGGAAAGACATTCCATGCTCATGAAATGGAAGATTAATATTGTTAAGATGGTAGTACCCCCCAAATTGATCTACACATTCAATGCAATTCCTATCAAAATTTCAACAACATTTTTTTCTATAGAAATAGATAAGTTGTTCCTAAAATTCAAATGGAAATGCAAGGGACCTGGCATATTCAAAACAATCTTGAAAAATAAGAACAAAGTTGGAAGACTCAGACTTCCTGATTTCAAAATTTATTACAAAGCCACAGTAATACAAAAAAGTGTTGTACTGGCAGAAAAATAGACACGTAGATAAATGTAATATAACTGAGGATCCAAAAACACACCCACACATCTAGGTCGATTTTTTTTCAACAAAAGTGACAAGACCATTCAACAGGGAAAGAATAGTCTTTTCAACAAATAGTTTTGGAACAATTGGATATCCTCATGCAAAAGAATAAATCTAGAACCCTACAACACATCAAGACCTAAGATTAACTAAAAATGAATCAAAGACTTAAATGCAAGAGTAGAACTGTAAAACATACAGGGAGAGACACAGGATTACATCTTCATGACCATGAGTCAGCCAAAGATTTCTTTAGATACAATACCAAAAATACAAGCAATAACAGAAAAAATAAATTGGACTTCATCAAAATTAAAAACTTTTGTGTTTTAAACTATCATAAAAGTAAAAAAGACAAGCTACAGAATACAGAAAATATTTGCACATCATTTCTCTGATAAGGACTTATAGCAAGACTGTGTAAAGAACTCTCACAACTCAGCTATAAAAATACAAATAATTCAATTTTAAAATGGGCAATGGGTTTGTGTAGCCATTTTTCTAAAGAAAATACACAAATGGTCACATGAAAAGATGGCCAATATCATTAGTCACTAGGGAAATGAAAATCAAAACTGCAACGAGATACCTACCACTCCCTATGTACTAGGATGACTAAATTTTTTTTTTCAAAAAAAGGCAAAAAACAAGTGTTGGTGAGGAGGTGAATAAATTAGGCACCCTCATGTATTGCAGTGGGGGATGTGCAATGGTGCAAACACTGTGGTAAAAATTTTGGTCACTCCTGTAATATTTAAACACAGGGTTATTCTACCATATGGCTCAGCATGTCTACTCCTAGGTATACAGCCAAGAGAAATGAAAACACATTTTTACAACATTTACACAAAGACTTGTAAAAGAATGTTCACAGCAGCATTATTCATAATAGCCAAATGCAAACATCTATCAGCTGATAAACAGAAAAATAAAACGTGGTACATTCATACAATGGAATATTATTCAGCCATAAAAAGGAGTGAAGTATGAATACATGCTGCTATAACATGGATGAACCTTGAAGACATTGGGTTAAGTCAAAGAAGCCAGACACAAAGGCCATAGATACACAAAGTAGATGAGTGGTTGCCAGGAGCTAGGACAAGAGAGGAATTAGGTAGGGGATACTTATTTTGGATGATGATAATATTCTAGAATTAGGTAGTGGTGATGGTTGCATACATTGTGAATATACTGAAAACTACTGAATTTTTCCATTAAAATAATAGGAAAAATAATTTGTGCATTTCACTTCTGTAAAATATACCTCAGTAAAGCTAACACGAGGGAAATAATGGTCAGCAACAATTATTTTTAAGAGCATGTAAAAGGCTGGTAAGGAGAAAAAATAGGTAGAAAAAGATCAGCATCCAACTTTATAAACAGAGGTATCCACAGACATTGTTTGGTATAAATGTACCCATGCAAATCTATCACCGACTCTGCAGAGACAACACAATTAATCATAGTCCAATAGAGCCCATCTATACAAACAGAGAGGTAAAAAACAGAAAGGGAGTAGTATGTTCATGCTTTCTTTAACAGTCACTTTAAGAAATGTTATCCTTGGAGAACTTATGGCTACCCCAAAAATCATGGGAGTAAACGAAATGAGCTTCATAAGGATTAAAGTCTTTCTTCAAAGACCTCTACCTGTGAACAGCCACTCAGCCAGAAATGGTGCTAGCAAGAGATACACTGCCTACATGCTGTGGACCTCAGCCACGTAAAGATCCTTCTCAAGTTATTGTTCACTGATCTAGAGGAAATAGCTGCTGGGCCCTTAGCATGCTCACAATGGGGTCACAGGAGGCATGGGAGGCCTTCCATTGAAAGTCCACCTCTTCATGAGTCAGAGTCCTACACAGAAGAAACACGAGAGTCCCACAATAAAGCACTTTATCATCAGATTGATCAAAAACCTGTACATGAGTGTGTTGCCATTTTTATCCATCCATTCAACAAATATTTACTGAGCATCTACCATGCATCAGGTACTGCAGAGATACAAGAGAATACTTATTCTTGTGTAACATTCTTTGTGGGTATCAAGAAGGCAAAATGACATGCTCCTCTGCTTACAACCCTGCAATGATGCACCACTTTTCTGCAAACAAAAGCCTTAACCAGGTCCTGTGAGGTGCTATGTGATAGGGACCTACTTTCCCACACCACACCCTTTACCTCTCTGACCTCACCTCCAACTTTCCTAACCCTTGCTTCCTTCACTACAGTCACTGGCCTCTTGATTAGTCTACCAATGCACTCAGCATGCTCCCTCATTTGGGCCTTTGCACCAGCTGTTCCATGACATTGAGAAATTTTCCCTGGATTTGCTCATGGCTCACTTTCTCTACTTCCTTCAAGATTTTGCTCAAATTGCACCTTCCCCACGAGGCCTGCCTACCCTGAACACCTTATTCAAATCACAACCCACTTGCCTCTAGCATTTCCTAGTCTTCTTACTCTGCTCTAATTTTCTTTCTCTTTCCACATTCCATTTTAACATGCTATGTAATTTCCTTACTTATACTTTCTTTTATTGCCCACCCCCCAGGCTGTAAGGCCATGGGGGAGGAATTTATTGTTTGTCTGTATTGCACACTACTGTCTCTCCAGCACCTACTACAGTACCTGCTGCATAAACACTGTTGAATGAGCAGAAACAGTAAAAATACCTTTAGAACACTTTCTTTATGAAAAAAAAAAAAAAAAAAAAGCCTCTCTGGACTGGATATTTGGGGATACCATTTTAGAGCACCTGATATCACAGCTATAATTCTATGGCCCAAGCAGCTACACTGGCCCCTGAGATGTGAAGGTGAAGACACCCTATCACTCAACAGTGGATAGGGTTTCCTAAGATACCTGAACACCACTCAACTGTGCTTCCCATCCCTGCTCGTCCCATTAATACCTGTCAGTGAGCTATGTGGGTGGACAAAAATTATTTATATATAAAATGTTTATTATGTAATGGTCTGCCTTTTCCACAAGCAGTCCAAAGGAGATTGGAAACAATGAGCTGGAAGAGAGACCTATTTACTCTAGTTCCTAAATCTTCTCTGATCTTCATAATCCCTGGTATCTCAAGTGATACATGTGGTCACTTAAATTTTTTATTTCCTCATCTTGTTCTAATTTCTTTCACTCCTCAAAAAAAATAAAGAAGAAGAAAGAAAAAAATCCCTGGTGCTTTACTCCTAAAGTTTATCCATAACGTATTGTTACAGTTTCCTTGATTTTATTTGTAATTCTTGTCTAATCTTGTACATTCACAGGCTAAGAAAACTCAAGACCATTTAATCATTACAGCTCTAATCAACAGAAAAGACTTCATTATTAAAATGTTCATTTCGAAATGTGTGAAAATTGTAAATGGGGATGATGTGATGTGTATATGACATGAGATTACCGGGGTACAAAATGGGGCCCAGGGAAGCACCTTTGTTTGCCTTTATACAACAGTACAAAAGTAATCACTTGGCTGAAAGCAGATGCTGTTTTCTATCCTCATCACTGGTTAAATCACTTGTACACACGCATTGTCTTAAAGCATTTCAACAAAATTCCACTGATTGGTCTGCAAAACTGAGAGATTAAGATCCACCCCGGAACAATTTATTTACCTTCTAAAGTGAAAAAAAAAATGCTGGCACCTTCAGCTGAATAGAAAAAAATCCCATGAATTCCTTTCCTCTTTTCAAAACCTGAGCCTAATTTCTCAGCACTATGGATTCAAAATAATACATGTTAATGGATTTAGCACCAAAGAATCGAAACATTATATCTGCATGAAAAAAAAACAGTAGAAGAGATAGTTTACGTTTCCATTTTAAATAGATATTTAAGCAAAATAACCTGTTTAGAATATTCTAAAACAAATATCAATTATTTATATCTATGCCTTGCAAGTTAAACAATTTTGCTTTATGTGTATATTAACTTTAAAAGGTCTTAAAAATTCCTTTGAGGTGAAAATGGCTTTTTTCCGTGGTCAATAAAATTAGAATTTTTTTTTCTGGTAAATGAATTTTCAAAAGCAAATGTCAAAACTCAACTTAGAAAAATTCCAGTAGCTCTAATTCTATTATTAAAACTAATTTAAAATAAATTTTAGGTAGCAAGTTGTATACATATTAGAATATTTCAAGGCATTAAGCATATATTTTAAGTTAACGAATATAGAAAATTATGCACAAATAAAGAAAACACACAGATTTTACTCCATTGCTTTAGAAAAGTTAAAAAAAGTTTACTAGAATTTACAAAGTAGTAACATAATAAAGTTGGACATTAAATATTTTTAGTTTAAACTCTAAGTATATGAGAAAGCACCTTACAAAATATTTATTTGTATTTGCATGAGTAGCATTTTTTATTTATAAAAATAGCAAGCACATGCTAGCCAAGGCTGCCGTCAATTTTAAGATGAGAGTCATTGAATGATCAGAAAAGTATTAATTATACCATCTTCCACACTGAACTGAGAATAATGATCAATCCTAAGCTGTTACATTGACTGCAAGAACTTATTTTTTGATATTTTTTCAAGACGAATCCACTTAATTCTGAAAAAGAAAAATGTTTTTTTCTGAGTGCCTACTGCACGCCGGGACTATGCAAGATGCTGAATATGGGTATGAAAACAAACGAGATTGCTTTTGCTTTGTGGTATTGATACTTAACTGGGCCAATTTCCTTTACATGATGAGCTTAATATGCAGCTGTAAAGCAAGTTAATCAACAAGAGTTCTCTGTTATATTCTATCCCCTACTTTTCCCGTAGAGCTGTATAATCCTGCAAATGGCCAGCAGCAGCAGCAACAGCAGCAGTTGCTATATGGGAAATTGAAGCCAGGGCAATCACAGCAGGAATTTAACTTCTGATGGAGAAAAAGGAAGGAGGAGCAGGAGGAGGAGGAGGAGGAGAGGAGGGGCAAGAGGAGAAACAAAATATTTTAGTGGTTGATTTATTCTGATGCCCATCAGAAAGCAAGTTGAATCAAACAAAGTAGCTTCCATTCTGTAACTTTTCTGTTTAAGAAGAAAGAGGAAGACCACAGTCTCTTTATCAGGACACATAAAAAGCACTATTGATTAAGGAAAATATTAAAAAGTTAGCCTTCATTAAAATTTAGAATTTCTATTTGTCAAAAAACGCCATTAAGAAAGTGAAAAAGCAAGTTACAGATGAGGAGAAGGTATTCACAAGACATATATCTAACATAGGACTTATATGCAGGATATAAAAAGAACACCTACAAATCAAAAACAAAAAGACAATCCAATATAAAAAATGAGCATATGATCTGAACAGGAACTTCCACAAAAGGCTATTCAAATGGCTAAAAAGCATACGAAAAGGTGTTCAATGTCATTATTCACCGGGAAAATGCAAATTAAACCACAACAACATACCACTGTTCATCTACTAGGATAGTTAAAGTTAAAGAACTAGTATCAAGTGTTGTTGAGGACGTAGAGTAACTTGAGTGCTCACACATTGCTGGTAGGAGTTCAAACTGGTTCAACCACATTGAAAAGCTGTTTGGACTCTTTTCTGAAGTTAGACCTATGTTTATCCTAAAACCCAGCAATTCCACTTCTAGGTATATACCCAAGAGAAATGAATGCATGTGTTCACCAAATGACATTTACAAGTATGTTCATGGTAACATAATTCATAAAAGTCAAAAAATGAAATCATCAAATGTTCAGCAACAGTAAAGAAATTGTGGCATATTCATATAATGGAATACTACACAGCAATGAAAAGAATGAACTACTGACATACACGATAACATAGACAAAACTCACAGGCCCAAAGTCGAGCAAACAATAGATGCCAGACACAAAAGAACATATACTATAGGATTCCTATTTACATGAAATCAAAAGTAAAACACAAAACAAATCTATTGGTCAGAGTAGAGGTTACCTTTGTGGGTATCAGCTGAAAGAGAGGGGGTACAATGGAGGTAGTGTAAATGCTGTATTCCTTCTTCTTCCTGGTGGTGGTTACAGGGGTGTCTACATAAACAAAAATGTATGCTCCTACCATGACTGCACCTCTGAATTGGTCACCTGATTCTCTGAAGTCAATAATCCAGATCATGACAGACCCCTGCTCAAGCCCATGAGTGGCTCCCATTTCACTTGGGGTACAAGTCAAACTCTTTTAATGGCCCACAATAACCAGATTTGGCCACTCCAACCCTTCTAATTTATTTTGCTCCTTGCTGCTGCTAAAACATTCCTTGAATATTGCTGTCCCAGGGCCTCTGCCCTGGCTGTTGCCTCTGCCTGGAATGTTCTTCCTCGAGATAGCCACCAACCTCCCTCTCTCAGCTCCTCAAGACTGTGTTTAAATGTCATCTTCTCACCAAGCTCTATCTGAGCTCATCCTGTTTAACACTGCAAAGCCCTCACTTTAGTATGTGCATGTGTACCTGTGTGTGTGTTTGATTGAAACCAATCACAATCAGGTTTGCCACACTGAAGAAATAAACTGAGCTTCAGTGTATTATCAAAAGAGAGAAAAACACACTTTAAAAAAGTTTAACAATTTTTTAACATGCAAAACTAGCTCACATTCTTTCTCCTTTAGTCTTCAGTAAATATTTAGAATATACAAAAAAAAAACACCACATTTTTTATGTGGCCTCTGGGGAAGCTGGAAAAAAACATCAGGATGTGGGAAGAATATGACAATCTGCCTAATAGCGTCAATGGTATGTGTGTGTGTGCGTGTGTGTGTGTGTGTGTTGGGTATGCAAACATACAGAATAGAAGGCAAGAATTGAAAGCAGTGATGCAATGTGTAAAAATGAGCCCATAAGGAAAGTTAGCAAGAGCTTTTCCTTCATTTTGACCCCAAATAGTATGGAAACTTTTCCTTCCGGCTGAGGAAATGAGTTTGACTAAATAAGAGTAAGGTATGAAATTGGAGGTGGGAAACAAAGGGTCAATCAGAAGTAAAATGAGAGGGTAAATTGTTTTCTTCTGTCATGGGAGAAAGTTTAGCAAAAAAAGAGAAGAGCATCTCAGCTGCGGTGTTCTTGTATTTCTGGGACTTCTCAGGGGCTTTCACAGACCTGCACAAGCAGCTACTGAATTACACTCAGGCCACAGGAGCCAGGGGCTGGTTGACCTCACTGGTCCAGGAAGGTAATATAGCAGGATAGCCCTCCTTTGTACAACTGGATTACCCACAGTCACCTGTGCCCATCCCTGCAGGGGAAAGGGAAAAAACTGATGCTTGTGTCAGGGGGGTTTTAAGAGATGAAAGTGTGGAAAGACCTTATTTTAGAATAAGCATAGTCTGTGTAAAAGCATAAACAAGAGAAGCAGAACATTGGGTTCACAAAAGTAAAAAGACCAGGTTTACTGAAATGTGTACCATTACAGAAGCCTGAGGGTAAATTAGTCAATGAAAGGGAAAGTATACACAAATTCTAAAGTGGCAGGCAAAGGTTAGGTATTTCTCTTGTAACCCACCTCAAAGTGTTGGTCAATGGGCTGGCTGTAATGGCTTGGTTATGCCATTGGTAATAACTTTGCCCTCAGTCTAATGCTATAGTGAGGAATTCCCCTACCTAGGTATTCAGGTTGAAACCTCTTGAGGGTCATTCCTATGTTGCTGTTTGGGGTGATGCACACACAAGAAGGATACACTGACTTCCCTACCCCTGGCTGAGCCCTCACATTTTCATTTTGCACTGGGTCCTGCAAATTAGATTGCTGGCCATGTACAACGGGTTGAGGTGTGCTGGGAAATCCTCTCCTAATGAAAAGGTCAGTTACTGCACCTTGTACTTCCTGTCCCAGGGAGCTATTCCACTTCCCACTACCTGTGACCATGCTGCCGCTCCCCATCATGCTGTCTTACCACCCTCCTTCCATCTGGCAGCTGAGAGCATGGGCCTTGGCTCCAGACTGGCCTGTCCCGGGGGACCTGGAGGGTAGGGAACAGCTGCTGTTGGGAGCCACGCCTGTGAAATTCTTCACAAGCCTCATGTAAGCCATAAGCAAAGCTCTGTGCCTCTAGCAGCCTTCAACTGCATTGCCAACCACCCTAAACAGCCTCATGGTTATTCATAAGCAGGACTAGAGTCCAAGGACAAAAACTCTAGGAGGATCTGACTGACTAATGGATGCGTATTTCATTTTCAAACTGCTTATTGGTATATGTTAAAGTTTGTGATTTATTGTTGTGAATAAAAGTAGATAGGAAAATGCTTTTCAAATTCAAACTAAGTAACATTAGATAAAGTGTCATGATCAGATGTTTTCCTTTGACCAAAGATTCATGTATTTTTTTAAACAATCAAACATTTCATATTGAGGACAACTTGTAATTTTTCATATATATAACTAAAACCAATTTTTCTTTCATATTTTGAGACATATGTCTTTTCACTGAAAAAAATAAATCTACATAAATACAAATAATGTGTTCCTTCTCAAAGTTAGGGGGACATAAAAACTGACAAGGAGGCAATGGAGAAGAATCATAAACTAATAAATCTCCAGTCCCATATCCTCTTCATTTTCTCATTCCTCTAAATCATGTAAAAAGAACGGTTAGGCAAGAAGAGAACAGATTTTACAAGAATAAAAGTACAAGTCAACGGAAGAGTAAACCATTTAAAAAAAAAAGAGTTTACTAGTTTGGGGAGCTACCATCCCAAATTCTTACTTACCTCTGGATGGAATATGGCTTTGTTTTTCTTTATATTGTATTTTTTTTAAGTATTGGGTATTAAATGAAAACCTGCAAGGTTATTCTCTTAATCCAATGTAAGTGACTAACTCTGCAGATGAGTTAATAAGTAAAATAAGGGCTGAAATGTTTCCAAAAGATTTGACATCCAAGTCAGGGATTTTTCACTGAGGTCCAAGTCATTCTAAAGGCTCCATGGATGGCATTTTTTATGAGTTTTTATGAGTGTCTTGAAACAATAAAAAAAAGTTATGTTTGATGTGTCCTTTAATGAGAGAAGAGTTGATAGCTTTTGCCAAATGCAAAGGGACCTGTGAAGTCACTGCCCCTACCAACCATTAGGATCTCAGAAATAGAGTTTAATTAGCACCAACAGTTCTGGCGGAATCTTCATAGTGAGTATCGGGTTGCATGGTTTGAAGGGTGCGGCAGAATCATCCCTGCAAGTATTGAATTCCTGCTGTGGTGAAGACTTGGTACTAGGCATAGCACTATCAGACTAGTATTGAGACAACCTGCCTGACTTGGGGATATTCCCACTACAACTCTCCTGGTGGCAAAGCACTATGCAACCACTGTGTTTTTCCTCCTTATGGTGCAACAGTGATTGCTGCAAGGAATTTTCCCTTGGGTTGGCGCCTCTGATCACCTCAACAATCCTGGGAGGCACACAGAAGAGGTATAATCGACTCTACTGGAAAGAGAAGAAACTGAGGTGTTAGGAGAAAGCATTCGTTTCCCCTCATGCTCCTACAACAGTCTTCAGATTAGGAAGCTTCTGCTTCTCTCTCCAAGGAGAACAGCATTAGAAAAGAACCTGGGGGTCCTTTTTCTCCTGCCCAGTCGTGCCTCCTCTTGGGAGAAGCAGTGGCATATCTATACCTGCCAGGTGGGTAGGGAGAAGCTGGCTATGTGAGTTTCTCCCTGGGGATCCTCCGAATCCAGAGAAAAAAGACCTGGATCCTATTCGGTTCCCACCCTCCTCTGTGTAAGCAGCAGGTCAAGGCCCAGAGCCAAGACCTGACAGCAGGGGCAGATCAGGAGTTCAGCTTGCTTTCTCTTTCTGCTCCCAGTGGATGCAAGGGTGAGGTTCTAAGAAAGCACGTCTGCCCTGCAGACCCAAACTCTCCCACCAGGGAGTTGTCTCAGGGTCATGCTGAAAGAAACAAAGGAAGAGAATGAATATTAGAGATCCCAGCTCTGGTAGGTTGCCTCAGTTTCTAAGTCTGCCTTATTGGTAACAGAAGTGCTATTTTCATCTCCATTTGTGTGACTTGTGCGTCACTTCTCAGGTGGTTCCAAATTCAAGAGTGAGGAACAAGGTAAGACTAATTATTCTCTCTTAAATTTCTAGCAAGGGTTTCATGGACCTAAATGGTTTAATCAAGATCACATACCTAATAAGCAGTTTGTCAATGATAACCACATTTTCCCAATCTCTTCTGTTCAAAAACAAAGAGGAGTACCAGGAAACAATCTCAGAAATTCAAATGTATTATTTGGACAATGAGACTAAGTATTTGAAGTGGGTACTAACCCAGAAAAGCATCTCAGATGTAGCTCACATATTATTTAAGAAACAGATAAATCCCACTTTCTACATTAAGTTTAATTTAATTACTGTGGGTTAACATTCTCAGGCTCAGTTTCATCTGTAAAATGAGGGGTTCATGCAGATGATCTCCAGAAGCCCTCCCAGTGTGAACATGCTCCTAGTATCTGAGCCCAAACCAGTCTACAAAGATCTGAGACTTTTCCTGAAACTATCATACAATCACAGCCTTATTCTCCACCATCATATTTTCTACCTGTATCCATAATTTAAGCATTTTACCATAACATTATGCCCTCCTATAAGTTCTTGCCAGAGAATATTATATGCAACCCTCTTTACTGCCTAACTCTACCAAAAGCTCAAGATCTTTTGTCCACCTAAAAATAACATTAAGAAAGCAATGGGAGAATTCCTAACAATGATTAAGAAAATATAAACAATTCAATTTTTTAATGGGCAAAAGAGATGAACAGGCACTTCGCAAAACAGGCTAACCAAATGACTAACGGGCATAAGAAAAAGGTCTCAACTTATCAAGAAAAGACAAATTAAATCACAATGAAATATGACTACACGATCACCAGAATAGATAACGTTTTAGAAGAAAAACAATACCAAGAATTGTTGAAGACATGGAGCAATTGGAAAGCTCAGACATTACTAGTGGAAGTATATGCTGGTTTTGGAAACAGTTTAGCAGCATCCTCTAAATCTAAATATGCATCTACCCTAGGAGCAGCAGTTCAATTCCTGGAAGAAATAAGTGCAAATATCCAATAAAAGCCACGAATAAGAATTCCCATAGCAATTTTATTCACAACAACCAAAAAAAGGAGGGGGGAGACAACTCAAATATACATCAGTAATATAAAGGATACATGATATAAAGGATAAATAAATTATGATGTATTCATGTGATAGAATACTGCATAGCAATGTAAAATATACATCAATGATACATCAATGATATACATCAAATATAAATCAATGATATAAAGGATAAATATACATCAATGATATAAAGGATAAATATACATCATGATATAAATATATGATATAAAGGATAAAAAATAAGGATATAGGATATAAAGGATAAATGATATAAAGGATAATATAATATATATCAATGATATAAAGGATAAATGATATAAAGGATAAATAAATTAGGATGTAGTCATGCAACAGAATACTGCATAGCAATGAAAAAGAATGAACAACTGCTAAACATAGAACAGGGATGAATCTAGCAGACACTATATTGAGCAAGACTGAAAGAAAAGTGATACTGTATGGTTCAATTTATATATGCATCCCACTTAGAAGCACAGCCGATCAGTCGTGCCAGAAGTCAGAGAAGTGATAGATATCGGTTGGGAATAAGGATGAGGGAGCCAATGGCTGCTACACAGTTCTAAATTTTGATCTGGGTGTTACTTTTAAACAAGTGTTTAAAGATGTAAATATTTACCAAACTATATACTTGAAATTAGCTGGTCTCTACACACTTTACTAGGTGTATGTTACACCTTAATTTTAAAACAACAGCAAAATAATAATAAAAGCACAGATTCACAAGAACATTCATGAGAATTAACTAAAGAATGTCCAACTTCTTGATTTCTTGGGATAGTCTAAATTTTATGCTTGCATGAAGGCAGATCTACATGCCTCTTCAACTGCACTGCATCCCTTCAGCCTCTCATTAGAAATTAGGCTTTAGAATGTATCTCCTGTTTTATGTTGAGGGCTTTCTAAGAAACAAGATGAAATCTGATGTCATTTTACTCTATGGATGTTATTTGAGGACATTTTCTACCATCTCTTCCTGATGGAGAGGCAATGGAGAAAATTCTTTTAGGGTTCACGCCAGGAAAGCTGTTTCTCTTGAGCAACTGGTATGTTTTTATGTGACGGATGCTGTTAATCCTGTAACTGAACTTCCTGGTGGTCAGAACAAAGAGAGGGGAAAAACACACATCGATTGGTTTGTGACTCTTTTTCTGGCTTTCCACCTACTTCTTGAGCCACTCTCTTTTAGGGCTTTCTGGAACATTTATCTTTGTTAACTACTTTTATCCCTGGGTTCATTTTACTTTTCTATCTTTTTTTTTTCCTACCATAGTTTCTTTATTATTTTTATTGTATTGTACTATTATTGTACTATTTATCATTGTACTATATGGCAATTCCTACAAACGCTTTGTTTTAAAACATAAAGAATCAATAGATAAAAATAAATACAGAGATGCATCATAATGTACATACATAAGGGAAGCCATTATTGTTAAATACCATTCTGCTCACTAACCTTTACACATAAGCCTGTTTTATCTCTTTAACTGTAGTCTAAGCAACTTGGGCCTGGCCCATGTATGTTTTTGAACAGTTCTAGGTAGACAGCAGAGGCCTAACAAGTACCATTTGACTGCTTCTGTGCAATTAGAGCTAATAGCAATGGTTTCAGAACATGTGGTACAGAACATGAACACATTTTTAATCCATGAAAGAACTCTTGCTCTAGGCCTGCAAAAACTTGCACATGATTTGGAAATTGGGTTATTTTAATTATAATGTCATAGAGAACGACATGTATTTTAATCAACTTCAGTTGACAATGCTGCAACCACATCATAGCTGCTGCTGATTCCAAACCATCTAAAGAATTACTTCCAGGTTTTAAGAACTTGCAGCTTTGTGAGTTAGGAGTGCAGCCTGCCCAGCTGCTGCCTGAGCCCAACCCTGCAGGATCCAGGCCTTTGTCATTAGGTAGGTTTTGAGGACCAAGGTCCAGGGCCAAGTGTGATCTCCAGGACTGGATCCCAGGCCCTGGGGAATAGGCATCTCCCAGAGGCTATGCTTTTCCTAACAATTTTCTAAACTACTGGCAAGAATTTAGCTTCTCTGCCCTTCAGCATAGTCAGCAAACAGCACCAAAGTTTTGCTTGGCACTTCCTTTTGACAACATCTTGCAGTTTACACAGCTGGTTCTCTATTATAAAAGTTGTGGGTGACCTTTAGTACATAATAATGCCTTAACTTTTGAGAAGATGGTTGCCATTTTTGCCCACTGACCACAAAATTTCCTGAAGGGAGATGATTCTCCACCATTAAAACTGACTGACAAGGTTTCTTGATTTGCTTAATTAAGTAACCATGGGGTATTGCATGCTGAAATAGTTATTTCAGAATTAAACCTTCCTGGTTCTTTGTGTTAATGTTATCCTACGCAATAAACAGAACTATAAAGGCTTTTACGACTTATGTTTTTAATAAAATAAGTAGAAAATTTGTTGTTTATAGACAGATATAAAGATATAAATGCAAATATTGGACACATCAACACCAATATTTATAGAGAAAAGATGGATGTTATTTGAGAAAATTATTCGAGGAGCTGAAAAAAATATGTATAGATATGAAAGAAGATTATTTAGGGAGCTTACAAGATAAGCCTACTTTGAGAACCTATTGTGTAACATGTCTTAAAACTTGTTTTAAAAATCACAGTGAAAAATTTTAACATCTTTAGGAAATAGTTTTTGGAAGCAAACATCAAGTAGAAAAGAATCCACAACTTGAAGAGCTGTTTAGCAGAGAAGGTTGGTTGTAACATGTTAAAACTTCAAGATTTTTCATTGAGGAACTGATTCAAATGCTATAAAGCAGCACTGACCATGAAAGCAGATGGGTGGGTTAAAAGGTGTGAGGAAGCTCTGGCTACTTCAATTGGATACACTTAATCCTTCTTGGGAGGAAGATCATATAAAGCAAGTCACTCTATTGACGCTCAAGTAACTGGTGAATGAATAAACCAATGATTGGATGAAAAAAAAAACACTGAGCATCAAAATATTAGCTTTAAGAGAAACCCAAGCAGTCTTCTGGACTCACCTCTTCATTTTATAGAGAATATAAAGCACGTATAGCTGAGGGGCATCTGCAAGGCCATATGGCTAATCGATGGCAGCCATAGGGCTCGAACTCAGGACTTCTGCTTCCTCATATATAAATACTTTCTGCATTTCATTGTGTTCTCTTTTTATTTTTTTAAAAAAAGCACTAAGAGAAAAAAAGAAAGGAGCATTGTTTGAAGAGGCTGAACTCTGTAGTTACGTGCAGGGCCAGGGGAAACAGGAACTCCTCATTCTGATAGGGCTACAGAGAAGAGGATATTTAATCAGAGACCAAAACAGATTGTTAAACGCTACACTGTGTCTCCCCAGAATTCATATGCTGAAGCCCTAGCCCCAGTACCTCAGCAGGTGACTGGATTTGGAGACGGGGTTTTAAAAAGGCAATTAAGGTTAAACAAGGTTTTATGGGTGGGTCCTAATCCAATATGCCTGAATTAAAAGAGGAGATTAGAACACAGACAACCATGTGAAGACACAAGGAGAGGGGCTTCAGAAGAAACCAATCCTGCTGACACCTTGGTCTGAGACTTCTAGCCTCCAGATTGTGAGAAAATCAATTTCTGTTGAGCCATCCAGTCTGTGGCAGTATTATGGCAGCTGTAGCAAGTTAACACACAGGAATCAACTTCTGCCCCTCAGAGCCACAGTAAAACCTGCAATCCCAAGTTCAGTTATGCGGTGGTTACTAACAGTCCATGAAGGTGTGAGACACATGTTGTTTTCTATGACTGTTTTTAGTTTACTGAATATAGCCAACACAATTATACGGGTATTTAATTAAAATGTAGATTTTTTTTTTTAACTTAAGAAGCAAAGCTGACTTGATTGTACCAAGCATAATGTTAATGCCAACCAGCATCCCATGTGGAAGGAACTACTGGGTTTATTTCACTCTAGATGGCAACCATCAGCCCTGCAGGAACTATGATCCTACCGGACGTTGGCAAATGGGTCTCAGGTTAGGTGTCGATGCCAGTCCATTAGCAGTGGCCGACTGACATCTCCTTTTAAAATGTACTCCAAGATGGAGTCTTGGTTCAGGAAAAGGGGGCCCTAAAAATGGGCCTCGGTAACTGCCCCTGGCACAGGACAGCAGATTTGCCCCAGGGAGTGGCGCGTCTGAAGGGCAGATCTGCTAAATGAATACTGAGGAAACACGGGAGCCACCTTTTATGTTCAGTTACTTTTGAAAACTATCTTAACAGATAATAACAAATATATTTTTAATGGACTAAGAATAGGGAGAAGAGATGGGAAGAGATGGTAGCAGGAGAAGGTAAGAATTGTCTGTCTTTGGCAGATGACATCCCCTGCCCACAGAATGACAGTTTATTTATTTATTTATTATTATTTTTTTTTTTTTTGAGACGGAGTCTCGCTCTGTTGCCCAGGCTGGAGTGCAGTCGCGTGATCTCAGCTCACTGCAAGCTCCGCCTCCCGGGTTCACGCCATTCTCCTGCCTCAGCCTCCCCAGTAGCTCGGACTACAGGCGCCCACCACCACGCCTGGCTAATTTTTTTGTATTTTTAGTAGAGATGGGGTTTCACTGTGTTAGCCAGGATGGTCTCAATCTCCTGACCTCGTGATCCACCCTCCTCGACCTCCCAAAGTGCTGGGATTACAGGCGTGAGCCACTGCGCCCGGCCTTTTCTTTTAACTTTTAAGTTCAGGGTACATGTGTAGGTTTGTTACAAAGTAAACTTGTGTCACAGGAGTGTGCTATGCAGATTATTTCATCACCCAGGTATTAAGCCTAGTACCCATTAGTTGTGTTTCCTGATCCTCTCCCTCCTTCCACATTCCACCTTCTGATAGGCCCCAGTGTGTGTTGTTCCTCTTTGTGTGTCCATATGTTCTCATCGTTTAGCTCCCACTTAAAAGTGAGAACCTGTGCTAATTGGTTTTCTATTCCTGTGTTAATCTACTAAGGATAATGGCCTCCAGCCCCATCCATGTTCCTGCAAAGGACATGGTCTTGTTCTATTTTATGGCTGTATAGTATTCCATGGTGTATATGTACCACATTTTCTTTATCTAGTCTACCATTGATTGGCATTTAGGTTGATTCCATGTCTTGGCTATCATGAATAGTGCTGCAATGAACATATGTGTGTGTGTGTCTTTATGATAGAATGAATGATAGTTTTTAGTAATAAGGCAAGATATGCACACATGTCCTTTAGGAACAAGTATTATCTTGTTCTTTCTTCCACTTGCCAGCCCCACTGCCCTACCTCTACGGCTGGCTGAAACATGCTCTTAGCAGTTACAACACCTGGAATTGTGCCCATGTGGTTTATCCAGTAAACAGTAATACAATAGCCATTTGTATACAAACAGTAAAACAGTCCTTAAGGAATTTAGATTTAAAGAAGCAACTTCCTTACTACATAAAAAGACCAGGGAGAATTAATTACTAATAGAAAACTGTCATAGGAACTTTCTGAAAGTCTCCTTATTCAATACCACCTGTAAAAATCACTTTACTCCCATTAGAGAAGGAAAGAATTTTCATTACTTTGAACATTTTAAATATGGTTAATTTCATTATATATTATATATTATATTTTTTCCAAGTGAAACTTTATGTTGTGAAATACTGAATCATTTTAAGAGGCTTTTTGGCCGGGCGCGGTGGCTCACGCCTGTAATCCCAGCACTTTGGGAGGCCGAGGCGGGCGGATCACGAGGTCAGGAGATCGAGACCATCCCGGCTAAAACGGTGAAACCCCGTCTCTACTAAAAATACAAAAAATTAGCCGGGCGTAGTGGCGGGCGCCTGTAGTCCCAGCTACTTGGGAGGCTGAGGCAGGAGAATGGCGTGATCCCGGGAGGCGGAGCTTGCAGTGAGCCGAGATCCCGCCACTGCACTCCAGCCTGGGCGACAGAGCGAGACTCCGTCTCAAAAAAAAAAAAAAAAAAAAAAAGAGGCTTTTTATGTTTACAAAGGATTAGATTAGATTAATTATAAGAATTTTCAAAATAAAATCCAGTTTAAACTTATTAGGTTTTATTATAAAGTACAATTATTATATTTAGGCACAATAGCTTGGCATATAATTTCACATTCTGACTTTGTACATCTGAAATTAGACAGTGGTTTATTTCATAGATTCCAGACAAACCCTAGAAGCAAGACAATGTTAAAAATGTAGAAGCTTTGGTTCCTTGCACATAAACATGCTTTACACTGTAATGTTAATTCACTTAAGAGTTCCAGTTTGCTTATTTTTTTTTAGTTTATACGTTTCCTCCATCTAATCAATGTGTTATCTTATGCAGTTTCAACAATGTAACAATAACGCTACAAAATTTAAATGAAGACGTAATCAATAGGTTAAGATAAATTATTTTTACTTATGCATTCATATTACTCTTATGGCCTCAGCAATGTACACTCTAGCAAAAATCAGTATTCTTTCAAGTAAAACACAGGGGCAAAGGAATTTTAAGAAAAGTAGGCCAATAACTGCAGTTACCATATAACATTTGTGAATAATTTGCTCGGTTTCAAAAGTGCAAGAAAAATGCTGCACATTTGAAATCTGGTGAAAGGTAAATGAAGACAAGGCCTAGAGCAAGGTTTACATGCCAAGGGTTAGAAAAGAAGTGAATACACAGCTGCTTTAAGTCAAGCATTTATAATCTAAAATATGTATAAGGAAAATACCCTGTAAATAACTGAATTAACCATGAGAAACATATTTGTGAATATTTTAAAGCCAAATTCAATAAAATATTCATTAAACAAGTTCACAAGCAGAAACGGAACTGTAAGTTTTAAAACTTGTGTAAGCTTCATGCCATCTCTTAAGGCCTAAGCAATATAGTATTTACAAACATAGCAATAGTGGACTCCTAAGTAGTTTATGGCCATTTTCTGTACTTCTGGAAGATACCACATTGCAAAACATACTCAGGCAAACCACCAACTCAAGGCTAAGGATCTTGCAAATTTATACTTTAAAAAAAAAGAAAGAAAAGAAAAGAAACTGAGATGCAAAATCTACATATTAAAGAGATAAATAGTGATTCCATAAAATTTCCTGCTATAAAAGATAATTCTTTCTTGCAATAAAACAATTAAAATTTTCAAATTTGCTACCATAGTATGGCTGTGACAACTTTTTTCACGATAAAAATAACAGCAAATGAACTGTGGTAATAGTTCTAATTTGATGTGAAATTCATTTAGGAGTTCAGTAAAATTTAGGGCTGGGCACGATGGCTCACGCCTGTAATCCCAGCACTGTGGGAGGCTGAGGCAAGTGGATCACTTGAGGTCAGGAGTTCGAGACCAACCTGGCCAGCATGGTGAAACCCCATCTCTACTAAAAATAGAAAAATCAGCCAGACCTGGTGGCGTGCCTGTAATCCCAGCTACTCGGGAGGCTGAGGCAGAAGAATCGCTTGAACCTGAGAGATAAAGGTTGCAGTGAGCCAAGATCACGCCACTGCACTCTAGCCTGGGCGACAGACCAAGACTCTGTCTCAAAAAAATAAATAAATAAACAAAATTAAATTTAATTCTAGCAATGATTGGAACTACTTATATCTTATATTCAGTTGTAAGACAACATTCTGTAGTGGTTATTTTTCTTCACTGACCAACAAAATTAACTCCTAGGAAGTCCACCTCTCCTCCACCAATCAATAAAAACACACATGATTCAGCAATTAGCAGATATGAGTGGTCTCCCTGGGTGAAAAGGTAATGTCTTACAGTTTTCTCCCTTCTCCCACCATGAAAGGGAATGCCTTGCCAGGGGATCATTCCCCAGCAACAACCCCACGAGCAGTGTGGATGCTTTGTTTACTACATTGCAGACTCTAAAAGCAAAGTTTTGCAAAAGGTTGGAAGTGAATTACTATTCCTAAACACTGGTTTTATTCTGATACTACTAAAACCCAAAACAAGTATTAAAAATGTCTAAGTCAGATTAACTTTTTTAAAAAACTCACAAATTCAGACACTATGCCTAATTTTTTGAAAATGTTCCAGTGAATGATTTCTAAGAAGAGGTCATATAATTAAATTGAAAAATGTAGAGGCAAGTCTGATAATCCCCAATTTCCATAAAACTCAACACCTGCTGCCCATGTAATAAATCAGTTTGTGAATCTAATTGCTCTTGTTTTGCATGCTTCCATGAGCCTGTACAGCTAAGCTAACACCATTGTCATAGCCTTAATCACAGTCAGGTTTATTTTTGTTGGCAGCCCTATGCAAATCATTGTATTATGGGTCTTTGCACTTAATTCACTTAGATTATACCCTGATACTGAAAACAGATTGTAAAACAGGAAGGGTTTCTGAATTGTTTAATTAACTATGAGCTGTAATTTCTATTTATATCTAAGCGAAACGTTATAGCTCTGTGTTAAATATTCATAGGAAAACAGATTATTCTGTTTCTAATTTATAATACTTAAGCTTGTTGTAATTTAGAAGTTATAGCTACCCACAGAGCGAATATACCAGCATTTTTTTCAATGTTTTGAGCCAATTTCTTTTATGTGAACTAACCTCTGGAACAAAACACCTAATTTACTAAATGCTATCTTGGTAGCCTAAAAGAGTTACAGCAACTTCAAAGTGGCCCAGCTTTTACCCTCTGTCTTTACATCTTCTACCATATGCTCTTTTCAAGGAACCATGGGGAAACCAATTGTGTCAGTCGATTACCACCAATTATTGTTGGTCAATTAAATTCTCAAGAGCCAGAAAAAGCCTGGTATCTACCTCACATTTTTTTAACCTCACTCACTTTTTCTAGCATGGTAAACTGTCTAAGAAAAAAAAAAAAAGGAAGAGTCATCAATTAAAGTGCAATCATATGACCCCAAAAGCACAGGCAACAAAAGGAAAAATAAGACAAATGAGATTACATACATCAAACCAACACTTCTGCACAGCAAAGGAAACAATCAACAGAATGAAGAGACAATCAAGAAAATGGGGAAAATATTTGCAAACTACATATCTGCTAAAGCTGGGGTGTCCAATCTTTTGGCTTCCCTGGCCCACAATGGAAGAAGAAGAATCATCTTGGGCCATACATAAAATATAATAACACTAAAGATAGCTGATGAGCTAAAAAATAATTACACAAAAAATCTCATAATGTTTTAAGAAAGTTTAGAAATTTGTGTTGGGCCGCATTCAAAGCCATCCTGGGCCGCATGCAGCCCACGGGCCATGGGTTGGATAAGCTTGTGATTAGGGATTAACATGCAAAATATATAAGAACTCAAACAACTCACTAGCAAGAAAACAACCCAATTTAAAAATGGGCAAAGTCCCTGAATAGGTATTTCTTAAAAGAGAACAGACAACAGGTATATGACAATATGCTTGATATCACTAATCATCAGGGAAATGCAAATTAAAATCATGATAAGCTCTCACCTCACACCTGTTAGAATGGCTATTTTAAAAAGATAACAGATAAGTGTTGGTAAGAATGTGGAGAAAAGGGCACCCTCACACACTCTTGGTGGGAGTGTAAATTACTACAACCATTATGGAAAACACTAAGGAGGTTCCTCAAAAAATTAAAAACAGAACTACCCTTTGATTCAGCAATCCAACCACCAGGTATTTACCCAAAGAAAATCAGTATGTCAAAGAGATAGCTGCATTTCCATGCTTATTGCAGCATTATTCACAATAGCCGAGTTATAAAATCAACCTTAAAGTTCATCACTGGATGAATGAATTTTTAAAATTGTGGTATATATAATGGAATACTACTCAGCCATAAAAAGGAAATCCTGTCATTTGCGAGAACATAAATGACCCTGGAGGACATTAAATTAAATAAACCAGGAGCAGAAAGATAAATAGTCCAGATCACTCATATGTGGAATCTAAAAAAGTTGATCTTCTAGAAGTGAAGAGTAGAATGGTACAGGGACTAGGGTGGTTGGGGGCAGAGTGGAGGTTGCTGGGGGGATGTTAATGAAAGGATAAAAAATTTCAGGTAGCTAAAAAGGATATGTTCAAGAGATCTATTGATCAACACAGTGACTATAGCTAACATTATATTGTATTCTTCAAAAATGCTGAGTGTGGATGTAGAGTGTTCTCACCACAAAAATGGTAACTATGTGAGGTAATGAATATGTTAATTAGCTGGAGTTCCTCATTCCACAATGTATATATACTTCAAAACAGTATGTTGTACATGATAAATACATACAATTTTATCTACCAATTTTAAAAAATAAACCTAAAGACTCTTAAATCCAATCACATTAGTCTCTTGCCATGAGAGAACCTATTTGCATCGAAATATTCTAATAGAGTAGAATTATGTTCAGACTTTTCCTATTGATTAATCTGATCTCAGAACCCTTCTAGATGTTAATATTTTCACACAAACTGAGAAGTGGTAAATAAAAGAGGAAGAAGAGCATAGGATGTTCATGAACATTCGCTACTAAACTATATTCCATCTACAAGACCACATGGCTAGACAAGCTCAGCCAAGGGCCCTCACAGGACCTCTCTTCACATGTGAAGAGAAAAGGGTTCCAACAACCATAGATATCAGGCAGGACCTCAGGACCTCTTCTGCTGCTGGGCAATCAATCTCCGAGTCGGTTAAAGTAAATGTAATTGGTATTTAAGGTAAATATGTAGAGATAGGACCCTGGAAAGTCCTTGAGTGAGTTTTCAGAGACTATACTGGAGTCACAAGCAGGGCTGAAGAAATGAGTCACTAAAGAATGACTGCTCTTTGGACTCCAAGTATGCATCATCTTTGCACAACTATTAAGCCATGAACTGCAAACATCCTCCTGAGGAAGGCATCCATTAAACTCCCAAACAGAAACTAGGTGCTTGTTCAAATTTAATTTAGACAAAGACAAGGTGCCCCCTGCCAGCTCTGGCAGGAGCCAATTCTACACAGAATGGGCTGTCCTTCAAAGAAACTGGGACACTCAATCAACGAGGGTGTGTCTGGGGGGTGTGGAGCTGGGGACCCTCTGCTTAGGGGTTTTCCTCACATTCTAAATAACATCTAGGGGAGGTACACTTGGTCAAACTCAGCTTCCAGAGGAAAGTAGACTTGAGTCACCTCTCACTGCTAGAGTCAGACCCTCACTAAATCCAGTTGGTCCTTTCTTTGTGATGACTTCCCTTTAAACACCTTCCACTTTGTAAGATATTGAGCACTTTCTCTATAATAATATATAACAGTGGATTGCTTACTCTATGCCAGATATTTTCGTAAATGCCTGAAATTTATGCCTGTGAAGTAGTACAATCATCTCTATTTTACAAACACAGAAACTGAGGCACAGAGGTGCTAAGGAACTTACTAGAAAGAGTTCAGTTACTAGATGACGGAGCTAGGGCTGAGTGCAGTCTGATTCCAGGACCTGCTCAGAGCCATTATGTTACATGAGGCAAATGAAAACAAGCAAAATTCTGCCCCTGCCCACTAAGAGACCAGAGATTATTTGCTTGCTTACTTGTTTCTTGTTTGCAGGAATGGGGGTGGGTTGAAAACTATAGAAAGCTCAATAAATTATTTAAATACAGTGTGACATGACTATAACAGATTTATGAATAGAGAATCTAACTCAATCTGGAATATAAAATGTGGGGTAAGAAATGGGCTGAGTGTTGCTGGAGAGGCTGAGGCATGGCAAGCTTTGTATACCAAGAACCTTGGGATTTACACTGTAGCTTTAGGAGAACTGCCTTTTGGATGGATCATTCTGGCTGCATATGCCAGAAAGGCGCAAGAAAACAGATAGAGGGATAATGTTGGCAATTATTTTATAACGCAGTCAGGGAAATTTAAGGAACAGGTTGAGAGAGACTTGACAGCAAAAGTGGAGAATTATTTTAAAATGAGGAATGATGGGGCTGGATAGTAAAAGACTGTCAGGGTGAATGGGAAAGGAACCGAAACACACAACGATGTCAATTTCAGGCATGTTTAATTGTGCTCTCCATGTCCTGTGTAAAAGGGATGCCAAGAAAGCATGTAAAGGTATGAGAGTGACTCTCTAGGGAGAGGTCTGAACAGAAGATAAATGTATGAAAACATTAGCATATGAATAAATTTATTCTAATTCACCACACCCATCTTGAAAGAAAAAAAGATCAAACATATTCCTAGGGAACAAATATGTATAATAGCAATGTAATTTGAAAGACTGACCTCCAAGTATGAGGAAGATAGAAACCAGACTTGACTTAGAACTTCTACTGGTGTCCGAAGCTATTATTGCTAATGGTTAGGAGACAACTTCTTGAGTCTTGATTTTTCATCTCCTCTTCAAAGTGCCCTCTACCCTTCTTCACTTTGTTGCAAGCACTGCTTTGTCCTTTCACTCCTAATTTTCCAGTGGTGTTTCGGTGTTCCTCCTTTTGACTCTCTATTTTCTCTAGGAGTCTCGTGTATGTACATAACAGACAAACAAACAAACAAACAGGAAATCACCTCCCATCAATCAGTATTTACTCTGGGTAAGCTGTCAAGTGACTAACAATGACTATACACAACTTCGATCTTGATGTATCTATTTTTTTATATCTATTAAGTCTGTGTTCCAAATGAAAGGAAATTACCTACATTCTGCATTTCATTATCATTTCACTACAGCATATGAGTTTTTATGCACACACACACATACACATACACACACACATAAGGACAACTTATTATGACTTTATTTCTACTGGTATAAAAGGTAAAAGACCTTTAAAAGCAACATAGATTCCTTACCTCAGCCAAATCTTCATAATCTTTACATTTTAAGTCAGTCCCCAACTTAAGCCAGATAGCTAGATGTTTATTGGTGTGATTTGATAAGGGTTGAGAGGCTGTGCAAAAAATAAATCTCCCCTCAACGTCTACCCATTCCAATTTATGATAACTTGGTGTCAAGCCATAGAAGGTCACCATTAAAATGCAAATATATCATCTGGAATAATAACTCATACTGCCATTACATTCTATTAGCATACTAGAATAAATTTATCATATTAACCTACAAGTCACTTGATATGACTTTAAGACAATAGCATGGTATATTAAATTTGGGTGGTGGGATAGAAGAAAGAGACTAGTCCAGAATATGAGGCAAGGCCTGGGATAAAAAGGAAGCCGGGGTCCCCTAGGGGGAAGGATGTCAAAAACAGAAGGAATAAACAAATTTGCCTGGAGCAGTCTTGCCCAGATGATGAAAAAGCACTTTCACTTCTGAGTGTCTGGTTTTGAGATGATTTAAAACATGGTCATTATTTGCTTGAAATCCTGCAGGAAACTTTGAATTATATATGTACATATTGTACTAGTTATCTTAGAAATGTGATTGGGCTGCAATTATGTCAGTAAAGCTCTAACTACCAAAAGAAAATTGTATGGCATTCTCTATCATGCCTGGACAAATTTAGATGATTGAAAGCATAAACCAGGCCATATTTTATACTACATCTACATAAAGAAAAGCAGGAAAAGTCTTAGCTCATGCATGCTGGATGCTAAAACAACTTTGGGACTGAATAGTAGAAGGAGCGTTCGCCTCTGGGAAAATGGACACTGAAATACAGTAGCAATCCTGCCTCGGCTACACAAAGTCAGGATCGTGATTCACTGACAGAACTGCTGAGCTCCATATGGTTTAAAAACTCCAGCCGGAAAGTCAGTTTTTCTGGAAATGGCAAATTACACTTAACTATTTTAGCTAAAGACACACTTCGTATAATTCTCAGACACAAATTATGGTGAACTGTAAACTTATATTGTGGTGTGTGCAACTAGAACAACAGTAAACATTGTATCTTGTCTCTTTTAACACCATAATTTTTTAGACTCAACAAAGATCTCTTAATTCCAGGACCTACTAACAGTGCTCTTCATTTTATGAGATATGCATGTCAAAGTACCTAGTAAGGTACCAGATATATGTATATTAGGTGCTTGATAAGTGTTTGCTAAATCTGAACCTAGGAAAACAAAATGATTTTAAAAATGTCTCTCTCAGTAAATTTTAATCACTGGTGTCTTCAGATAATGCAATACCAGATCACTTCTCTTCCCTCTGAAATCCCATTTGACTAGGTGATACAAAAAGGACTTGACTATCGCCATGACAGATATGTGAGCTGTGTGAACACTTCCTATCTGTATATATTTTATTTTATACCTGGTTTCCAAATAGTTTCCCCTCTCATTCTTCTTTGTCTGCTCCACATATTTCTTTTATAGGGAAATAAACTGCCTGGCTTCTCAGTTTTTACCACCAATACTGGCAGAGCTAGATTTTAATCATTTTAATTCACTTGGAATTTCTTGTAGGGTTGCCATATTTAGTGAATAAAAAATATAGGATGCCCAATGATATTTGAATTTCAGATAAATTAAATTTGAATTGCAGAATAATTTTGAGTATAAGCATGTCCCATGCAATATTTGAGACACACTTTTACCAAAAAATTTTATTTGTTGTTTCTCTAAAATAAAATTTAAGTAAACATTCTGCATTTTATCTGGCAACTCTAGTGACTTGATAAAATCATAGATTATGACTTTGAACTTATCACGCTACAGATAAGGTGCCTGAAGCATGGAGATGAAGAAACTGATGTAACTCAAACAGGCACCCAGTAACAGCCTTGACTACCACCCAGGCCTTGAAACCGCCAGTCAACAACTCTGCTACAATCTTGCCTCCCTGTAAAACCATCTGGTTAAATTTATCCAATTGCCATTGTTTAACTGAGTATATCTCATTACTGGCTCCCAAGGGTACAGGGCATTTTCATTACAGCTGAATGGTGAGTTCCACTCTGCCCCACCAAACATGCACACACAATTGTAGCAAGGTCTTTTTTTGTAATAAATTTGGTAATCAGTTTACTATTATCTTCATTATACGTATGATACTGAATTGTAGTTGTTTCTATACATACATTTCTTTCCAATAAGAGTGCATACTCCTTGAGGTCAGGAACTCAATTCATCTCTAGCACAGGTCCTGACTTACAGGGGCCTTTCACTAAATACTTAATAAAGCTCTAAAAACTATTCAACTGTTTAAATGACAGTATAGTATTCAAAAGGGAAGCGATCAGCTGGGTGCGGTGGCTCATGCCTGTAATCCAGGCACTTTGGGAGTCTGAGGCAGGTGGATCACGAGGTCAAGGGTTCGAGAAACCCCGTCTCTACTAAAAATACAAAAATTACCTGGGCGTGGTGGCATGCACCTGTAGTCCCAGTTACTCGGGAGGCTGAGACAGAAGAATTGCTTGAATCCAGGAGGCAGAGGTTGCAGTGAGCCGAGATCGTGCCACTGCATTGCAGCCTGGGCTACAGAGTAAGACTCCATCTCAAAAAAAAAAAAGGAAGAATCACCTTCAGTACACCCTACATAAAGATGGGATGTCCAGAATAAAGATCTCTCCTTGAGGTCTACATATTTGGAATATAGAAACATACTCTTACACACAGTAATCTTTTATGACATCGCCAAAATAAATGTACTCATACATATTAGCTATGGTGCTAATCTGATACTAGGAATAACTACTTCTTCGACAAATGATAACCAATGTTATTTGAGCAGGTACTACATTCTCTCACAATCTCATTTAATCCTTATAAACTACTACTTTGCATGCTCACTTAAAAAATAGGTAAACTGAAGCTTGTCAAGGTTAGTAATGCACCCAGCATCCCCACAGACCACAGCAGGGTCTGGACTTGAATCTAGGTGTCTCCAATTCCAAGTCCATGTGTTTAACTACTACTCTTTGGCAGTTCCACTGGTGGTCTCACATCCCTATGTGATGTGAGTCGCTGGAATGGTGGGGGGTGGTCCCAATATCAGCTACTCCTTACAGGAGAGGCACCTAAATTATAGCAATTATTTTCATAGGTGACATGATCACTTCCTGGTGTACATAAATGTTTTATTTATGTTACTTTTTATGAAATTATCATTCAGGAAGTGTGTTCATGCATTTGCTTCACCCTGCATCTCTTTCTGGTTGGAAGACAAAATACAGATCACATTTTTATTTACTATAATTACAAAAAAATTTGAATTTAAAATTTAAAAATGGAAGAAAGTAGAAATAAATTATTAAACTGAACTACTGACTATAGGGAAATACTTGGTGGTGCACAGTTTGCATTTAAGTATAAATGAGCTTTACTCAAGTCAGTAAGAAAAACTCAAACTTATAATCAAGTGAATTTTAAAATATGCATAATAGAAATAAACTATTTAGATTTTTCAAGTCCCATTTTAGTATGGTTATCAAATTTCTTTATAAATCACCTAATCCATGATCCATTACTCTCCTGTTGATGTATATTTTTACTACTGAAAATCATAGTTAATTTTATATGTATTTAAAATCACCTGTAAAGTAGATCTTCTAAAACTTGTTTAGAGAAAGTGATACAAAATATGACACAGTTCATTGAACTTTGTTAGTTTTAAGTATTCCAGGACTTACTTTCATATTAGCTTTTGAATGTTAGCGTACATCAGAATCACCTGGGATGCTTATTAATACATCCACCTCCAGATATTCTGCTTTGGTAAATCTGGGGCAGAGTCCTTGCATCTCCATTTAAAAAAAAATCATCCTGTAATTCTACTTCCACACTTCTACCTTCTTGAGATAATGACTGCTTTTTGCTGTTGTTTTGTTTTTTGTTTTATTTTTTTGAGACACAGTCTCCCTCTGCCCCCTAGGCTAGAGTGCTGTGGTATGAGCTCAGCTCACTACAACCTCTGCCTCCCGGGCTCAAGTGATTCTCCTGCCTCAGCCTCCCAAGTAGCTAGGACTACAGGTGTGCGCCACCACACTTGGCTAATCTGTATTTTTAGTAGAAATGGGGTTTTGCCATGTTGGCCAGGCTGGTCTCAAACTCCTGGTCTCAAATGATCTGCCCGCCTTGGCCTCCCAGAGTGCTGGGATTACCACCATGCCTACCTGCCTCTCCATTTTAATTACAGAAGTAATTCTGCCACAAGTGGAGCCAAAATTTCACTTGAAGAAACCTTGATTTTTTATCCTCCACTATGGCATTTCCCACAAATATATAAAATGAAATGAAGATGAATGCAGTGGTTCTCAATCCTGGCAGCACATCAGAATCACTAGGTCTAGAACCAGGCCAAGTTCACTAGGCGATTCTTATTAACAGTCAAGTTTGAGAAGCGCTGGCTCAAGCAATACAAGACATGACTAGAGAGTACTGCCACACTTTTCTTTATGTTGCTTGTAGAATACATCTTAATTAAAAAGTAGGACTGGCATTTAGAAGTAGCACCACCAACAAAAACACTTTTGTGAAATCTCTTCTTCTTGCATTCCTTTGCGACTTGTGGCAGGAATAGGGGACTCTCAGGGTGACCATCCACATAGGAGAAGGCCTGCTCTCCCCTCATATCCAAAAAGACTGTGAAAGTTAGGGATGCTTTTACAGCAGCAGAGTTTGCCACCCTCTGCACTACCTCATCTTTTGATCTAACAATTTTTTTGTGGGTGTGGCAATTGCCACAGCCAGCTTGGAGAACCTGGCCTGCTCATTCCAGAAATATTGGCCCCTTGAGTGCCTTAGAAACCATAAAAGAAGAGTTGGTTTGTACAGTCAGCTTTATTACCCTTTCCCCACTCCCATTTCTATGATTGATATGGTTTGAGTCTATGTCCCCACCCAAATTTCATCTTGAAGCGTAATCTTCATAATCCCCATGTGTCAAGGGTGAGACCTGGTGGGAGGTGATTAGATAATGGGGGTGGTTTCCCCAACACTGTTCTCATGAGAGTGAGTTCTCATGAAACTGATGGTTTTATAAGTGTTTGACAGGTCCTTCTTCACACACTCATACTCTCTCCTGCTGCCTTGTGCAGATGGTACCTGCTTCCCCTTCTGCCATGATTGTAAGTTTCCTGAGGTCTTCCCGGCCATGTGGAACTGTGAGTCAATTAAGCTTCTTTCCTTTATAAATTACCCAGTCTTGGGTATTTCTTTATAGCAATATAAAAATGGACTAATACAATGATTTTCTACTAAAATGTAGAGAACAAAGAAGAGGCACCTTCATTCACTTCTACACAGAGCATCAAAGCTGCCCCACTATGATGAGAAATGTCAAAGGCATATCCAGAGCAAAAGTATTTAGAAAATTAAAGAAGTTGACTCTCAAAGGTTTGCCAAGGAGGCAAGTCTTTACAAGTATCAGCTCAAGGCTCCATTTAACTTGCAAATTGAGCTAAACAGGGTGACCCTGGTTTTGTTTGTCTGTTCATCTCAGTGTGCAAAATATTTTTTTCCTGACTATGATGCATGATGTGTATCTTTAACCATGACTGTAATAGGGCAAATACTTTGTGTGTTTCTTCTTAAACCCATGTGTGCCAATTATATTTGTTATTGTAATTTTGCAATTTAATTATATTGCATAAGATGCACTCTGAGTGTAAAAAGGGTTTGTTGTTGTTTCAAAACTAATCCTAGAGCTTTCAGATAGATCTTTGATAAAAGCAAATTTAAGTATTTTGTGTAAACAAATGCCAGCGTAACTTCCAAGTGGATCAAGGATTCAAATGTAAAAAATAAAAGCATGAAAGTACTAGAGAAAAACACTGTGGATAATTGCTTTATAATTTTCAAGTGCTTTACTATGAATAAAAATCCTAAAAACAAATAAGAAAAGGTTGGTAAATTCAACTAAATGTCTAAAACATGCATAACATGAAATACCATAAGCAAAATTAAAAGGCAAGCAACAGACTGCAAAGATACTAGATTATATATAAAGGGCTAATCTGAACATATTAAAAGTTCATAAAAACCCATAATACAAAAATCAACAAATAATAGACAAGAGACTGGGAAATAACCGAAATTCAACAGAAAAGGAATAACTGACTTTAAAACATATAAACTCTATATCAACTCCACTAATAATAACAACAATAACAATAGCCTAAACGTACTATGTGCCAGGCACTAGTCTAGCTCTTTACACATACTAACACATATAGTTCTTAAAGCAGCCCTATGAGGTGGTTATTCTTTTTCTCTGCAGTATATACACCAGGACATTAGAGACACCAAAAGTTAAGACATTTGCCCAAGGTCACAGAGCTGGTAAGTGTTACAGCCTAAATTTAACCCTGAGTGGTGGGTTCCAGAGGCTGTGTTCTTAACCACTATGAATACTTCCTTTTATAATAGGAGAAATCACATTAAAATCACATTGAGATATAATTTTTTACCTCTCATACTGACAAAATTTTAAAAATTTTCTAACAAACTGTCTTGGCAAAGCAGTGGAGAACACAGGCACTCTAACACTTCGCTGGTGACATGTAAACACAACACCTACGGGGGGAAATCCAGCAATCTCACTCCTAGGAATTCATCCCACACATGTAATTGTACACATGCAAGATTATATATTTCTGAGGTTATTATTCTTACAGCATTGTCTGCAATAGCAAAAGATTGGAGAAGCTTTACTTGTCCATCATAATGTCACAGCCATTCGGTAGAATACTACACAACCATAAAAAGAAGAAAGCAGTCTTCTATCCACTAATATGGAATGACCTCCAACATACAGCAAACGCAAAAGCAAGATGCAAACCAGTGGGTATAGTGTGCTATCTTTTGTGTAGAGAAAAGGAATAAGAATATGCATTTGTTGGACATTCTAGGGAGTAAGAAAAGAGGATTCTGAATTCCAAACCCAGGTCCATTCTCAAAGGAAAATCCTTGGCCTAACCTCAAAACATTGACAAATAAGTATACCCTATGCCTTTTAAGTTAAAAATAAAATGATTAAATATGAATTCATTATCTTCATATGAGTCTCCACTATGGCCAACTTTGTCAGTTAATCTAATCATGGCTTGATGGGGTTTAAAGGTGATGCTCTAGGAAAAGTGCCTTCTGCTTAAGGGACCCTCTACATAGTAATGCCACTCACTACCCAAGTGCAGTGACTGCCTCCTTTGTCCTTGTGCTTCTGCACTTTCTCCTTCGTTTGAGTTTCCATTTCTCCGCATTATTCAGAAAAATTTTCTATCCATGCTCTTTCTGAGGTCTTCAGTCATACTATGTAAGTATACAGAACTCACCAGAACAAACTAGAGGGGTTTTGGGGGGTTTTGTTGCTGTTGTTTTTGAGACAGTCTCCTTCTGTCGCCCAGGCTGGAGTGCAGTGGCACGATCTCAGCTCATTGCAACCTCTGCCTCCCAGGTTCAAGAGATCCTCCCACCTCAGCCCCCCAAGTAGCTGGGATTACAGGCACACAACACCAAGCCCAGCTACAAACTAGTGCTTTGAAAGGACACTGTGTAGGGTTGCTATGATCTAAATGTTTATGTCCCCACAAAATTCCTGTTGAAACCTAATCACCAATATGAGTATTAGGTGTTGCCTTTGGGAAATGATTCTGTCATGAGGGTGGAGCCCTCCTGAATGGGATTAGTGGCCTTATAAAAGGGGCCCAAGGTTGCTCATTGTTATTTCCACCTTGTGAGTACACAGTTTGAAGGCACCATCCATGAACAAAATAATGAGTTCTCATTAGACACAGAATCTGCCGGCACCTTGTTCTCAGACCTCCTAACCTCCAGAACTGTGAGAAACAAATTTCCATTTTTAAAGCCACCTCATTTATGGTATTTTATTATAGCATCCTAAACTTCCCAAGACCAGGGTCATCCAGAGAAAAGAGATTTTGTTACGTTTATTCTACTGCACTAAATAACAAGGCCAAAATATGTTACTATTCTATATTTTTATCATAAAAATATATTTTGGTTTGTGCCAGGTGTGGTGGCTCACAACTGTAATCCCAGCACTTTGGGAGGCCGAGGAGAGCAGACTGCTTGAGCCCAAAAGTTTGAGACCAGCCTGGACAGCACAGAGAAACCCCGTCTTTACAAAAAATACAAAAATTAGCCAGGGGTGGTGGTGCCTGCTGTGGTCCCAGTTACTGGGGGAGGTGGAGGGTAGAGGCCAGAGAATCCCTTGAGCCCAAGACGTTGAGGCTGCAGTGAGCCAAGATCACGACACTGCACTGCAGCCTGCGCAACAAAGAGAGACCCGGTCTCAAAATAAATAAATAAATAAATAATTATTTTGTTTTGCTTCTTAAAGCAAGCAAATATATTATTTTTGTGGAAGTATCCTAAATCATACAACTTCACGAGTATTTTATAACCAACCTTATTGCTTTACATAAGGTTAACGTTTTATAATTCATGCAATAAATTATTTATTTTAGGAACTACTTTCACAGAAAAGTAAGTAGACAGTTGGCTCCTTCATAAAGCTACTTTAGAAAGCATGCTTAAGTAGGAAGTAAGCTATCCCTAAAATATATTAATTACCTGTCTAGAAGGGAATTTGGAATCTTTTAAACAAAGAAAAATGTATTCTTTGGCACCAGATTATGTATGCTCCTTACTGAGTGAACTTCAATGCATTTTGACTTCCAGTACCTTAAATTGTGAAGTACAAACCATTTCTCGGCCAATGTAAGTCAATAAAATATAAAAAGAAAATATTTTTACACGCTTCAGTAAGGATGTGTCTACAAATTGCTCACAAATATAAAGAATGCCATTTTTATTTTAAGAATATATTTAGAAAAGGTTTAAATGATAGGCATTTTTATTATGCACTTGAATCTGCTCCACTGGAGAGCATATTGTCCTGTCTCTAAAAAATATTCATTTCCTGCCTTAAAAAGCCAATACTTTAAATAGTGCATAGTAGAAAGCGCTGTGCACAAACAGAATGCTATGGGAATTCAGAAGCAAAATTTAATGCTTCTGGCTGAAGGAATCATAGATGGTAATGGTATTTTTAGATTATTGTTCTGTAATAATATAGTACCCTACCCTCACACTATATATTATTTATTATTTTAATATATAATAAAATATAGTAGTATTTTATTAAAGTTGGGCTTGATCATGTGACTTACTTTGGCCAATGAAATTTTAGCAAACATGATACTAGCAGAGGCTTTAAATGTACTCATTTTCATACTTTATCATGTATTCATTAGACTCAAAATGATGAGAGACTCATGGGTCAAATCTGAAGCAAAGCAAACCCCAAAGCAAGTCCAGCTCACCACGATTGAAAACACAGCTGTCCAGCTGAACCCAGCCCTAAAGCAGCCAAACCATAGTCAACCAGCAGTTGCTTGAGCATGAGATGTTGCAGTAAGTCACTGAGATTTTGAGTTTTTTATGTGGCACTGTATTAGTCCGTTCTCATGCTGCTATGAAGAAATACCTGAGACTGGGTAATTTATAAAGAAAAGAGGCTTAATTGACTCACAGTTCTCCATGGCCAGAGAGGCCTCAGGAAACTTACAATCATGGCAGAAGGTACCTCTCCACAGGGCGGGAGGAGAGAGAATGAGTGCCGAGCGAAGGAGAAAGCCCCTTATAAAACCAACAGATCTGGTGAGAATTCACTCACTATTATGAAATAGCATGAGGGAAACCACTCATATGGTTCAATTACCTCCACCTGGTCCTGACCTTGACACATAGGGGGTTATTACAGTTCAAGGTAACATTGGGTGTGGACACAGAGCCAAACCATATGAAGCACTATTGTGGCAAAAACTGACTGATGATGGATTTTGAATTTCACATGAAGGATGGATAAAATTTAACTATGTGAAAAGGAAAGAAAGGGCTTACAAGGCTGAAGACTCATGTGAGTGAACACATCTTCCAATCCATCACTCAGCTAGATCTTTCTTTCTTTGAAATATTTATTTTTTTGTTTCTTTTTAATTGTGCCAGGGAGGGAGTCTTTTCTCCTTCATATCCTCTCTGAGGTCTTTGCAATATTTCTTGTGTCAATCTGTTTCCTTCCATTCTAACTACTCTGACCCCAGCTTAAGTCATCTTCATATCACACCTATTACTGTAAGAGTCTCCTAAAAAGCCTTCCTCACTTAGTCTCTTTAAACTGCCCTATACATAAAGGCAAAATAAATGGTGCTAAAAAAAAATAAGATCATGTGAAGTCATTGAGAAACCTCCAACACATCCCTGTGCAGACTGAACTTACAAATTTGTCAATCTATTCCTTCATTTTGGTCTATATTTTCTGAGTACCTGTTACATTTCAGCATTGTTACCAGATGTGGGTAATGAAAAACCAAAATTAGCCATGGTCCCTGATCCAAAGGAAGCTAAAACTCATGGAAGAGATGAGCAAGGAAATCAGCTGTTACTTGGCAATGAGACAAGACTATCATAGAAATGTGCAGAAAACTGGCAAACTTTTGGGGCTGGGGACAAAATATCTTCTCAAAAAAGATGATGCTTAATTTGAGGTTTTTTGTTTAGTTTTGTGTTGGAGTAGAAATTAACTCCAGGAAGATGACTGACGGGTCAGGTAAGACTAGCAGGGCATTCCAGGCAGGTAAACAGCATGGATGAGCACAGTGATGGTGCCACAACACAAAGATAACATGGTTAGAATCAAAGGGTGCACGTGGAGAAGAGAGGTGCCTGCATATCCACAAAGCTGTTAGACATCCTGTAAGCTCCACGCCTTATGCTATTGCTTACATGTGGTCACTGTTGTTTATGTTGTCATTTAATAAATCAAGCCTCACGATTGAATAAAAATTTGGAGAATGTATGCAATTAATACAGTAATCTTAAAGGTCATCTTCACACCAACACAAGGAGCAAAGCAGGAAGGGGAGAAAAAACAGCAAACTAGGAACCAGAGGCAGGCTTCCGTATGGGTTCCACTTGTCCCAGACCTGGTTCATTAGCCTGGTGACCTTGACAAAGATGCTTGGAACCAGTGCCCTCAATAGTAAAAAGCAGGCCATATTTCCTGGCTATTCATATTTTGTTGTCATGATCAAATGATATGCATTATGTCATGATCAAATGATATGTATATGTCATGATCAAATGATATCCCAATTTGAAAAGTGCTGCACAAATTCTAAGCATTCCTACTAAATGAAAGAGATTGTACATTTTGTAAAATGCCAACTCCAATTTATCAGAAGTAATCACTAGCTTCTCCATAATTTTTCAGAGTGGCTTCCTGAATGAGTGATAATATCTTCTAAGCTAATTGGTGTTCAAAGCTGAATTTCAGAAAGATGTCCAATAGACCAGAGCTCCATATGTCACAGAGCCGTTATGCAAGAAGGTGGAGAAAAGTTCAGAAAAAAGTTTTTAAAAAAAAGTTTTAAATAAAATCAAAGACTACATGATTTCTTAAAAGAAAAAAAAAGCTCAGATGAGACAATAAAACAATAAAGGGTGATAAAAAGCGAGCAAGCAAAGCTCTAGGAAGAAACAGGAGAAAAAAACTAAAACAGTTACAAAATAAAAGCTACAATGGAAGTAACAATAAATAGAATAAATATGAATGAAATGGTCAGGGACACCAAACAAGCTGGAGAAAGTAATTCAAAACAAATGGAAAAAAATTGAAAATGAATTTTATAAAAGATATATGAGGGACAGATTTTAAAAAAAATCTAACATAAGCATAATGAGCATCTAAAAGGAATCAATCAAGTAAATGAAACAGACCAAAATTTTAAAATGTAATGAAACAAAAGCTTTTCTGAAATTATAATTAAACTTTCCAATCAAAAAATAACACTAATTTCACATAAGATTAATAAAGTTTTCTTAGTAAATAAATGCTTTAAAAAGAAACACCATACCCCACAAAAAGAAAAGCAGTGATAGAGAAAACTATCAAATGTAAGTTGCTACTAAGCCTCAAGAACAAAGAAAGATCATGGGATATTCAAGGAGAAAAATATCTAACCATACACAAGGTGGAAAGATTAAGTTGATCTCATCATTCTCCGCAGTAGCATGCAATAACAGAAGGCATTAGTGTAATCTCTAAAAACAAGGGTAAAAAAGTGAGACTCAATGATCTTATATTCCTCCAAGGTGCCTTTTAAGTATGAAGGTAATAGACACTCTCAAACTTGCACAAAATCAATGAGCATATAGCTCTTCTTGAAAAATTACGCCACTAAAAATTTTAAAACAAACAAAAGAATGGTGACAAAATGTAAATTCACTGAAATAGTACAGTATTTCATATACTTAAGATAAAACTATTAGAATTTTCATAATAGAATATTATAAATCTTGACAATGTCAAAAGATTATAACTTAAAAAATAACTGTAAGATGGGAAAGAACTGAGAAGTGGACTAATTTCTTCAGCTTTATATCAAAAAGTCAATAGTCTGTTTAAAATTGGTAGTTTAAAAAATAGTCTGTCTGAAATTGTAGTTAAAATAATTCTTTTTTAATTTTTAATTTTTGTAGGTATATAGTAGATGTAAATATTTATTAGGTACATGATGTGTTTTGATACAGGCATACCAAGTGAAATAGTCACATCAGGGTAAATGGGGCAACCATCCCCTCAAGCATTTGTCCTTTGAGTCATAAAGCATTCAGTTATCCTCTTTTAGTTATTTTAAAATATACAATTAAGTTATCATTGACTATAGTCACCCTGTTGTGCTATCAAATAGTAGATCTTATTCATTCTTTCTAAATTTTTTCTGTACCCCTTAACCCTCCCACCTCCTCTCCAGCTCCTCACTATGCTTCCCAGCCTTCTACTCTATGATGTCCTTGAGTTCAATTAATTTGATTTTTAGATCCCACAAATACATGAGAACATGCGATGCTTTTCTTTCTCTGCCTGGCTTTTTTCACTTAACATAATGATCTCCAGTTCCACCCATGGAACTGCAGGCATGAAAAGGAATGTGAGATCCTGTCATTTGCAACATGACAAGATCTCTCATTCCTTTTTATGGCTGAATAGTACTCCACTGTGTATATGTACCACGTTTTCTTTATCCATTTATCTGCTGATATACTCTTAGGTTGCTTCCAAATCCTGGCTATTATGAACAGGGCTGTAACAAACATGAGAGTGCAGATATCTCTTCAATATGCTGATTTCACTTATTTTATGTATATACACAGCACTGGAATTGCTGGATCCTATGGGAGCTCTATTTTTAGTTAAAAATAACTTACTTTGTAGATTTGTATTTATCTTTTGCTCTTGAGATTGTCTTTTATAAGTTGATATAACTTGTAAATATAACAGTTTCCTGTAGTTCAGGAATTCTTTACCTCACTTCAGGTTTTTTCTTTTAAAGTCTAATAGAATGAAATATTTTTAATTAAAATATTAATGATATGATCTAACTTTTATAAAATCATTTTTCATCTGTACATATGCATCAAGAAAAGTCTGGAATGATATACAACTGATACTATGTATTAGTCTGTTTTCACACTGCTGATAAAGACATACTCAAGACTGGGAAGAAAAAGAGGTTTCATTGGATTTACAGTTTCACATGGCTGGGAAGGCCTCAGAATCATGGCGGGATGTGAAACGCACTTCTTATATGGCAGTGGCAAGAGAAAATGAGGATGAAGCCAAAGCAGAAACCCCAATAAACCCACCAGATCTTGTAAGACTTATTCACTATCACAAGAATAGCACAGGAAAGATGGGCCCCCATGATTCAATTACCTCCCCCTGGGTCCCTCCCACAACACGTGGGAATTCTGAGAGATACAATTCAAGTTGCGATTTGGGTGGGTACACGGCCAAACCATATCAACTATCAATGGTTATTTCTGATTAGTAGAATTTGAGGTAGCTTTCCTTTGCTTTAGTTTTTAGTTTATTGTATCATTTAAAGTTTTATTTTCAATGTACAATTTTTATAGAAATATCTAAGTCTTTTTAAGAAAACTGAAAAACATTAGTAAAGAAGACAAACAGTAGAGCAAAATTTGTATTAAGATCTGGAATAAGACAACTCCTAATAATTAGCACTAAACCTATCTCAGATCTTCCTTCCTGGTGGCAAGGTTGAAAAGGTAAGACAATGAGTTACACATTTTTAGTGTATGGTAAAAAAAAGCAGAACAAAATCATCTTGAAAGAAAGAGACCAGTGTTAGTTGAGTAGCTACCATATGTCAAGCACTGTCTCATGTATTTCTTACAATCCCATGAAATTCTATTGGCTCATTTTTCAGATGAGGAAGGCCAGATAAGTAACTTGATGTGCATTCCCACAGCTGGTCAGTGGCAAAGCCCAAATAGGAATCCAAGTCATATGATCTCAAAATTATGCTCTAGTCTCTCCAGTTCTCTGCCTCCCAATTTCTGGACCCCAACTCTAAGAGAAACTAATCTAATTTATTATTGTATAATAAAGTGTTCAGTTACTGCTGTGTGAAAGCATTCAGTTAACCACAAGCTCAAAATCAAGTTGAATCTCAATATCAAAAAAAAAAGCCAATTAATTATGTGGTAGCACATTGTTACTAGTGATAAAGTTCATACTACGGTATTGCCATGACGGAAAAGTGCCAAGTCTAGTATTGTTCAAATAAATGATGGGAAACATAGAAAACTATGTAAAACATTTCTTAACCCAAGTCTTTTTTTACACTAATTTGCATTCCTCTTACTTTGAAGATTCTTATGCAATGGGAGCAACTGTTGTAAAGAAAATTAGAATGAAAAGCAAACAAAAACTTTTCAACAATAGTCCGTTGAACATTATAGCCCCTATCAAAACTATAACTGTATATTCTAAATAATCCCAACAAGACCTTTTGCAATTCAAACTTTCTTTTGAAATTCTTATTTATTTTCTATTACTTGACAAGTAATGATGAATATGACAAAGTATGTCCCTACTTTGATATATCACATAAAATATAAAACCTATACAAATATATACTTTTCAAAAGGATGGGATTAATAAACTAAGTATATCCTTACTTTGAATAAACAGGGATTAACAGATATGTAAACATAATCCCAATTTGCCATAATAATTACCCTCTCTATAGCTCAAGTTGGCCTTTGACAGTTACACATGGAAGACTGTAATGTATACAAATAACCTATAGTCACAAAGACAGTTTTTTGGTGCCTCTCCCAATACATACAGTTTGTCTTTTCTCATGTACTCTGTTTATTCTTTCATTCATTTATTCATTCATTCAAGCAATTTTCATTGAATAGCCACTGAGTACCAGGCAATGTGATAGGCTAGTGATTAAGAAACAGGATAGGGTATTCCTCTGAGAATTCACAAGTCATTGGATGAAATATGTGTAAATGGCTACTTGTAAATCAACTTACTAAGGGCCACAGTAGAGCTCTTGAAGGATGGAAGGTGAGAGAGGACAACTAGTTGGAGTTACCAGGGTGAATTCACATGGTTGGCCTTTGACTTCTATATAGAAGGTGGCTTTTGCCAGGCAGAGAAGTCACACAGTATATATGCAGCCAAAGAGGAAAATATGGCTTTTGGAACTCTGAGAGATGGTTCAAGATGATCCTCAGCCAGTAACACATAAATGATTATTTATTATATGCAAATACAAATTTGCACAGTATGGCCAAAAATACAGCCTTATTAGTGTGTTGGCCATTGCCTATAATGTTGTGCTCTCTGAAGAGAAGGGTGCATATGAGACAAAGCCACCTTAGAGGTAGGTTAGTATTAGAGGATGAATACTGGGCTTTCCCACATTCCTGAGTGGACAACTTCTCCTCTAAAAATCTCCCCTTAGTCCTTAGTCTCTCCCTAGCTATGGCCAACCCTTCCCTACTCAGTCAAACTTCTAGAAAAGGTAGTTAAATTCCAATTCTGTATTTCCAGCACCTCATTTCTCCTTTACTTGTCAATACAAGTAATCTGGATTCCACCCTTCACTGTCAAACTCAAACTACTTGTGTTCTATCCACTGCACAACTTTCAGTGCTTAATCAACTTAATTCTACAAAGAAACCTGGAATTGTCCTGTTCCCTCTGGTTCATCTACTTCTCCAGCTGCTCTTCAGTGCTCATAGTTGGCCCCTTCTCCTCTTGCTGGTTCTAATATCCCCATAAATCTTTTTTTGTTTGCTCTTTTTCACCTTTAACACCCCTTCTTAAGTCACCTCACATATTGGCTTCAATATTACCTGTTTGTTGATGATCTCAGATCTATACTTTCAGGCCAGGCCACTCCAGAAACCCATATCCAAATTTTCAACTCTCTACAAACATCATTTGAGTTGCTCCAAAAGCGCTCAGATTCAAATGCCCAAAACTAAACTTATGATCCTATGTCTTTTACAGTTAAACATATCATGATGAATTCTTCTTTTCCATGAAAATCTTTTAAAATATTTTGAAAAATGCATCCTGCCCTCACTAAGCCTTCTATTACCAAGCAACTAGATCATATAACTTATCCAGATGTCAAATTTATAGTAATTTCAAACCAAAAGAAATGACAAATCTATGAATGCTGAAAAAATAGTTATCATAAGGTTCATTAACACAGTTTCAAAGAAAAGATCAGCTACCTTTTACCCAGGTTTCTCATTATTATATATAAAGTGAATACATTTGCTTCACAGTGACTTTAACCAAAGAACTAATATTACTTTTTAAAGATAAAAGATGATCAAGCCCCATTGAGTATGTTGTTCACAAGATAGGAAAACATACTATATATATATATATATATAACTGTATACATATATATAACTGTATATTCTAAATAATTTGGAGATATATATATCAAAAATTAAATTATCAATATGCATTTATTAATTGTAAGTATGGAATTTCATATTTTAATTACTTAAATTCCTGATCAACATATACAATCCCTGATTCCTAATGAAAAATATACAGGATAAAGCACAAAATGCTAACTATTGTCTAAACTAGCAGTTTCCCAATGTTTTTTAATCATAAATTCTTCATCAGTAAAAATTTCAGCACATACGTATCTATACTTTATAGACAAATTGTGCTTTACTAACATATTACATATAATAAAATCTACAAAAATATTTTTTTTCAAAAGGATAGAATTACAAATTAGAAATTTTAATTTCTTCCCATGGCTCAATGCATTGTACAATCATAGAGGATATTCTACTTTATAAAATTTATCAGTCTAAGCAACCATTATCTCTTAATTGTCAACCAATATTTTCAACTGCAAACATTTCTTAAATCTTTACTACATACTTACTTAGAGTCTTAGTTCTTCTTGCCAAAGGCATCTTGACTCACCTTCCCTCCAAAAGTGATTAATATTGCTGACCCCAGTAAACCATCACTTAAACCTCTCAATTTCCTTCTTTTCCAACGTCTATTTCTCCAACTTATTAGACAGCTGACATTTTTAAAATCAGAATCTCAGTGTGCTAAAACAAGAACTTGAAGACGATGTAAAGGTGAAGCGACAATGCTATTTTCTGTCTGTCATGTCTAGGAATAGTGTGACCATTACCTCCCATGAAAGCCTCAGCCTTCAGATGTTTTTCTTATATCTACCATGCACTCGGCCTTTGCAAAAGCAGCTAATCAAACAGAAAACTGGCATAAAAATTAAAGATGAGACTTAGAGAAATAAAGTTTTACAACTTCAGCAATGAGAATGTAGAGTATGAATCAACCCAATGCAAAAACAAGCAAACATCTGAAAACAAATCAAAAGAAATAAAATTATAATTTCTTTTTGTTCAAATTAATTCATTGCATACTTCACCAATTAAAAGAATGAACAATGGCAAGAAACGGGGTTGACATGTTTGTGGCCTTGTTAGTATATACATTACTTTATAATTTTATAAAACTGTAAAATAAAAAACCTAAGTTCATAAAATCAGCTAGTATCTACTAATATCCAGAACTTTTAAATTACAAGTATTATTGAACCCTTTTTTCCTAAATAATACTATAGTAGTACATAGTTGCACTACAAGTCACAAGAAATGTGTAAAAAGCAGTATTTGCCATTTATATCTTAATGTACTGTACAGTTTGGTTACCAATTTCTACTGCCAATTTATTTTCTTCACTAAAAACACAAAGTACTTTTTCCCCTATGACAATGAATATTAACGTAGAATGTAAGGAAGGAATCTCTTGAAAATGGCTTTGATCTCTTCTGAGTTGGAAGACAAAAAACATTTGTTACACCTAGACAGTGCTTCTGCTCATGTGACAGTTTACTTTAAAGATCTCATAGACTTAAAATCTATTCATTTTTAACAGACAAACATGAAATATCTACCCTATTTCTAGTAAACTAATTTAGTGTAGTTAGCTACTTTAAATTATAACTTCCTGTTCATTTAATAAAATTAAGATTAAAATATAGCAACTTTTTAGATGGCAATAAATCAAAGCAATTCATGTTCTCTTTTTTAAAATATTAAGAAAATAATTCAGGTATAAGTGATGAAAATATAGAGAGTTGACTAAAACCTAACCCCTCTAAGTTTTTTTAAGGGTATAATTGTGATTTTGCCAGCAATCTAGGCTTAGTAAATGAGCCTCTGCTATAGACCTTGGAACTTTATGCTCAGTCTGGTTGCCTTCCTGATTACTAAGTCTTTCTAAATTAGAGCAAGCAATTTCTCTTTGTTTTACCTAATATTTGAAAATGGCAAAAAAAAAAAAAAAATCCCCTGGGTCACTGAAAATTATCCTTTCATTCCAGCCGCCTGTTTCAAGTCAGTCAAAACATTCCAGACTTCAAAAGGAGGCTCTGCCTTCTTAGGCCATTTTGGTGTCCCTCTATGGTTGGCCTAGAAGGGATCGGTTATTTGGATAAATTAATTTCTGGAGCCTGCTGGCCTTCTAGAAGACCTCAGTGTCTGACTGCAAATTAGTTCTACTGAACATGAAGAAATCCCTGGACAGGCTAGAAGAAATAAATGGTGATAAAATCTAATACTACAATGTTTGTAATGTGATTTTATTCTGCTATGTGGCTTGTAAGCACAGTTAATGTTGAATTAAATATTTTAAATTTTTAATAAAGGGCATGAAAGCAGAAAATCAGATCAGTATCCAAGTCATAGCAGAAAAGGCTAAAAGCCAACTTTAAAATAAAACTTCCAGCAGGAACCTTTTATGAGAACAAACAATAATGTCCCAGTTTTTTCCACAATCAACTATGTATTTACATTACAGATACAAACCCCCTCATTGGCCCCCCCCTCCACTGAGGCAGGAAGTCATGCAGTTGAATTATGCTTTAGCTGGGCCTGTGAAGAAACTGCTAGGCAGTCCCTGAGCACTGCGCTGTGCAAGTGCCTTAGGAGGCTTATCCTTAAGGAAGAGAAGTCCAGAGCCAAAACTAACAAACAGGGCCCCTCAAGCGGAACAATGGTCCAGAAAACTCAGCAAAAAAGAAAATAAACTTCATTGGCAGTTTGTTTTTGACTGTTAAGAGCTTAACTACAACTCTATCAAGATTTTTAAGAAGGTAAGAAATTTCACACATACTGCATTCTCACAGCTGCTTGAGAGTTTATAGTGCAAATGTATCATCTTGTCTTGCCACGTCTAATCCACTTTAGGAGATACTTGTATCTTTTCTTTCCAAAGTAAACAGAATCACACCTCTGAGAAAGAGATGAAGAACACTTCCTCTCCCCACCTTCACACCCCCAGGGCCAGAGTTCAGCTTGAGTGAGCTGATCTAGCTCCTCATCAACTTTTGCTAATGCTATCTAAGGGTTTAAAGCAGTTGAGATAATGAAGTTCGGAAATAAAGACTAAAGCTGTGACTTTTTTTACATTCAAAAATATATGCGTGCAAAATAACCTAAAATGCAGTATTCTCAAAAATTAAAAAAAGTTAACACATGTCATTTTAAAACTTACATAAGGAATTGCAATTATATTATCTTTGTAGTTAGCTGCAAATATATTCTGGTTCCCAAAGTACCATGAATCTCAACAGGTAATTAAATTTGATAGTTAAAACAAAAATGTTTATCACAAGACTGGACACAATAGGTTAACTATTGTTCCAATCCTACACTTGGGTCACCTCTTTTTAAAAAAAAAAAATCTTTATTTTTTTCTAATTCAAATTAAGCCAGCATTACTTAGAATTGAATCAAAGAGAATATACACAGTATGACCAATAATAGATGGAAATGAACAATAGAAGTAGATACATATAGTAAATTAATAATAATAGCATCAACAAATACTGAGAACAAAACTACAAAAATGGCTGAATATGTTTTCAGTCATATCTTAAATCTGTCCTCAATACCACTCACATTTCAGTGACGTGGAATTAAGGCTAAGATCATCATATTTGTGAGTTTCATTTTAATTTAACTGAGATACTCATAGTCTAATTGTTTTGAAAAATGTGGAACTACATATGGGAATTATAAATTATTTCCCATATGTAGTTCCAAATTTTGTTATATTTTGATATATAAAGAAACAAAAGAAGTTAAACAAAACACTGTTTAAAGCAAAATGAACATGCAACTGTAGATTCACTACAGAAATTTCTAAAAGTATAATGCATGGAAATGCATGCATCTATTAACCAGAGAAATCACTGTAGAATTCTCTTCTGTAAAACTTTAAATGGTGAAACAGGGTCTCTTAACATATATTTTTAAACCATCAAAATCTAAACATACTTCTTTTTTCCCCCAAATGCAAAAAAATGTTAAGTGAATTGCTTTATAAACCTTAAGTCAATGGTTTCCAAGCATTTCACAAGCATGACTCTGTTATACTTTTCTCTCAAGGCTGCACGTTTTCAAAGGTTTTTATTACGTAGGCACTAAGTAATCAGTTAGATAGCCCATTTTAAGTTCAGATTTTTAACTATCAATCTGAGCTTCTATTAGAAAGATAATACAAGAAAGAGAAGAGAAAAGAAACAGGATAAGTTCCTTGAGTTAATTTATGACAAACTGAAGCTTATAAAGCTTATTGCTTAATCATGGATCATATGTCATTTTGCTAAATATTAAGAAGAATTAAGGGACTTTACTACATCATGGGGCTCATAGAGGGCTTGAAAACTAGCATGGAAATTTCAAAAGTATTTATAATCTGTATGTGCTTTATGTGAAACTTTCTGGAAAAATATAGCAAGGTTTCATTAAAATTATATGCTAAACCCAAAGGAACAGCCGAGAGCATTATGCATTTTGCCTCCTTGAATATGGAAAAACCACCTTGATCCTTATAGCCCCACTTACTCTCTTTCATTAAGCACTAGGTAATAAATCATGAATTCACTAAATCTCAGCAGTGGAAAGGATTTTAGAAGTAATCCAGTTCCACATTATTTTCTATGCAGGAGTCTCCAATAGATTATCACCAAGCAGTAATGAGCTAAAGCTGTATATGTAAAGTGCTTAGAATGGTCTCTGCTACACAGTAAGTGCCTAATACATGTTCTTTATTTTCTGTAGTAATAGGCACTGGACATCTCCAAAGAAATAGAACTAATATCTCCAAAGAAAATCAGCTGATTTAATCTCTTTTTGTAACTTGTAGTGCTTAAGGACTGTTAGTGGTTTAATGACTTAAAAATATATGATGTATGGAAAATTCTGCTATCAATACAAACTTTTTTTTTTTTTTTTTTTGAGACAGGATCTCTCTGTCACCCAGGCTGGAGTGCAGTGGTGTGATCACAGCTTACTGCAGCCTTGACCTCCAGGGCTCAAGTGCTCCTGCCTCCCAACTAGTTGAGACCCCAGGCCCATGCCACCACACCTGGCTAATGTTTTTATTTTTTTGTAGAGAGTGGTCTCACTATGTTGCCCAGGCTGGCCCTGAGCTTCTAGGTTCAAGCAATCCTCCCACCTTAGCTTCCCAAATGGCTAGGATTACAGGCGTGGGCCACTGCACCTGACCTCAAGCGTTTTGGCAACAACTTGAAAGGACTCTTGGAACAAGTTAATATGCAATTCTATTATATTTTCATTTTGTAGCAAAATACACTTATGTTAAAACTTTTCATTATAGGATTATAAAATTGTTTTTCTCCCTTTACAAGTGCCTTTAGAATTTACTATCTTTTCTCATGTTTTAAGGTGGGTGAGAACATTACAAGAATTTCGGGCCTGGTCTTCCAAAGTAATATAAAAATCTATTCAGCTCTTTTTCTTTTCTTTTTTCTTTTTCTTTTTTTTTTTTTTTTTGAGACGGAGTCTCGCTTTGTCATCCAGGCTGGAATGCAGTGGCGCGATCTCGGCTCACTGCAAGCTCCGCCTCCCAGGTTCACGCCATTCTCCTGCCTCAGCCTCCCGGGTAGCTGGGACTACAGGCACCCGCCACCACGCCTGGCTAATTTTTTGTATGCTTAGTAGAGACGGGGTTTCACTGTGTTAGCCAGGATGGTCTCCATCTCCTGACCTCGTGATCCACCCGCCTCGGCCTCCCAAAGTGCTGGGATTACAGGCGTGACCTACCGCGCCCGGCCAAAAATCTATTCAGCTCTTATTGGCAGTGAAGGTGAAAGCCACTAACCTCAGTTACAGTTACAGCAAATCAATCACCTTTGTCCTAAAAAGTTAATGTAACTTTCAAAGGACTCTAATGCTCAAAGTAATGAGAAGTTCACCATAGAATCTCATTGCACACTTGTGTGAATTAGCCCTGTTATTTCTCTTGCTGCCATTACTAATGGTTCTGTGAATTATAGTCCCCATTCAATGTCATAAATAGATCATATGTTCATTTGAAAATTTTTATTGGCTACCATTTTGTTTTAAGATGGCAGCCTGGCTCATAGTTTAAATTCCAAACGAGTAAGAAACATGTATATCAATTTTGAGATACCATATTTTAGAAAATTATCCTAGGGCAAACAGAAAGATAATCATTTTTTTAAGGCTAGATAAAATAAAATGAAATTGATGAAGTTAAAATACAGATCTGATTTTGTTAGTCCCCACTAAATAGTGAGTACACTTCTTTCCCCAAGTAATTTGGAAGCTGAGCAAACAGCTAATTCTAATGTGTAATGTAAACTTTTTAACAAATGAATTTTAATAAAAGCCAACTTTATAAATGAAATTTATAAGTTATTTGAGTTCCATTTAATCACCAACAGCTTCCTATTTTGAGAACACAAGTGGTCAATGCAGGCATACTAACCAAATAGAAACATTTTTCAGATACATAATTTCACACACAAAATATTTTTGAACTCATTTTTAAAGTTAACCCTCCCAATTTACCAGATGAGGCTAGGTAATCATGGTATTGTGTTAATGTTTCACAGAAACTTAGATGAACACATCACTAAAAATCACCAGTGTGAGCACTGAGAATGAATAAAGTAAAACGTGTACTAGGTCATTTTTCCTTATGACAGAAAAAGCTAATTTTTTAAATAGAAATTAGAAATGTTATATTAAATAATCAATCCCAAACCCAGTATTCATTTTTAGGCTTGTAAAATATGACTAGTATTAAAGTTAATACCTGAATATGCAAAGCATAAAATTTTATTCTTGAAAAACATCCCTGTGATAGCTATACTTTGATAGAAATACAACAGCCTCATTAAAGAAAGAAATCATCACATACTATATACTTTGCCAAATGTTTTTGATATAATAAAAAATCTGAGTATTTCTAAACATCAGAATAAATTACCATGAATTCTGGAATCCCTGAATGGAATTTTAGTTTATACCTGAATTAAGCAATAACAAGAATGGGCGAGTGAATGTCACCCATTGCAATATTTGTATGGCCCAATACAATGATCTCTGGCATCCCTTTGGACTATGGACAGCATATTTCAAAATGAAAAAAACCAATTAAATAAAATCAGTAATTTAAAAAAGGTTTCTTTTCCCTTTTTACTTATAGAAAGAAGGAATAACTGTTAAGGAGGACACAGGAAGTATTGTTTTTGTTTCGGAATACTGCCTGGAAGAAAACACACACATTTGTTGCCTTTTGAGATATGCTCTTGATAAACAGTAGAGTTTGTATGTTACTACATTGCTTACTAAAGCCATCATGATTGTCTTTTGATCCTCATGATCATTCTGAGATACCCAGTATTGAAATACTATCCTCATTTTAGAGATGAAGATGGGGGCTCAGAGATGATCAGAGATTTGCACACACTTGGGCAGCAGCTGAGTCAGGGCTCCAACACAAGCGTTCCATCGCCTGACAAACCCACTCTCCCTCCTCTACCCTCACAGGTATGCACTGAATTAACGTGGTAAGAATGCAAGTTCAGTTACTGTTTTATTGATACAAGATGGGAGTACAAAGTCACAGAGTTGCATGAAATCAAAATTTAAAAAAATATATGAGAATGTGAGTCTAATTTATGTCGTTTGAATTTGGGAGACCACTTAAGGAAATTTCATGAATTCCTTTGAAATATAAACATTAATTGATCTAATTGAATCTAGTGGAGTACCTTAGAAAAATTTTTCAATGAATAGAATTTATTTGCACAAAGGACATGAAATTTTTGGTATGTGATTGTTAACATATTTTGCCCACCTAATTTCATGTATTCATGTACATAAGCTAAATTAATCTATATTATTAATTTCTTTATAATCCAATTTTTGTAAAGGAACATTTAAAAAATTAACCTCACCCTCAAATTATCAAAAATTTTCAATTAATAGAGTTCCAGTTAATGATGTTTAATAGCCGTGGTGTTTGTTTTTAGGTTACCTGTTACCTTCATGAAACCTGGCAGAGCAAAAAAACCTCTGAGCTTGATCCTGGCCTGTTTCCAAAGGTGCTTGATTCCCTGGAGACAAGTGGGGGCTAAAGCTGCCACACTAGCAGGCCTGAAGATCTTTTTCTGTTTACAAAACCTTGGCTCCAGGCAATTGTACTTATTCACTCATTCAACCAAAACATTTTGCACATCATGTGCAAAATAGCGAAAGGACTGAGTGACAGAGGGAGTGTGGTTGTTTCTTTTGCATATTCTCTACCCTCAAACAGCTCATGGCCTAGAAGGCAAATAGCCTTTTAAGTTTGGGTGAACAATATAAGCTAGAATAAAATATATGCTAATTAGCAGTTCAAAGCACTTATTGTGTGAAGAATTAAGATTCTGTTTCAGAGGAGCAGATAAAGATAAATAAATTGACCTCTGAATGTATCCAGTCTACAAAAATACCCAGTGATAGATTCTGCATAAAACAGGAGAAAGAAGAGTCATATTAATGTATATTACATATATATATTAATATGTATATATGTTACATATATAATTACACATATTTATATAATTAGTTATACATAGTATATATGCTACTTAATATAATTAATTATATTCATGATCAAGCTTCACTTCTCTTCAAAAATACTGATTATCAATTTTAATGGAAAAATAGGTTGATAGGATCCCTGTATTAGTGATCTATCATGGTGTAACAGATTTATTATCTCACACAAATTTTGAGGGGCAGAAATCTGGGAGCAGTTTAGCTGGGTGGTACTAGCTCAGGGTCTCATGAGAACATATCTTGGCTATCTGCTGGGGCTGCAGTCATCTGAAGGCTTAACTGGGGCTGCATGATCTGCTTGTAAGATGGCTCACTCCCATGGTTGTTGTGGAAGGCTTCAGTCCCTGGCCACATGTGCCCCTCCACAGGGATGCCTGAGTGCCCTTGCAACATAGCAGCTGGCTTCCTCCAGAGTGAGTGATCCAACAGAGAGCAGGGAGAAAGCCATACGGGCCTTTGTGACCTAGTGTCCACAGTGGCCACTGTCACTTCTGCTGTTTTTTTCTCCCTATTAGAATTGAGTCACTAAGTCCAGACTACACTCAAGGAGAGGGTTCATCCAAAGGGACCCCCTTACAAGGCTCCATCTCTTAAAGGGAGGAGTATCAAAGAATTTGTGAACATATTTTAAAATCACCACAAACACATCCTGGGAATGGGATACAAAATGTAGAAGTATTTCTTTATCACTATTCTAGGCATGTTTTAAAATTAATCATAGGAAAATTGTATATGATACTATACATAAATAAAATTATGGATGCACAGAAATGTGGACATCAAAGAATCATTATCACATTAGAGCCAACATAAAGATATACTCTGGGTTCTACAACAAGATTCATTGGCTGAGGGATGAAGAAGATTTGGGAAAAAAAGAGAAGCAGGATTTAGAAATATAGAAATGTATCACACTAGGGTTCAAATGCAATCCTGGAACTATGGAACTAGATCACCAAACTGAGTACTTGAGTTCACACGGATGCTTGACTTTGATGATTGGTCTTCCTGCCCATCCCTTGGTGACCACCACACATTTATTTTGTGATGCAAAGACTTTATTAACTTCAGTTATCCTATACAGTAAGGACACCAGTCGAATCATACTGTGTTAAAATTAGAAGAGATCTTCTCCCAAATTCTTCATTTTACAAATAAAGAAAATGAGGCCCAGAGAGAGAGTAAACAGTCACATTCAAGATGTCAGGGCTAGCCTGATAGGAACAAAATGAGAAATCTTGAAAGGAGAGAGCGCACAACTGTAGACCCACCTTGCGTGCAGGGGCAGTCATCCCTGGGTATCTGTGGAAGACTGGTTCCAAAACTCTCACAGATAGTAAAATCCTTGGATTCCCCAGCCCCTTAAGTTGGTCCTCTTTATTCACCAGTTCTGCATCCCATCTGCAGATAGGAAGGGCTCACTGAGGTAACAACAGAACAATGCATGAATCCTCATTTTATCTACATGCATTAACATTATCCTGGGACTCTGTTCCATATGTCTATGGCAACTTTCATGCCATGTCTGCAGAGTTATAGGCATGTGATAAGAGATTTTCTGGCCCTGGAAGCCTATAATATTTCCTATCTGGTCCTTTATAGAATAAATTAATTGTATTATTGCTATACCAAAATGGCTTTCTTATTGTAGCTCACATTTCTGGTGATTACCAGATTTCTTTAAGTATTTAAACCACCCTCCCTAGCCCTCGCCCCCACCCCTCACACATAAAAAAACAAAGTCCTAAAGTCTGTGGCTTTTATTCAGAAAGAGAGATCCACATGCCCCAATTGCTAACTGCTCACTGACACAAGTTCATAGTTCTTTAAGCTCTCACACTCCTGCATGTTAAGAGTGCCAGATCAGAGGCAGCCAGGGGCAATGAGTCTCAATGGTTAGGGCCCCTCTTTCCTTTCTTTCCAGCATCAGCCACAAGCAATTTTCATCTTTGTCACACTCCATCTGTTTGGTGCATATGGACCAAGTGAGCTACACCAGAACACAAGATATTGGCCAGCTCAGATAAACAAACATTTACTGAGTGCAGGTAGAGGGCTTGACATTGTGTTTGGCCCTGGAAATATAAACATGTCACTGTCCTGGCTCTGGAGTAATTTTCCTGTCAAGGTTTTATTTTTTACTGAAAATACCCAACTGCTAATACAACCTGGTGCCCAATGTGAACTTTGACGTCCAGTCTTTTTGAAACTCTCAGATCACATTCTATCCTGGGCTCCTTTACTGTGCCCAAGCCAGCCTTGCCTGTTCAAATGAAAAATTTTGCCTAATTCCTTCCAGCATGGTCTGATGTTCCAAGTCACAACCTCATCTTAACCCTGTGAATGTCTGTCCATTACATCAGAATTAACAGATAGTACCTCATTCCCCCAGTCAAATACATTTTAATTAAATAACGACTAGTGAGGCCATCCCAGCTCAAATTTGAATCCAAGAAGTTGAGGTCCTGAATCTGCGCTCTCATTCACGGTACGTCTTTCATATGTTATTTTTAATCACACAATCATGCAAGAAAGGTATTATTATGCCTAATTTACAAATGAGAAAGAACTGAGGCTTGGAAAGGCGAAAACAGCTTGCCCAAGTACAGAGCTAAGGCTCAAGCAGATGTGTCTGACTTTAAATGTCCTGCCCTTTCCAAAAAGATGTTTCACTGGCCTTGACGCTAGTGGCTGTATATACTGCTTTACAGTTTACAAAGTGCTTTGGCATATGGTATCTTTATTTCTTCATCCTGGGGACCCAGCAATATAGGTCTGTTATCTCTACTGGTAAAAAACAAAATTGAGGCGTAGAAATTGAAATTAATTTCATGAAGTTATTCATTGAAATAATTCTTAGAATAAACTGTGACTCAGAACCAGAAATTCTGAATCCAAGTCAAGGTTCTCTTCACTATGCCTAATTGCCTTCCCAAGTTCAAGTTATTATCTATTTGCTGAGTACCCATCACATCCGAAAAGACTACCCCAACTCTAGGCCTTACTGCTTCATGCCAAAAATGCAAATCATTGTTGCTATCAGATAGATAAACAGAAAGATGAAAAATTAGTACACTAGAGATACAGCATTTAACTGATAGTTGTTAAAAAGCCTTAAGTATTGGAAAATAATTATATATTCATTATTAGATACTTCCATCAAATAGATTATAGGTGATGGCATATCAAGGGTTAAATCTCCCCATCTGCAAAATGATGAGGTAGGATCAGATATGTGCTTTCAAACTGGTGCTTCAATGATCTCAAAATGGGAGTTTTTGAAGGTCCATCCCAATAGCCAACTATTGGGTGGTCAGCCCAGCCTCTCCTCTGGGAACTGTGGTGTTTCTGCTGCAGCGACCTGCTCTATCAGGCACAGGATCATGATGCATCCAGGACCGGTCAGAGGTTTTCTTCCTACATGGTGGATGACCCAGTAATGTATAAACCATGGTGGGTTAGCCAGCACTGTGCAAGGGGAACAGAGAAAGCCAGTCTATAAACAAAAAGAGGACTGAATAAAATGTGCAGAAAAAAGAAAAAAAAATTACCTGAATTCCCCAGATGCCCTCTTTCTTAAGACTTTCCTTTTGTTTTCTTATGCCAGCTCATGGTAAGTTCCATTACTTGCAACCACATAAACTAGAGTTATTCAAGGTGCTGAGACAGGAGGGGGATAGGTAGACAAAAAGATAAGGGTTTAGGCCTCACACTCTTATTAGTTTTTGTTATGGGTTGAATTGTATCTCTCCAGAAACAATAAGTAGAAATCCTAATCCCCAGTATCTGTGACTGTGACTTTATTTGGAAATAGGGTCTTTACAAGAAGTAATCAAATTAAGATGAGGTCATTAAGATAGGCCCTAATCTAATATCACTGGTGTCTTTATAAGAAGAGAAGGAGGGGCACAGATGTAAGAGGGACAAAGGCCATGTGACAATATAGGCAGAGATTGAAGTGCTGCAGCTACAAGTCACAGAAAGCCAAGGATGGCCGGTGCACTCCCAGAAGCTAAGGAAGGATTCCCCTCCAGGTTCCAGAGGGAGCATGGCCCTGCTAACATGTTGAATTTGGACTTCTAGCCTCTAGAACTGTGCAACAATGAATTTCTGTTGTTTTAAGCCACCCACTTTGTGGTACTTTGTTACAGAAGTCCTAAGAAAAGAATGCAGGCTTCTAATAAAGATGCTCGGCTTTAAAAAATGAAATTGTAAATCTCTGGATTCCATGGTTTTATATTTAAGTTATCTAAAAGTTTCACTTACATAAAATATCTCACTTGGGGTGAAGCTGAATAAATGCAACCCTGATTTAGTATAAAATTTCCCAGTTCACTTCTACATGTGTATTATACTTGTATAACTACTTTTAGTAACTTCTGCTAAAGAGTGGGTTTCTTTCTATTAAAAAATAAATAATTAATTTTTCCAGTTTGGTTAAAAGTCACCTTTTATTTCTAGCATCTCCAAGTACAGGAATAACGTACATACATGTTTTATTTAATAGTTTTCTTGCAAAACCCAGCATCTCAGCAAAAGCTGCTGTTAGCACTTCAAATTTATCATAACTTAAAGGGAGACACAAGAGGTACAGTTATGAGAGTACAATGGAGCCCTAAAGTAAAATTAGTCCACAAAGATCTAGAATATCATCATCTAAATTTTTTGAAAGAAAAGTAAGTTAAGTATCTACCATTTATAACAAAATGCTCCTTTTAGAGTCTTAGGAGACCTAATTCCACCCCCCAATGCATGAGCTGACAACATCATGATCAAACATATGCAGGGTTAGTGTTTATAATACCTGATGCAGGTGTGATGGTCACATTTTTAAAATTGTATTGTAGACTTGCAGGTGGCCAGATAATTTTTTATTCATGGTCGTTTATTCATTTTTCTGGAGATGTTTCCAATAAAAAGTGAATTAGAGTTATGTTGCACTTTTCATTTTCAAAGAACATTTGAATCCATGATCCCACTTGACCTACAAAATTGTGATTTTAAATCAGAGAAGGCAAATATTATCATATCTGTTTTATAGCAGAAGAGGTTGATGCTTATAAACCTGCCCCAGGTCATACAGCTAGTAAAAGATAAAACCAGGTCTTACGACTTCAAGTCTAAAATGTAGTTTCCAAAAAACTAGGCTCTCTCTATTTGATTCAGACACAAGTTTTGGGTTATCGAGTGGTGGGTTTTTAACTGCAGCCCTCACAACTTCATAAGGAAAATAGAATGATATATTTTTAAAATTCACTTTTAAAAAAGTGAGTATGTGCTTTTTTTTTTATCTTGACATGATTTCTTTCTAGAAATCCTAGTAAACTAAAGAAACTGAAAGAAGCGGTTATAACTCTGCTGTTTGATGCTTGTGTTTCCAGTGTTTACCTTGGATCAGGACAACCACTAAGGTATCAGCAGTTCCACTGCCATGGCTGCTAAGAGCGTGGAACTGTGCTCATCCAGATGGGAACCCTTCAGAGGCAAACAGAGGAGTGGCCAAGATCATGACAGAAATGATGTGAAAGCCCACAAACCTCCTCCTCTCCATGATGTCCTCATGAAGTGAAGAGAAGAGTGGGTAGAACTTACAAAATCACACGTGTTACTGACTCTTCCTAAATGTGGGAGACACATAAGCAGAACCTTCCAGAATTAGAAAGGTGGACTTTCTGACTTAACGTTTCTACTCAGGGTCATGTCTACATAGGATCAAAATAAGAAGTAACTTCACCTCTGCCCATGGTCTTTCATCATAGGATGGACACATTTCCAAACCTCTGCTAGGGTCATGAGGCTACATGATAGGAATATTGCACTTTTCAGTGTTCATACGATTAGCTATTTCCCCTCCCTCAAGTATCATCAGTTCCCTCAGAATTTTTAGCTTCAAATCTCACAATGACAGTGGCAGCACCAAGATGAAGAATGCACACACCCTTGGAATGAACACACTCTTGTTTAAGGGCTTCCCTGCACTGCCACCCTCCCATCCACTGAAAGCACAGGGAAGCTCCTCTTAGCCTTTCCCCCAGAGAGAGAGACTCTCTAGGCTCTGCAGACATCATGGAGCCAAAATTACACTGGTAGCTATTGCCAGCCTCCTCCTCAGCCCAGAGCTCTGAGCTGAAAGAAAGACATGAAGAGGCATCGCCACCTTCTCTTTTGATCTTGTCACATATGTATCTATGTAGTAGAGAAAGAACCATTGAGACTTGAGAAAGAATTGTTGTTTACAAAAGCAATAAAGATTCATAATATTATACTAATAATAGCACATGTTGAGAGTTACAAATATGCTTTGTAAGCTAGCATTGTGTGAAAAAACTTTCAAGAAGTATTATTTTGTCTTTAATATCATCTTTCTGAAAAGATCAAAGGTCCGATTCCTATCAGAAATATGCGTAGGGAGGCAAGTATTTCAACCTTACTAGAAAAGGCACAATCCAGAATGCACCATTAGCAGGTGTAATTCTGTGAGCAAAGGGCTACAGAGTGTAAGAAAGAGGTACAAAATAATAAAGCTGGAAAGGACCTTAGGTTATATGGATTTTACTTCTCTCATTTTACAGATGCAAAAATCAAGGTCCCCAGAGAAGTATTTGGAATATACTTAATATATTTTTAAAAGAATATATCATGGACACAATGGATACAACTCATCCATAAAAAAGAATAACCTACGGACATGTGCAACATCACTGATGACTCTCACAGACATGGTCCTAGGTGAAAGAAGCCAGAAACACACTGAGGATTCCATTTGCATGAACTTTTAGAACAGGCAAAACTGATGCAAAGTGGAAACAATTAGAACAGCGGTTGCCTGTGGGGTGAGAGGATGAGTACTGGGGAAGTACTGAGTGTGAAGGGTCCAAGAGGGCTTTCTGGGAAGATGGAGCTCTTCCAATTTATGACACAAGGTGTAGGTTACACGGCTACATCCATTTGTCACAATGGGGCAGTTAAGACTTGTGCCTTTTAATCCATATACATTTTATCTTAAAAAACTGTAAAGAAAAACAGCAATCTTTCAGTGGTGGTATGACGAGTAGGTGGGGGGAAGATGGAATGAGAATGGCCAAATGCTGTTAACTGTTGAAGTGGGCACAGGGATTTACTCTAAATATGGCTGAAACTTTTTGTGACATAAACTTGTGAAAGATGAATGTGATGAGCAAGGGAATGTTCAATCATATTTGGAAGTGTGAGCACTTGGGATACTGGTCCAGGACTCTTTTCAATTCCTTAAGGAGACAGGGCCTTGGGTGTGTCGCCCAGGCTAGAGTACAGTAGCGCAACCACCTTTAAATTCTTTATATTCTTGAGTTACCTTAATGTTTTTAGCTATGTTCTAGGTCCTCTTCCCATCTTGAGCCTCTCTCCCCCACTTCCTAAAGCAAAGGAGTAACCTGAGAGCCAAAGGAAGCCCGAGGAGCTCACCCAAGTCCTCACACGAGGCCTCTGAAGAGATTGTGACACCTCCTGGCTGAGCAGTCAGCTGCCAAATTGCCAGGACACAGATTCTCCAATCAGTGCCACACAGTGTTTGCCTATGAGAAATACCCCTTCCTTGTTCTGTACCTCTGAGATAGCCAAATACCTTTCAAGACTGAAAATGCTTCACTCTCACATAATAAAAACAGGACAAAATGAGATGCAATTAGATTGCCCTCTCATATATCTTTTATTATGATGGCCAAAATAAATTCTTTTAATCTTTACATTTCTTACCTATTTGTTATTTTAGTCTCAAATCTTACTTAATATCTTCTGTCTTAAATTAGAATTTGCATAATACAAGGTATCAAAAGAAACATTATTGGCAGTATTTCTTTGCAGATATTATTAAATTAGTTGGTGATTCTCCAGTGTATCAACTTGCCTCCATCTAGGGAGCAGAGTTCATAAAAGGTGGCAGTAAGAAGTTATTAATGAGTTTATTTTTCATTAATTTTATATGAGCTACAAAAGTATTTTAACATAATAAATTCAAATATCACAGACCCAACATAGGAGTTTAAACAAACAAACAAATGAATTAAATGGGTTGAATTCGTTTTCTGTTTAGGGTAAAAGCTACATGATACGAAGTGATCTCAAAGTGCTTTATGTGAATTATCTCACAAGTTGACTTAGAATATCCATAAAATACACTCTGTAATTGCATACAGTGTGACTGTGAAGATACCTTCATAGCACTTGACCATTTGTTATTAAAATTCCCATCCAATAGCAGTTCCTGCTTATTGCATAACACCAACAGGTCTTGTAAAACATACATTTAAAGGAAACACAACAGTGTTACTAAAGATCATGCTTCAGGGACATGGATGAGGCTGGAAGCCATCATCCTCAGCCAACTAGCACAGGAACAGAAAACGAAACACTGCATGTTCTCACTCGTAAGTGGGAGCTGAACAATGAGAACACATGGACACAGGGAGGGGAACAACATGCACCAGGGCCTGTTGCAGGGCTGGGGGTGAGGGGAAGGAATTCAGAGGATGGGTCAATAGGAGCAGCAAACCACCATGTTGCACATATACTTATGTAACCTGCACGTTCTGCACATGTATCCCAGAACTTAAACTAAATAACAAAATATTAAAAAAGAAATGAAAGCTAAAAAAAAAAAAAAAAAGAATTCTACTGTGAATAAAGCTGAGCTATGAAATCACATGTCTGAAAGCATTGTATCTGACCAGGGGACTTACAGTGTAAAGTCATGGATGCTGCCCTAAATGTTGCTATGGAAATTTTCCGAGAAAACAACTTTAACTTACTGAAATATGCTTTTTTTTAAATTAAAATTCATTGAATTATTCAAGTTCTAAATAACTCAAAGGTTATTTGTAAGATGACCCCTAATTGGGAATATTCATTTATGAACCAAAGGTAGCTTTCTTTCTTCCTGATACAAACCTGTAGAAAATCTGCGAACCCTTTCTCTTCTGCTCACAAATCAACAAATAAAATATAACCTAAGTCTCTCTTATTTTAAAGCCCATTCAAGAGTTCATCAAACTGTGAAACTTCTTCACTAAAAACCTATTTTGAAGACACATACACACAGGTATATTCATAAAACAAATACATGTAAAAGAATCCAAAAAATTGACATTAATTTAAGTTTTAAGAGGCAAATATATGCTTTCCCTGAGGCAAAGAAACTGTAAGCCTAAAAATTATCTTATGCATATTGGGATAATTACATAATACTAAAGGTTAGGTTTTTCCAGTATGACTCTACTTTTGATAACTGATACCTCTGAGAAAAGATATAAATTAGGTTAGGCTGATGAAACAGTGTACTACTTAATTCATAACCTTCAAAATCATTAAAAATTGGTACATTGGTACAGAGCTTTTGACAATCTTCCAGATACTCGGGTTACAATAAAAATGCCATGATGATTTTAAAAGTAATAATTCTTTCCTTAGGACTGACATTCTGTTTACTTACAGACTGTCCATTTATCCCCCGGGGGTCTTCCATTGAAGACTTCTTCTGAATTATGTATGGGCTATTAGCTACACACTTCTTCAAAGGGTTCCAACACCCCTGCACCTGTGAACAACAGAGCATCACACAGCTGTATTAATTGTGTGGCATGAAATTCAGAGCTGGCCTTCACATCTGCAGCTTTCCATTTACCAGCATGTATACACAAGTCAAGAACACTTACCTTCACTGAATGAGTCTTTAAAATAAATATTATGGGCTCACTGTTTATCACAATTTACATGAGCCAAATGTGGCCAAATTATAGCTCAGTTGTGTCTGCTGTCAGCAGCTGCAGCCCAAGGAAAGAAAGGATGGTAGGGAGGCAGGGGGAGCAGCTAAAGATCCTTCCGCACACATTATTTTTGAGCCAGCAGTACAAGAGCTTTTTTTCTTCTCTTCTTTTTTTTTCTTTTTGAATTTAGTTTCTCCGTGCTATCTATCAACGTCAGCTGCACCACAATGCAAAGAGGAAATACTAACAAAGAAATATGATTGTAGTCTGAACAAGGATGAAAGAGAAAAAGCTAGAGTTGAGTGTTTTACCCTTAGGGCAAGGATATTATTATACTATTTCTTAGCAAGTTTACATTAGGTCACAGTTTCACGGATGATCAAGTCTGCACCTTCAGACTCAACACCTTCAGGAAGAATGGTTTGGGGGATGCTTCAAAACATGGACAGTAAATGTGGTATTTTCAAATATATTCTACATGTAGCTATCTTCAAAAAAAAATATAGCAATTTAAATGCCATTCTAATTTCCTAATGTTCAGAATTAATTTTTGTGCTCATGCTCAAATGAGGTACTCAAAAGATACTCTCAGGCTTTCTTGCTTGAGCTTGGCAACTGAGCAATTATTCTACCTCTCACATAAACACTAATGCAGCACATGTAATTTTAAGCAAAAAGAGTAAAATGCAATCTTAGTATTACCACGATAAAATTACACAACAGAGAACATGTAGTAGTGTAACTTCAGTATCACTTTTTATAAAAGTACTTGAATTTCTACATGCTCACATATTAGGAAAGCTACTATAGTGGAAGTCAAGAGATTTCAATTCAGGTTCTGACTCTGCCACTAAACAGCTGAATGATCTCATGTGAATAACATAAGCTATCTGAACCTTAGTACTCTAATCTGGAAAATGAGAAATTTTAAATGAATATCTTGCAGCTTTATATTTTACACAACTATTTCATATTTTGTAATGTAATGAGTCTATGTATTTCACACATAATTTTCAGGTAAAATATTCCAAGCATGGTTTATTTAAGAAGTAATTTTGAAGTCTTAGGAGAATTGTCACTTGTTTGTTTTGCTCAACATTATCAATGCTGCAAATGTATGCCCAATCCACTGTCAACATAAAGTTGATGCTTTTTGGACAACATAAAACATAAATAACTAGATTCTTAAAATTTAGACAAGCCATATTAAAGCACTATGTTTTTGTAATTTTAACAAGAAACAATTTCATAATGTCAAGTTGTGAGTAAATAAAAATCATATGAATGTATTCATGCTATGTCACACCAAGAAAATATAACACTTTATTTTGAATTGTACTCAACTGCAGAACAGAATCTTAAAACTCAACAGCATTGCTTTTAGAGGATTCCTTGCATAATTAGGGAAGAGATACTACAGAATATCCTAGACTGTTTTCATTGCTTAAGTTACTCTTAGGAGGCACATTAACTGTTCCAGGCACCAAGGTGGGATTTTAAAATAATGATAATAATCCTGCCTTACATTGGTAAAATGCTTTACAGTTTACCAAGTGCTTTCACACAAATTGCCCACAGTGTACCTATAAGAGGTAAGACAAAGCCCAGTCTCATTCCTCACAGAAGGGAGCAGGTCTAAGACAAAGCCCCCTCTGATTTCCCATAAATTCCCATCCTTTCCATACCTGTCTTGTGAACACGTTTCAATCAAAATCTGTATATTTGATATTCCAGGATTATTTTCCATGTGTTTCTTTCCCATATTTCCATATTGAACTTACTGAACAGTTTAAGGTATTAAGAATGGTCAAGTTACATGAGCATGAAAGGTATTTCATTTGTAATTTTATTTCTGCTGAAGATGAAACTATTCTGTACTAAATTTCATGTTTGTTATTGTTTCCTGGGCTAAAAAGAAAAGACAGATTATTGAGAAGTCAAAACAGTCAGCATTCATCGACTTCAGGTAGATGCCTCCAGTAAAAAGACTACCACTCAAAAATCAAAAAATCACAGCGAGCCGTGGACTTTATTTACAAATCCTCCAGTGCTTGCTAAATCAGTATAGTTGTTTCCAGATTTCTACATGTCAATCCAAACCATGAAATATATGACATGACTGGGTCTACTGATATTTAGGAGCCTGGCTCTGGTAAACCTTTAATTCCCTTGCTGGACTTGATCTTTCATGGTTTATAAATAAGCCTGTCTCCATTATAGCACTCATCTAGTGGAATTGCAATTATTTCTCTACCTGTCTCCCCCGCTAGACTGTAGCTCCAAGAGAGACAGAACCATGCCTTACTCTCTGGTTCTAGTCACATATGGCACTAATTAAATATTTTGAATGAATGAATAAAATGAATAAATGAATGAATGTTGTTGATACAACTTTTGAATACTTGTAAACTCTGAGCTAGAATTAAGTAGACAGTTAAATGGTGGTGCTATCATTCAATCAACTAGAAAGCATCCACAAAATTTCTGGTCCTGAGCTTTATTTCAAATATCCTAAGAAACAGGCTTAAGCAAAACTGGTGACTTGATGTTTACCTATCCACCTACTTGCCTGCCTATCTACACACATAGAGAGCAACTAGTCACAAAACTGTACAGACCTACATATAAACATATATAGAGGTGAACTTAGAGGTGAACTTCTTAGAGGCTTTGTATAAACCTAGGAGTGGTTTCTAGAAAAGGAGTAGAAGACTATCCAGGTAGGCTAATCTAGGTATAGATTAGGGGGAAACACTGATGGAGGATTAGTGGAATGACATTTGTTTGGGGAGATGTGTGGAGTACCAGAGGCAGGTGCCTTGGTGTCAGAGGTGTCCCTACAGACAGGTGCCATAAGTGTGGTGGCCATTACCAACCATCCCCAACACCTTGTAAAAGCAGGGAACTGGGTTAATCACTCACTTGTGCATCTACCCTAAATGGCCAAATCCTTTATTTACGCACTTTTGAGTCAATTATGATGGTGCCCTCCAGAGGAGGGGTGCCCCTTGGAGTTGTACACAGTGGAATCCTACCCTTCTATTCACCCCTGAAGTGAAATTTTCCTTCATAAAAAGACAAGGACTAAGAGGCATCTAGGGCCCTGTCTACCAAGTCTAACATTCTGGGTTAGCTATTCACCCTAAGCATAGAGGAAAAGCCTCTTCCTGAAATGTACTGCATCAACTCCTTAAGTAGAAAAAAAGGGTCAACCAAAAAAAAAATTGAGAAAAAGCTGCATAGTGTTAGGCTGGAGATGCATTTAATGATAGCCTGACTCTCCATATTTTGTAGCTGTATGAGACCATCTAAGAAGAGCAGAGAGTGGCATGCAGCCCCTTCCAAGGCCACCACAACACACAGGAGACAGGGTAGGGGCACCCACAGCTCCAGGTGGTAGAGCGCCTGACTGACATTCACAGTACCAAGCCAGATGCTTGCATGGGCATCTGTTGCTGAGCAGAATGGGCAGGTGGCATGAGGAACAGCAGAAGGCCTCCCAGACAACAAGGAAACAGGAGTGATGGCCACATTTGAATTGATCTTTCGAACACCTTAGGGAACTATGCCTTCTTCAGTCCTACCCTCAAAGAAACCCAGCTAAGGAAAGTGGTGGAGGAGAACTCAGTCATGGTCTTTGCTGACCATGAATGAAGGGGATGCTTTAGAAAGCAAGATTTTGGACTGTTAATGAAAAGCTAATTTTGTTAGGTAGCCTCACCTGATACAGGAATAATGGAAGTTTTAGGAAGTGTCTTATATTTGCCACTCTAGGGAGAGTGGAGTGGAAAGGAGTTGAAATCAGTGTACACATCCTAGCAAATAAACTATGGCAATAAATGTTAGATTTAGGTACTGATCTAACAGACTCTGCAGAAAACATTAAATTGAGACTATAATCTGACAAACATTTGCAAACATATAAAATCCCCCTTGGGAGCCCAGAAGCCTTGGGAAGTTGGGCCACTGGTGATGACATTGTAATTATACTGCTAAGAGTTCAGAGGTGCATATTTGGAAGTGATATTTTATGCCCTATTGCAATCCATAAGCCTATTAATTTTCAAAATACAGAATAGCTTTAAACACAGAAACTTTAAAGTACATAAAATAAAAAAAAATCTATTCTGTGCATTCCTGCCATAATTTAAACTCTCCCTGGGCTGCCAATCTTTCTTCCCAATTCTACAAACAACCCCTACTCCTTAGAAAAGAAAAAAAATATGCAAGAGATCTGAGCTTAAAGTTTTCCCAGGTTCAGTTAAATCCATATTCACTCTATACAGACCCATCATTCTTATTCTCTCCATCAGCTAAAGCCAGGCAATTGACAAAATAAGCAATAGCACCCCATTGTACAGGTAAACCTTATCTTATTATTATTTTAGTTCTAGCTCATCACAAACATCCTGGCTATTTTTAGAACAAAAGATTGGGAGAAGAAAAGTTGGAAAAAGTGTAGATTATGGTGACATGAAGCAGACAGAGAAAGGGTCAAGCCAGGCAGGCCATGGGGACAGACTTCCCAGGTTGAAGAAAAATAGGGTGGGTCTGGGAGTGGGAGGTAATATGCTTGGGAAGAAAACAATATTTATTTTTTATTTCATACATGACATGTATTTTAATTTTTCCTGCTGATTTTGAAAAATGGGTTATATTTTGGATGCCATATTTTTCATCTCTAATGAACCAGAGACCCATCAGATACTGGAAATAACTTGTGGCTCCTTGGATGAAAGAATATTTTCATTACAACACACCATCACTTTACTCTTTGCCTTCTCACCAAGTGTTGAGTTTTCTAACATTCCTGAGAAGCAGAAGGAAACTAGTGACTGAACATTGCTTTACAGAAAAGAAAAGGGCTATTCTGAAATAAGTCCCCAGAAGACTACAACTGCAGATTGAATAAACATATCAAATCAAGGGGTTTCTAAGAAAATTTACAAACAGAAGCCTGCAGTGAAATGAACCGTTGGATAAATGACCTCCAGAGCCCTACTCAACTCACTACTTCATGGCTCCAGAAGCCACAAGGTGCCATGTCTGTCACCTCTTCTGTGCTTTCTTTGCCTTCCTAAGGAATTTGGTTATATCAAAGAAACAGAGATTGGGTGTACTCAGATGAGTCAGACTCAGAAACCATATACTCATCAGTCTTTCAAACAGTGAAAAGGGGTATATCCCAACCACTGAAGATGTTAATGAAAAACAAGTTGGTCTCTACCTTGGTGAAAGTCTTAGTTGTAGATGTGGTTTCTACAGAAGTAAATGTATACACCAATACCTTTTTATAGGTTTTCCACTCATTTACTGGTACTGCTGATTTAAAGTTTTAAGGATGAAGCCTGTTTATAAAGAATAGACAGGCATCAAAGTAAATATGATCAAATTTCTGCTTCTACCATATGTGACTTCCTTCTAACTTCAGATGAAAAATGCAAGGCAAGTAGAAAGTCAAATGAACTGATGCTAATTAGAATGATGACATGCTTATTTGGTAAGGAAAATTGAATTCAATCTATATTTTCAAGAACATTAAACCTACAAATTATTTTAATATAGTACTTACTATGTGAACAACATTAAGAAAACTCTAAATAAGTGACAATTGATTATGATTGATGGCACACCCATAAGGGATTTGAGAAAGTGGTATGTACACAGCTTGAGAACCACAGTCCTATAAAGCCTGTTTGTAACGAGGAAATTCAGGCAATCAAAAGAAAATCATTTAAAACATAATCTAATTGCACATAGGAAGCTTTGCAATTTTACTAGGGTGATATATTGATTCTGCTGCATGCACTGAATTTAGGGCATTGCTAGTCTTCTTCAAACGTTGTTTTGATACAATATATCACAGAAACAGCTTCTCAGCCTACTAAGTCTACAGGATCAGTTTTAAAATAACAAGCTGCAAACAACTGGCAGCAAACAAAACTGGCTCCACTCAGTTATTATTTTTGCTGTCCAAATTAATGACTACACCTAAATGATGAATTTTCTTACTTTATTCAAAAGGAGAAGAGATACAAAATATCTACTCCTTTACTTTTTTAAACTTTAAATTTAGGGCTATATGTGCAGGTTTGTTATATAGGTAAATCTGTGTCATGGGGGTTTGTTGTACTTATTTCATCACCTAGGTATTAAGCCTAGTACCCATCAGTCATTTTTCCTGATCTTCTCTCTCCTACCACCCTTCACCCTCCGATAGACTCCAGGGTGTGTTGTTCCCCTTTATGTATCCATGTGTTCTTATCATTCAGCACCCACTTACAAGTGAGAACATGCACTATTTGGTTTTCTGTTTCTGCCTTAGTTTGCTAAGTATAATGGCCTCCAGCTCCATTATATTGCAAAGGATGTGACCTTATTCTTTTCTTGGCTGCATAGTATTCCAAGGTGTATATGTATCACATTTTCTTTATCCAGTCTACCACTGATGGGAATTTATGTTGATTTCATGTCTTTGCTATTGTAAATAGTGCTGCACTGAACATACACGTGCATGTGTCTTTAAAATAGAACGATTTACATTCTCTTGGGTATATTCCCAGTAATGGGATTCCTGGGTCAAATGGTATTTCTGTTTTTCAGTCTTTGAGGAATTGCCACACTGTCTTCCACAATGGTTGAACTCATTTATATTCCCACCTACAGAGTATAAGCATTCCTTTTTCTCTGCAACCTCACCAGCATTCGTTATTTTCTGACTTTTTAATAATAACCATCTGACTGGTATGAGATGGTATCTCATTGTGGTTTTGACTTGCATTTCTCTAATGATCAATGATGTTGAGCTTTTCTTCATATGATTTTTGGCTACATGTATGTCTTTGGAAAGTGTCTGTTCATGTCCTTTGCCCACTTTTTAATGGGGTTTTTTTTCTTGTAAATTTGTTTAAGTTCCTTATAGATGCTGGATATTAGACTTTTGTCAGATTCATAGTTTGCAGACATTTTTTTCCCATTCTGTAGATTGTCTGTTCACTCTGTTGACAGTTTCCTTTGCTGTGCAGAAGCTCTCTAGATCCCACTTGTTGCTTTTGTTGCAATTGCTTTTGGTGTCTTCCTCATGAAATCTTTGCCCCTTCATATGTCCAGAATGGTGTTGCCTAGGTTGTCTTCCAGGGTTTTTATAGTTTTGGGTTTTACATTTATCCTTTACTTTTATCTAGAAAGATCTACCACCAAACACCTCCTAATATGTTAAAAATATACCACAACAACTTGTCCATGATGGAAAGCAAACAGTGGTTACCTGGAGCAGAGGTTGGGGGGTGATGAACTGCAGAGTGGCCTGAGGGAACTTTTTGGGGTATTGAAAGTGTACTGTATCTCAAGGGTAGTGTTTACATGGGTGTACATGATTGTCAAAATTCATTGAGCTGTAAGCTTAACAAAGTTGAGTTTTAAAAATATGCCACGACTTACATTCCTAAAATTATCAACCTTTTTTTCCCAGTACCATCAAGGAGGTAAGAAACTATAGTTTAGTTTCTGATAGATGGTGACTGCCTTCTTCACTGGGTATAATATCTAGCCTTTGCCCCTCTAAATTAAACATGATGTTAGTGCTGATCTCTTTTTAGCTGTTTATCCACCAATATCCCTCTCAAATGCAGGTGAGATTTATTCCTACTTGAGTAAATTATATAGTTCAACATCCAACAATATTCATTTTTAGGTGTAGAAATGAAGAAGGGGCTGAAAAACATATCCTTGCTTTAAGAGATGAGGATTAGGAAACATATAATGTTCTTTAATATTAAGATTCAATTGATATGTCAGTAATTGATATGATCCCACAGCATTAATTTTTTTAGTATTTAATCAGGAATGAGAAAATAAATGCCCTCCTGCTCTACTCCAACACCCATCTCCAACCTGTGACAACCACAACTCAAGTTTAGCAAAGCAGTTCCCTCATTTCCTGGATGCTGACTCTTACTTTTCATTGCTTCTTGACCAGAGTAAGGATTGCCTGATGGAATCAGACTGCAGGACTGCAGTCTCAGGGGCCAAAAAAAGAAAAATAAAAAGACAGTAATGGAGAAATCATTAAGCTGTCAGAAAAGAGGCACTGACTCAGGGTTTCTTTGACTTTCACTCTTTCCTTTCCTTAAAACCAAAGGGCAACTCATATTAGAGCAAAGCTAGAAAGGTTCAAGAAATCGGTCTCCCCTCAATACTATGAGAAAAGAGTTAATGGGTGGTATAAGGTGATAGAAATATACATGGCAAAGGATGTTGTGATGGGGTCACAGAAGGAAGTCAGGGAATTCAAATTTCTATCTAGGGCAGGAATCATCCGAAACATCCTTGGCAGATAGCCAATCTGCTTCTGCATGAATACTTCTGGGAACAGAAACTCACCTCCTGAAAGCTTCTGAAAGACTAACCTTCCAGCTCTGGACAAGTTTGTTAAGCCACGTAGTCCAGCACCGGAAAGTTTAGTCTTTAGGAGGCTTTTCCTTATACTAAGCTGAAATAGAATCATCAAAGCCCTCTTCTCTAAGGTCAATTTTTCTTCTGCACCAACACAATATTTCAACATCCTCCTATACAAAATGATCCTTGAAATATTTGAAGATTACAATCTTTCCTAAAGGCTCTGCTCTCTAGGATTGAAACCTGACTGTACATCTTTTTTAAATGAGTTACTTACTTAACTTTCTGATCCCCCTCCAAAGGACCTACCTGTTGGTCAATGACCCCTGGATCTGAACACCATTGGCACTTACTGAGCTTAGGGATATTCAAATTCTTCTGCAAATGGCCTGTTTTCAAGTCGTAATTCTGCTGTTCTATATTTGGGAAACTGATTCATTTCTGTGAAATTCTCATCTTGCTAGTTTCTGCCTATCATTCAGGCTCACTCAGATTCTCTTTGACTCATGATTCCATGAGCCAATGACAGGGATATCCATTCCAGCCTTGTGTAATATGCCAACCTAAAAATCATCACTTTAGCTTTCTTCTTTCAAGTCACAGATAGAAATGATGAATGGGAGAAAGCTAAAAGCAGAGCCAGTCTGGATGAGTAAAAGGGTAGACTGAAAACTCAGTGCAGGAGGGTAGGGATTTGAGTCTGTAACTCTGGCACTTATCAACTCTATAATCTTGGAAATATTAACCAGTCTGAACCTGCTTTTTCATCAGTACAATGGCATTAATGCCATCTAATAGGATGGAAAATACTGACGATGCACCCTACACATAGTACATGCTCAATAAATAACTGTGAGTGTATAAGCACTTCATAAAGGATAAAAGGTCATAAAACCATAATGCAATATACTCAGTTGTCTACTTTTTATATCCAAAAAGAAACAGCTAGATCACGTAAGTCAATTTTCTAAGAAAAATTAGACACTTTCAGGCATTGCATTTCAGGTTACTAAGATAACAATTAGTAAATCAATACTGTTATTATAACACCTCTCTCTCTAATTATCTTTTGTATACATCTCGACTTTTTTATAGGCTAAATAACTCCACTATTAGATTTTTTTCATCGTTCTTATTTTGTTCCTTTTTTTTTTTTTTTTTTTTTGAGATGGAGTCTCGCTCTGTCGCCCAGGCTGGAGTGCAGTGGGGCGATCTCGGCTCACTGCAAGCTCTGCCTCCCCGGTTCACGCCATTCTCTTGCCTCAGCCTCCCAAGTAGCTGGGATTATAGGCGCCCACCACCACGCCCAGCTAATTTTTTGTATTTTTAGTAGTGGCAGGGTTTCACCCGTTAGCCAGGATGGTCTCGATCTCCTGACCTCGTAATCCGCCCACCTCCACCTCCCAAAGTGATGGGATTACAGGTGTGAGCCACTGTGCCCGGCCTTTTTTCCCTATCTTAATTCGCACTTTTCTCTGCTTTCTCTGCAAGGCCTTCACAAATTCCAAATGGTGACACAAGTTACACTGTGCTCTCTCTTGATCAAGGAACAGGTCTAATTTAGTTTCATTTTGTCTGACATCCATCCCTGTTCAAACCTAGCCCCAGATACCATCCCAGCACATCAGTGTCTACCCTAGGTCTCTCCTGCTCACCTGCAGCTACCCCAGACTACTCCAGATGCCCCTAGTGCCAACAACTCTCCACCTGGCCAATGCCCCTTCCACCCAGAGTCCTACCTGGTCTCCAAGTCTCATTCAAGCCACTCCGCCAGGAAGCCTTGCACACCTATTTTTTTCCCCATCCGAGTACCAGTCACATTGGATCACAATTGTCCATCAGACTGCTTGCTCTTTCAATGCAGAAACAATTTTTATCCATGTAACAAAATGTCTGGTACAATGCACATTTTCCAATAGTAGCTGAATGAACAACTCAAAGGAGAGACCCAGGACATTGAAGGTGTTGGTGTCTCTGAACAAAATGGAAGAATGCCTTCATTGACCAACATGGACATCCTGCTGTTACATTATTCCTGCACTTTGCACTCATAGCCAGGATCCTCTGTGCTTAGTAGACACTTTCTACTGATTCTTATTTTTTTTTTTTTTTTGAACGCTCTGTCGCCCAGGCTAGACTGCAGTGGCGCAATCTCGGCTCACTGCAACCTCCAACCTCCCTGGTTCAGACAATTCCCCTGCCTCAGCCTCCCGAGTAGCTGGGATTACAGGCGCCAGCCACCACGCCTGGCTAATTTTTGTGTATTTTTAGTAGAGACGGGGCTTCACCATGTTGGCCAGACTGGTCTCAAACTCCTGACCTCAGGCAGTCTGCCCTCCTGGGCCTCCCACAGTGCTGGGATTACAAGCGTGAGCCACAACGCCTGGCCCGATTCTTTTGAATATATAATCAATTCACGCTTCATGACACATTTCAGTCACTCTCCCACTGGAATTTTTTAAAGAAGCCTTCACTTTTATGAGATGATTTACCTACCTAGCATTAGTCGGTCTTGCTACCACAACAACAAAAGTCTGGTGGGCCTTAATTACCATAAAGAAAACGATGAAAAGTGTTTACACAGCGGGCATTATTCCCACCCACCCGTCCCCAACCCTCATAAAAGCAGAGATCTTGTTTATTTTTCTTTGCTTTCCTAATTATTCACAGAAATAATAATTCTCCGAAAGCAGACCCCTCCAATTTACCTCTACTTCTTTTAACTCGCCTCTTTGACTTGGACCAATCAAACCACTTTTGGCCAAAGGAAAGGCCTGGGCCAGAAAGCGCTAAAACTAAGTATCTGCCTGCCTGGGCTGCCCTCCAGATGTTTCCCATTACTGGAGCTTCGAGCTCACGCACATGTCTAAGATGGCAATCACAACATCATATCAGGCCAAGAGGACCCTCCCCTCCGTCCCCCGACGTCCCAATCAGTTACCACCTCCCCGAAGGAAAACAAACCGGCCCTTGACACATCCCTCCACGTGCAGCGCCCGACGCCACGGGCCTTGGGCGGCTGCACCTCTCCCCTGCCGGCCACGGCTCAAGGCCCCATTATTGCGCGCACCCAGCTCCCTTCCAGGTGACTTTCGCGTACCTGGCGGCGGCGCCCTAGGCCTCGGAGGCTGCCCGGGCGGGCTGGGGCTCGGGCGGCGCTCGCTGAGAGTCGCGGCGCCCCTCAGCCGCTTCCCGGGCGCCGATCGCCGCCCTCCTGCCCCGGGGTGGGGCCCAGGGGCATCAGCAGCCGCGGGCTCTCGGCCGCCGCCTGGGAACTCAGGGTCAGATTTAGTTTCACAACAACGTCTCCTCGTCACGGCAACCCAACTGGAGGCAGAAGCCGGCGGGGCGGCCGAGCGGGGCGGGGCGGGAGCGCGGCCGCCGCGAGCCACGGTGGGGAGCGGGCGCGGGGGACCCTGGCGGGCCCCGGGCAGCGCGGCTGCACTTACTTGTGTCACAACTGCGGCGACGGGGGGCTGAGGAACCGGTTCTTCCAAAAGCAAACCGAAAATGGGTAACAGAGAGGCCGGGGCAGCGCTAAGAGGGGTTCTGCCTCGGTGTTTAGGGCAAAAAACCCGGCTCCGGCTTCCAGAAATTCGAGCCAGCGGTGGCTTTTTCTTTCTTTCCTCTCTAAACGCTCCTGTGCCTCCGGGTCGAGGGGCGCCCTTCGCGCGGCTCCGAGTGCACAGCGACACCAGGGCTGGCGCTGGAGAGGGGAGCCCTCTTCCCAGCACCCCTCGGGTCTCCCCCGTACCCCCACCCACAGCCCCTTTCCTGGGCCCGACGCCCCTCCGCTCTGCAGCCGGAGCCTGGGCCTGGTGCCCACTGCCCCGCGGGGTGTCTCGGACGCCTGGCCCCTGCAGCGTTTTCTACGGAGAGGCCTCAGAAACAGAAGGAGGGGGTGGTGGGTTAGTTCTGTCACCGCGAGGAAGCTAGGTGTGCATGGGGAGGTCCTGAAGGGGAGGATGGGTGGAGTGATTTGGTGATTTGGGGCGAGGGGCTGTAGGTTGGATGTAAAGGAATATTCAGTCAGCCTGAAACTTATTAAAACATCTGGGATTCAAATACCTTTAGAAGTGATCTTAAAGGTATGTATTCTAACTTCTTACAGATAGCGTAACTGAGGCCAAGAATGGTAAATGGATTACCCCAAAGTCGGGCAGGGGAGCCTTGACTAAATGCCCAGGCCTAACCCATTGTCCTTTCTTCTAAACTTTTTGCCTTTCTTTGCACCAAGGGACGCTTTGAGCTGGTAGGGGGAAGTTTCTGTAACCCCAAAATTCCCTTGTCTCTGTAACTTAAGGGGAGCTAGAGAACCTTGATTCGACCTGCAAAGTATTTCAGCATTGGATGAAGCATCCATTACAAGCCAGTAATCTGAGATGTTCCTTCTCCAGGATCTTCCTCTTACTTGACTGGGGAATCCAATCAGGAGCAGTGAAAGATATGCAAATACCTTGATGATTTGCTCTTATAAGGACTCATCACTTCTCAGTGAGCATCAGAATGTTGGCTCTTCTCTCCCTCAGATGAAATCCCTTCCCCATCCCCCACTCAATTGTTCACATCCAATGAGATCATGTAAGCAAAAGGGCCTTAGAAAGTAGAAAGCATAGCATGAATGCAGGTATTATTGTACATACTCTTTCAAAATTGTCTAGATTCACACACTTTACTATTGTTTCTGTCAGTCATTGAGTATTTGTTGACTTGTGCTAGATGCCATGAAGAGTCAGAACAATGAGATCTAATCCTTCACCTTCAAAGGCCACAGATTATAGATTCTGTGATAAGACCAACACACAGGAAATAATCAGAAATCTACACAAAGACTGATTTTTTTTTGGTCCTTAACTGTTGGATATTTTTATGTTTTCAGACACAGAAACTTTCCAAAATAAACCATGTATGTTGGGTGAGGGAGACTTCATGTAGAAATCAATGCATCAATAAACTGTTAACCCAATAAAACCCCAATACCTTGCCCAAATAGAAATGTTAGTTAAATTACCCAGTTGATGAGGATGGCTTTTCCTTTTTGAAAAGGAAACTACTACCTATGCTTTCTACCTATTCATAAAGAATTACTATAACATAAAAAAGCAAATCCAGAGACTTAAAGATTAGGTGATCAAAAATTTTATTTGAGGGAGGAGGGGAGAAAAAATAACCCAAAGCTACCAGATATAAGTATTTGCTAAGAACTTACCAAAGGCAATGAAAGTTTCTCATGTCAAAGATGGCAGGCATACTATCTATTTGAAAATCATATTTTAAAAATCAATTTATATAGTTCAGAAGTAACATATCACCTAAAATTTTTATGTATTAATAGAAGAATTATTTTGATACTTTATCCTAGTATTCTTAAAGTTTGAGAGAACAGTTCTCAACCCAAATATCTGACCATTTTATTTTTTTAGGGAAACCCACTTTCATATGGCCTTGGATAAAAACCGATCTAAATGTTGAACGAGTTTCTGAATTTGAAGGTGTGGAGAATTATTTCATCACTACTCTTTCAGAAAGGCCATATGTTTAAAATATTGGCAGTAGTGGATTCAGAAGATAGAGTCATATTCAAAATTTTTTATTTAGGAAAGTTATTTGCACAAAGTACATTTATTTTAGCACAGTATAAAATTCTTCATATTCTCCAAAACGGGAGTAGCAGGAGCCAATTCATCCAGTATAATGTATTCCAGACACTTGCTGGAATAAACAATGCTCTTGAGCCCCTCAGATGCATAGCCAATAGGGAGCTGTTGACTACTTGAGGTTTTTACACATCACTCAGCCAGATCAGAAATCCAAATCCCAAATCAGTCACAGGCAAACAGCGTGGATTTACAGTCCTGCCTGGGTGTAGGGTCACCACCTGCAAATGAGTTATACCACCAGAGGTGGGTTTATTTTTTATTAAAGTATACTTCATTTTTAAATTTTAGATGAATACAAGTATGAATAAAATGTTTAATACAAATTTAAATGTCCTTTGCACCACCAAGCCAAAATAGGCTAGAACATATATTCATAATTATCCATCTGAGGTTATATTTGAGTTTACATACATATCTTGATATAGACATAGATATAGATATATTTATCTGTAGAATTTCCATGAATAACTAAAATATGCCATAAGGAGTCAATTATGTATCTGTTAGTTTATATTGGACTTAGAACATTCAGCTGTTTACATATTATAACATGTTAATCCTAACTGCTATCCTAACCTAAATTATGTACCATAAAGACATGACAATGGTTTTTTTCATAAGAAGGCACAAAAATTGCTGAAGTATAGAGTTATCTGCTGGCTTATGGCATAAACACAGAACACACGTGATAGAAATGTGCATTTAAACTCAGGTTCTATTCATATTCTCAAATACAGATCTACGAAAGGCAAAGGGCAAAAATCAACAAGAGTTTCTAGTTCTTTGAACATTTATATTCTGCCTACACTCACAGGTTAGGTATGTTGTGACCAGTCCTGATTCAAAAGAAATTCTCTCTTTCTCTCTGTCTCATTGTCTCACACACACACACACACACACACACTTTGAAAATTTCTTCATTATTTAGTTTAGCAATGTATTTTCCTATAGAAAAACTTCCAAATACACCTAAAATGAGTTATTCTTAAGAAGGAGAATGAGGATCCAACCCTTTAACTGAGATCAAGATCTATTCCTGAGCATCAATGAGAGAAGACTGGACCATGTGGGAACAGCTTAGAGTGAAGCCAACTCCCCAGGTGTGAGTTAGGAATTTTCTTATATACAGAAACAATTTAAAGAAACTTTGAATGGATGAATCATTTGTTTCCAATACTGGGCTTTTTACTTTCACTTAGCTAAATCACTTATTATGGTGAGGGATTATGTTAACTCTTTCAATATAAAGTGCATCTCTTCAGTCTAAGGAGCATTAGTTGAAGGCACTAGAATAATAATACCAACAAAAGTTATACTAAGACTAAAGATACAATCTCTAAGCTCTAGGACCTTTATATAAGTACATGCACTCTTTAATCTACTGGAATATCCTGTAATCTGCAAATTAATTTATATGCACATTGATCCCCTAAAACATGTATGAACTAACCTAGGGAGAAGTTTACTCACTAGATAGGTTTATATTACATGAGCCATAAATTGTGAGTTTTCCAGCCAATTTCTTATTACATTAGGACTGGTTTTCTAAACAAGCTATTGTTGGCTAACATTAGGAAGTAAATTTCCCCATCAAGACTTCTAAAGGACATCACCAGATTCTTTAATTATACCAGGGGTTTGGGAGGTAGGCAGTGAAAGAATCTGGGATGAAGGGAACAAGCTTACTTTTATCTTCATTCACTGTCAGCTTAGGAGACCAAGTGAGGAATGCAACACTAGGATTCTTGACCAGATTTCTACTAAAGCAAAGACTTAAGGTTAGTTTTCAAATAATGTTTTACCTATGTCTCATAAATAATTACTATGCTAAACTTTACTGTATATTTAATTAATTAAAAAGGAAAACCTGTCCTGTTGAACATTTCCTTTTAGTGAATCAAAGTTATTGAAATAAAGTGTTTCTGCATGTTTAACTTAATTTATCTAATTTTTATTTTATCACTTTTTTCTCTTGACATAATATGTATACATACATGTCTATATGTTTTTGTTGTCATACATATATATGTCTGTATATATGCTTTTTGTTGTCAACTGTTATAGGTGGAGCTTTCCTAAACTTTCAATTTACTTTTATCCAGATTATTCTACTTATTGCCATATCCATTTGTGAGCTGACGTTTACAAAGAGATGATATTTAGCAAGTGCTTTTGGGGAATATGATTACTC